>NC_000001.11:220684587-221309587 GCF_000001405.40 Homo sapiens
TCTTCCTGAGTCTAAATCTATCTTGTAAAAATAAATTAATTGTTTTAAACAACTTTAATTCATACAGTCTCAGGTCTATCCACATTCTCTTACTCTAAATTCACACATTTATTACAAAATGAAAGAGTAAAGAGTTAAACATAAGGTCCTTATGTCTACAAATGGAAACTTGGTTTTCAATTAAATATGTATAGCTGTTTCTATGCAAGTCATTCCAAATAAGCAATTATTTTTAAGCTTCTGAGGTCTCTACACATTTTTGAACTCAATAACTGACGATGTGTTTTCATGAATCTTAGCTCTCCAATGTACTTGCTCCTTTGGAGAACAAGTTTCTAATTCTTATCAGTAAAGAAAGATTCCTACAAGAGGTGAATGTTGTGGGTTGTCACTCAGCATTCTTCTCACCCTCCTTCCAGCGTGCAGAGTCTAGGAAGTGAAATCATGTTCCAGGGTCCCTCGGGTACTGGAGGAAATTGAGCAAGTTAGCTTAGACTAATCAGGTGCACTCCCGAGAGTTTTGGAAGGCAGAGAGGGTGGAAGCCATGCTTCAACTGTTTATGCTGCTTCTGCTGACAAGGGCAGTCCTGCAGATGTTGGGATTTTTTGTGCCAGAATGCCAGCGTCTGGTCCTCAGTCTCATGGGTATTTAGAGAAAGGGGAGGGGGTGCCTGTGTGTTGCCAGTGCAGACCAGCAGTCTGTTATGGATTAAATTGTGCCCCAAACCTCCCAATTCATAGGTTGAAACTCTAACCTCCAGTACCTTAGATGTGATTGTATTTGAAGATAGGGCCTTGAAAGAGGTCGTGAAGGTTGAATGAGCCTGGGTGTGGTGGTTCACACTTGTAATCCCAGCACTTTGGGAGGCCAAGGCAGTGAATTGCTTGAGCCCAGTTCAAGACAAGCCTGGGCAACATAGTGAAACCCAGTCTCTATAAAATCTACAAAAAAATTAGCTGGGCATGGTGGCTCAGGCCTGTAGTCCCAGCTGCTTGGGAGGCTGAGGTGGGAGGATGGCTTGAGCCCAGGAGACCGAGGCTGCAGTGAGCTGAGATCACACCACTGCACTCCAGACCCTGTCTCAAATTAAAAAATTTTTTAAAAAAAGGTTGAATGAGGTAATAAGGGTGGGGCTCTAATCCAATAAGACGGGTGTCCTTCTAAAAAGAGGAAGGACCAGGGATGTGCATGCACAGAACAAAGGTGATGTGAGGACAGAAAGAAGGTGGCCATCTGCAAGCCAGAGAGAGAGGCCTGAGGAGAAACCAAACCCACGGACACCTTGTACTCAGACTTCCAGCCTCCAGAATTCTGAAAAATAAATTTCTGTTGTTTAAGCCACCAGACTGCAGTATTTTGTTATGGCAGCTCTAGCTGACTAACACACAGGCAAGGCTGGGACTGTAGCTAACTGTCGGGATTTGGGAGCTTGCTAGGTGGCAGCTGAGGTGCTAATGTCCTTACAGCCACCAGGTCCAGTGGCAGCCTCCTGGTGCCCAGCTTCCTCACTACAGCACAAGTAACAGCTCAGTGGTCATTCTAGGAGTTACACTGGAGATGGCCCAGCCTAGAGCTTGCTATTCTAGCCCTTTGTGAAATGTGGAAGCACTGAAGTCCGTATATCAAATCCTGTATCCACATGGCCATCTTAAAGGCTCAGGATAGGAAAACCAGTTGTCATAGTCCGTTCAGGCCACTATAAAAAACATCATAAACTGGGTAACTTGTAAACAACAGAAACTTACTTCTCAGAGTTCTGGAGGTTGGCAAGTCCAAGATCAAGGTGCCAGCTGATTCTATCTCTTGCTGCGTCCTCATAAGGCAGAAGGGGTGAGGGGTTTCTCTCTTGGGCCTCTTTTTATAAGGACATTAGTCCCATGAGGGCTACATTTCATGACCTAATCACCTCCCAGAGGCCTCCCATGCCCAATACCATCAACTTGGGGTTAGAAATTTAACACATGAATTTGGGGGTTGAAGGGGGGACACAGACATTCAGACCATAGCATTGGCATGGAACCACAGGACCCTTGGAGATTGAGAAGGGCATAGGTGATCAGGGATTCAAGGGTATTTGCTGGGTCATAACCAGTAGAGTAGAATGTTTCCAGTGAGGGCCTGTAAAAAACTATGGACAACCAGCTTCAAACACCTGGTAGGCCTTGTGGGTGAGACAACACCTTGGGCAATACTAGCCATGGAAGATGTTTTCTGCACTCTTCTCTGTTTTGGCCCTGGAAGAGTCAGAAACCAGTTTACAAGCTTGGGAGACTGAGAAACACTAGGTGGGGGAAGCAGAAGAGAAATTGTTGTTTCTCCCCAGTCCCTACTCTCTCACCACCACTGCACACAGGTACACACCCACATCAGGTGCTGCCTGAGGAGAGAAGATTTACTTTAAATCAAGTTCAAGGTTCTGAGTATTACATGGAATTGAACATTATACGATTTAGGATTATATAGATGAAGATTATGTTTAGTTATTTATTTGTTTATTTTTATTTTATTTTTTTTTTTGAGACAGAGGTTGGGACTTATTACTTCTGTGTGAATAGAAAAACTACAGGACTGCTGGGCGTGGTGGCTCACGCCTGTAATCCCAGCACTTTGGGAGGCCTAGGCGGGTGGATCACTTGAGGTCAGGAGTTCGAGACCAGCCTGACCAACATGGAGAAACCCCGTATCTACTAGAAAATATAAAATTAGCCAGGCATGGTGGCGCATGCCTCTAATCCCAGCTACTCGGGAGGCTGAGGCAGGAGTATCACTTGAACCTGGGAGGCGGAGATTGCCGTGAGCCAAGATCGCACCATTGCACTCCAGCCTGGGCAACAAGAGTGAAACTCTGTCTCAAACAAACAAACAAACAAAAAACCCTACAAGACTACCTAAGTTTTCACCGAGGAGCAAGAGACTCATTCTCTGAACAGAATAACTTGTAGAGAGACAAGGGAATGCAACATAAAGACAGTTTCTGATTACATCTCCTTAAATTCTGCTTGTTCACTGGTTATAGAGACTTAATCTGGAGATCAATTTTTAATTGTTCTAGTGTTTTGCCTTTAAAGGCAAACTAAATGTTGTTGTGATATTTGAACAGTATTTTGTACTGACAAAAACACATTTTAGGCCCATGGATGTTCTACCTTCGTCTCTATTTGTATTAGTCCGTTCTTGCACTGCTATAAAGAAATACCTGAGACTCAGTAATTTATAAAGAAAAGAGGGTTAATTTGCTCACAGTTCTGCTGGCTATACAGGAAGCATGATGGCTTCTGCTTCTGGGGAGGCCTCAGGAAACTTACAATCATGGCAGAAAGTAAAGGGGAAACACGCAAACATGGCCAAAGAAGGAAGATGAGAGAGAGAAGGGGGAGGTGCACACCACCCACTTTTAAACGACCAGATCTCGCGATAACTCACTCACTATTACTAGGATAGCACTGAGGGGATGGTGCTAAGTCATTCATGAAGGGCCACCCTCATGATCCAATCACCTCCCACCAGGCCCCACCTCCAACAGTGGGGATTACAATTCAACATGAAATTTGGTGGGGACATAGAACCAAACTATATCACCATTTGATAAGCAGCCTAGGGTTCTTTGAGGTCGGTTTTGTACAAAAAAAAAAGGGACTACAAGGGTCTCTGTTTGTTTATAAAGTAATAGTTGCTTTAGCAAAATTACAAATCTACAAATCTACTTTCTCTTAACCTTTTAAATTCAAATTACATACTGTTTTAAACTATTTACTCACCCGATAAAATTTTACAATTACTGTAAGGAGGCACTTTTACTGTTTAGTTAATTCTCCTAAACATTTCAAGCAACTTTTACAAATTTAATATTTGACTTTCTTTTCAAGTACTTCAATTCTATAACAAAACTCTAAGTAATTCTTATAAATATAGTAAGTTAAATTCATTTTCATACCCATTTCACCTGAAATTGAATTGTACATAAATTTTATATACTATTTTACATATAAAGACTCTATGTTTTTAAGATTAAATATAAGTCATTACTTATTACCTTATTACATAAGTTAAATAAAAGCGTAAATCAATTAGCTGATTACTTTTTTTTTTTTTTTTGAGACAGAGTCTCACTCTGTTGCCCAGGCTGGAGTGCCGTGGCACGATCTCCGCTCACTGCAACCTCTGCCTCTTGGGTTTAAGCGATTCTCCTCCTCAGCCTGCCGAATAGCTGAGACTACAGGAGCACGCCACCATGCCTGGCTAATTTTTGTATTTTTAGTAGAGACAGGGTTTCACTATATTGGCCAGGCTGGTCTCGAACTCCTGACCTCAGGTGATCCACCGCCTTGGTCTCCCAAAGTGTTGGGATTACAGGTGTGAGTCACCGCACCGAGCCACACATTTTCACTTTTTTAGAAATGGGGCCTACGTTGCTCAGAACTCCTAGCCTCAAGGGATCCTCCCACCACAGCCTGTGGAGTTGCTGGGATTACAGGTGAAAGTCACCATGCTGGCTCACATTTTAAGTTGGAATCACAAAACTAATTTCTTTTGCATCCTAGTGAACTAAATTGTCGTAAACATTGTATGTGCTTATACCAACATATACACGTTATTCTTAAATTTAATCACAAACTTTAATGTTAAAATATCAGTGTATCTAACAATCTATGTTATTTTATACCTAAGTATTTTTTTGAGATGGGATCTCACTCTGTCGACCCCTTTGGAGCGCAGTGGCACAATCATAGCTCACTGCAATCTCCACCTTCCAGGATCAAGCGATCTCCCTACCTCACTGGGACTACAGGTAAACTTTTGTATTTGTTTTTCTATTTCTAGAGATGAGGTCTCCCTGTGTTGCCCAGGCTAGTCTCAAACTCCCAGGCCCAAGCGATCCTCCTGAATAGCTGGGATCACAGGTGTGCGCCCCTACGCCTGGCTAATTTTTTTTTTTTTTTCTAGAGATGGAGGTCTCACTATGTTGCCCAGGCTGTTCCCCAACTCCTGGGCTGAAGCTATCCTCCCGGCCTCTCAAAGTGCTGGGATTACAGGCGTGAGCCACTGCTTTCGGCCCTTAATTCTACATTAGCCAGAATTCAAAGGCATTTACCCACTTAAGAAAATAGGGCACTCTCAGCTTGTTGAGATTCACAGTACACTGATAATGCTTATCTCACAGAGAGATATTCCTGAAAATCATGATTTTAAAGACTGCGCCATATGCTGGCATGTCTGCACCAGAATTTCCTTTGCGCCTCCCTGTTGGTTTGCTCCACTTTTTCACTGAGTCAGACCGTTGAACACCGTGGACACACTGTCTTGCGTTTCCGAATATTTCCTAGAATACGGACGTTTCCTAAGACTCACGATAAAGATTTTCTGATCGTCTCTCCAAAACCTTGCCACCAATTTGCACTCCCACGAATCCTGTTACCGTGACTATCTCGCCATGCCCTCCCTAGCACTGAGCGTGATCTCTAGTATCATTTTCCATCGTTGCTAATTTGAACATGAGCAGATGGAGTCCTATTATTTGGGGTCATTAATTTCGTAGCAAGTGCAGTTGAAGGTGTTTTGCATGTTCATTGTGCAGTGCGCGCCGTAGTCTGCACAGTTTGGCCGGCAGGTGGGATGAAGGGCGGGGCTGGCGGAGCGCGCCCGCCGCCTGGTAGGCCAGTTCGGAGCGGAGCCAACGCTATCCCGGGCCCCACGGCCAGGGGGCGCTGCGGCCCCCCCAATCCCCCGCCCCGTCCGGGCTGGGGCGGAGGAGCGGGCGGGGACCAAAGGTTGGTGTCTTTGCGCTCGGACCTTCGCCAGAGGGGCCGGGACATCATGACGGTGGGAGCCAGGCTCCGAAGCAAGGCGGAGAGCAGCCTCCTGCGCCGCGGGCCCCGAGGGCGAGGGCGAACCGAGGGGGACGAGGAGGCGGCCGCCATCCTGGAGCACCTGGAGTACGCGGACGAGGCGGAGGCGGCGGCCGAGAGCGGGACGAGCGCGGCGGACGAGCGGGGCCCGGGGACCCGGGGCGCGCGGAGGGTGCACTTCGCCCTCCTGCCCGAGCGCTACGAGCCACTGGAGGAGCCGGCGCCGAGCGAGCAGCCCAGGAAGAGGTACCGGAGGAAGCTGAAGAAGTACGGCAAGGTAGGGGCCCTGCGCCACCACTGCCCGGGGGGCGCGGGTGTGGTGTCCCGCGGGGGAGCGGGAGCCGGGTCCTTACCATCGACTCACCCAGTTTCTCCGGGCTGCACCTGCGACCCCTCCGCCCCCGCTCCCATTCCCTCGCCGGAGGGAAGCCGCGAGTTGCGAGTCGTGATAGAAACTTAAATCGGGGGTTGCGCTGGGTGGTCCCTGCTGTGCCTGCTATTGCGCTCCTGGCTTCTTAAGAACATTCTCAAGGGGCTCCTACCGCGGTGGTTTTTATGTAAGATCAGGAATCAGTTTCCTGATTACAGATGGGAATACTGAAGCGTTAGCGCGGCAGGTGACTTGGAGAAGGTGGCCCAGTTGGAAAGAAAGAAATTGCAACCCAGTGTATTTGTTTTCCAGTAACATCCCCTCCAGGATATCCCACTAGTTGAGAAATGTTTGGGTTACTCTCCCAAATATTCCCAAGGTTATTTCCCGAGCCTGGGAGCGCAACAAATACATAAATAGGCGCTCGTTGAATTTTTCTCGTCTAGCCAACTATCAGTGTACTCTGGGGCCTTCAAAACATTCTGCCGTTTGTCTCGGGGAGATGGGGTTAGGAAGAATGAATATGGGAGAAAATGACAGTTTCCTTCGCGGAAATCAAAGCGCAGATGCAGTTCCCAGGTGTCTCTGCATGGAAACAGTCGAAGCTGCTGCCGGAAGCTCTGCTGGCCTGGACAAGGCCACCCAGAATAAAGTCACAGAAGTTACTGTGTCCTGGCCAAAGGCCACGGGCCCCATCTGATTTATTGTCTATTTATCTGTGTTGCCCAATGCCGTCTTACACCTGAAGCCATTCAGTCTCCATGCCTGGGAGCTTAGGTTTATCATCCTCTTTAAAGGTATGTCAGCAGCTTCTGGAGCAGAATACAGGCAGGGGTAAAACTATAAAGTTGGGTCTTTCAGGCTTAGAGCCCTGCTAGGACGATTCATCTCTGCTTTGGGTCCCAGTTGAGCACAAAGAAGCCATCATGTCCCTCTCCATTGGTGAACTGATACTGCAGAAACCTCAGCTCAAGGACTAGGACTTGAAGATATTTTGGGGGCACTCATTATGCGTCAGGCATTGTGCTGAGCAGTAGAGATGCGAAAATGAATACAGTGCAGCCCTGCCCTAGAGAAGGGCACAGCCTCCCAGGGAGACACTGACATAGCTGGCTCCCCCCGCCCCCGGGGGGGCTTCAGGGCACAGAGCTCAGGCAGTTCACTCCTCAGCGGTGAGCTTGTAAACTCAGGGAAGTTTTCAAATCACGGTGACATGAAAACTGGGCACAGAAGGATGAGTTAAGATTTCACCAGATAACAGTGAAGTGGTATGAAGTAGGCACACTTCATCCCCACTAGAACGGCTACTCCAAAAAATGTCCAAACAAACCGAATAACAAATGTTGGCGAGAATGTAGAGAAATTGGAACCATTGTACATTGCTGGTGGGAATGTAAAATGGGACAGCTGCTGTGGAAAACAATTTGGGAGTTCCTTAAAAAGTTCAGTGTAGACTTATTCTGTGATCTAGCAGTTCCACTCCTAGGGATGTAACCAAAGAATTGAAAACAGGTACTCAAATCAATGTTTATATACACATTTTAATGGAATTATTATTTACAATAGTCAAAAGGTGGAAACAACCCAAATGTCCCTAAATGGATGAATGCATAAACAAGTGTGTTATATACATACAATGGAATAGTATTCAGCCATAAAAGGAAGGAAATGTACTAATCCATGCTACAATATGATGAACCTCTAAAAATATTATGCTAAGTGAAGTAAACAAGACCCGCAAGATCACATATTGTGCGTATGATTCCATTTGTATGGAATGCTTAGGATAGGTCAACCCATGGAGATGGAACACAGATTGGTGGTTGCCAGGGACTGCGGGAAAGAGGAATGGAGCCCATCTGCTTAATGGGTAATGTGTTTTTTCCTGGGGATGATGAAAATGTTTTGGAACTAGATAGAAGTGGTGGTTGCACAACAATGTAAATGTACTAAATGCCACCGGGCTGTACGCACTTTAAAATGGTGAATTTTATGTTATGTGAATTTTGCCTTAACTAAAACAAACAAAAAAAACAAGATTTCAGTGGATAGAGAAGTGGTGTCATCTCAGGTAGAGGGGCCATCACAAGCCCAGCTGTGGGCATGAAAGCTCTAGAGTGTTGCACGCTAGTTCAATGGACCCAGGAGGCCAGGTGAGAGGATGTCGTCAGGTTAGGGTTGGATCTCTCCTTTCTGCCCTTCAAAAGTGACTTCAGCTTCTACTTTCTTGGAGCCACCTGAGAGGGTCACCAGGCTCAAACATGGAGATATAAAGCAGGTGACCCCTCTTTGTTCCCCGAGACCCCAGCTCCCCTCTGAGAGAGTAGTTGGGTAGAAAGCTCTACTCAGATCAAAGAATTCCAAATGCACTCTCTTAAATGACACTGAAATAGTGGTTGAGAGATATTTTATGTTTCTTTGCATTTCATTTCTCAAATCTGTGTTTTTAACAGTGTTCCAGTTAATGAACTATTTTAGTAGATTTTTTTTCCCTAAATTACAAAGTGACAAGTAGCTTTTAAAGTATAACAGGCTGAGCAAAATGGATGTACAAATACCAAAAATGTCACGTTTAATGCAGGCGATTGTCATTCTGATCTTGTTTATAATGGATCACTCTTGATTGTTAAGCTTGTTCCCAGAGAATATGTTTTTCTTTTGTTGTTTCAAACATGTAAGTAAAATTCCCCCAGTGATTCTTATCACACATTTAAAGAACTGTATCTCTTAGCAACATCACATACCCACACATGCGCATGCCCCAGCCCAGTGTCTCTTTGAGACATCAACAGGGTAATGTCCAGGAAAGCAGTGTCTAGAGAAGACACAGACATTACTTGGTTCTTGCAAAGCTCCTCATTTAGCGGGAGAGGTACCAAAGGAAACACTCAGCCTCTTTCTACATGCTCAGGATACAGTAATGAGCACAACAGAGTCCCTGCCCTCCTTCTGTTACTGTGAGGGACCCTGTAATTTAAACTATTGAAAGCTCAGCTGGGTGTGGTGGCTCACACATGTAATCCCAGCACTTTGGGAGGCTGAGGCGGGTGGATCACCTGAGGTCAGGAGCTGGAAACCAGACTGACGAACATGGTGAACCCTGTCTCTACTAAAAATACAAAAAGATTAGCCTGGCGCGGTGGTGCATGCCTATAATCCCAGCTACTTGGGAGGCTGCAGCAGGAGAATCGCTTGAACCTGGGAGGTGGAGGTTGCAGTGAGCTGAGATCGCGCCATTGCACTCCAGACTGGGCAACAAGAGCAAAACGCGGTCTCAAAAAAAAAAAAAAAAAAAAAAGCTCAAGTAAGCCAGAAGTCATAGGAAATTATAGTCTTAAGAAACTTTCCCAAACAGACAACAAAAATATTGGGTTTATCTATCACCACCACAAACCTAAATTGCTATGTAATCAAAAGAAGCAGATGTTATTTAGCAGTAATAATAGCTGACATTGGGGGGCACTTATACTGCCTGCAGTTTGTGCCAGGCCCTGTTCTCAGTGCTTTGCTTACATGATCTCATTTACTCCTCTTAACAACCCAATGAGGTGGTTACTAAATATTCCCATTGTATAGGTGAGGAAACCGAGGCCATGGGAAATTAAGTAAGTGATAGAGTTGGAATTCAAGCCCAGGGCATGAGTGGTTAACTAGAAGCTTACATATTGCCTTTATTTAAAAAGGGAAACATAGTATGGGGGTTAAGGTCATAGGCCCTGAAGTGAGATTTCTTTGGGATTGAACTTCAGCTCTGCCCCTAACCAGATATATACATGTGGACAGATGTAATCTCTCTGTGCTTTGAATGATTGAAGTCTGATAGACAAAGGCCACCAGGGACATGCCAGTAGCCAATCCACGTTAGGTTTATGTGCTTAGGGCTACAAGGGAGAGTGCATGCCAGAGGAATTGTGGGGTCTTCAAAAAGTGGAGATCTCAAGTAACGAATTGAATATTTGAGTCTGAACTAAAGAGTTCTTCAAATCTAGGAGATACTTGTAGTCATTAGAAATGGATGAGACCATCTAAGGAGAGACTGTAGGGAAAGAAAGAGAGAAGGAAAGACCCAGGACTGAGTATTGAACAACACCAACATTTTAAAGTCTGGTAGAAGGGATAATTTAGCAAAGAAAGCTGAGGAGGAGCTCCCTATTTAGGTAGGGGAGAACTAAGAATATGGAGTCAAAGACGCCACATGATTATTTCATAAAGTATGTCAAAAGCTGCTGAGAGGTCAGGGAGAGAAAGACAGAAAAGCGTCCACTGGGTCAGGCAGCATGGGGGTTGTAGATGGCCATGACCAGACAGTCCCTCATGGGTTGGGGTAGGAGCCGGAGTCAGAGGGAATAAGAAGCGCAGACATGGAGGCAGTATATGTGGTTGGCTCTTTTGGCTGGCTTGGCACGATGGAGGGCAGAGACTGGGGCAGGATATGGAGTCACGGTGATACCCGAGCATGTATGTAAGCTAATGGGATCCAATGGAGAGGAAGCGAATGATGGAGGTGGTGAAGGGAAAGCCAAGATCAAGGTGGGAGAAGGCACTGACACCAAGTATCAAGGGAATGGCTTGGGGGAAGAAGACCACTTTCTCCACCGTAACACAGGCAATGCGGGAGAAGCCAGGGGCAGCCACAGGCAGGGCTGTTGAGAGTGGTGGAAGGTGAACGTGTTCCCTGACGATGTCTGGGTTTTTTTTTTTTTTTTTTTTTTCTGTGAAAGGTGAAGTGGGATCATCTCATGAAGGTATGGAGACTTGGGTGTGTTCGTGTGTGTTGCAAGTGGGGAGGCTTAAGAAGGGAAAAGGTATGAGGCAGTACCCGGGGGAGAGAGAAATTCATCCTACTGGACAGATGTGGAGGTTTGTCAGGTGGTGTTGGAAGTCAAGGTGAGATATGTGATTGTGATCAGGAATTTTAAGTTAAACCAGTCTGAGTGGTTATGGTAATATGGAAAAGTCAAAGGACTGAGAGACAAGGTATGTGGCCTAAGGCACAGGTTATCTGCATGGACATTGATATCACCAAGAGTGATGACAGAAGTTGAGGTACGGAGGGGAAGACCATGGGCAGCCGTGCAATAAATGTTTGGTGGTGGTGGTGGTAATTTTTCTGTTGCAATCACATTTGAGTCCTTTAGATGTCCCCTGTCTAGCACCTGACATTCCCTGAATGTCCCCTACCCAGCCTTGTAGAAAAGGAAGAGGAGGAGTGGTTACCAAGAAAGCATTGCCCAAGCCTGACCATCAGGGAGCTTATAATGGTATTGGAAATGCTGGACTTACATAGATATAGCAATTAGAAAATGGCAGAAGACTACAAAAGGACAGATGTGTGGGTCAGACAGAAATATGCCATTGAGGTAGAAGGAGGAGAAGATGGGCTTTCAGATAAGGTGAAGGAAGGAAAACTTAACCCAGCCTTCTGACGGTCCAGTAATTTTTAGCTGGAACAGAGAAGAGGAGTGATCTTTGGTTTAAAAAACAAAATAAAACTGCTTTAGTTTTAGAATTAGCAGCCTTACTGCTGTTTCCAAGAAGGTCTTTGAATTATCTGGAAATAAGCTGTGCTTGAAAGCACTTTGCAAGGTGATGATGTCTGCTGTGAGCCGCTACATATTCTTAGGCTGGAGGTGGGCACCTTCCACCAGAGATGTGGGAATGTGGTAACTTGCTGATTTGTCACAAGAGAATCAGGAAAAATGATCTTTATATATGTCGCCGTGACTCATTTTTTTTCATGAAAGATGGCAGAATTAAAAAGTTGCCTACCCTAATCCTTTGCTTTTCTCTTTTATTCCTAACACTAGAATGTCGGGAAGGTCATCATCAAAGGATGCCGCTACGTGGTCATCGGCCTGCAAGGCTTCGCTGCAGCCTACTCCGCCCCGTTTGCGGTAGCCACCAGCGTGGTATCCTTCGTGCGCTAATGGGAGCTGCTGTGGCAGGTGCCCCCAGAGTGAACGGGAGCCCCTGCTGTGGGAACTTTGTGAATCCTGGAGCATCTCAGACTTGAACACACAGCATATTTGGAAGAGAAAACATGCCTTTCTTTGTTGAATCACATTAGTATGATGAGTGAGTCATCCCTGCCCATCTGCTGAGCTTCTCACATCTCTCAGTCACACGTGGACCCAGTGGTCAATCCTGCAGAGAATTCGGCGGAGGTTAGGTTTGGGAGTGGAGCTAGCGTGCTAAAGCCAGAGCCTTCACGTGAAGGTGGCAGGCACTGGGGCGGAAGCCAACACTCAACAGATGCAAGCAGTGTGGGTGTGCAGCAGAACAGTGATCTTGGGGGAGGAAGAGGATGTTACTAGAGTCAGATGATTTGCTGTATTCTCCTGAAAGGTCGTAGGCTGACAGGCGCTCACATTCCTTGGCTGCCTCGGTTCTGAGGGCAGCTAAGGAGCTGTTTATTCCTCAAGTCATGCTCCCCGATCTCCTTCCTCTACCACTCTGTCACCAGGAGTTTAATTACAGGCTTGAGGAGAAGAAAGGAAGAAAAGATATCTTGATGCTTTGAAAACTGTGTTGGCAGTGTGGCATGACTGTTTAAAGTAGATAAAACCTTGTCATTTTACCCCATCCCTGCATGACTGTGAAGCTGGCGAGGAAGGAGGAAGAAGGGCAAGTTCAGATGCAGGCTGGGTGGCTGGGACAGGTTGGCTAAGGGACTACTCTGGAGGGCTCTTCTGCCTGGCATTGCCCACTTCGGCCCAGCCACGTGTTTGCAGCGACCAGAGTCCCTGCAAAGGTGTGGCTGGCTGTGGTCAGGGTGCTACTAGCACCATCAGCGCACTCCCGCCATTGGCTCAGCTCCTCTCTGCCAGTCCAACTAAGAGTGCTTTGTCCTGGGTGGGACATAGGGGCTGAGAGAGATGGGGGGAGACATAACACCCAGGAATGAAAATACAGATTTAGAGAAGGAACCAGTAAGTAGGAGACAGATGTGAAGGAAATGGAAATGAGGCAAGAGGACATTGGAAGAGAGAAGTTTGCTGTCCAGGAGCCAGGTCTGGAGCATCAGTGTGAGGGAGTTCAGGTAGGCTGGGCCTGTGCCTCTAGGTAGGGACAAGGGAGGCTGGGTAGCCAGGGCTGGTGCTTAAAACCCCTGAGGCCATGAGCTCATTGGCTGCCTTTGTAGCATCCTGTCTTCTTCTGTGCTGCCTGGTTTGATCTCATCTCACCTGGATTCAAAGGGTAAGGTGGGCATGGGTCTTGGGCCTGACACCCACCAAGGATGACCTGTGGACTGCCATCGGATGCTGAACAGGGAGATGAAAGGAGGTCCTCTTACCATACCCCTCTGCCAACCCCCCAGTAGGCCACTGTTCTGACTTTGTTTCCAGAATATCCAGAAATCCAAAGGGGCTGTTGCTGAACAGTCTGCAGGACCAGTGACAGCACCTACCTGTTGTCCCAAGGCATACAAAGGAGGCCTCAACGCTCATGCTTCTCTAATCAAGCCCTACCAAGACAGACAGAAAGACAGACAGAAAAAAGGAAGGGGTAGAGGAGAAGGTTGAAGCTGTGGAGCTAGACTCTGCTTCACTTCCTGAAGCTTCAACTTCATGTCGAAGATTCACTGGGACCCAATTCCTGCATTGTTAATATTTGTGAGGAAAAGTGAAACAAGTGATCTGGTTTTAGCCCAGATGATGAAAGTGGATATGGCACATTTTCACACACGTGAGATAATTACAGCTTGCCCCACAACACTGGGTGTTGGAGAAAGGGAGAGATAGTCATAAGTGGAAGAAAAAGCCAAGCATAGTGAGTGGGAAAGAGAGTGAGAGCCTGTGCAGGCTGCTGACGAGCCCCAGGCAGCCCACAAGTTTCTCGTGGGGAGATGGAGGCAGAGCCCAGGGTAGGGGACAGAGCTGCTGGGGCCTTTCCTTGCCTGGGAATCTGTCCCAGGAAGAGCTTCCCCACTCCCATCCCCCAAATTGGAAAAACCGTACATTCAAGCCTGTTTGGCCCTGAAATTCTTAAGAATCTGGTTAAGAATTAACTCACTAATGTCAAAAGTCAAAACCTCCTAGGGGTTGTCCTGGGAGTCAGGTTCACGGGTACAGAAGATGAATCTCAGATGTCACTCAACCTGAGCCGTCATTCTCTGTGGCAGGGCTGCCCTGGGTTTCTCTTACTCAATCCCTGGAGTGTAAGCATTTGGATTGTGTCACAGATTACCTTTTTACCTTTTCTTTCTTTTTTTTTCTTTTTTTCAATATCAGTGCCCACACCTTACTGAGTATTGAGTTTTAGAGCTTTCGCTTGATGTGCTTGACCAAGAGACTTCTTTTGTATCCTTTTCTTGTCCTATGATGTAAATAAAAGCCTCGATTTATGTAATGTTTCTGGTGTGAAGGGTTCCCAGCTCCTCACTTTCTAGCCTTGCCTGAGGGAGATTCCTGGAGTCCAGCCACACTGAGAGCCTGGCACAGCAGGTGATGACCAGTCGGGAGAGACCTCCCTGGGAACCAGTAGGAGCCCACAGCTGCTCCCCAAGGACCCAGGGGAGGGAGAGACCCCAATTCACCTGGGAACTCTGCATGTGTGTTAAAGGGGACAGTTCTCTCTAAGCCAGCAGAACAGGCTTTGCCTTCTAGGAGCCTCAGCTCATGAGTTTGTTGAAAAATGGGCCGGGCACAGTGGCTCACGCCTATGATCCTAGCACTGAGGCAGGCAGATTGCTTGAGCTCAGGAGTTCGAGACCAGCCTGGGCAACATGGCGAAACCCCATCTCTACTAAAATACAAAAAATTAGCTGGGTGTGATAACGCACTCCTGTAATCTCAGCTACTTGGGAGGCTGAGGCAGAAGAATTGCTTGAACCCAGGAGGCAGAGGTTACAGTGAGCCAAGATCGCACTACAGCACTCCAGCATGGGCAACAGAGTGAGACTCTGTCTCAAAAAAAAAAAAAAAAAAAAAAAAAAAAATTCCAGAACCTCCAGCTCAGATTTAGAGAGCCTAGCAGGGGGGCAGGAGCTGCACTGCCCACAGGGTGCTGAGAAAACTCCAATGCAGCTGTTCCTCTGCCTCAGCTGGGAAATGCTGGCCCCTGGGGCCCTGCTGCACGTTGCATCTGCCAGTGGGACTCCAAGTGGGAGGCTGGGCCAGAGGAGGGGCCCTGCCGGGTTCCAGGCCTGCACTGAGTACGTGTGGTATGCCTGCTCACTGAGTCCTCACAGAAGTGATAGAGAAGGTCTTGGAGGTGCGGAAGGTGGAGAGGAGAGGAGTGGTCCTGGTAGCCATCAGGGCCCACTGGTCCCAACCTGCTGTTAGGCTTACAGCAAAGCAGAAGAGAGGGACCACTGTGTCTTCAGCCACCTTGGAGTCATCTCTGCTGCCCCTCTGCCCAGCACCTGTGTCATGCCAGAGAAGTCCCGACAGCCTCTGTGACCAAGAAGCAGCCAGAGGCAGGACTTGAACTCAGACCACCTCCTCCGCCCTCCAATAGTCTTCTGAGGAATGGTAGTCTCCCTTAGCAGAAAACAGTTGTGGCCTCAGGAAACAGTTATTGCAGTGTTAGATTTAGGCAGCTGTGGTTAGGGGGTTTGCACCCATGAGGTCTTTTTCCAGCCCCTGACTGCAGGAGTACAGAGGAACTGAGTAAACTCAATGATGCCATCACTTCCAGAATGTTTTTGAACATTTGATAGATCACCCCAGAAGCTTATTTTGTAATTAACACACAGAAAAAACATATTTGAGAGGTTCCATGGTTTTATCAAAAACCCAGATGGTTCTTGAGTGAAAAAAAGTCTCTACTGCATTGACCATTCATGGGGAAATGTGGGAAAATAAAAAATATATAGGGTATGTATTTTTTTTTTCCTAGAGGCAAGGTTGGTTTTGAGCCAAACCACTCCAAGGATAGCCAAGGGAAAAGGAGATCACTTCTGATCTACAGGGCTCAGTGCCTGAGCCTAGTGAGTGCAGCAGCCACCCTGCCAAGGAAGGCAGAACAAAGGCTTTATTGCTGGAAGCCTCAGGCCAAATCTCCGCCTCTAAATGCTTCCTGCTTTCTACCCTTCAGCCTCATCTGAAGACACAAACTAGGATTAGAATAAAGCACCTTGAAGATGGGCTTTGCTTTTTAAAAAAGTGTTTCTCAGGTAGTGCCTCTTGCATAACCTGTTGACAAGGCTCTGAACAGATGCATCTGGTTCAAACCAGACATAAAAATCCCAGCCAAAGGACCAGACAGAAATAGAGCTGAAGAGTTCACACTTCCTTTCACTTGCTCTTTAATTCCATGGTATTATTATCATGTCCATGGTCACAGAGCTCGGAAGCAGAGATGCTTTCTGGCAAGGATGATGATTTTTGCATTTTGAGTTCTTAGAGTCAAGGAGAAAAAAAGCATGTAATTATGAAATATTTTCACAGCCATCATTCTCGTATACAAAATCAGACTTGAATTTGTCTTTCAGTGTTTTCATTTTAATAAAGCAATGAGCCATTCATAGAATTCCACAAGCCCCTGAATAGAACCCCATCTGCTTCCCCTGGACACACTTCTGGGACATATATGATCACTGCAAACTAAGATGCATTAAACATCCAGTAGGGGTGAGGTGCAGTGGCTCATGCCTGTAATCCCAGCACTTTGGGAGGCCGAGGCGGGCGGATCACTTGAGGTCAGGAGTTCAAGACCAGCCTGGCCAATATGGTAAAACCCTGTCTCTACTCAAAATATAAAAATTAGCCGGGCATGGGGGCAGGCGCCTATAATCCCAGCTACGCGGGAGGCTGAGGCATAGAATCGCTTGAACCTGGGAGGCGGAGGTTGCAGTGAGCCGAGATAGTGCCACTGCACTCCAGCTTGGGCGACAGAGTGAAACTCAGTCTCAAAAAAATGAAAATAAATAAACATTCGGTAGGTACACGAGGCACTGTGCTGGGTGGTTCAGCATCATTTTATCTCCATTTCATTCTCAATAACAGTGTCGATGAGGTAGATATTATGATTATCTCTGTTTTATAGATAATAAAACTGAAGTTGAGGAAAGTTAGGGAATTTGGCTCTGGTGCTTTGGCCAGGAGGTGCTGAAATCAGGACCCAAGACTATGCACTTTCTGTCAGTTTCAGCTGCCTCTTATTTCCATTTCCTCTCAAGCTCCTGTCAACTGAAGGGAAAAAAAATCAAGCTTTTAAAGCATTAAAGTCACTTTTATTCAGAAATCTTCTAGATTGAGGCTTAAAGCCGAGGAGCAGCCCTTTAGAGAGGTCCTGTCAGGCTGCTCCAGCACAGTGTTTCAGCCCATTGCTTATACGCAGGTGGTGCAGGTTAAGTAGCTGCAAAATCACATCAAAGTTTGGGTTCAAGATTACATCAGCTCCAGATTACAGAAGTGTAACCACTGACCGCGGGTAATTCCACCACCCAGACATATGGTGATGGACGTTTCCTGATCATTTGAGGTCTTCTACAGCACAGTGTGAAGTGACTGTGGAACAAACCATAATCTTCTATTATTGCTTGTTTGGGGGACGTTATGTGTAGGAAACAGCAAGGACTATGATCATTTATCTTTTAAGGAATGTAGTGACTCAGGCAAGAGATATGGGGGTGTCCTGTGCTGTATCCTATTTTGTCTTCAGTGCATCCTTCAGAGAGTTGCATGTTGTCACAGTCAGGGGCTTCGTGAAATTATGCTGGCAGGCAGAGTTGAGGGAACATGGCTTCTTACCTTTGCTGCTTTGGCTCACACTCCTGTTAACCTCCAGTGACCACAAGGAAGAGAAAGCTTTAGATGTAATTATATCCAACATGTATTCCTCATTGCATTTATGTAATCAAAATAGTTAGCAAGACTCCAATAAAGACTTGAGGTGCCGAAATTATACTCTGGATTTTTGAGATGCTGAGATAGTTTAGCTGGGGATTTGCCATGGTCAAAACACAGAAGGAAGAATGTGAAGGGTTGTGTGATTCCCAAGTCGATGGGGTTGAATTTGCTTTGCAGTTTTGCCACACTTCCTTGGCGTGATTTCTGCAGCTGCAGTAACTATTCCCACTGGCTGCAATTTTGTTCTCATGATGCAACCCTCCGTTTTTCACCCCAGGGGCCCAGAAGCCACCTTTCAAAGCTCCAGGGGCAGCAGGAAGCCACCCCACCTAATAGGAACAGTATTGGCATTGGACCAGCTGGCTTCTAATCCTGTATCTGTGTGACCTCAGACAAGCTCTTCAACTTTGAATTTCATTTGCAAAGTAGATGGCATCTATTTCAGAGGCTTATTCGGAAGGTTAACTATGGAGTGTATTAAGAGCCCAACCTGTAGGAGATTAAGTGTTCTGCCTCTGCAACTGCCCCTAGCTGAAAGTCAGCTGCCTCTGACCCGTGGGAGGAAAGGAAAGAGGTCTGAGAGCTAGGGGTGGGGCAGGGTGGTGGGGAGAGTGCAGGGAGGGAAACAGGCAGGGGTGAGAGGGAAAGGAAAGGAGGGACACAACCTCTCTCCCCAACCATTTGTGTTTTTCTCTCCTTCCAGAAAGATTGGAGACCTAGCTTTCCCTTTGCTGGAAAGCAAACCCAGCGGCAGGAGCTGCAGGGGAACTGGGTTGGGGGCTGTGGCTCAGGAGCAGCAGGAGAGAGAGGGCTGAAGAGGATGGAGCTGGGCTGGTTCAAGGCAGCGGGAAAGAAGGGGTTTGTGTGTAGCTTTTGGTATCTTCCAGCCACCCCTGACAAGGAATGACTCAATTTTTGCCCTGAACTCACTTCCCCTTCTGGTCAGCCTATGGCCTTGTTTCTGGAGACCCAAACTCACCTTATCTGTAACGGGATGGAAGAAGTCCTGTTAGCTCCCCAAGGCACAAGGGTGCACAGGACAAACAGGCAGTTTGAGGATCAATGAGAAAACCCCTGGGCCCTGAGGAGGTGCACAGGGGTCGCTGTCACTGCTCATTGCAAATATGATGGCAACATACTTAATAATAGCTATTATGACAACCTGGAAGGCAAATATGCACTTTCCTTAATCTCCCAAAGTATTTTCATTTGTGTATTTATTCACTTATTCAACAAACACAGTTGAGCCCCTGCTGTGTGCTGGCCTCATGCTAGATGCTGGGCCTGCTCCACTGGGAGGTGTTAGAAGGGAGAGAGCCGTTATGGCTGTGAGTCCTAGTGTCAGATTCTCTGTTGAGGGTTGGAGTTTAATGTACAGGGTGATGACTAGCGGGAGTGCCTTGATCAACCCCACAGGAGAAGGAAGCAGGACTGGACAGGGGGAGAAGTTGAGCTGCAGTGCAGACCCAGCAAAGGCCTCAGCCCACCCCACCAGGAGCTCCGAAACTAGAATGGCCCTTCAGGGTTGACCCGACTTGCAATGGGATGGCCGGGCCATTATGTTAGGGAAGCATGGGCCTCAGAGAGCCAGAGTGACACCATTTTAAAATCAACTCTGTCGGCTGGGCGCGGCGGCTCATGCCTGTAATTCCAGCACTTTGGGAGGCTGAGGCAGGTGGATTACCTGAGGTCAGGAGTTCGAGACCAGCCTGGCCAACATGGTGAATCCCTGTCTCTACTAAAAATACACACACAAAAAATTAGCCAGGGGTGGTGGCACGCACCTGTAGTACCAGCTGCTCAGGAGGCTGAGGCAGGAGAATCGCTTGAACCTGGGAGGCGGAAGTAGCAAAGAGCCAAGATGGCGCCATTGCACTCCAGCCTGGGCAACAAGAGCGAATCACTGTCTCAAAATAAATAATAAAAAATTAAAAATCTCTCTTAAAACTAGCCTAGCAAGACACTTTCCTTGCCAGTCATGACCCATCCTAAGATGTTTAAAGCTAAGAAAACAGCTTGATAATGCCTTCAAGGACAAATTCCTACAACAGAAAGTCCAGACGTCCCATAACAATATACGCTTTCAAGATAATGATAGTTATACTTGAATGTATTAATACACTAAAATGTTAAGGATAGTTTTATTTAAATCAATAAAATAATAAAATTTCTCAGGCTATCAACCCACCTGGACGTAGGCACAACTTAGCTTAGTGTTGACACAGGGAAGGTCCCACATAAGAAAAACACATAAGGCACAGCTTAGCTTAGTGTTGACATAGGGAAGGCCCCACATAAGAAAAACTTAAAGACATTCGTCTGCTTGCTTTCTGAGGACACCTTACTCTGTAATGGAGTCACTTCAATAAACTCGCTTCTTTCACTCCACCCCACAGCTTGCCTTGAATTCCTTCCTGCACAAAATCCAAAACCCCTCTTTCCAGTAACAATTATACCTGACGTTGATCAACTGATGGACGAGTTGCCCTGGGACAGAGATACCTTGAGGCCAGGCAGCTCTGGGTTGCTGCGGCAATCCTTGAAGGGGCTCTGCGCTGCAAAGTTGTCTGCTGACAACACTCCCAGCAAGTGGCACAATATCCTCACTCGAAGGAGGATCTGGGTAGCATATTGATCTGTCCACCACACTGGCTCTGTGGAATCTGACTCCACAACTCACGGTGTGACCTTGGGCAAGAGGCTCAACATCTCTGATGAGTTTGCCCAACTGACAAATGGGGGTAATACCACTTCCTAGAGCCATCAGCAGGATGGAGTGAGTGAATTCTCACAATAGTGAAACCCACAGAAAGAACTTGGTGTGTATTGTCTTGCACACTTCCAGGCAACTATAATCCAGTACGATGAGCATGTAGAAGCAGGGGTTGAGGGGGCCCTTAGGAAGGGCACCTCACCCCATCCTGGAAAGGCTTCTCAAAAGGAAGGGGTATCCAAGCTGGGGCCTGTGGATGAGTAGGTGATGCCCAGGCAGAGGAAGTACAGAAGGGTGGGAGAGGAAGAGGGTTTTAGGCAATGGTAATTACAGATGCAAGACCCTAAAGGTGAAAGAAACTCAGAAGCGACAGTGTGGCTGGAGTGGGAGACCAGGGGCTGGCAGGGAGAGGGCAGTGGCGGGTGCCTCAATCATGAACTGACCTTGGCAAACAGAAGCCTTTACAAAGCAGGTGCCTTCTGCTGCAAGCATAAAATAATCTGTTGTTATCATAATAATAATGATAATAACCTGTTTGCTCTTCTGATTGGTCGGGACTGGAGCCAGCCCTCCTAGATAGCCTGGGCTTTAGAGCGACGGATGCTAGTTGGCAGGGAATTATCAGGAGACCTTGACCTCCAAGGCCAGGGAGCGGTGGGGCAGTAGCCTCCTCCTCTTAAGGCCCTGCTGAGGCGCTATGCCATGAGGTCATCCCGGACACCTGGGCAAGTTGTCCTGCTTAGCTGGGAATTTGGAGCCATGCTCAGCTGACACAGGAGGCAGGGAGAAAGAAAGCATTTAGGGCTTTCCTTTCTGCCTGTTCTCAGCCCCAGGAAGCAACCTGAGCGCTATACTGGGAGTCAGCAAGGCAATCAGCCACATGTGACCTCGAACCAGTCACCCACCTAGCTGAATCTGGGCATCTTCTGCAAAACAGTGCGGTTGAAGTAGATGGTACATTCATCCCTCCCTGCTCTGGCATGCTGAGTCTGAGGTGTTTTCTCCTGTCCTGCCTCTAAGAAAATCACCTCTTGTTTTTTTTGGATCATTGTCTTTCATTTCATGAGGGCCATTTCCTATTGGGCTCCCTCTTGACTTCTTAAGCAGCTCCCAAGGCCACTCTGACAATATCAGGCCTGCCGCCTCCTCTCACGCTGCCCCCCACAAAGGAAACAAAAACAATGGGAATCGCTTCTGCCCCATCTCGGATAGGTATCTGTGTTGTTTTGCTGGCCCTGCGGCTGTTTTTCCCAACCCCACCATCCGCTCTGCCCTGGGCTCCCTCCTGACCAAGGTTCCCAGTGGCAGAACAGTCAGGATTGGCCAGGAGAGGCCACTCCCGGCCTTCACCCCAGCCTCCCCACTCTGCACTTTAAATTCTGCTTCTCTCTCAAAGCAAGGGCCCCGCCTGAATGAAACCTTCCCTGATCTCAGCAGCTGGAATGAATCAGCCTCTGGACAGGGGAGCACGATGTGTGTCCCGATATTCAGCCCCTGTCTTATTCTGCTGCGTATGAGAATTACCTGTTCACAGATATGGTTTCCCCTACTGGCCCCAGCCTGATGTTTGCATATAGTGGGTGCTTCATGTTTGGCTGGGAGAGGGAAGGAGGGAAAGAAGAAGGCAAGAAAGGAAACAGTACAAATCTCTATAGGAGGCTTGGTACATCTAGGGCAACATTAGTCTCTGTTCATTGTTTTATGTCCAACATAAAAATCTGTAGGGAGTGTGTGGGCTCTGGGTACTTCCATTGGATAGCTCTGCTCAGGAACAAGGAAGTAGGCTGTGAGGGAGGTCTCCCTGGGTCACTGCTGACAGCCCTGAGAAAGCTGCTCCAACGGCCCTGCTGCTGCACTCAGGTACCCTTTGCCTGGAGCAGAGTGTTCAGAAAGTGTGCGTGGGTGGGAAGGGTGGGACCCTCAGCTATAGTTCTGGGGGCTGTCCACAGGCTGCCCTAGGTGTGGTCCGGATGTGGATGGCATTTGTCCCATGTGTTGCCTGGCCTGACTGAGGAACAGCAGGATGCCCAGGAGGAGCAGAGGGACAGGGAGCTGGGTTGGGGGGCGTGGAGCTGGGGATGGGGCCATCACGCAGGCCTCATGGGCCGTGTGAAGACTTGGCTCTTGCTCAGAGTGGGATGACGCACTGCTGCACGATTTTGAACAGAGGAGGGCAGGGCCCTAAAGGGAGAGACGCTCATTAGTTCATCTCACAGATGAGGACACTGAAGCAAAGTGACGAACTCGCCTAAGCCCCAGCCCCACCGCATCTAAGGTGTGACTTCCTCACAGCCCCCTGCTCATGACCAGCCCTGTCCGTACTTACTTCTCCATCAGTTTGCTCACTTGTTTGCAGGTTCACTCCCCCAACTCGAATGTCACCTCTGTGAGGGCAGGGACAGGTTTGTTCGCTGCTGAATCCTCATGCCTTCAACGATGCCTGGCATGGAGCAGGGGCTCTGTGTCCATCTGCTGAAGAGTGAATGAGATCTTGTGATGTCTTAGTCATGTGTGCTGCTGTAATAGAATACCACAGACAAAGTAATTTATAAAGAATAAAGTTATCTTCTCACAGTTCTGGAGGCTGGGAATTCCAAGGTCAAGGCATTGGCAGGTTCAGTGTCTGCTGAGGGCTGCTCTCTACTTCCAAGATGGCGCCTTGTTGCTGCGTCCTCTGGAGGAAAGGAAGGCTGTCCCCTCACATGGACAAAGGCAGAAGGGCAAGAGGGGTGAACTCTCTGTCAAGCTCCTTTATAAGGGCCCTAATCCCATTCATGAGGGAGGAGCCCTCGTGGCCCAATCACATTTTGAAAGACCCAACTCTTAATACCATCCCATTAGCAACACCTGAATTTTGGAGGGGACACATTCAAACCATAGTACTGATAAGATAGGAAATGTATATTTGGTCTCTGCCCCTGGTTCCTGTTACAGAGCTCCTAAAACTCTTATAATTTCCTGGGCGATAGGAACATATTTTGTTCTAATGAGGCACCTCTTGGTGGGCTCCTAGATGGGGGCTGGGCATCAGAAAGAACAAGCCATGTTTAGAAGCTTGGAGATTTCGGCCCCATCCCCCATCCTCTGAGAAGAAGGGAGGGGCTGGAGACTGAGTTAATAATTGATCGTGCCCATGTGATGAAGCCTCCAAAAATTCCCTGAGCTTCACTCAAGTGGTGGGAGTTGAACAATGAGAACACATGGACACAGGGAGGGAAACATCACACTTGGGGGCCTGTCAGGGAGTGGGGGCAAGGGGAGGGAGAGCATTAGGGAAAATACCTAATGCATGTGGGGCTTAAAACCTAGATGATGGGTTGACACGTGCAGCAAACCACCATGGCACATGTATACCTATGTAACAAGCCTGCATAGGTTCTGCACATGTATCCCAGAAATTAAAATTAAAAAAAATAAATGATTTAAAAAACAGAAAAAAAAATTCTTGAGGGCAATATATACCTCATTTACACTGATGTGATTATTACACATTGTATGCCTGTATCAAAAATATCAATATCTCAGGTACCCCATAAATATATACACTTATTATGTACCCACAAAAATTAGAAATGAACAAAATAGCCATTCTGACTGGTATGAAATGGTATCTCATTGTGATTTTGATTTGCATTTCTCTAACAGGATCAATTACACCCAACCTCAGCATCATAGAATATACTAATGTAAAAAACCTGCACATGTGCCCCCGAACCTAAAAGTTGAAATTAAAAATAAATAAATGAAATGAAACTTAAAAAAAATCCCTGAACTACAAGGTTCAGAGAGCTTCCTGGTTGGTAGACACATCACATGCTGAGAGGGTGGCACACCACAGTTCCTTGGGGACAGAAGTTCCTGCACTTGAGACCTTTCCAGACCTTGCCCTATATACCTCTACATCTGGCTGTTCGTCTGTATCCTTATCACAGCCTTTATTACGATAATAAACTGGTAAACATAAGTGTTTCTCTGAGTTCTGTGAGCCATCCTAGCATATTAATTGAACCTAAGGAAGAGGTCATGAGAACTCTGATTTATAGCTGGTTGATCAGAAGTATAGATGACAACCTACCACTTGGGATTGGCGTCTGAAGTAGGAGGCGGTCTGGCAGGACTGGGCCCTTAACCTGAGGGATCTGACTGACTCCAGGTGGCTCAGGTCCAAATCGATTGAATTATAGGACACCCAGCTGGAGTCTACCGGAGAAGTGTTTAGTGTGTGGGGAACATCTGGTCTCAGAAGTGTTTTGTGTTGAGTGTTGGGTGTGTGAGTAGGAAAAATACTTTGACTTTGTTCCTATCTCTTATAGTAAACAAGGACAGACAAACACAGCCCAGAGAGGAGGTGCTGGCATGACCGGTGCTGGGTTCTCTCCAAAAAGTCAGCACTCAAGCTCCCATACAAATTCTGGGGCTCCATGCCAGCCTGAAGTCCAATATGTGGGTGTCTGCTTAGGGTCCTACCCTAACCCACCGTGACACTGTACCTTGGAGAGTCAAAGAAGTGTGCTTGGCTCTATAGTGTCATTCATTACCAATTCCTTTCACCTACTGATTTATTTATTTTGAGGCAGGGTCTTTGTCACCCAGGCTGGAGTGCAGTGGTGCAATCACAGCTCACTGCAGTCTCAACTTCCTGAGTTCAAGGGATGCCCTGCCTCAGCCTCCCAAGTAGCTGGGACTACAGGCATGCACCACCATGCCCGGCTAATTCTTTCATCTATTTAGTCACTCAGACATTTAACAAATGTTACCTGACACCTGCTCTGCACCTGTCACTAGGCTGGGACAGTGCACAAGCAACCAGGGGCATGGTGCCTGCCTCCTTGCCTCCTACTGAGGGGCAGACCAAGGATAAAAGACAAATGAGTAGTCAGCTGCTATGGGGGAAGCAAATGAGGAGGCCTTAGCCTCCGGTGGATGGGCAGGGAGGCCTGTGGGAGGACTTGACAGCCTTGGGGCAGGCGCTCTGGGCAGGGATAAGAGCTGCGAGGTTGTCAGAAGGGATGCCTTCAGTGCCTTCAGGAGGGTGGGGGCTCAGCGTGGTTGGGAAGGGAAGCCAGTTTCGCTGGAGAGGGGAGAGGAAGGGAGTGGGGGTGGGAAGTGGAGGTGCCTTCTCCCCACTTCCTGTAGGCTGTATTGACAGCGAGGGGAAGTGAAGGGGAAACTTTTGATAGGCTCTAAGTAGTGGGGAGGCGTGGCAGTAGGATCCACTCCATGGTTTGAAAAGATCCCTCTAACTGCTATGGGAACAGGCTGGCCTGGGGTGTGCCTTGCTGAAGCAGAGAGGAGTGGAAGGGGCCTTGGGTGGTCCAGGAGCAATGGAAAAGAGAAAGCCCACTGGAGCCATATTGAGGAAATGGGTGCATTGGCTCAAGCCTGTAATCCCAGTGCCTTGGGAGGCCAGAGTAGGAGGATTGCTTGAGGTCAGGAGTTTGAGACCAGCCTGGGCAACATAGTGAGAACTCTGTCTCTAAAAAAATGAAAAATGTTTAGCTGAGCATGGTGACATGTACCTGTAGTCCCAGCTACTCAGGAGGCTGAGGCTGGAGGATCCCTTAAGCCCAGGAGTTTGAAGCTGCAGTGAGCTATAATTTTGCCACTGTACTCCAACCTGGGCAACAAAGAGAAACCCTGTCCCCAACCCCTTTGCCCCCCTACCCCCCAAAAAAGGAAAGGAAAGAAAACAGAGGTAACAAAATTTGTCTATGTAAGTGTGGGACTTAGGGAAAGCGTGGAACCAAATAATTCTCTGGGATTTTGGTCTGAGCGACAGGGAAGGCACCAGCTGGAGGAAGAAACAGGAGAATGTGGAGACTTTTGAGCCCAAGGCCAAGATTACTGTTTATTTGTTTAATTTGCACAATGCCTCTATGCTGGGCCAGAAAGACAATGTGCAAAGCCAAGCTCTGGGGTTTTCTGCTGCAGCCAAAGTATTTCCTGTGCCCTTGTCATTTTTACCTTGGAACCTGTACAGTCACATGGTTGGCCCCGTCCCTGACCTTGTCCTCCCTGGGGGAGACAGAGACTTACTGTACACACACTCCCCATTGGTGTCTCCTGGCTCTGGAGTCTGCTTCAAGGCACATTTCAGGCCCTCCTGAAGGGGACAGAAGTGGTGCCTTTTGTGCATATAAGGCAGAACTGAGTGGAGGAAATTAACACGCGCGCCTCAGTAAAATTCAGGCCCTGCTAGGTGCTCAGTATCACGTCATTTAATCCTCATAAGAGCCCAGTAACATAGATGTTATTATCCTTCTTATTCAAATGAGGAAGTGAGACCGAGAGGCCTCTCCTTGCACAAGGCCCCACAGGAGACATCTCAGGCTGGGTGGATTCCACACCGTTCTTGGTCATGCCTTCCCTCCAGATAGATCCCGAAAGGCTTTTTCTGCTCTGGTTCTCCCACTCCCCTCAACACACACATACATTTTATGCTTGTCATCCAGGTGGACTTTACACTAGGCAGTTCCCCTTTCCCAAGCACTTCTCTTCCCATTTGAGGGTCTGTGGGTTCCCCATGTTGATTTCTCCAAAACTTAGGGAAGAAACAACTTTGTGGCTTCCAAATACAGTATTGGGTTCAGTGAAATCCCCCTCTCCTTAGGGAAATATGGGCAGCAAAAAAAATGTTTTTTTTGAGACGGAGTTTCCCTCTTGTTGCCCAGGCTGGAGTGGAATGCAATGGCGCGATCTCAGCTCACTGCAACCTCCACCTCCCGGGTTCAAGCAATTCTCCTGCCTCAGCCTCCTGAGTAGCTGGGATTACAGGCTCCCGCCACCACGTCCGGCTAATTTTTTTGTATTTTTAATAGAGACAGGGTTTCACCATGTTGGTCAGGCTGGTCTTGAACTCCTGACCTCAGGTGATCCACCCACCTCGGCCTCCCAAAGTGCTGGGATTACACGCGTGAGCCACGGCTCCTGGTCGGGCAGCAACTTTTATGCAGCGCACCCCCTTGTTATTCAGTTAAGGGGTGATGTTTCAGGCAGAGGCTGAGGGAAGGGAGAACTGCTCCTGGGGAAATAGAGTTTAGATGGATCCGGATTGGCTGGAGCCATAGGCTCACACTCTTAGAGATGATTGCTCTTGCGGGGAGCCAGCCAGGTGAGCTTGGGCACAAAGATCTCTAGGGGCCCCTGCACCCAGGATAACACTGCGTGGTGGACCCAGACGTGCCTGCAGATGAGTTACTTTAAACCTTTCAAGGCTTTAAATGTCCTAAAAGTGTTTTTGTTTGATTACTATTTATTGTTCGTCTTCTGAATATTTACTCACAGAAGATTTGAATGGAGGAAAGAGGGATATGAAAAACACTGGTAATTCCACCACTCAGACATACGGTGATGGACATTTGCTAGATCATTTGATGCCTTCTCCAGCACACTGTGAAGTGACTGTGTGGAATGAACCATAATCTTCTATTATTGCTTGTTCGGGAGGCCTCCAGTGTTCTCTTCTGGATAGATCTCTGCAAGATCTTTGCTTCCCAAACTGCACACCACTGTGCTGTGCTGGAAGCATGAGAAACCAGACGACAAACGGGGTCTGCGGGCTTGGAGCTACTGTTTATGTGATGGAGGAGGCATTTTAAATCTATCTGGAAAGGGTGGATTACTTGATAAATGATGATGGGACAATTCGCTATTTATGTAAAAAATAATAATTTAAATAGATCCCTATATCATGCCATATTCTCACCCAAATTTCAGATAGAACTGTGGGTTAAATTTAAAAAAAAGTGTGTGTGTAATATAAATTATAATATATGCAGAATTGAAACAAAACACTTGTAAATTAAAAGGAAAAAAAGAACATTGCAAATACATCCTCAATAATAATAGAAATGCAAATTAGCACAAAAATACACCATTATAACCTATTCAATTGACTTAAAAAAATCCATTGCTTCCTTATACAAACCCTTGGCTACAGCCAAACTTTCTGAACATGTCCTTCACAGTTTTTTTTTTTTTTTTGAGACAGGGTCTTTCTCTGTCGCCCAGGCTGGAGTGCAGTGGAGCCATCTCGGCTCACTGCAACCTCCGCCTCCCAGGTTCAAGAGATTCTCCTGCCTCAGCCTCCTGAGTAGCTGGGATTACAGGCGCCTGCCACCACACCTGGCTACTTTTTTTGTACTTTCAGCAGGGACAGGATTTTGCCATGTTGGCCAGGCTGGTCTCAAACTCCTGGCCTCAAGTGATCCGCCCACGTTGGCCTCCCAAAGTGCTGGGATTACAGGCGTGACCTACCACACCCGGCCATGTCCTTCACATTTCCATCTTTTCTGCCTTTGTCCATGATGTGATCAGCCTGCAGGACCACACGTCTAGGTCTTCTGTACTTTCCTACTTAGGAATTTTCACATTTTCAGGCCCAGCTGAAAGCTTTTTCTGAACCTCTCCCTATCTCCCTCTTCCTCTGGCTAGAGGACCCCTCCCACCTCTGAAATCCCTTAGCTCTGAAAGTGTTACTGATTTTACATTAGCTTATTGAACTGCAGTTTGCTTTATATTTGCATGCAAGGAATCCATTTTCCTGACTATAATGTAAGCCCTGTTTCTAAGTTGCTGCTGTATCCTCTAACAAACATTTTTATATAAGGACAGTCTTTTTAAAAAAAAACAGATTTAGTGGGATATCATTCACATATCATACAGTTTACCCATTTAAAGTGTATAATTCGATGGTTTTTACTATGTTTTCAGGGGTGTGCAAACATCACCAAAATCTAATTTAGAATGTTTTCATCACTTCAAAAAGAGACTATGTACCCATTAGTGGTCAATCCAAATTTTCTCCCAACCCCAGATACCTACCAACCAACTTTATTTTTCTATGGATTTGCCTATTCTGGACATTTCATATAAATGCAATAAAACAAAATGTGGCCTTTGATGACTAGCTTCTTTCACTCAGCGTGATGTTTTCAAGGTTCATCCATGTTGTAGCATGTATTAGTGCCTCATTTGTTTTCAGGGCTGAATAATATTCCATTGGTTGGATACATCACATTTTGTTCAGCCATTCATCCATTGATATTTGGGTTGTGTCTGTGTTTTTGTTTATTATGAATAATTTTGCTATGAACATTTGTGTACATATTTTGTGTGGACATGTATTCCCATTTCTCTTGGGTATACAACTATGTTTAACATGTTTTTCAAACCATTTTTTTTCCCTCTGTTCTCACATCAACACAGTAATAATGAACACAGAAGACTTCTATGACCTCAAAATATGTGGGTATTTCTCTCTACCAGCAAGCAAGCAATGAATTCTGTAGATGACACCCAAATGGTCATCCTCTAATTCAGTGCTGGTACTATCTACTTGGAGATAGTGTCAGATCTCACAGTTTGAGGGATCAGTCCCCTGAGACTGTGTCCCCCGCTTTAGACCCAGTCACAAGTCTGGGATTCCAAAACTTCTGATCAACCATCTTTAAGTTGGGGTTCCCATGCCCCCCTGGATTAATTTGCTGGATTAATTTGTGTTTGATTAGTTTGCTGGAGCAGCTCTCAGAACTGAGAAAAACAATTGTGTTTACAGGTTTATTATAAGGGCTATTACAAAAGATACAGATGAAGAGAGGCATAGGGTGAGGCATGGGGGAGGGAAAGCAGAACTTCCATGCCCTCTCCTGGCATGCCACCCTCCAGGATCTCCATGTTCCAACTATCTGGAAGCTCTCTGAACCATGTCCCTTTGGGTTGTCATTGAGGCTTTATTACATAGATACGGTTGACAACCATGTAGAAATGTGATTGGACAAAAAGTGCCTGATCTAAACCCAGTAAGCTTGTCTATTCAGACTTTTTGTGGCCTCTCTGCATAGCATTCCTTTCCCCAGGGTTTGAGGCAGGACTGCTTCTGGAATGAGAGTCTTTTGACCCACAGTTAGATTAAAGGCTTGCCTTGGGAAGGTGTAAAGAGGACAGGAGAAGGTCAGAGAGAGAGATTCTATTTCCTGAGGCCTGCTTCTGAGGCTAAAACACCTCAACATTATAGTAAAAGACTGTAACAAGGGCTAGTGGAGTTATTAGCCAGAAACCATAGAGGAAAACCTAAACATATAATCATAATATCACAAGTTATGAATGGAATTGCTGGGTTATTGGCAACTCCATGTAGAACATTTTGGAAAAACTGCCAAATTTTTTTCCATAGTGGCTACATCATTTTACATTACCATCAGGAATGTATGAGGGTTCCAGTTTATCTACATCTTCACCAGCATTTATTGTTATCTTTTTTATTATAGCCATCTTAGTGGGTGTGAGGTGATATTTCACCATGGTTCAATTTTTGTTTCCCTAATGATTAATGATGTGGATTGTCTTTTCTTATGCATGTTGGTCATTTATGTATCTTCTTGGAGTACTACCTATTCAAATGCTTTGTTTTAAAATTGAGTTACTTTTTCTGATTGTTGAGTTGTAGCAGTTCTTTATATATTCTGCATACAAGTCCCTTATATAATAAGATCTATAATGTGCCAATATTGTCTTCTACTCTGTGGGGTGTCCTTTCAATTTCTTGATGGTGTCCTTTGAAGTACAAAAGTTTTTAATTTTGATTTGTGAACTCCAAATATCTGAGAGGGTCTCAGTTAATTTAGAAAGTTTATTTACAAAGTTTGTTTTGCCAGTGTTGAGGATGCATGCCCATGATATAACCACACAAAGTCCTGATGACATGTGCGCACGGTGGACTCATGGAGAGCTAAAATGTCCGTGAATATCAAGCAAAACAGGAATTAACTGCATGGACTGTACTCATCTTTTTGACTTATTGCTTAAAACATTGCTGATCCTTTGTTTTGTTTTTCGGAGTCTTGAAACTTTTCTTTTGAGCTATTGACAGCTTTTAACAATTGAGTACACTCCTATGAACAAAATTTGGAGCATATTTGTTTCTCTCTACCTGATTTCTGAAGAATTTGGAAACTATTTGTGAGTATTCTTAACTTACGACAATACAGTTATTTGCATAAGTGCAATAAGAATCTGTTCTCATTTGTAAGAGGACACAATTGGAGAAACTGGTTATTTTACCAAGGCTTTGACTGGAATGGCATGCTTTCCTTAAGGAATAAAACCTGACTTATGCAGCCAATAAAAGCCCTTGGGAAAACTGGCCTCATACTTTGTCTACAGAGTCCCTGTACAGGGTTTCTGACCTGTCGTTAGTAAAGAATGTCACCTTCTGACAGGCCCAGGAGCCCTAGGTTTATCTTGGAACCTCAAGAGGAGAGGTAATTCACCCAACTCATAGGTATTTGGTGGTGGCACAAATCCATCGCGGGGTTCGGCTTTAAAAATGTCTTGATATTTCTTCTATGGAACAAAGTTTCATCAAAGCCAATTTTAAAAAGCCTATGTGAAAAATAATTATTCTTGCTGTACTTTATACAAATAATCTGGACAGGTAAAATAAAGCAGGTTGGTCCTACCATGATTTGTCTTTAGTGAAAATGGGAAACTGGAGAGAGAGAAAAAATATGTTTCAAAAACTATAGTACACTTGTTGTTAGATTCTAGTCTTGCCTAATGTTTTTCAATTTTTATTATTTTCTACAGTTTGGGCTGAACTCTAATTTTTCCTGGCTACAAGTCTACAAAATAACATTTTCAATATTTTTTTTCTTTCTTTTCTTTTTTTCCCCAATTTTTCCTAATTTGAAATCACTGAAAACTAAGCTGTGTTTCTTAAAGCCCTGCAAACTGAAGCTAGACAACTTAAACTTCAGAAGAAAATAACAGCATCCCATTTACATACATAAGCCACTTTCCAGGATCATTCTTTTGTTTGCTGTTGTTTTTCTCCCTTCCTCCCCTTATTTTCTCTTTATAGGACATGAGACTTCATAACCTGCTAAAAATGAACTTTTGGGACCTACCTGTCTAGGAATAAACCATCCTTGCCATGAGAGATCAGATGAAACCTGAAATCAGAGACTCATTTTCTTCTAAAATACTTTCTCTAAAAGATTTTAAAAAAGAATAGGGGGGAAGTGTGAAAGGAAAATCTTGGGGCCCCCAAATTACTGAACTAAAGGTAAAAGTCAAGCTGGGAACTGGTCAGGGCAAACTTGCTTCCCATTCTATTCAAAGTCATCCCTCTGCTCACTGAGATAGATGCGTATGTGATTGCCTCCTTTGGAAACGCTTATCAGAAATTCAGAAGGATGTAACCCTTTGTCTCCCACCTCCCTGTGACCTGGAAGCCCCCTTCCTTGCTTCGAGTTGTCCCCGTCTTTCCGGATGGAACCAATACACTTTTTACATATATTGATTGATGCCTCGTATCTCCCTAAAATGTATAAAACCAAGCTGTGCCCCTTTTTCCACTGTTCTGATGTCACAATCTCCAAAGTTATTAGAAACCTGCATTCAAGGGCACCAGTTATAGCTGATTATAAAACAACTGTCTAAACAGTACCAAAGCAAGAGAACAATTGTCTGTGGATGACAAAATGTTTTAGGGCCACCATAGTCAAAGACACAATTGGCAAGAAAGTTTGTTACCTTTGTGGCACATAATAATTTTAACGTGACAATTATGATTATTACTGATAATGTACACTTAGTCATATCAGAATTACAGGAGTTGCCCATAATTTTGGAACACATACAAATAACATATTTACACAAATATGGCCCAAAGAAAACCAAACACTGTTTCATACTGAGGGAAGAGAGAGACCCTCTCCTATTGTTTGATATTGTTTTACACTCAGAAAAGGAAAGAGAAGCGAAACTAAAGGCAGGTAGCCTGGCGCCTAGGAACCAGACCCAAAACCAAGGAACCAGATCTGAAACCAGGCCTGGGCCTGCCTGACCTAAGCTGGGTAGTTAAAGATCGACACCTGACCTAGCAACTGTTGTTATCTATAGATTCCAGACACAGTATGGAAGGACGTTGTGAAACCTCCCGTTCTGTTCTGTTTCACTCTGACCACTGGTGCTTGCAGCCCCTGTCACGCAGCCCCCGGCTTGCTCAATTGATCACGACCCTCTCACGTGGACCTCCTTAGAGTTGTGAGCCCTTAAAAGGGACAGAAGTTGAGCACCTGACGAGCTCGGATTTTAAGACGCTAGTCTGCCGATACTCCCAGCTGATTAAAGCCATTCCCTTCAGTGTCTCGGTGTCTGAGGGGTTTTTTCCATGGCTGGTCCTGCTACATTTCTTGGTTCTCTGACCAGGAAGCGAGGTGATTAATGGACGGTCAAGGCAGCTCCTTAGGCAGCTTTAGCCTGCCCTGTGGAACATCCCTGAGGGGGACTCCAACCAGCCGGAGCGACACGGATCCTGAGAGTGCTCCCGGGTAGGCATTTGCCCCGGTGGGACACCTCACCAGAGCAGTGTGTGGCACGCCCCTGTGGAGGATCAACGCAGTGGCTGAACACCGGGAAGGAACTGGCGCTTGGAGTCTGGATATCTGAAACTTGGTAAGACTAGTCTTTGGAACTTGCCCACTCCATTTGAGTGGAAGCATGGCCTGATCACCCATGGTGTGCCTTTATCAGCACTTTGGTATTGGTTTTGACTTGGTTTGAATTGCTTGATAGGACTGGTCTTCGGAACTTGCCCACTCCATTTGAGTGGAAGTGTGGCCTGATCACCCACGGTGTGCCTGTACCGGCACTTTGGTTTTTGTTTTTGACTTGACTTAGGTTGCTTGATACTTTGGTTCTGGTTTTGACCTGGCCTGGATTTCTGGATACTCTGATTTTGGTTTTGATTTTGGTTTGGTGTAAACCGCAAAAGTGTGTGTGTGCCCTTTTTACCTGTTCTTTGTTTTGTGGTGTATGTGTGGTGTGAGTGTGGTGTTTTGTCTTGAAGAAGCATGGGTCAGGCACAAATAAGCCCACCCCGCTAGGAACTATGTCGAAAAAATTCAAGAAAAGATTTAAGGGAGATTACGGTGTTACTATGACACCAGGAAAACTTAGAACTTTGTGTGAAATAGACTGGCCAGCATTAGAGGTGTGTTGGCCATCAGAAGGAAGCCTGGACAGGTCCCTTGTTTCAAAGGTATGGCACAAGGTAACCTGCAAGGCAGGGCAACCAGACCAGTTTCCGTACAGAGACACTTAGTTACAGCTGGTTTTAGACCCCCTTTCCCAAAACAGTAGTTAAGTGAACAGCAGCATAAGCGGCTGGCAGAGGCAAGGAAAGACCAGCAGAGAGAAAGAGAGGAAAGAGACAGAGAGAAAAAGAGGCAAAGAGAGAGAGGAAGAGACAGAGAGACAAAGAAGGAGTCAAGAAAAGAGAGAGGCAGAGAGAGAGGCAGAAAGAGAGGAAGAGACAGAGGCAAAAGGAAAGTCAAAGAGAGAGAGAGAGAGAGAGAAAGTCAAAGAAAGAAAGAAAAAGAGAAAGAGAAATATACAAGTAGTTAAGAAAAAAACAGTATACCCTATTCCTTTAAAAGCCAAGGTAAATTTAAAACCTATAATTGATAATTAAAGGTATTCTCCATAACCCTGTAACACTCTAATACCACTTTGTTGTCAGTGTAAACAAGGGCATATCCCGAAAGCACTGAGGTCTTCCTATCAAAAATCCTTAATCCAGTAACCCGTGGATGGCCCAGATGCCTTCAATCTGTAGCGGCAGCTGCTTTGCTAACGGGAAAAAAAAGGGCCATCTATACTAATTCTAAGTTAATTTAGACTAAACGAGGTCTTATTAATAGCAAAGGATAACTGAAATCCCAAACTTACAAGGTTTTCAACAAAAGTAAAGTTTGCTAAAGTTAACAGTGTAACATGTATTACAGTAACTTCTAATCTTGTGGCCGTAGACAATCTAGTCCACAGACATAAAGAAAGTTCGCTTTAAAAAAAAAAAAAAGAATGGTTATCTTCAAAAAAAGAAAAAAGGAAAAAAAGGGGGAGGCAGAATTTACATAAAAGAGTGTTATATGGTAAATTCTTGTCCTGAAATAAATTAACTGGTTGTTTAAAGAAAGAAATGTTTATAATAAGTCAGAAAGTTGAGACATGTCGAAGAATTGTCTGTGAAAGTCATGAAAGAAAAAAGGTTATAAAAAAATTTTATGCAAAAAATGTTGTATAATTTAAAAAGCAATAAGGCCTCCTGAGTAGTATTGAAGAAACAGTTTTATGTGCAAGGTGTATAAGAAAAGTAAAATATACCTTTGGTAAAAGGAATATAAGGAGGCATAAGAATGTGGATTTTTACCTACAGTAAAAGGTTAAAAAAATTATTGTTTTGAAAGTTTAAGCAAGTTTTAAAACATCAATTGTAAAGAAAATTCTGTGTGTAAACATATTAGCTAAAGTTAAAAAGGTATCATCCAGTTTTTCTGTGAACTGGACATTAAAGTAAAAACACAACAGGTTTTTCTTAAAGCACCAACCTGGTCTTTAACAAAAATTATAAAAGGTTAAAAAGAGTCTATAAAATCTTACCTTATGGTCAAACATGAAAATTTGGATAAATATGTCTACAAGGTTTTATTAAAATTAAATTTAACATTAATAACACACTAATATAAAGGTAGAGTTTAGCTTATCTGGTATAAAAATCATACAAGAAGCATTATTAAATATAAAATTGTGTTTAGCTTTCTTTGGTCTAAAAACTAATAAAAATAGGTGCTAAAGGAAACATGCATTTTACTAGAGGATCATAGAAGTTAAAGACTTAAAACAAACTTTGGCAATTAAGACAGCACAACAAGATGCAAATGCCTGGTTGGAATGGATCAAATATTCCATCTGCACGTTAAACAAAAGCAATTATTATGCTTGTGCACATGACAGGCCAGAGTCCCAGATGGTCCCCTTTCCACTAAGGTGGTCCTCCAGTCGACCAAGCATGGGCTCCATGGTAGCTCTTTTCCAGGATTCTACAGCCTAGAGTAATAAGTCGTGCCAAGCTCTCTCTGCTATATCCCAATGTCCGGCACCCCGTAGGTCAGCCCCCGAAGGCCATCCAGCTTCTGTCTCCCAACGCTAAGTTCACTTCGTGTCTCTCATGACAGGGAGGAAACTTAGCATTCCTTGGAGACCTGAAGGGATGCAGTGAGCTTAAGAATTTTCAAGAACTTATCAATCAGTCAGCCCTTGTTCATCCCCGAGCGGATGTATGGTGGTGTTGTGGTGGAACTTTACTGGGCACTCTGCCAAATAACTAGAGTGGCACTTGTGCTTTAGTCCATTTGGCTGTCCCTTTAACCCTGGCATTTCATCAACCAGAGGAAGAAAAAAAATAAGACATCATAAAGCGAGAGAAGCCCCTTATGGGTCTTTCAACTCTCACATCTATTTAGATGCAATTGGAGCCCCGCAAGGAATACCAGATCAATTTAAAGCTTGAAATCAAATAGCTACAGGACTCAAGTCAATATTTTGGTAGATGACAGTCAATAAAAATATAAATTAGATAAACTACATCTATTACAACCAACAGCAACAAGCTTTTCATGAGTTAAAAGAAAAACTCAGGTCGGCCCCAGCCCTGGGGCTACCTGACCTGACAAAACCTTTTACACTCTGTGTGTCAAAAAGAAAAAAAAAGGCAGTTGGAGTTTTAACCCAGACCGTGGGGCCCTGGCCAAGGCCAGTGGCCTATCTCTCAAAACAACTAGACGGGGTTTCCAAAGGCTGGCCCCCATGTCTAAGGGCCCTGGCAGCGATGGTCCTGTTAGCACAAGAAGCAGATAAGCTAACTCTTAGGCAAAACCTAAACATAAAGTCCTCCCATGCTGTGGTGACTTTAATCAATACCAAAGGACATCATTAGTTAACGAATGCTAGACTAACTAGATACCAAAGCTTGCTCTGTGAAAGTCCCCGCATAACCATTGAAGTTTACAACACCCTAAACCCTGCCACCTTGCTCCTGGTATCAGAGAGCCCAGTTAAACATAACTGTGTGGAAGTATTAGATTCAGTTTATTCTAGTGGCCCCAACCTCTGAGACCATCCTTAAACATCAGTAGACTGGGAGCTGTATGTGGATGGGAGCAGCTTCGCCAACCCCTGCAAAGTGACTCTGAAGAAGACGACAAGCCCTGCTCCAGTCACACCCGGAAGCTGACTGGTCCACGCATGGCCGAATCATGAGGAAACTCATCGCAGGACTCATTTTCCTTAAAATTTGGACTTCTACAGTAAGGACTTCAACTGACCTTCCTCAGACTTAGGGCTGTTCCCAGTATATACATCAAGTCACCGAGGTAGGACAAAAGATTGCTACAGTCCTATTATTTTATGGTTATTATAAGTGTACCGGGACTCTAAAAGAAACTTGTTTGTATAATGCTATTGTATCCAAGGTATGCAGCCCAGGAAATAACAAACCTGATGCGTGTTATGACCCATTTTAAGCCTCCCATGAACACAGTTTTTAAAATAAAATTAAGGACTGGTCCTTTTCTAGGTGACACAAGTAAAGTAATAGCTAGGACAAAATAAAGAGGGGTTCCCAAGCATATAACCCTAAAATTTAATGCCTGTGCCACTATCAATAGCAATCAGCATAGAATAAGATGCAGTTCTTTAAATTGAAAAAAGTAGGAAGTGTTGCCTTCCTTGTTGGAAGCAAGTAAAACTCCAAAAAAAAGGGAGTTGTACAGCAAAATAAACTTTAGATCTCGACCAAATTTTGTGAGATCAGGGATTGTCTGGAGGGGGTGTTCCCAGACCTCAGCAAATTGTCTTATTGGTTTGAGCCATAAACATAGCTCATGCTGGTACCAAGCACCGATAGGAGATTTGTCAAAGGTCAAGAGCACCTCCACTCAGAATCCCTCGCGGTTACCAAAATGCGAACCCCCAAAATCTGAGACAGGTCTCAGTTAATTTAGAAAGTTTACTTTGCCGGCGGGGGCGGTGACTCACGCCTGTAATCCCAGCACTTCGGGAGGCGGAGGCAGGCAGATTAGGAGGTCAGGAGATAGAGACCATCCTGGCTAACACAGTGAAACCCCGTCTCTATTAAAAACACAAAACAATTAGCCAGGTGTGCTGGCGGGCGCCTGTAGTCCCAGCTGCTGGGGAGGCTGAGGCAGGAGAATGGCGTGAACATAGGAGGCGGAGCTTGCAGTGAGCCGAGATTGCACCACTGCACTCCAGCCTGGGAGACAGAGCGAGTGTCAAAAAAAAAAAAAAAAAAAAAAAAAAAAGAAAGTTTACTTTGCCAAGGTTGAGGACACGTGCCCGTGACACAGCCTCAGTAAGTCCTGAAGACATGTGCCCAAGGTGGTCAGGACACAGCTTGGTTTTTATACATTTTAGGGAGACCTGAAACATCAATCAATATATGTAAGAAGTACATTGGTTCCATCCAGAAAGGTGGAGACAACTCAAAGCAGGGAAGGGGCTTCCAGGTTACTGGGAGGTGGGAGACAAAGCGTTGCATTCTTCTGAGTTTCTGATAAGCCTTTCCAAAGGAGGCAATCAGATACACATCTATCTCAGTGAGCAGAGGGATGACTTTGAATAGAGTGGGAGACAGGTTTGCCCTGAGCAGTTTCCAGCTTGACTTTTGCCTTTAGCTTAGTAATTTGGGGGTCCCAAAATGTTCCTTTCTCAGATGAATTCCACTGTGACTATTTTTTTTCTTTTGTCTCTTGTGCTTTTGGTGCTGGCTAGGAAGGCTTAGCCTAATCCAAGATCATGAAGATGTACACTTTTATTTTTTCCTAAGAGTTTTAGTTCCTATAAAACTATATAAAAATATAGTTTTAACTCATATTTAGGTCTATGTTCTATTTGGAGTTAAATTTCTGTATGGTGCACTTTGAATGTGCATATTCAGTTGTTACAGCACCATTATTGAAAAGACAATTCTGGCCGGGCCTGGTGGCTCACTCCTGTAATCCCAGAGCTTTGAGAGGCTGAGGCAGGTGAATCATCTGAGGTCAAGAGTTTGAGACCAGCCTGGCCAACGTGGTGAAACCCCATCTCTATGAAAAATAAAAAAATTAGCTGGGTGTGGTAGTGCACGCCTATAATTACAGCTACTCGGGAGGCTGAGGCCTGAGAATTGCTTGAACCTGGGAGGCAGAGGTCGCAGTGAGCTGAGATCCTGCCACTGCACTCCAGCCTGAGTGACAGAGGGAGACTCTCTCAAAAAGAAAGAAACAGAGAAAAAGAAAAGATAATTCTTCCCCCACATTAAATTGTTTTGGGATTTATGTGAAAAATAAGTTGAAGGCTGGGCGCTCGGACTAATGCCTGTAATCCCAGCACGTTGGGAGGCCAAGACTGGAGGATCGCTTTAGCCCAGGAGTTCAAGTCCAACCTGGGCAACATAGCAAGACTCCGCTATGTATATTAAACATACATATAAGGGTTTGTTTCTGGGCTTTTAATTCTATTCCAATGAACTATATGCCGGACTGTGTGACAGTATAAAAAATGTCCTAATATTTGTAGTTTTGTAGTAAGTTTTGAAAGTGTGAGTTCTCCATCTTTGTGGTTTTTTTTTAAATTGTTTTACTCTCCTTGGTTCCTTGCATTTCTATATAAATTTTATTATTAACTCATCAATTTTCACGAAAAGAAAAGCCAGATGAGATTTTTGACAGGATTGCATTGAACCTATAGATTTGGGGAATGCTGTCATCTTAATATTGTCATTCAATCCATGAAGATTAGATGTTTTTCCATTTATTTAAATTTTCTTTAATTTCTTTTAACAGTGTTGTGTAGTGTTCAGAATATGAGTTTTGCATTTCTTTTGTTAAATTTATTTTTAAGTATTTTATTATTTTTGATGCTACTGTAAGTAGAATTATTTTTTAAATTTCCTTTTCAGATTATTCATTTGCTGGTGTATAGAAGTACAATTGATTTTTGGATATTGATCTTGTATTCTGCTATCTCACTAAATTTATTTACTGGACTTAATAGTTTTTTAGTGATTACTTAGGATTTTCTATATACAAGACTATGATATAGTAGAGATGGTTTTACTTCTTTTTCAATATAGATCCTGTTTTTTCTTTTTCTTGTCTAGTTGCTCTGGCAAGAGACTCCAATACAATATTGAATTGAAGTAGTGAAAGCAGACATCCTTGTCTTGCTCCTGATTTTAGGAGGAAAGCATTCCATTCTGTTTTTCACCATTAGGTATGACGTGAGTTTTTCTTAGATGGTCTTTTTCAGATTAAGGAAGTTCCCTTCTGTTGCTAATTTGTTCAGTATATTTACCATGGAAAGATGCTGGGTGGCACAAACATGGCTCACTGCATCCTCAACCTCTTGGCTTCCAAGTAGCTAGGACCACAGGTGTATGCCACCAACGCTCAGCTAATTTTTCAATTTTTAGTAGAGACAAGGTCTTGTCATGTTGCCCAGGTCTGAGTTAGTTTTGATAATTGGTATTTTTCTAGGAATCAGTCAGTTTAAACTAGTTTATCTAACTTGTTGGGACACAGCTTTCATAATACTCTCTAATAACCTTTTAAGTTTTGTAAGATTGGTAGTGGTTTCCCATCTTTCATTCCTGATTTTATGAATTTGAGTCTTCTCTCTTTTTCTCTTGTTAGTCTAGCTAAATGTTTGTCAATTGTGCTGATCTTTTCAAAGAACAAGCATTTTTGGGTTTCATCGCTTTTCTCTATTGCCTTTCTATTCTCTGCATTATTTATTTCTGCTCTAATCTTTATCAACCCCTTTCTTCTCCTTCTTTTAGGTTTAGTTTGCTCTTCTTGGTTTTCTTTGAGGTAGAACATTAGGCTACTGAGTTGGGATTTTTGGGCATTTATATCTCTAAGCTTCCTGCTAAGCACTGTTTTAGCTTTATCTCCTAAAGTTTTGGTATGTTGTGGTTCCATTTTCATTCATCTGAAGGTATTTTCTAATTTCCCTTGTGATTTCTTGTTTGCCCATTGATGATTTAGGAGTGTGTTTGATTTTTACATATTTGCGAATGTTGTAAATTTCTTTCTGGTATTGTCTTTCCAGCTCCCAGAGGCTGCCACATTCTTGGGCTCATGCCCTCTCCCGTCTACAAAACCAGCAATCACATCACTCCAAATTCTGCTATCATTACATCTTCTTCTCTGACTCTCTTGCCCCTTTCTTTCCCTCATAAGGAGACATGATTACATTGGGCCAACCGGGATAATCCAGAACAATCTTCCCATCTCAAAATCTTTAACTTAATCACATCTGTGAAGTCTCTTTTGCCATGTAAGGTAACATATTCACAGGTTCTGAGAATTATGATGTGGACATCTTTGATCAGTTATACTTCTGCCTACCCTATCTTCTTTTCCTTCTTTACTGTGAAATATAACACACGAGAGCTGAGGCTGATCCCTATAGACAGCTCTCCCAGAGAAAGCACTGGTCTTCTGCAGACCTCCAAGAACACCGGCTGTAGGGTAGGCTGAATGAAGCCAATCAATCCTGGTAGAACTCACTACCGGATAGATGTACATTTGCAACTGCAAGGATTTGCCTGTAGTTCCTGGTTATGCAGGTAGGGGGCTGGTTCTCCCCCAGCCATAAACACTGAGGTGCTAGAATTGGGCTGGAAACCCAGGGTCTCTCTTTTCAGCTTATAATTGACTGCCAGCTACTGATCATGACAGAGAGGAGCTGGTTCTTCTCCCATTCATGCAGCCTAAGAGCCCCAGAGCCCAAGGACCAACGCCCCACTCTAGGTGTCTGTTTTCCACTCTGTTAGATCACTGTGCACTGCCCCAGAACATGATGGATAGTGGGACCCCTTTCTGCTGTCCTGATGTCAGTATTGGCTTGTCATTCTCCTTATTTTGTCATTCTCCCAACAGTACACATGTTGAGAGTGCAGGAAACGTAATAGTGGACAGATCATTATAAAGTGAACACCTCTGTAACCCCTGAACAAGCCACAAAAAAGAATGCTCCAGGCTCCAGAAGTTTCCCCCTGCTTCTTCCCAGTCACATCACCTACTCTCCCTTCTACATGAAACCACAGCCTGGTTTTATGGTTATTACCTGATTGCGTCTTTTTGTGGTTTCACCACCATCTTGTGTATCCCTTGACATCGTGTTTTAGTTTTTCCTGGTTTTGAACTTTATAGGAATGGAATCACACAGTATGTATTATTTTATTGTCTGGATTCTTTGGCTCATTTTTAAAAAAAGTTTAACTCGTGTGTGTGTGTGTGTAGCTATAGTTTGTTCATTTTTATTTGCTGTACATTCATTTGCTGAATAAATACACCACAACTTATCTATCTATTGTGCTGTTGAGGGACATTTGGGTTGGTTTTGTCTATCACCAATAATGCTGCCCAAAACATTCTTGTATGTGTCTTAGTTTTCTAGTCTACTATTTAATATTATTGGAAACCAGGCCTCTGTTTTTATAATGATTGCTGTTATCATTGCCAAAGACTCCTCCTTTTAGTTATTGCTTCCTCAGCACTTTAGGATATTGCAAAAGAAAGCAGTCAGCTTGGCCCAAAGAAACCTGGAAAACATTGATGATTTCATTGTGGCCGCTTTGAAGGCAGGATTGTTTTTCTCTTGTTTACCATTAGATCCTCAGTACCTACCAGACATAGTTTGTTGCATGAATGAATTATGGAAGTGGGCTTTGTACCATGTCAAGCCAAGCTAAAGCAGTAAACCTTTCCTGAAGTTTCTATAGGTGAGACCTATATTTCCTTACTATAATATTCTCTCCTAATTAACCCACTGTCTTTATTATACCACATGCTCAGCAGAGTCACGATAAAGTGAGCCAGAGTGGGGAGTTTTTGATGCTTCTAATCTGAGTCCATATTGGCTTTTGGAATTTTTTCATTAATCATCCTAATAATGACTAGGAACATTCCAAGCTGTGGACTTGGGCTTTCTGTATGATACTTGAAATCCACACGGGCAGCTGGGCGCGGTGGCTCACGCCTGTAATCCCAGCACTTTGGGAGGCCGAGGTGGGCAGATCATGAGGTCAGGAGATCAAGACCATCCTGGCTAACACGGTGAAACCCCATCTCTACTAAAAATACAAAAAAATTAGCCAGGCATGGTGGCGGGCACCTGTATTCCCAGCTACTCGAGAGGCTGAGGCAGGAGAATGGTGTGAACCCGGCAGGCGGAGCTTGCAGTGAGCCGAGATCGCACCACTACACTCCAGCCTAGGCGGCAGAGCGAGACTCCATCTCAAAAAAAAAAAAAGAAAAGAAAAGAAATCCACATGGCCTTCCTCAAGGAGTATCAAAATCCTAAGGTACACACTTTCCTATACATATGATTAGGGAAAGCTGGTCATTTTTCATTATTCTCAAATTGTAAAAACTTTGAACTGGAAGAGAACCTCTAGAAGCTGTGCATTTAGATTTGGAAAAATGAAGGATGTGAGAGAAAACGTTTGTCATCATGATGGCTTTTAATTAGAGGAACTAATTGGGTGGAAGATGGACTTTTAGGTCTCAAAAACTAATTATTCATGCAGCGAAAGGAAGGGAACAAGGCCTAAATGAGGCACATGTACAAACTCTCTCTTCTTTTAACTGAGTATCTAGCATAGTCACCACAAGTCTAATTGGGCATTTCCTTTTAAAACTTCTCTTAATAGCTGCCCTGGTACCAGAGTGAGCTCCCCATTCAAAATATGCTTTTCAGCCTTTCTCAACAAGAATAGAATCTTTCTCTTGACTCCACACCAAAAGTTATTTTTCCTCCCTTTGAATCTCTATATCACTAGGTTCCAACCTCCCACATGACCTTCATCACTTTCCACCTTGTATTATATTTATTTATTTATACATTTATGTATATGTATATTTTATACACTTGATTCTAAGATTGTAGGGAGAAGAATGCTCCCAAATTTGTTTTGCAAATGTAAGAGTCTTGCATATAATAGATGCTCAGTCATAATTCATATGTATCAATATTACAGCTTGTGGTGAGCAAACAACACTAAAAGAGATAATCGTGGGGAAGATGCTGATGAGGCCAGGTGGGGTGAGCATTACTAAATATATTGATTCCCCATTTTGATTACTGAGAGACAAAGAAAGACATTTTCTCTCCTCCTTCTTCTTCTTCTTCTTTTTTTGAGACAGAGTCTTGCTCTGTCACCCAAGCTGGAGTGCAGTGGTGCCATCTTGGCTCCCTGCAACCTCCACCTCCCGGGTTCAAACGATTCTCTGGTCTCAGCTTCCCTAGTAGCTGGGATTGCAGGTGCGTGCCACTACGCCCAGCTAAGTTTTGTATTTTTAGTAGAGATGGGTTTCACCATGTTGGCCAGGCTGGTCTCAAATTCCTGGCCTTAAGTGATCCACCCGCCTTGGCCTCCCAAAGTGCTGAGATTACAGGCATGAGCCACCACGCCCGGCCAAGAAAAACATTCTCACACTGTCAAAGGCTCAAGTGAGTTATCCAAAGCAAAATAATTTATTTGAAGTTTTATATTTGTCTTTTACATATACACATACATATATGTAGGTACATATATATTTTTATTCTTTTATAAAGAAAAATTATTTATATGGTAACAATTGTGGAGTTTGGTTATAAAGACATGTTCTCCACCCAAGAGCATTTATTTTCCTTTGTTAGAAGTTTTAATGTAAAATCAGCCAAGATTCCTTTTGTTAAAGCCAACAAGTGTTTTTAGCACATCTTTCAGATGAATTAGTTTCCTGTTGTGTTTCACAGGCCAATCAAAGATGGGCAGGGATGGTCTCAAATTGACCCTTCTACCTACAGTGTTTCTGCTGTGTGCTTATAAAGATTGAACTTCTGTATTCTCATTCCACATCCATGAACACACACAACTCCAGCTGCTATTCAATAGATGAACTCTGATAAATGTAAGTTTTCTAGTACATTGATGGAATTTCTATAGCAGGATGTATTGAGCCCATTTTTTTATAAATTAGTTGACAATACAGTATTCTGTTTCACTGTACCCTTTGAAGGGAACATGAAAAGAGGGCAGTTCTACAGAAAAGCCCCCCACCCCAACCATTTCCTCAACCCTCTACACACTTATAAAGGGCATTGTCTTTGCCACTGCTGTTCATTCTCTGAGGCTTGGGTTCAAAGGCACCTCAGAAGTCTTACAGGAGAGAGGCAAAATGCAGGCCTACACTCTTTTGCTCCTTCAGCAGTGGACATGTATTAAATGTTCTCAGACCTCTTCTCCATCTGTTAAAGACCAACACAATCCCTAAATTGATGAGGGTAAGAGATTGGCAAATCTGCTCCATGTTACTGACTGCCTTATTCCTTCCCATTTTCCTCACCATGGCTTGGGATAAATTATCCAGCGTCCTAAGGGTTACTGTCAGGTGTCTCTGCACAGGCACTGTGCAAATATCAATTCATGCCCTCCCCCACCTTGATGACAGATTCATCTAAGACCATTTAAGCAATCCCTTAAATTGCTTGTGTTACGAAAGAAAGGGAACTTCAACATTGTTGGAAGGAATCTAAAATGGTACAGTCACTGTAGAAAATCATTTGGTAGTTTTTCTTCAAAAAGTTAAACACAGAATTAGCACAGGACCCAATGAATCCACTCCAATATAGACCCATGAGTACTGAAAATATGTTATCTTACAAGAATTAGCCAGGTGTGGTGGTGTGTGCCTGTAGACCCAGCTACTCAGGAGGCTGAGCTGGAAGGACTGCTTGAGCCCAGGAGGTCAAGGCTGCAGTGAATTGTGATTGTGCCACTGCACTCCAGCCTGGGCAACAGAACAAGGCCTGACTCAAAAAAAAAAAAAGAAAAGAAAAGAAAATATGTACATGAGTGTTCATAGTAGTATTATTAATAACAGCCAGAACAAAGTTCATCAACTGATGACTAGATAAACAAAATGTGGCCTATCCATATGATGAAATATTATTCAGCTATAAAAAGGAATGTTCTGTTGTTATATGCTGTATGCTCAGGGATGAAACATGGAAACATTATGCTAAATAAAAGAAGTCAAACACAAAAAGCCACATATTGTGTCATTCCATTTATATGAAATGTCCAGAATAGGCAAATCCTCAGAGACAGAAAGCAAATTAGTGGTTGCCAGGGGATAAGGGGAGCAGAGCTGGGACTGACTGCTATAGGTATGAGGTTTCCTTCTGTGGTGATAGAAATATTCTGGAATGAGAAGTGATCGTTGCATAATAGGGTGAATATACTACAAAACAATGGAATGTTGATATGGTTTTGTTGTGTCCCCACGCAAATCTCATCTTGAATTATAGCTCCCATAATTCCCACGTGTTGTGGGAGGGACTCGGTGGGAGATAATCGAATCATGGGGGCAGTTTTCCCCATACTGTTCTTGTGGTAGTGAATAAGTCTCACAAGATCTGATGGTTTTATAGGGGGTTTCCCCTTTTGCTTGGCTCTCACTCTGTCTTGCCTGCTGTCATGTAAGATGTGCCTTTCACCTTCCGCCATGTTTGTGAGGCCTCTCCAGCCACATGGAACTGTGAGTCCCTCAATCCTCTTCTTCTTTATAAATTACCCAGTCTAGGGTATGTCTTTATCAGCAGCATGAAAATGGACAAATACAATTGTACACTTTAAAATGGTACATTTTATGTTTTGTGAGTTGTATCTTAATTTTAAAAAAGACCATAACAATGCTTACAACCTACATGCTGTAGAGTAGATCATACTTACGTCATTATTTTCTGGTCATACTTAGGAAAGAGTAAAGACTGTCACAGAATAAATGAATGAATGGACGAATCAATTGATGAACTGATGAATAAGTAGAATGAAAGGGAGCCTGGGAAACAGAGGTCTTTTGTGACTAAACATGGGTGAGGAGACACTTCGTATAATTTTTTTCTTGGGCGAGTAGTAGAACACAGAGAGGTTGGAGGGAAACACTAGCAGGACTTGACTTTACAGGGAATTTGTTTTGGAAAGGATGTCCCCAAGCAAGGAGATTCTCTTCCCTTCCCAAAACACTGTATCCTGCCATAGCCTTCTTCCACTCTGAGTGGGGCACGTGCTGCCAAGATGAAAAGCAAATCTCCCTGTAGCAGCCAAAGAAAACAAACACAGAAAAAAAGCAAATGAAAACTGGGAGAGGAAGCAGGATTCTGCATCCTGGTTGATAACATCGTCAAAATCAAAGCCACAAAGACACACAGTCAGGGCCACTGATAGAGCTTAGGGGCCATCCAGGGCAGGGTTGACCAGAGGTGAGAAGGTCCCCGGACCCTCAGTGTCATCAGCCCAAGCCCCCATAATTTTGTAACTAATATTGATGGAATAACAGGGCCCTTCCCATATACAGGTTAAGACCCAACAGATGCCTCGGGTAATTTATTTACTTAACAAATACAAACTGAGATTGACTGTGCCTGAGATACACAGGGAGAGGCACAAGTCCCAGCCAAGGAAGGGCATCTTCTAGGTAGGAAGTTTCCTGGGACTGATCTCTCAACTTATTTCTTCTGGCCTGTCCCTTCCTCTCGCCACATATTCTTGGCACCCTGTCCTTCTCCAGGGCCTTTCCCCCTCCTCCTCCTCCCCTAAAAAGGAAAGTGTGAGGAAGCAGCCATGGGACCTCCCCTTTCTGGCTGGGTAGGCGCTCCTAGGTGAGACGAGGAACTCTGAGTGGCTCGGCTATTGCAGGAGCAAGTGCCTTCTCCTACTTCGGACATGGGATTGCTGTGAGGACCGAATAGCCTTCTGCTTCCGACAGAGTTTTATAGACTGCAAAGTATTATTCAAATGGCAGGGAAAATAGAAAAGTGTGGCATTGTTTCTCCCACACTTTTCTATGACTTCTGACATTTCAAATATAGTATTCCTCCTATTTCAAAATACTCTTAGTCCCGACTCTTCACTGAGTTGGGTAACAGGAGGTTGTTCCTTAGGACTTACTCACCAGAAAGGAAAGGAGGGTTTCCTTTCACTTCCGGTTAGAACCAGCTTCAAGCATTTCCTCCCCACCCTTCCGTCCAAAACCCTGATCACAGCGCCCCCTCGTGTAAATCCGGAGCAACTGCCCGGGAAATCCCCCGTCTAACCCGGGCCAAAGTCAAAAGCTGAAGGAGGGGGTCCGGTTGAACTCTGGGTGGGCGGGAACTGGGGCTCCTACAGGGCGGTGATGCCTACAGGGGACAGGCTCCAGTCAGGTCCGTTTGCTTCTCATTATGCTGAATATAGACCTCATATTGCCAGATATTTTGATTTTAAAAGACAAGCTAGACACTTCCCGATTAAAACAACTGTGTAAGCCAAATAAAACAAGCTATGGGCCAGGCTGTGGGGGGGCTGCAAACCGTCAGGAAGCTTTGATTTCTTGTGGAAAAGATGAAACATTGATGATAGTTAATCCCAACACATTGACAAGGAGCGATCCTGGTAACAGAAGATATCTTATATGATATATAAAAATCACAACTGTGAACATATTTGACAAGGAGAAAAAAAGAACAAACATTCTTAACATACTTGCTTCTGAGTTTTCCCATCTATATTTGCTGGCTATATACTGATTTTCTTAACTTCCTATATTAACCAGAATAAAACCAGAAAGTTTCAGTAAAAATTATGGGGAAAAAAACTCAAAATAGAAAAAGAAATTCCCATTAATTTTTTTCCCCACTATTTGGAGATAAAATCCATTTTCCTAAAGGTACATATTCACCAACTTCCAGAATGCCAATGCCCATGAAGGGTTTTTTGAGCTTTCTGGGGTAGAAATTCATAGTTCTTAAGACAACAGGCAAAGCCTGCACAATTTGTTCTCATCCCGACTGTTAGCCTCACCTCCTGTCATTCCCTTTGCTGGTCCGATCATCATACGAAACTATTTTCCTCCAAAAACATTTCTTTTTTTTTTTGGAAAATTGTATTTCTCGTTGATTAATTGCTTTTACTCTCTTTTCCATTTTTGAAGCTCCTATGCATGCGTTCTTCGTATCCCAGTTTACATGTTACCTCCCACTAACCTTCAAGCAGAATAAGCTGCCCAGCCCACAACATGCACTTTCAAAGCTCTAAGCCCATATCTTTAGGAAAACAATTACTATTTTTCTTATAATTATTTGTTTACACATGTTTTGATATTGGGAATCTACCTAAAGCTGTGTTGTGTCACCGATGAGCCATAAAACTTTAAAAATATCTAGTAGATTGTAGGCTGATAGGGAATATTTGCTGTTTCGCTCTCCCAGAGCCTAGTACACCACCAGAATCATTGCATTGGATTTTTAAATAATTTTATTTTTGAATTTTTTGAACAAGTAATACTTTTCACAGTTCAAAATTCAAAAAGCTTAAGTATACAAATGAAAACTTTCCATTATATTCATGTTTCCAGCCACCCAGTTTCTCTTCTTATTGGTACATGATGTTACTCACTTATGTGGAATGAAGTCCACATTCCTCTGCGTGCAGTATAATTTTTTCTACCATCTGTGCTTGTTTACCTTCCTAGTACACTCCTCTCTCCTGGCCTTTGCTCTCTACTTTCCAGCCAGGATTGAAGTGGCTATTTCCCGATATGCTACCTTAGCGATTTACTGGCTTCTCAAGATCAGACACTCTATCTTCCTCTATCATTATTAAAGACTACATACTAGCATCTAGCGTATAGCAGGGCGTGAATGAAAGTTGCTCACGCTTGGACAACAACTGACCCTTGTGCTTGTTCTCCTGGAGCCCTTTTGAGCTCTTAGCCGCCTCAGATGTTGTTCTGGGACACACGTTTGGCCGTTGAGGCATTACTTCCCTGGGTATCCTGATGACAACCCCCAAACCTAACCTAATCTGAATGTGTGTCTTCTCCTTGCAATCTAAAGAGGTGCCCGACTAATACACAAGTAACTCTCCCTGAGCTGAGCTGGTTTGTTCTCCCAGGTCAAATCCTCACAGGGAGGAAGAGAAACTTGTGGGCATGCAGAGATGTTAGTCACTATGAATGGATAAAACGGCACAGGGATACATATTATACATGTGTATAATATGTATAAATGTTTATATTTATATAATATGTAAGATATAATTTATAGTATGTATTATATGTAAATATGTATATATGTAAATATATACTATAAATTATGTATATTCTAAATATATATTTATAATTAATAATTAATTATACTATATAACTATGTACTTATATAATATATTTCTATTAAATAAATGTAAATATATAATATATATTTATATTAAATAAATAGAAATATATTACATATAAATCTATATGTATATAAGTGTGTGTATATATATTTTTTGTTACAAGGCCCTAAAGGCCCTAAACAAGGCTACATTGATTTTTAAAAATTAACATTGTACTTACTAATGTTTCAAGTTAAAAAATATTCTTTAACTTTGAAGATCACTATACATAGCTTATCATTTCATTCTCCCCCTTCCTTCCTTCCTTTCTTGTTTTCAATCACTTTTTTAAGGGGACTTTTGTTTTTGACACAGTCTTGCTTTGTCACCCAGGCTGGAGTGCAGTGGCATGATTATAGCTCACTAAAGCCTCAAACTCCTGTTTTTATTTTAATTTTTAATTTTTGTGGGTACATAGTAGGTGTATGTTTTTATGGGATACAAGAGATATTTTGATACAGGCATGCAATGCATAATAATCACATCAGGGGCTGGGCGTAGTGGCTCATGCCTGTAATCCCAGCACTTTGGGAGGCCGAGGCAGGTGGATCACAAGGTCAATAGATTGAGACCATCCTGGCCAACATGGTGAAACCCCATCTCTACTTAATATACAAAAATTAGCTGGGCATGGTGGCGCGTGCCTGTAGTACCGCTACTCAGGAGGCTGAGGCGGGAGAATCGCTTGAACCCGGGAGGCGGAGGTTGCAGTGAGCCGAGATCGCGCCACTACACTCCAGCCTGGTGACAGAGCGAGGCTCCGTCTCAAGAAAACAGAAAAAAAAAAAAGCCGGGCGCGGTGGCTCATGCCTCTAATCCCAGCACTTTGGGAGGCCGAGACGGCGGATCACTTGGGGTCAGGAGTTCGGAGCAGTCTGGCCAACCTGGTGAAACCCTGCCTCTTCTAAAAACACAAAAATTAGCCAGGCGTGGTGGCGGGCGCCTGTAGTCCCAGCTACTTGGGAGGCTGAGGTGGGAGAATTGCTTCAATCCGGGAGGTGGAGGTTGCAGTGAGCCGAGATCGCTCCATTGAACTGCAGCCTGGGAAACAGAGGGAGACTCCGTCTCAAAATAAATAAATAAATAAATAAATAAATAAATAAATAAATAAATAAATAAAATAAAAAATAAAAAATAAAAAATTTACATCAGGGTAAATGGGGTATCCATCACATCAAGCATTTATCCTTTGTGTTACAAAAAATCCAATTACACTCTTTTGAAGTGTGCAATTAAATTAGTATTGATTATAGTCACCCAGTTGTGCTATCAAATAGTTGACCTTATTCATTCTTTCTATTTTTTGTACCCATTAACCATCCCCACTACCCAAACTCCCAACTCTTCCCAGCCTCCGATAACCATATTTCTACTCTCTATCTCTATGAGTTCAATTGTTTTGATTTTTAGATCTCAGAAATAAATGAGAACCTGTGAAGTTTGTATTATTGTGCCTGACTTATTTCACTTAATGCAATGACCTCCGGTACTGACTATGTTGTTGCAAATGACAGGATCTCATTCTTTTCTATGGCTGAATACTCCATTGTGTATATGTGCCTCATTTTCTTTATCCATTAATCTGTTGATGGACATGTAGTAGGTTTCTTTCAAATCTTGGTTATTGTGAATAGTGCTGCAATAAACATGAGAGTGTAGATATCTCTTTCATATACTGATTTCCTTTCTTTTGAGTATATACCCAGCAATGAGATTGCTGGATCTTATGGTTGCTCTATTTTTAGTTTTTTGAAGAACCTCCAAACTGTTCTCCATTGTGGCTGTACTAATTTATATTCCCACCAACAGTGTGCCAGGGTTCCCTTTTCTCTACATCCTTACCAGAATTTGTTACCGCCTGTCTTTTGGATAAAAGCCATCTTAACTGAGCTGAGGTGATATCTTATTATAGTATTGATTTGCATGTCTCTGATGATCAGTGATGTCGAGTACCTTTTCATATGCCTGTTTGCCATTTGCATGTCTTCTTTTGAGAAATGTCTATTCAGATTTTTTACCCATTTTAAAATCAGATTAGATTTGTTCCTATAGAGTTGTTTGAGCTCCTTATGCATTCTTGTTATTAATCCCTTGTCAGACAAGTAGTTTGCAAATGCTTTCTCCCATTTTGTGGGTTATCTCTTCACTTTGTTGATTGTTTCCTTTGCTGTCCAGAAGCTTTTTAACTGGATGTGATCCCATTTGTCCATTTTTGCTTTGGTTGCCTATGCTTGTGGGGTGTTACTCAAGAAATCTTTGCCCAGTCCAATGTCCTGGATAGTTTCCCCAAAGTTTTCTTTTAGTCGTTTCATAGTTTGAGGTCTTAGATTGAAGTCTTTAATCCATTTTGATTTGATTTTTGTATATGGTGAGAGGTAGGGGTCTAGCTTTTTCTTCTGCATATGGATATCCAGTTTTCCCAGTACCACTTATTGAAGAGACTGTTCTTTCCCCAGTGTATATTCTTGGTGCCTTTGTGAAAATAAGCTCACTGTAGATATATAAATTTATTGGTGGGTTCTCTATTCTGTTCTATTAGTCTATGTGTCCATTTCTATGCCAGTACCGTGCTGTATTGGTTACCATAGCTCTGTAGTATAATTTGAGATGAGGTAAAGTGATTCCTTCAGTTTTATTTTTTTGCTTAGGATAGCTTTGGGTATTCTGGGTCTTTTGTGGGTCCATATAAATTTTAGGATTGTTTCTTTTATTTCTGGGAAGAATGTCATTGATATTTTGATAGAGATTGCATTGGATCTGTAGATTGCATTGAATCTGTAGATTGCTTTGGGTAGTATGGACATTTTAACATTGATTCTTCCATCCATGAACATTGAATATCATTCCACTTTTTTGTGTCTTCTTCAGTTTCTTTCATCAGTGTTCTATAGTTTTCACTGTAGAGATCTTTCACTTCTTTGGTTAATTCCTAGGTATTTAATTTTATTTGTAGCTATTGTAAATGGAATTACTTTTTTTGATTTCTTTTAAGATTGTTTGCTGTTGGCATATAGATATGCTACTGATTTTTGCTTTTTGCTTTTATATCCTGCAACTTTACTGAAGTTTTCCAATTTATTGGCACGTACCTACTCATAGTAGCTTTACTTATCCTTTGAATTTCTGTGGTATCAGTTGTAATGTCTCCTTTTCATCTCTGATTTTATTTATTTGGATCTTTTATAATTCTTATTTTTAATTTTCACGGGTACATAGTAGGTGTATATATTTATGGGATCCATGAAATGTTGTGATACAGGCATGCAATATGTAATAATCACATCATGGCAAGTCTTCTGTCTTTTTTTTCTTAATTAGTGTGACTAAATGTTTGCCAATTGTGTTTATCTTTTCAAAAAACCAACTTTTCATTTCATTGATCTTTTGTATTGTTTTCTTCATTTCAAACTCATTTATTTCTGCTCTGATCTTTATTGTTTCTTTTCTTCTAATTTTAGGTTTGGTTTGCTCTCACGTTTCTAGTTCTTTAAGATGTAGTGTTATACAGTGTATTTGAAGTTTTATACTTTTTTACTTTTATACTTTTTTTTTTTTTTTTTTTGTGAGACGGCTTCTCGCTCTGTCACCCAGGCTGGAGCACCGTGGCGCGATCTTGGCTCACTGCAAGCTCTGCCTCCCGGGTTCACGCCATTCTCCTGCCTCAGCCTCCCGAGTAGCTGGGACTACAGGCGTCCGCCACCACGCCCGGCTAATTTTTTGTATTTTTAGTAGACATGGGGTTTCACCATGTTAGCCAGGATGGTCTCGATCTCCTGACCTCATGATCCGCCCGCATCGGCCTCCCAAAGTGCCGGGATCACAGGCGTGAGCCACTGTGCCTGGCTTACTTTTATACTTTTTTATACATATAGCTATAAAATTCCCTCTTAGTAATACTTTTGTTGTATCTCATAGGTTTTGGTATACAGTGTTTCCCTTATCATTTGTTTTAAGAAATTATTCAAATTCCTTAATTTCCTTATTGACCCACTGGCCATTCAGGAGCATATTGCTCAATTTCTATGTATTTGTATAGTTTCCAAAATTCCTCTTGTTATTGATTTCTAGTTTTATGCTACTGTGGTCAGAGAAGATATTTTACATTATTTCAATTATTTGAATGTTTCAAGACATGTTTTATGGTCCAGCATAAGGTCTATCCTTGAGAAAATTCCAAGTGCTGCGGATAAGAATGTGTATTCTGCAGTGATTGGATGAATGTTCTGTAAATATCTATTAGATCCATTTGGTCTGTAGTGCATATGAAGTTTGATGTTTCTTTGTTGATTTTTCTGTCTGGGAGATCTGTCCAATGCTGAAAGCGGGGTGTTGAAGTCCAGCTATTACTGTATTGGGGTATATCCCTTCCTTTAGTTCAAATAATATTTGTTTTATATACCTTGACACTCCAGGTTGGGTGGATACACATTTATATTTTTATATCCTTTTGCTGAATTGACCCCTTCTTCATCATTATGATCTTGTCTCTTTTTATAGTTTTTATCTTGAAATCTATTTTGTCTGATATAAGTATAGTTAATCCTGCTCTTTTTTGGTTTCCATTTGCATGGAATATCTTTTTCCATCCCTTTATTTTCAGTCCGTTTGTGTCTTTATAGGTAAAGTGTGTTTCTTGTATGTGAGAGATTGTTAGGTCTTTTTTTTTTAATCCATTCAGTTACTTTGTGTCTTTTGATTGGAGAGTTTAGTCCATTTACTTTCAATGTTATTACTGATAAGCAAGAAATTACTCCTGTCATTTTGTTATTTATTTTCCGACTGTTTTGTGGTCTTCTCTTCCTGTTTTCCTTTTAGTGAAGATTTTCTCTGGTTGGATGTTTTAATTTCTTGTTTTTTTAATTTTTTGTGTATCCATTATATGTTTTTTGATTTGAGGATACCATGAGGGTTGCAAATATTATATCATAACCCATTATTTTAAACCGATGACAACACTGATTAAACAAAGTAACAAGCAAAAGAAAACAAAAAGCTCTACACTTTAACTTAGTGCCCCTGTTTTTTAACTTTTTGTTGTTTCTATTTACATCTAAAAGTTGTTGTAGTTATTATTTTTGATCAGTACATGTTTCAGTCTTGTCATGTTTAAGTAGAAACTTAAAATATAAGCAGTTTATACACCACAATAATAGTGGTATAATAGTGGTATGATAGTCTATGTTTTTCTGTGTACTTACTATCAACTCTGAGTTTGCACTTTGAGATAATTTCTTATTGCTCATTAATGTCTTTTTCTTTCATATTGAAGAACTCACTTCAGCATTTTCTGTAGGACAGGTCTGCTGTTGATGAAATCCCTCAGCTTTTGTTTGAAAGTCTTTATTTCTCTTTCTTGTTTAAAGGATATTTTTCACTGGATATACTCTTCTAGGGTCCTTCAGCACTTTAAATATGTTATGCCACTCTCTCCTGTGAGGTTTCCACTGTGAGGTGTCCACTGAAAGGCTGCTGCTGGATGTACTGGAGTGCCACTGTGCATTATTTGTTTCTTTTTTCTTGCTGCTTTTAGGATCCTTTCTTCATGGGAGTTGGATTATTAAATGCCTCAAGGTAATCTTCTTTCAGTTAAATCTCTTTGGTGTTCTATATAACCTTCTTGTACATGAATATTGATATCTTTCTCTAGGATTGGAAATTCTCTGTTATTATTCCTTTGAACAAACTTTCTACTCCTATCTTTCTCTCTACCTCCTCTTTGAGGCCAATAACTGTTACATTTGCCTTTTCGAGGCTGTTTTGTAAATCTTGTAGGTGTGCTTCATTCCTTTTTAATCTCTTTTCTTTTGTTTCCTCTGTGTATTTTCAAATAGCCTGTCTTCAAGTCACTAATTCTCCCTTCTGCTTGCTCAATTCTGCTATTAAGAGACTCTGATGCATTCTTTGGTATGTCAGTTGCATTTTTCAACTCTGGAATTTCTGCTTGAATTTTTAATTATTTCAATCTCTTTGTTAAATTTATCTGATTGGATATTGAATTCGTTCTCTTTGTAATCTTGAATTTCATTGAGTTTCCACAAAACAGCTATTTTGAATCCTCTGTCTGAAAGGTCACATATCTCTGTCTCTCCAGGATTGATCCCTGGTGCCCTATTTAGTTCGTTTGGTGAGGTCATGTTTTCCTGGATAGTCTTGATTGCTCAGGGATGTTTGTCAGTAGCTGGGAATTGAAGACTTAGGTTTTTACTGTAGTCTTCACAGTCTGATCTTGTTTGTACCCATCCTTCTTGGGAAAGCTTTCCAGGTATTCAAAGGGACTTGTGTGTTGTAATCTAGGTTTTGGTCCCTGCAGCTGTATCTGCATTAGGGGGCACACTAATCCTGGTAATTCTGTGCCTCTTGCAGACTTGTGGAGGTACTTTCTTGGTGGTCTTGGATAAGATTTTTAAAAAACCCTCTGGTTACCAGGCAGAGATTCTTGTTCTCTTCTCTTATGTTCTCCCAAACAAATGGAGTTTCTCTCTCTGTGCTGAGCTGCTTGGAGTTGGGGGAGGGGTGACACCATCCCTCCTATGGCCACCACCATAGGACTTTGCTGGGCCACACCTGAAGCCAGCGCAGCACTGGGTCTTGCCCAAGGCCTGCTGTGACCACTACCTGGCTACTGCCTATGTTTGCTTAAGGCCCTAGGCCTTTACAATCAGCAGGTGGCAAAGCCAGCCAGTCTTACATCCTTCCCTTCAGGGTGGCAAGTTCCCCCAGGCCCCATGTGGGTTCAGAGATGCTGTCAGGGAGCCAGGGCCTGGAGTCAGAAACATTAGAAATCTACCTGGTATTCTATTCTGCTGCAGCTGAGCTGGCACCCAAATCACAAGACAAAGTTCTTCCCACTCTTACCTCCCCTTTCCACAGGCAGAGGAGCTTCTTTCCATGCCAGAGGAGCTTCTTTCCATGCCACCATCGCCATAGGCCCACCGGAGTACTGCCAAGCTACTGCTGATGTTCGCTTAAGGCTCAAGGGCTGTTCAGTCAGCTTGTGGTGAATACTGCTATGCCTGGGACTCACCCTTCAGGGCATTGGGCTCCCTTCTGGCCCAGGACAGGTCCAGAAATGCCATCCAACAGCCCGGTCTTAGAACCAAGGACCCCAAGAGCCCACCTGGTGCTCTACTCCACGGTGGTCACACTGGTACCTAAGCTGCAAGGCAAAATCCTGTTTACTCTTCCCTTTGCTTGAAGGAGTCTCTCCTTGTAGCCACCACTGCTGGGAATGTGCTGGGTCACACCTGAAGCCAGCATGTTTCAGAGTCTCACCCAAGTTGAGACTTGGTCCCTAGTGCCTTATTTAGTTCTTTTGGTGACGTCATATTTTCCTGGATGGTCTTGATGCTTGTGGATGTTTGTCAGCATCTGGGCATTGAAGAGTTAGGTATTTATTGTAGTCTTCACAGTCTGGGCTTGTTTGTACCCTTCCTTCTTGGGAAAGCTTTCGAGGTATTCACAGGGACTTGGGTGTTGTAATCTAGGTTTACAAACTAGTATATGCTGTGTAGTATATCCACAGCATATACTACCTGGGTACTGCTGCTGATTATTCATGGCTCTAGGGCTCTTTAGTCAGTAGGTGATGAATTCTGCCAGGACTGAATCCTTCCCTTCAAGGCAGCAGGTTCCCTTCTGCCCTAGAGTATGTTTGGAAATGTCATCTAGGACCTAGGGCCTGGAATGGGGGCTTCACACCTCTGCCTGGTGTCCTATTTTCCTGTGACTGAGCTGGTATCCAAGTTGCAAGACAAAGTACTCTCCTTTTCTACTCAAGTAAGAAGACTCTTTCAGAGCTGTGAGCTGTGCTGCCTGGGGTTAGAAGCGTGGGTCAAGAAATCCCTTAGATGTGCTGGCTACTGTCTCACTAGGTTGCATGGCCCCCGAGTCCACTGGCTGTGAGCCCAGCACAGCACCAGGACTTGCTTAGAAGTTGCAGTCCTTGTGGCTTATACTGCCTTTCAAGTTTATTTAGTACCCCAGAGCCCGTTAGCCTGTGGAAGCAAGGCTTGCTGAAACTTAAGTTGTGACTGCTGGGATGGGTGATTCCCCTCTGGTTGGGGCTGGTCTAAGTGCTCCTTCCATGGGTGTCAGCTGAGTTCTGCCCATATTGCTTACTGCTGTGATAGGAAAGCACTGAGTTCCAATGCAAAGTTCCACAATCGCTGTGCTCTTCCTCCCCCAAGAGCACAGACTCTCTCTTGGCCACTGCCAGGAGACTGGGGAGGGTGGTACTGGCAATTCAAGACTATCTTTCCTACCCTCTTCAGTGCCCCTTTCAGTGATACGAAGTTAAAACCAGGTACTTTGATTGCTCACCTGATTTTTGGTTCTTATAAAGGTACTTTGTAGTATAGATAGTTGTTAAATTGGTGTCTCTGCATGGAGGATGATCTATAGAGGCTGCTAATCAGACATCTTGCTCTGTCCCTGCCACTTGGTTTTATGTGTTCAAGGGAAAGTAGGTGAGAGATCCAATGCCATCTTCCTTTCAAAGCTGAAGGTGCTGACTATCAAGCTTGAGTTTCTAATCTGGTGCTTTCAGCCCTGGTCATGTGGCTGGATTTTCATAGTCACTAGGGCATTTTGACTTCCTAGCCATGGTTCTTCTTCCACTATATATATATGCTTAATATCCATTCAAACTCCTGAGTTTAAGCGGCTCTTCTGCCTCAGTGTCCAAAGTAGCTAGTATTACAAGCATGCACCACCATGCCTGCCTCATTCTCTCTTTTTCTGTTGTTTTAAATTTTTTGTAGAAACAGGGTCTCATTATGTTGCCCAGGCTGGTCTTGAACTCTTGGGCTCAAGTGATCCTCCTGCCTCAGTCGCCCAAAGCACTAGGATTACAGGTGTGTGCCACTGGGCCTGGCCTAAGGGGACCTTTGATTAATGTTTGGCCTGCATCAAACTGGGATGTAAGTGAGAAATAAACTTTTATTTTGTTAGAGCATTGAGATGTTGAGGTTGTTACAATATTTTAGCCTAGCCTGCGTCATGAGATTTGTTATATGGGTTGAAGGTTGACTATCCTCACTGCCTGATAATCTGATGTGCTCATCTCCCCAGGAAAGACAAACTGCTACATGGCCCTGATGAATACTTCCATTGGCTGCTGGGTACTCACCTTCCTGAAGAGGACCTGGCTAAGCAAGGTAATATTTGGGTTTTAGGCTTCTTTTTTTCTCTGGTTTCTTGGTTGATATTTTAATTGACAGAGTTTTCTTTATCTATGTCAGTGCCTCTAGGCAGACAATGATGTCTTATTCACTAGAAAGATTTTTCCTAAGCAGAAGTTGCCAAAATATGACAAACTAGGGGAAAAAGTTATGACTTGGGAAGGCATGATAAAAGGGTAATTTTCTTAATTTATAAAAGGATCTTATAAATTAACAAAAAAATAGATAAGTTGATTCAAATCAGAAGGGAAAAAAGATATGCAAACAGCCAATTAGACTCATGAATCCTCAACCTTTGATATGGTTTGGATCTGTGTCCCCAACCAAATCTCATGTTCAATTGCAACCCTCAGTGTTGGAGTTAAGGCCTGCTGGGAGGTGATTGGATCATGGGGCTGGTTTCTCATGGTTTAATACCATTCCCCTTGGTGCTATCATCCTGAGAGTGAGTTCTCATGAGATCTGGCTGTTTAAAAGCATGTGGAACCTCCCCCCTCTCTCTGGGTCCTGCTCCTATCATGTAAGACATCCACTGCTGCTTTGTCTTCCACCATGAGTAAAAGCTCCCTGAGGTCTCCCAGAAGCAGAAGCCGCCGTTCTTCCTGTACAGACTGCAGAACTATGAGCCAATTAAACATTTTTTCTTGATAAATGACCCAGCTTCAGGTATTTCATTATAGCAGTGTGAGAATGGACTAATACAGCCTCTCATCACCCCTCACTAATTCTACAAATGAAGATGCTGGGCTGCAAATGTACACATTACTGATAAGGAATTTCCCTGCTCCCCTGAAGGCACCCCCAACCCCAGCATTGGTGAAGCTTAAACAGGGCAGGCTATGATAGATAATGGCTGGTGAAGACAGCAAAGACTTGGCAGCACTCACCATGGCAAAGTTCCTCACTTGATGTCTATCCCCATCATTTTGCACATGAGGAGGTGGAAGCATGGAAAGGTCAAGTTACCCATCTATCTAGGTAACTATTTCTTCTTTGATGTCTCAAAGATACCTCTCACTCGCTGTTCACAATAGGCTCATCATCTTTTTTCCCAGACTATCTTCTTCTCTTGAATTCTCTTTTTTTTTTTTTTGAGACGGAGTCTCTCTCTGTCGCCCAGGCTGGAGTGCAGTGGCGCGATCTCGGCTCACTGAAAGCTCCGCCTCCTGGGTTCACACCATTCTCCTGCCTCAGCCTCCCAAGTAGCTGGGACTACAGATGCCCACCACCATGCCTGGCTAATTTTTTGTATTTTTAGTAGAGACGGGGTTTCACTATGTGAGCCAGGATGGTCTCGATATCCTGACCTCCTGATCCGCCCACCTCGGCCTCCCAAAGTGCTGGGATTACAGGTGTGAGCCACTGTGCCCAGCTTCTCTTGAATTCTTAATCTCTGAGAATGGTACCCCCATCCCACCCCAGACTTTTATGCCACAGAGCCAGGAGGCCCCGTGGGCTCTTCCTCTCCCTCTGGCTCTGTGTTCTGTCATCACTATCTCTTGTTAATTCTGTCCCCTGACCATCTCTCCTAACCACATGTCTATCTCCAGCCCCACTGTTATTTTTCCTTGATTTGGAATTACATCAGCCTGAACTAGGGCATTTGCAACTCATCTAACCATCTTTGGTGTTACTCTTTCTCAGAGCAGCCAGAATGGCCTTCCTAGCACCCAAGTCTAATCATGCCAGACTGTTGTTCAGAATTCTGAGGTGTCTCCACATTAAGTAGAGATAAGATGCCTGTTGATCTGACCTCTGCCCACCTGTCCTGCCTCAACTCCCGCCACCTGCTGCATGCACAGGTACATCCTAATACAGCTGGATTGCTGGTGGTTGCCCAAACATGCCACACTCTCTTGTTCCTTCCATTTTTTCAGGCTATTGCACGTGCTGCTCCTTTTGCCCAGAATCCTCTCCTTTACCCATCTCCAAGCCCCTCCTCATGTTCAAGTCTCAGCTCCAAAGCTCCGCCCTCTGAAAACAGCACTGTCCTGAGATTCAGCTGCTCTTTTGCCTCTGCATCCTCTGCATCTTGACCTTGCTTCTCCTCTGACATTATCCTCTAGACTTGCAGGGGAGGTGTCAGTCTTCTGGGGAGTCAGTGAACTGGATGGAAGGGCAGCTTCTTCTAAACTTTAAATCCCCAGTGCCAATCTAGGACGAAGCCTGGTGAATGATCAATATCTATGTGGTGAAAGAAAGAGATGATTAATCAATAAGACATTTGCCCTGTCTGGGAGCTCACGTATAGCGAGGCGATGGCTTTGTAAGCCCCTCACTCTGACAGCAGGCTTGTGGGCAGGGAGGACTCTGACCCTCCTCAGGAGTTGGGAGAGGCAAAGGGGGTCAGCTACAAGTGTACACACATCACATTCACCACACCATGCTTAAAAAACAAATCCATAAGTCGCAGCTGCCAAGCATGATGTAAATGTATGGGGATTGAGGGACTAATTCTGCTGGCCTGAGGTTTTTTCCTGGGTGGGGAGAGATTCAGGCCCTGTTTTGTCTTTCACTTTTCACAAGGAACAGCCAAAGGGAACCTGGCTCCTCTGGTTCTCCATCCTTCCCGGAGTCTCTTCCCACACTCCAGAACGGGCCCCTTTCTCTGGAGGTGGCCAGCCCAGATTTGGGGGGTGGCCCACTGGTTGGCCTCCTTAAACTTTCCTAGAACTGTGCCACAGTTTAAGGGACAAACTTTTGAAAAACAGAACAACAACAAAAAACTTGAAAGACTTCAAACCTTAATTTGTCTGAGAAAATCCACTGTTAACCCAATAGCTTGCTTGAATGGAGGTGTTAAAGATCAACAAAGCCAGACATTAGTTAAACCATGAAAACAGATTTTACTCAGTAACTACTTACAGTAGGAGAAAAAGCTGATCATTCTCATTTGTGCATAGCAGAATGGGCGTTTTAAAGGGTGAAGGAGAGAATAGGGCCGGGAAGCTAGCAGGGGATCAAGTGAAAAATCATGAAGGGGCGGTCAGTATTAATGACGGGCAGCTGTGCCTGGAGCTGGCCGTTATGAAGCTGGGATTCTATCCTCCCACAGAGACTGGGGGACAGAGGCCTATCCTCCCCATGACTGCATTTCAGAGCAATGGCTTTCAGGTCCTTGAGAAAGACACTTCTGAGGTGTAGGCGATACATATACATCTCAAAGCAACAGAGAAAGGATTCACAGTTGTAAGCCCTTTTAAGAAAATATCCTAAAAAAGGGAGGTCAGGGGCTTTACCATCGGGTGTTGGCTAGAATAAACGGGGAATTCTCCTGGCTGCCTTGAGCTTTCTCGGGAAGACATTTTACTGGGGTCGAGGTTAGGCGGCAGCGGAGGGTGGGGGACCTTGAGTCATGCTCCTATAAGCCACGCTAGAGTTCCTCGTCTTTGAGTGCAGAGGTTTAGACTGTGTCTTTGTGTGCAGAAAGTCCTGCAGTTCTCACAGCGACCTGCCAGAAAAAGTCGTTCCCAAATGTTTGTAAATCCTCCGTTGGGCAACCCGCCTTCACGTTCTGCGGTGATCTTGTCGAGCGACTAAGCGTGCAGTATTAGCAGAGAAGGGGGTGGCAGAGTGCTGGCGCTGAAGGTCATGTTGCATGGGTAACTGTCGTGTTGTAGGGGCGGGGAAGAGGGAGGAGACACTGACCACCCCAGAGGCCGCCCCATTAGCTCGCTTGCTTTGGGCGGCGTCGCTCCCACGGCGCCCAGGGTACCCCCGCCGCTGTCTGCCTGTCTTCCTCCATTACCGCGCAGGCTTGGTCACCGCATTAAGGCATTCCCGCTCTCCGCGGAACTGCTCTGCCGTCTCGGCGGTGAAAGTGTGAGAGGGTCCGTAGTTGGGTCAACTTTGACTCCTCTCGCCTGCCCGGATCCTTAAGGGCCTCCTCGTCCTCCCGGTCTCCGGTCGCTGCCGGGTCTGTGCGCCGGTCCGCGCCCGCCCTCGCTCTGCCATGGGCGCTTCCAGCTCCTCCGCGCTGGCCCGCCTCGGCCTCCCAGCCCGGCCCTGGCCCAGGTGGCTCGGGGTCGCCGCGCTAGGACTGGCCGCCGTGGCCCTGGGGACTGTCGCCTGGCGCCGCGCATGGCCCAGGCGGCGCCGGCGGCTGCAGCAGGTGGGCACCGTGGCGAAGCTCTGGATCTACCCGGTGAAATCCTGCAAAGGGGTGCCGGTGAGCGAGGCTGAGTGCACGGCCATGGGGCTGCGCAGCGGCAACCTGCGGGACAGGTACAGCACAGCGCGGGCGCGGGGCAGCGCGGAGCCTGCCTGGGATGAGGAGCGGGGGGGCAGGTGGGGCCCGATCTATCTGGGAAGGACTATAGAGGTTTGCCACCTGAGTTTCTGGGCTGACTGTTGGGCCGTTGGTCGTTTATCTGGGAAGGCCAAGTTCATGCCAGGTTTATTTTTGGTAAAGTAGGTAGGGGCAATCCCTTGCCCTTCCCTAGACGAGAGATTCCTCCTCTGTAACAGGAGGGGGTCTGACCTGTATCTCCAAGTCTCCTTAGCTCTAAAGTTTGTGATTCTATCCTAGTATACCAAAGTAGAAAAATAAAGCTATTGGCACTAGAAAGCAGCAAGAAAGAAACCAAGTGTTGTTCAAGGACATTGGCTTAGGCCTTGCTGGGCCTTGTTCCTCACATTTCTCCAATCCTGGGGGTGCCCTGGAGGCCTGATACACTTTGATGAAGGATGAGCAAGTGGCATGGGGACTCTGGGGCAGAGGTGATACTTGCCATTAAGGGAATAGTGTCCCCCCTTCTCCCATAGGCAGAGTTGTTCACAGCCTGGAACTTTGGGACTTTTGGGCCTGACACATAGACATTTCATACTTAGGATTAAGATGCCTTCTTCTTTTTTTTTTTTTTTTTTTTTGAGACAGAATCTCACTTCGTAGCTCAGGCTGGAGTGCAGTGGCACTATCTCAGCTCACTGCAACCTCCATCTCCCAAGTTCAAGCAATTCTCCTGCCTCAGCCTCCCAAGTAGCTGAGATTACAGGTGTGCGCCACCACGCCCGGCTAATTTTTGTATTTTTAGTAGAAACGGGGTTTCACTCTGTTGACCAGGCTGGTCTCAAACTCCTGACCTCAGGGAATCCACCAGCCTCGGCCTCCTAAAGTGCTGGGATTACAGGTGTGAGCCACTGTGCCCAGCCAAGATGTCTTCTTATCTGGCCGAGATGGTTTAGCTGTGGGCCTGTGTCCGAGGGGAGGGAGGTTTGCAAGTTGATCATTCAAGGATTCCTCTAGCAGAGAGCCACCTGCATCCCTGTGTTCACTCCAGGACACGCGGATGCACTGTTTTCTGAAGACTGCTGCCCTCTTAAAGAAATGTGGACTTCCATGGTGTTGGAAAACTTCAGAGAGTCTTAGAGAAGTGTTGTGTACACAGACCATATGAATCATGGGAGGATTTTCATTCTCCCACCCTTACCCCAGATTTCTTATCCTGGAGAGCTTTTTCAACTATAACTTCCTGAGATTCCCATCCCAGGACTACGGAAGCAGAATCACCAAGAGTGGGGCCAACTCGTGTAGAATGTTTAAATCTCCCCCTGGTGATTTTGATGCTATAATTAAAGGATTTTATCCGAGACCATGAAGAAGAAGAGGATGTTTAGAGCTTATTCAAATATGAAGGATAAGAAAAGCCTTCCTATTACTGGAAAGACTTCAGGCTGTGTGGGACTGGACACCTTCCAAAAAACTGGGAGAACCAAATTCTCACGATGCATGTCCAGAGAAAATTAGTGTTGCAGGCTAGGTTGCACTACTTCCTTCCTCGCTTGAAGGGTTGGTTTCACAGACAGTTTCCAGTTCTAATCTGCGTTTCCTCTGATCACCTGAAGAACGGTTTCTTTCCCACTTCTCTTTGTCACTGCTTTGCCATGACTACTGCAACCATGGAAAGAAAATACGTGTCCTTTGCCTGTGCTTTTTGCTCCCACTGGCATCCTAAAATAAATACAACTGTATTACCTTTCCCTTGTTTTAAACAATAAACGCTTAGGATGGGGTGGGGTGATGTGAAGCCTGGGGTAGAGGGAAAGGCAATGAAATTAATGTTATTCAGTGTTAAAATGCAGCAGACACTGAGCTAAATCCTGTCGCATAGATTAGCATATTTAAACCTCATAACAATCTTGTGGGCTAGATAGTATTATCACCATTTTGCAAATAAGGAAACAGTATCAGAATGAAGGAGTATCCCATCCAAGGCCAGAAAACCAGTGTGTGCTGTGGGGATGTGAACTCAGATCTGTGTGAGTACAGAACTTATGCTGTTTGTATGAAACCAGTGCATGATATAAAACTATAAGGATTGCACTGAGGATCAGGAGACTTTGGGCGAACTTCTACAAAGTTGTCTCATTTGCAAAAGAATGAGGTTGAACTTCATGGTCTCTAAAGCCCCATTTTAACTACATTTTATTTATCAAAGCATAATTAACAATTTGAAAGCAGGCTTGCTGGAGAGAACTCTGTTTGATAGCCGCTGTCTTCTCCACCTGACAATTTAATAACACTACTACAAATGTTCCTAGAGTTCAGGGAAAGGCCTCATTTAATGAATTCCATTCTGAACCTGTGTCTTTGGAACTAACTGTTCCAAGGAGCTGGGATTTTCCTCTGGAAGTGCTCTGGGTCTCAAATTTCTAAAGGTATTTTGTTCAAAGCTCTTAGTATACTTGTGAACACTTGGCTTGAGCACCCTAAGCATTGAGTGTTTAAAGTCCACCTGGCAGAATGCTGGCATTCGGTGCCTGGTGCAGTTGCTGGGAGGGCGTGCTTGTCCTCCCTGACCTTGGAAATCTCTGCTCTCCTTAGCAGCCATATGTGAGTTGATCAGTTTTATCTCTCTAAACCCTTACTGAAGCCAGTCCTTTATTTCTTCTGCACAAATGATGAACTGTTGGAGAAAGGAATCCCTTAAGTTTATTATTGTCCAGGGTGTTATTCCCTGCCCAATTCCTGCTGTTTTTCTCCTCCCACACTCAGTAGTAGAGTTCCTGCTTTCCCTCACTTTTCAGTCCTTCCTGCTCCCCAGGCCAGTTTGTAATTGAGAAATGATATTTTTTTCTGTTGTTTTGGGCTCCACTTACCCGTTGCTGTTGGTTGTTCGGGGCTCTATAGCTCTTTTGGGGAATCGGGGCTCCAGGCTTCTACACTGATCCCTCTACCACATACTCATGTTTTACCTGTGAATTCAAGGTGCTGGCTTTTAGTGTTGCAGACTAGGTTGGGGTAACTTGGTTATGATGAAATCTATGCTCCAGACTTATCTCTTCTTTCAGATCTGGCAGAATAGAACTAGTTATTCATTCACTGGGCATCATTTTGTGCACAAGAGGTGAAAAATAATATTGCCCAGGTTGACAGGGAAATGAGATGGTTGGGGTATGTTACAAATGGTAACCTTTTAACCTGTGATTGCTGTATTTGTCCTGTTCCAAAATTGGACTCCCTGTAAGTTGCCAGTTTTTCAGTGACAGTGATGAGTGGGAAACCTCTAGTGACAACTTCCCACTGTTAACCTCAGCAGTTAACACCTGTATTATTATACAACAGTCTGGAGCCACAGGCCAGGCTGTGAGCCACGGTGAAGGGCGACATTAATAAGGGATGAATGGGAGATGAGAAGATTCAGCCCATGGAGAAATAATGTCAGAAATAATGTGCAAACAGGTTTGCCACTCCTGTTTGGACATGGCTCTGGTTGTGTGCAGATCTCAAAGGGAGTCTTGTCTGGGGAAGGGGCATGTTGGAAGTTAAGGGTGAAGGCTTTAGTGAGGCTAACCAAAGAAATGTGCACCAAGGGACAAGGCTGGAAATAGGGAATAGGGCCCAGCCCTGTGAGGCATCTAAGTCAGTGGATGCCTGCCTATTTCACTGTAGCCCCATTCTCTGGGCAGACATCCTCAGATTTACAGAACCCAGCCCCAGGATGAGTGAGCCAGAGAACTGTGGGATCTAAAGACATCTTTGACCAGGCAGGATGGCTCACATCTGTAATCTCAGCACTTTGGGAGGCCAAGGAGGGAGGATTAATTGAGCCAGGAGTTCCAGACCAGCCAGGAGGTCCAGACCACAGTGGGACCCCATCTCTACAAAAAATAAAAAGATCAGTTGGGCGTGGTGGTGTGTGCCTGTAGTCCCAGCTACTCAGGAGACTGAGGCAGGAGGATCGCTTGAGCCCAGCAGTTCAAGGCTGCCATGAGCTAAGATCACGCCGCTGTACTCCAGAGCCTGGGTGATAGAGTGAGACCCTGTCTCCCTCTCTCTTGATATTAATTAAGTATAAATATATATAAATGAATAAATAATACACATATGCATATATACACTTAGGAAATGGTGGGCTGGGCACGGTGGCTCACGCCTGTAATCCCAACACTTTGGGAGGCCGAGGTGGGCAGATCATGAGATCAGGAGATCGAGACCATCCTGGCTAACACGGTGAAACCCTGTCTCTACTAAAAAAAAAAAAAAAAAAATACAAAAAATTAGCCGGGCATGGTGGCGGGTGCCTGTAGTCCCAGCTACATGGGAGGCTGAGGCAGGAGAATGGTGTGAACCCAGGAGGTGGAGCTTGCAGTTAGCCGAGATCGTGCCACTGCACTCCAGCCTGGGTGACAGAGTGAGACTCCGTCTCAGAAAAAAAGAAAAAAAAAAGAAAGAAAGAAAAAGGTGGTCTCCTCAGTGGGGTGGGGACTTGCTGCTACCCAGTGTCACCAGCTTTTTGGAAGCAGGTAGTCAAGACAGTTACTGGAATGCCTTTACACTGCCACACCATCATAATGCCAGTTAGCAGAGCACAGGCTGCCAGCCATTGTCTTCTGGTGTGGTTGCGGGGAAGGGACAGTTTAGCCAGCACCTGGAAAGGACTTTACGGATAAGGAGGTTGCAGATGTAAGACTATCTGTCAGGGTCAGGACAGGGCAGAGACGGAGCTCCCTGTGCTGGGATATTGGATGTCCTCCTGAGGTCTCCTCAGCCTTTCCCTGATGGCTCTGGTCATATTTTGGAATGTCTCCCTGGGAGGAGCCGCCCCTGCTTCTGGAAGGGGCTGTGCTTTTTATCCTCCTCACATTTGGAAAGCCTCTGGCTTTCAGACAATTTTTACTTATCAGTGCCTGCATTTTCCTCACCCGCTAGTCTGCAGATTCTATCTTCTTTCTAAAATAGTGATATTGGGCTAGGCACAGTGGCTCATGCCTATAATCCCAGTACTTTGGGAGGCTGAGGCGGCAGGTCACTTGAGGCCATGAGTTCAAGACCAGCCCAGCCAACATAGCGAAACCCCATCTCTACTAAAAGTACAAAAATTAGCTGGGCGTGGTGGTACACACCTGTAATCCCAGCTACCCGGGAGGCTAAGGCAAGAGAATCACTTGAACCAAGGAGGTGGAGGTTGCAGTGAGCTAGACTGTACCACTGCACTCCAGCCTGGCTGACAGAGTGAGACTCTGTCTCAAACGAAATGAAACAAAACAACTAAACGAAACAAAACAAAATGAAACTAAACTGTGATATTGAAATTTATTTTCCCTAGGAGTGGAAGATTTTTTTCTTTTTGGCAACACAGTCTTTTGTGTGGTACAGCCCCAACCTATATGCTAGGCTGTAGGTAAAAGCCTAACCAACTGGGCCTGGCCAGCTTCCCCTCACTCTTCAGCTCATCCCATAGAAATACAAAGTAAGAAAACCAAGTCCAGTACAGTGGGCTCTCTAGGAAATAAGTGGGATTCTTATCTAACATGTGACTTCTGTGTGTCTTTGTTCTCTATGTCAGAATGTGTGCATGAAGAGGAAAGGCTGTTTGGGAGGTTTCCTGATGTAGGACCCCCGCATGCCGCGGCAAGTTAAACAGAGCAGAGGCTGGCCTGGTTCCGCTTGGAGGCAGCAACATTGCAAGACCTTTGTCTCAGACTCAAACTCACTTGGCCAACCTCATCTTGTTCTACAACAAAAGGACCTGAAAGCTATTTTACTTCTCCCAGGGCCACAGAGACATATTTAACAGACCTGCAGAAGCTTCTAACCAAAGCAGAACCCCCAGACAAGCAGCAGGGTTGACTAAGCAGTGAGGGAGAGTCTCTGAGCCAGGCTCATGTTCTTGTTTTTGAAACTGGAGATTGCCATACATCAGCCAGACACTCTCCCAGAACTGTTTCCGCCAAATAAGCTCTTTCTGGGGTCACCAACTTTTAGACCCAAATCATTTGGCCAGACCTGGATAATTGTCTGGAAAATGATTGTTAGGTCCCAAGACGGGGTGGGTGGAGAGTTCTGAGGAAGTAGAAAGCTGGAGGGAAGCTGTTGGGAGGTGGAAGAGGATTTTCTGAGTGTGCCCTGGTTTGTTTCTCTGCAGGTTTTGGCTGGTGATTAAGGAAGATGGACACATGGTCACTGCCCGACAGGAGCCTCGCCTCGTGCTCATCTCCATCATTTATGAGAATAACTGCCTGATCTTCAGGGCTCCAGACATGGACCAGCTGGTTTTGCCTAGCAAGCAGCCTTCCTCAAACAAACTCCACAACTGCAGGTGTTCCGCTTGGGGGCATCCACAGAACTGCAACAGGCTTGGTTTCTCTTCAGGCTCCTCCTTGCATTCTGTCTTGCTATAGTTTCTACAGTAGAGGATGACATTGGTAAAGGAAACATTTAAGAGAAGTGCAGTTTGAGTTGGGATTGGGCATGAGTGGATGATGCAGGGTATTGTTTTCAGGGTACCTAGGATTTGTTTTAATCAGGTATGGTTAGACACGCAGACATAGAAATGACTGTCCTGAAAAAAGAAGATGTTATACCAACAGATTCTCTAGAAACTGGAGGCACGCTACGCCACGCAAGGCCAAGTGGGGGAGTACCAGGGTGGGTCAGGAGGCAGAGGGAGCAGGGGGAACATGTGGGCAAGGGCTTTTATTGTGGTTTCCACAGGAAAGGAGAAGCAAGGCAGGGGCGGCAGGCTTAGGGCTGGCTAGTTTGAACAATTTCAGCAGGCTCTGGGTCACAGGTTGTCTGGTACTTGGCTCTAGGGTTGACTAGGGCATGGGACTAGTGGCCCGGCATGTAAGCACCAAATAAAGGAGGTGACTGGGAGTGCAGACTCTGGATGGGTTGGTGTTCCTATTACAGGCACACTTGCAGGTCATCAGTCTATTATTTCTAGGAATTGGTCAGCCCTGGAAGAAGCAGTTTCTTCAGTGTCAACAAGGCTCCAAGATGTCAAAGCGTAAAACATGCAGAAAATTAAAAGCAGGATTACTACAAGTATAAAGGTGGTACAATGTGCTCATCTTTAGGGCTTTTCTCCTTTCATTCAAATCTTCATTCAGAATTGTCAACTCTCCAACCAGGCAGACAAGGGAGTTAGTGGAGACTTTAGCAGCTGTATCTCAGGGCTGGGTGAGAAGGATGCTGGAGCTTCCAGAGCTTTTCAAGTTGACTCTGCGGCCTCTGAAGTGTGTGGTTGAGATGAAGACATATTCCTTGGGTGTAAGGGATTTCCACTTCTGGCCAAAGACACACCTCAGGCCTTGGCTTCCTTTTGGCCTATGGGACTTCTGTTGGGTTGTCAAGTTCCGTGGTTTGCTGGGGTCTTGTCCTTCCACATTAAGAAGACTTAGATGCTTGTCATGGGATGAACTGGATCCCTTGTCACCAACTGAGCTTGTTAAGTGTGTGGAAGTTGGTGTTGTCCCAGGGCTCAGAGGGGAGCCTCAGATTACTCCGTGAACTCTCATCTTACGCTTTTTCAAGCAAAGCGTCTAAGCTGAAATCCACAACTCATGGTTCCCAATTTTCAAAAGTCTGAAGCAATAATTCACTGAATTCAGTATTTCAGGTAATTATCTTAGCAAGCCCATGAGGGGGTCATTAATTCCACTTTACAAACGAGGAAACCACGTCTTAGATCACTGCCACGAAAACACAGAGCTGGGATTTGAACCCACTTCCCTCCTAAGGCTTTTGCCTTTAACGTGTTTGTGTAGGGAGAAGAAAAGCTTTTCCATAAATGACAGGTTTTGAGCCCATCAGTTCATTGAAGAGGAAGTGTGTAGCCATCTCGGCTTAATTGGAAGACATGTGAAGGTGATGGGTAAATACGTAGCTGACATGTGTCACATGAGTAATATAGGTGTTGCCCTGTAGACTCACTGTGTTGCCAACAGTGAGCAAGTTTTTCCCCCAAGGCTCTTTACCAGCTAAATAGGCAGAAATCTAGGGGGACACTCACCTTCCTGGATGGAAAGAGGGAAAGAGGAAGACCTTGCAGGTGAGTTGCCTGGGTCTGAAAAAGACAGCAATTGCAGCCTATTCTTTTTTATTTATTTATTTTTTGAGACGGAGTTTTGCTCTTGTTGCCCAGCCTGGAGTGCAATGGCACGATCTTGGCTCACTGCAACCTCCACCTCCCAGGTTCAAGCGATTCTCCTGCCCCAGCCTCCTGAGTAGCTGGGATTAGAGGCATGTGCCATGACGCCCAGCTAATTTTGTATTTTTAGTAGAAATGGGGTTTCACCATGTTGGCCAGGCTGGTTTCGAACTCCTGACCTCAGGTGATCCACCTGCCTTGGCCTCCCAGACTTCTGGGATTGCAGGCATGAGCCACCGTGCTCAGCCTGAAGCCTCTTCTTATGTAATTCTGTTCCATGCATGAATTGTAGATCTGGATGAGGTGGGAATAGAGAGCCTGGAACCCTGGCAGTTTGGTGAAAATGATTGAGAGCTGTGCATTTGGATTGATGCAGAGGTGTAGTCAGCGCACTGCCCTCTCTAGCTGGTTAGACATGCTGTAACTAGTTCAGCCTGTATTTATAAGCTATTTTTAATGGATTCGTTGCCAAGGGAACTGCTAAAAACTGAAGAAATAACATAGATAGTGTGTTTAGCTAGTGCCAGCTGCTGTGACAAAATACCATAGTCTGGGTGGCTTAAACAACTGACATTTATTTCTCATAGTTTGGGAGGATGGGAAGTCTAAGATCGAGGTGCTGGTAGATTGGTGAGGTCCCTTTTCAGGGCTGTAGATGGCCACTTCTCGTTATGTCCTCACATGACCTTCCCTGGTGCCTGCATGAAGAGAGAAAGCAATCTTGTGTTTCTTCCTCTTATAAGGGTGCCAATCCCAGCATGAGGGCTCCACCTCATCTAACCCTAATTACCTCCCATAGGCCCCACATTGGGGGTGAGGGTGTCAACAAAGGAATTCTGGGGAGACACAAACATTTAGCCCCTAACAGATGGTAAGCGACAGAGTGATTACCACAGCCAGCCCACCAGAGCCCAGAATCAAATAACATAAACCAACAACCTCAAGTTAGTAAAAAGAAAAGTCCCTTCACAGACATTTGGACAAGGCTGAAGTGTTATGAATTTTATATTATTCTACACTTATTTTATTTTATTATTATTATTATTTTTGAGATGGAGTCTCGCTCTGTCACCCGGGCTGGAGTGCAGTGGCGCGATCTCAACTCGCTGTAACCTCTGCCTCCTGGGTTCAAGTGATTCTCCTGCCTCAGCCTCCTGAGTAGCTGGGACTACAGGCGCACGCCACCACGCCCAGCTAATTTTTGTATTTTTAGCAGAGACGGGATTTCACCATGTTGGCTACCATGGTCTCGATCTCCTGACCTTGTGATCCACCCGCCTCGGCTTCCCAAAGTGCAGGGATTACAGGCATGAGCCACCACGCCCGGCCACTTATTTTTTTTAAACTTTCACTGTTAGTGTTTTGAATCAGCTTTCCCTGTTCACCTTGTGTGGTGTTAAGTTTTTTTATACTAATTATAGACCAGTATGGCTTCTTGATTATCACAAGTATTTATGAATAATTATTACCTTTTTTTTTTTTTGAGATGGAGTTTCGCTCTTGTTGCCCGGGCTAGAGTGCGATGGCACGATCTCAGCTCACTGCAACCTCCATCTCCCAGGCTCAAGTGATTCTCCTGCCTCAGCCTCCTGAGTAGCTGGGACTACAGGCATGCACCACCACACCCGGCTAATTTTTGTATTTTAGTAGAGGTGGGGTTTCACCATGTTGGCCAGGTTGTTCTCGAACTCCTGACCTCAAAGTATCCACCTGCCTTGGCCTCCCAAAGTGCTGGGATTACAGGCATCAGCCACCGTGCACGGCCTGATTATTGTCTTAAAAGGTGAAGCTAATGTTTTAAAGTAGGGGGAAGTAAGACATGACTTCAACCCTATATTGAATTTGTGGTTCAATTTACAGAAAATTGATGTGAAAATATGTGTGTGTGTGTGTGTGTCTGGGTGTGTGTGTGTGTGTATTAAATAAAGCACTTGCAAGAGGACCTGGTATACAGTAAGCACTTAACTGGATATTAGGTCTTAAATAGCTATTATCTTTATTGTATTAATCCACCTTATCTATGAATATTATTTTTCTTCACTTGTTTGTGTCTTATCTCTTTAATAAAGTTTTATAATTTTATCTGTAATGTGATTTTACATGTTTTGTTAGATTTAGTCCTAAACATTTACTCTTTTCTTCCACTTTTACATAGCAAGTCTTAAAAACACTTTTTTTGTTTGCTGTGTAAGATTGGTATTATTTATTCTTTAATTATTGATAGAACTTGCCAGTAAAAGTATCTGGATTTTCTTTGTAAGAGTCTATTCAAGTTTTTATGTCCTCTTACATAATTTTTAGTGAGTTACTTTTGATTAGTGAGTTAAGAGATTGCTTACTAATGAAGTTTTATTGAACCCAGAGTGAGGGTCAGTTTTTTCTATGGAATGTTGCTGATGAGACATTTTGTGTCAAAATGTAGAAGAGAGTGGACTTTGCAGAAAATTCTGCAAGAATTGGAGAAGATGGCATGGCAGAGGGAGCGATACCATCCAGTGCAGGGATGGGAGACAGGGCTGGTGGAGGGATGCCTTCCATCGGGGGGAAGGGGCTCCGGTTAATCAGTATTCCATTGCCCTGTTGGGGGCTTTTCTGCTTTTCAAAGTGCCACCCATAAGCTTTCCCGGGTGGGTGGAGACTGTGAGTAATATGTGTGCACTTATGTACAAGTGCTGTTCTGAGGGGATGAGGGAAGAGCTCCATCCAGGAGCATGTACTTAGGGAACTGCTGAACAGTGGGATGGAATCAGTTTTAGGGGAAAGGCAGAAGGCCAGGAGAGGATCATGAGATGTCTGTAGAGCCAAGAATTAATCAGAGGTGAAACAGTGGCTTCGAGAAGGGGGTTTAGAGGGAAGGAAAAGGCCCAAGAAATGTGAAAGGAACAGCACTGAGATTTGACAGTAGATAGGAGAGGAGGTGAGAGGTTGGGAGTCTCTACCCTCAGACCAGGATTGTGAGTTGCAGGGTACACAGGGGTTCATCTAACTGGGAGCACCTCAGGTGTCCACATTGAAATCCTTCACATGCATCGCCTCAGGAGTCCTCACACTGGTATGAGCCTTCCCACGGGGAGGGGCAAGCCCTTCCCATGGTAGATGAGGGTAGGGGAATCAATTTCCAGATCCTGTGAATTATATCTACAATCAGCAAGTTCTCCGGTCTCACCATAAACATTTCTTCTTTGTACAGAGGAAAGGCTTTTGTCTGTCCACCCCACATCTTACTAGGGGCATTGCCCTTGGAGGGAAAAACATACAGGGACCCAAACAATGAAAAATGCTGGTGTTGATAAAGAGGGTGATGTTAATGACAGGGTAAAATGGTTGTACAAGTCAGTGGTTCCAACTCTTTGTCTTACATTAAAATGAAGGGGCCTCCAGTGAAATTGTTGCTGATAAATCATTAAAAATACTTTTTGATGACAAATCACTATGTGAAATATATTGCCTGGAGATTCAAGGAATAAGTGAAATTACTATAACTCCCATTTCTATCTATTTGTTTGTGTGAAAAATTCCTCAGGGCTTATTTAAAAGAAAGAAAATTGATACTGAACCTTGTCTTATTCTAGCAATATGTGAGATTCATTCAGAGTTTTATGGATATTTTATGGGGTTCATTAAGCATTTGATTTCAAATAAAATTTCACTTTTTAAGTTCATGAATTATAAAAATATATAGCATATCTATTTTGTTATGATCAATTGTATATAAATCATAATTGTAATGATAACTCAATCCTGAAAACATTTCTTCACACTTGAAAGCTTAAGAAACAAAACAAATTTAATTGATTCAAAAGAAATACAGTAAGTGAGCGATAGCCATAAAAATACATTAGGATAAAATTACATAAGTAAAATAATATACATATGTGTTCATGAATAAAAAGAGGAATAATACAAAAATGTTTAAATGGATAATGGTGGATATCAAACCAACATGGCATTTAGATCCCGTTACACACTTTTAAAAGCATAATGTAATCATTTTATTTTAAATGTCAGTGTTTAGAATTCAATGGAAATGATGTCTTTCAGAACAAATTAAACTTATGATGAAAAAGTTTACCTGTCAACTTATAGTTCTGTGAAGGGTCCATAGCTTTTTAAAACTCCATTAGGGGAATTTAAGCAAGAAAACCTTGAGGGCCGCTGTGTTATCTAAAGTTATCTGTTCCCACCAAGTGACGTAGGTAGGTACCATATAATTATTTCCAATTTACAACTGAAGACAGGTCAGAGGAGTTAAATGATTTGCTTATGGTCACAGAACTAGAGAATGGCCGAGTTCCAATTTGACCCAGGTCTGTTGGATTCTAAGCTCAGGGTGCATCTGCCACAGGGCAGCCCCTCTCCTCTTGTGAAAGTGTCCTAAATCCTTACGTTCATGGACCAGCAGCTTAGGCATACAGAAGCTTGTTGGGAATGCAGAATCTCAGACTCTAACCCAGACCTACTGAACCAGAATCTGCATTCAAACAAGATCCTGGAGGATTTGCACATACATTAGGGTTTGGGTAGCTCTTCCCCAGAGCACACTCTACTCCTTTCTCTTGCACTTCTGCCCAGCTTTGACCCAGGGACCACTTAACAGCCCTCTGGGATGGTCAGGTCCCAACAGTCCAGCTGTTCATTTTTGACACCATCCCTCAGTGTATTGATATAAGTAAGTAACCTGGTGTTCTTTTGTGACCTTTCCAGGATATTTGGCCTTGACATTAAAGGCAGAGACTGTGGCAATGAGGCAGCTAAGTGGTTCACCAACTTCTTGAAAACTGAAGCGTATAGATTGGTTCAATTTGAGACAAACATGAAGGGAAGAACATCAAGAAAACTTCTCCCCACTCTTGATCAGAATTTCCAGGTGAGCTTACAGAGAGTTTACCTTCACTGCTACTAGTCACCCTTCTCTTTCTGGCTTCCTTCCCAGTTGATAAAGAGCCTCTCTTGGGACCTCAGTTAAGAAAATATGATAATGGCCCTGGTGAGTGATAATGAGGGCACAGCCTAGGCAGAGGTACCAGGGGATGGAAAAGAAGGTGGATATGAGAGGTGTCTCAAAAGTGGGATCTCTAGGGTGTATGGAGGATTGAATATGGGAGATATTGTGGAGGGGGGAGCCAGGGGTGACTCCCAGGTAGATGGAGATGCAAGAGAAAACTGGCTGGAGAAACAAAAGTGAGAAGTTTGTTTGGGACTAAATCCAAGTTTCCTGGAATTATAGAAGCGGACTTTGTTCTGACCCGCCCCTCACAATCTGTGACATGTGCTTATTTCAGGTGCTGGCGAGGCGCCTCCCCCTAAGGAAAACTGTCCCCTGAGCACCTACAGCACCTGGCAGCTATTTTTCAAATTATCAGATAATACAGAGTGCCGACATGTACGATGGTTTATACTAGGCTCAGTGCAAAAGACCAAAGCCTCTGATTCTGCCATGAGCTAAGGTTTAAAATACAAGGACCTCAGGGAATTTCTCTCCATAGCCCCTAAACTACAAGCTCCTTGAGGGCAGGGGTTTTTATCTGCTTTCTTTACTGCTGTTTCCCCACTAGAACAGTGCCTGGTAGGTGCTCAGTAAATGCCTAGTGAGTGAATGGTGTTGTTGAGGAAATTATTACTGGAGTATAGCTGATTGGCAGCAGGTCCTCGCTGTTTGAGGATGATGGGGGAAGGGGGTCGCTGCTGGAGTGGGAGTGGGAACCCAGGAAGAGGAAGCCTGGTGAGTGACATTGGCCCAGAGCCGGCCCTGGCTGCAGCCCTGTCCCTGTGTATGGGCAGGAACTGCTCCAGCTCCTGGCCACTGCAAGCCCAAACTCACATCTCTCTCCTTCCTGAACACTGCTCCCCTCTTCTGCACTGAAGAGGTTTTGCTTCTGGACATTACTTAGCTTTGTAGTTGGTCTAGGCCATTTTGTGGAGTGGTGGGGCCTGACTATCCTGTGTTCTTGGCAAGGTGGCCTACCCAGACTACTGCCCGCTCCTGATCATGACAGATGCCTCCCTGGTAGATTTGAATACCAGGATGGAGAAGAAAATGAAAATGGAGAATTTCAGGCCAAATATTGTGGTGACCGGCTGTGATGCTTTTGAGGAGGTAAGCGACCCACTGCTTTTGTGCATCATGCTCAGATGTGCTGCTCGCGGTGCTAAGGGAACTCTGCTCTAGCCAGAGCCAACTCAGATCCGCCAGGGTCCAGTCATTCACTCATTGCTGCTGCCATCACTCATTGCTTGCGGAGTTGTTCACCCATTGTTGCTGCCATCAACACGCTGGCCTCGGGGGGCGTTGCTCTCACCCGTTAATGCTTGGGCCCCAAAGCAAACAGTCAAAACTCGAAATTGTAGCAAATCTGAGGTTGGAATATGTAATCATAGCTCAGAGATAACTGAGGGAAGCGAAGATAAAGAGAAAGATAAAGCCATTTTCCACTTCTCTATCACTCAGCAGAGCTCTCAAAGATTTGAGACTTTCAGAAGACCCATGCCCCAAAGTGCAGACCAAGAGGACACAGGCAATCTGCCCCGGAGACATACCATGCTGTGGCCTGAGTTCTCTCCCAGGGCACCCACATGCTCTTCTATGGGATTGACACCAGACATTTCCACCCTTTTCAAGGACACACCTTTGTGGTCTTAAGGGAAAACTACATCAGAACCCAGTAGAAACCCTGAACTCTGTATGTGATATATATATAGCTGGGTATTGCTTGGTGATAAGAAGGATTAGCCATCATATTAAGCCTCAGGGGTGAGCTAAACTTTCCGAGCAGTGGAAGTAACAATGACAAATACCATTTATTGGGTGTTTACTGGGTGCTAGGCATTGAGCTAAATAATCATTTCAGATAAATTACTTTATTTGATCTTTACGATAACCCTGTGAAATTTGTGTTACTGTCTCCTTTTTATAAGGAAAATGAAACTCAGAGGTGTTATACACTTTGCCTAGCAGAGAAATGGTGACTGGCATTAGAACACAAGACTTGTAACTCCAGCATCTGTAGAGCTGGGGTGACAATTCCAATTTAGAGATCCCAAATAGTTAACTCTGAGAGAAGAGGCTCTTAAACACCCTCTCAATTCTTTGCTCCCCTGAATGAATGACCGTACTTCCTTTTGTGTGAGTAAAATGTGCCCTAATTTTTTTTTTTTTTTGAGAGAGAGTCTCGCTCTGTCACCCAGGCTGGAGTGCAGTGGCACGATCTCGGCTCGCTGCAAACTCCACCTCCTGGGTTTGTGTGATTCTCCTGCCTTAGCCTCCAGAGGAGCTGGGACTACAGGCACATGTCACCACCTTGGCTAATTTTTGTACTTTTAGTAGAGATGGGATTTCTCCATGTTGGCCAGGCCAGTCTTGAACTCCTGACCTCAGGTGATCCACCTGCTTCAGCCTCCCAAAGTGCTTGGATTACAGGCATGAGCCACTGTGCCCGGCCCCTAATTTGTTGATAAACATGGTTCTTTAGGATAAACCTTTGCACTGAGCCTTGTATAAACCATCGTACATGTAGGCACTCCGTATTATCTGATAATTTGAAAAATAGCTGCCAGGTGCTGTAGGTGCTCATGTCTATAGTCCCAGCACTTTGGGAGGCCGAAGCAGGAGGATTGCTTGAGCTTAGGAGTTTGAGACCAGCCTGGATAACATGGCAAAACCCCATCTCTACTAAAAGAATATAATAATTAGCCAGGTATGGTGGTGCGTGCCTATAGTCCCAGCTACTTGGGAGCCTGAGGTGGGAGGATGGCTTGAGCCCCGGGCCGGAGATTGTGCCACTGCACTCCAGTCTGGGTGACAGAGCGAGAACCTGTGTATTTAAAAAAAAAAAAGGAAAAGAAAAGAGCAATAGCAATGTATACAGAAGTTGTCTACTTGATGGTGTTATCTTGTCATTTGTTATCTAGTTGAATTCCTCTGTGCCTTTGTTAGTTTTTAAAATTCAATCATCCATTATAGGTCAGGCATGGTTTGTAGGAGCCCAGATACAGATGAAAAGATATGGATCCTGCTCTTCAGAATGTTCCAACATGAGGGGCATGGCCAGGAGACAATGACAGCCCAGTGTCAGACGTGCTTTAGTGTACACACTTAGAAGATACCAGAGATGTGTAGAAGTAGAACTACCTAAATCTGCCTGGAGAAGGGAGGCCTGGGCATGGGGAGGGGTCAGGTCCAGGTCCCCGGAAGCAATGCTGTTCACCCTATACTTGTGTGGATTGTGTGCAGGCCAGGGTCAGAGGAGGGTCTTTATGGGTAAAGGTGACAGGCAGTTGGGAGGCCTAGAAGCACAAGAGGCCATGAATAAAGGGGTGCTTGGGAGCATTTTAGAATCACAGGAGCATGGGGGTAAAGGAGAAATGTTAGGGAGGCTGCACTGGAGCTGGCTGGAGGCCACCACACCAAGGAGTTTGGATTTTATACTGTGGATATTGAGGAGCTGGTAATAACTCTGAGCAAGGAAGTAATTATGATTTGCATTCTTCCAATAAATATCTGCCGAATGCCTGTACAGTGTGCCAGGCACATATTATTCTGGCAACTCTCTTGAACACTCATTGAAAGGCAGGGAAGCCTGAGACAGAAATACCAAGGCCAGGCCCAGTCACTAGAGAGTCTTTGTTTTTTTCTTTTTTGAGACAAGATCTCACTGTGTCACCCAGACTGGAGTACAGTGGTGCAATCACGGCTCACTGCAGCCTCGAACTCCCCAGCTCAGGTGATCCTCCCACCTTAGCCTCCCAACTTCCCAACTAGCTGGGACTACAGGCATATGCCATCATGCCTGGCTAATTTTTGTATTTTTTTGTAGAGACAGGGTCTCCCTATGTTGCCCAGGCTGGTCTTGAACTCCTGGACTCAAGCAATCTGCCTGTCTTGGCTTCCCAAACTGCTGGGATTATAGTCATGAGCTACCTCACCTAGCTAAGAGTCTTTTTTCTAAAGTGCAGATTAGCAGGCCCTACCTGAAACCTACATGAGCATTGTGACAAGGCCTGCATCTCTGCACTGGCAGCAGCATTCCAGGTGAATCTCATGCCCACAGTGTCTGGAGAAGCACTGAGCTAGGAGAGTGCAGGGACCACGGGGGTCAGAGATGATACAGGGTCAGGGCTGGGAGGGCAATGGAGAGTGCCAGAGAGGAAGAGGCCCCCGACGTACTCAGGAGACTAGTTTCTTGAGGGAAGGAACTAGATTTTTCTAAGAATGAATCTAGACTTGGTGGGACCTGAAATTTATACAATTTGGGGGCCCCTTTAAGAAAAAAATAAAATTATTGACAAAAATATATAAAATTAACAAAAATAAAATTAGGTTCAAGGCCTTGAAAGGTTCTGTGCAAATAAGGCGCCTGAGGCTCAAGCCTCAATGGCTTGCCAGTAAACCCACCTCCCCCTCCCAGTTCTAGTTTCCCACATTGTCTAGTAGGATGTACATAATATCAGATTCATTAAATGCCTGGCAAACAGCAAATGAAATTCTCTGTTTCAAGAAGTATGTTACTAAAGATTGGAATGGAAATTAGTTCATGGAGTAGAAATTAATCCATGAAGCAACAGTTTTTCCACAGGAATCCTGTAATTCTTCCATTATTTTCTGAGAAACTTTCTTTTAGGGAATAAAATGTTTCCTGATTTGTTTCCACTAAAGAACAGATTATTTTGATATTAATTTTAGTTTAAAATCCTGAGCCAAGGAAATAAGAAAAAAGACACTCTTGTCCCTGGCTGAAGCATTTTTGCTTTCCTGTACCTTGCCAACCTATAATTTTTGCTCTCCTATAACTTGTCAAACTGAACCTAAGGCTAATGTAAACCTAATCCTGCTTTCTTGGGCAGTGAGAGTGGAGTTGTCTCTTCTTCTTCTTCTTTTTTTTTTTAAATAATAAACTGAAAATAAAAGTACAAAAAAAAAAAAAAAGGCTAGGCATGTCCTAGAACTTTGGGAGGCCAAGGCGGGCAGGTTGTGTGAGTCCAGGAGTTCGAGACCAGCCTTGGGCAACATGGTGAAACCCCACCTCTACAAAAAAAAAAAAATTAATTAATTAAAAGTGAAAAAAAATAAACTGTTAAATGAATTTGTGCTCCCAAGTCCATTTGTCATTTTATTCCTGTGCTATGATGGGCTTACAGAAGTAGCAAATCAGGTAGAACACTGATTTTTCTCGAACAATCCTCTGGCCACGCACATTAAAAAAAAATCCTTCTTATTAAATGACGCTAATGTTGCTGATTTATTCTTCCTTAAATTAGGAAGCCCAGTAGTTAAAGGCCTAATGCATTAATCTGTTTACCTGGTACCATCACAAAACTGTAACTCTTTCAATGAGTAGGACTCTCTTAAATATTAATGTAAAATGAATATTCAATAGGCCAATTAATCATTAAAAATTAGCAAACCTCAGCATGAAATTCAGGCCATCATTTATTGCAAAAACACAGAGTAATAGGAGAATGTATTGTGTAACATTTACTGTCTGTGGCCTAAAGTACTTTGTACTTTGTCCGTGTAGCTCAGAATATTAAACGATTTTTAAAAGGCTGCTTCCTTGGGTCAGTGTGGTGTGCTTGAGTTCCGGGAATGCAGCAAAATGAAGTTTAGAAATAATGAAATTGACCAATGCTTCCTATCTCTGTAGTTGGCCATTGTGGGGTCAGTGTTTACTGATCTTTGCTCACTGTCCTGATGAGATAAACTTGATATTTTTAATGGAATAACTTGTTTGTATCAGTCCTCACTCCACATTATGAAAGAATTGTGGAGAAGCTTGCAGAAAACTCTTGGTATGTTATCTTTCACTCAGGAAGTGTTTCTCCAGGAAACTTCCAGAGAGGGAGATTTTGAAGCTGAACAGCTGTGGTTGGACTCTGAGCCTCACTGCTTACTGGCTGTGTGGATTGGGTCCTCCCAGTCCTATCCTTTCCAGCTGTTGAGAAACACAGTTTTTGTAAATCATGATCACTAGACTTTTCAGTCCCCAGAAACTGAGTTTGGGTGGGTTAGGATTTGAGATAACAAGTCCGTTTTCTGGTGTAAGAACAGCAGTCTCTACCAGGCTTCAGGGATTTCTTGAAGTAGCGGTAATGATAACAATATACAAAAATAGCAGCAAGAATCACGACTCACTGCTATTGAACACTTACTACGTTACAGGCACCGTGCCAAACCCTTTACATGCATTATCTAATTCTAGTTCCCTTTCCAGACTGTGGGTCACAACCCATTATTGGGTTCTAATATCAGTGTAGTGAGTCCTGACTAACACTTTTAAAAGAAGTACAGGAAAGTATAGGGTGGAATAAAAGATATCAGAGTAAACTATATGTAGAAGGGTTAAGAATTGTCTTGCAAAACTCTCTTATGTGTACACATGGGAGAGTATTAGGAAACAGTGTAAAATGTGGTTTTCACTGTGGGTCATGGCTGAAAATGTCTGATAGCCATTGAGGCGGGTAGTGTTTTGATCCTTGTTTTTCAGATAAGGAAACTGAGACTCAGAGAAGTTGAGTAACTTGCTCTCGAGGTCGCATAGCCAGCGTGTGGCCAAGTGAGGACTTGCACTGTGGCTGGCCGTCAAAAGTCCCTGAATATCAGCCAACTACACAACTCTGCCACCTTGTTAAAGCCATTTTCAGGTCATTTGGCAAACCTGTATAGGGCCCCAGTCACTGTGGATGGGCTGGGGGGTCATGGGTGTCAGGGGCTGCCCTCTGAAAGAAGCAGGACAATTGTGCTCAGTAAAAAATGGAGAAGAAGAACAGGTATCAGCTTTGGCATAAGGAAGATTAGCCTGAATTTCATGTTCATTATCTCTGTTAGAAGCAAGCTGAAAGCATCTGAAAGTCATTTTTCTTTCGTAATGAAAAGAACCAAGCAGGGGCCTGGGGAATGCAGGTGTCCCCTCCCTGCAGGCGTTTGTGGCATGCCTTTCAAGGTAAAAGTTCCATGTCCTCATCTGGGGAGCTTCTGACATGCGTATATTTTTAGGGGACTCCAGCAAGAGTCTTGGATGGATTTGCCTTGATTAGGAAAAGCTCCAGTGATTAAAACAGGAGGATAGGCATCAGGAGTGGATGGAGTAGGAATACATTCACATTTCTGAAGAATTTGCCAACAGAACTCCTTTACTTAAGGAGATCTCCTTCTACATTTGCTTTTTTGATTACAACTGAGTCATTTGTAATATTTTCCAGAGGGGCTTTTAGGGGTTGGGCAAGAGGGAGTGAAAGATGGCGCAGCCAAGGACTACAGGACTTTCGCCTCTTTCTCATCAAGGAGAAGGAGGAGATGCTTCTGCGAGGTTCCTTCCGCACAGCCTCACACAGCTTTCTTATCACTACACCCAGTGAGTAAGCGAGACACCCCTGGAAAGCCCGCAGCTAGGGCGGCCAGCGGAAGGCGGATTAACAGGAGACCTGCAGTGAGATCTGCCTGGGCCGGTGGGTCCCCCTCTGGCTGCACATCGGGCCAGCGGACAGCCTTAAACAACACTGGTGCCTCCATCTCAGGTGCAGCTTGGGCAGAGGGAGCTTTTGAAGCTCCCCTGGGGTTTCTAGTGTGTAGCCAGGGGTGGGAACCACTGGGCTAGGGTTTTCCAGGGGAGCAAAGTCGTAACTGGCAGGAGTTGCGGATGTGCCTGGAGAGCAGAGTGGCCTTTAAATCATCGTGAGCTTGGCCTTAACCTCCCTGAGCATGATTTTCTGATCTGAAAGTTAACAGGTTCTACCAAGGGACTTTAAAGGCTCTTTGCAGCCCTCAAGTTGTTTAACTCCCTGGGCACTTTCTTCTCTCTCTCTCTCTTTCTCTCTGTGTATGTGTGGTCGGTAAAGGCACTTTTTCACAAATGTCTCTCAGAACGCCCTGTCTGATAGAACCGCTGCATTGGCTTTTTCTTTTTTTTTTTGGCGGTCAGATCACAAGGTTAGGAGATCGAGACCATCCTGGCTAACACAGTGAAACTCCATCTCTACTAAAAATACAAAAAAAAAAAAAAAAAAAAAAATTAAGCGGGCGTGATGGCGGGCGACTGTAGCCCCAGCTACTCGGGAGGCTGAGGCAGGAGAATGGCGTGAACCCGGGAGGCGGAGCTTGCAGTGAGCCGAGATCGCGCCACTACACTCCAGCCTGGGCGACAGAGCAAGACTCTGTCTCAAAAAAACAAAAACAAAACCAAAAACAAAACAAACAAAAACTCATATTGCACATGCTGTGTTCTAGCTTTTTTGTAAGTGAACTCGTTTAATCTTAACAGTCACTTAAAGTCCATTTCTCGAGATGTCCTTCACCATGCTTTTTCTAGTTTATCCCTGCCCCTGAGTGAGCAAGGCTTTGTGTGAGACCTTGTTGAACTGAATTCGAGGCAAGGACTTGGCCATTGAGTTGTGTTTATCAGGTCTCATCCACTTCTAAATATGTTACATTTCAGACCAAGGAGGAAGTGTGTCTTCAGAGACGGTGGTGCGCGGTATTCCCCTCGAGTGAGTGTGATACGTGAACGCACGCTTATCGATCCCTTGTAAGGAGAGGTCATTCACTTTACAATGCTACCCAAGAGACAAGCCCTTCAAATACAGATGTTGGAGTAGAGACGGCAGAGTGGAGGTAAGGCAGGATTGATCTCAGAGACCATGACCCCCCATACCTTTCTCTCGCTGTTCTCTGGAGGGCTGTGAGTCACTGCATGGACAAAGTGTGCTGAAAAGCAGTCCAGCACAGCCCAGGCTACTGCCTTTGGGAATTCAATTGGTAGCTGCCCCTCCCAGCCTCTGCTGTTGGTCATGTGGGACCACCCAGCCAAGCCCAGAGTGGGAGACTAGAATGTCTTATGTTCATCAGGCACTAAAATTCTCGTGGCCGTAACCTCCCCTGAGAGGAAACTGGTATGTGGGTGGAACACACAGACGGCGTCAGCCTGCAGGATGTCCCAGTCAGTGAATACACTTCAGAGCAACATGGCCACATCTCAAGAGCTCTGCTTCCCTTTTTGTAGCCTGTTGCTGGTGTTTCTAAGAGTAGGTGGTCTCCAGAGAACAGAAGCCAGCTTCTAAAAAAGCCTTAGGCAGTCCAGGCTCCGTGGCTCACGCCTGTAATCCCAGCACTTTGGGAGGCCGAGCCAGTCGGATCACCTGAGGTCAGGAGTTTCAGACCAGCCTGACCACTATGGTGAAACCCCATCTCTATTAAAAATACGAAAATTAGCTAGGCATGGTGGTGGATGCCTGTAATCCCAGCTACTTGGGAGGCTGAGGCAGGAGAATTGCTTGAACCTTGGAGGCAGAGGTTGCAGTGAGCCAAGATCGTGCCACTGCACTTCAGCCTTGGTGACAGAGTGAGACTGTCTCAAAAAAAAAAAAAAAAAAAAAAAGCCTTAGGCTTCTGTCTTTCTCTTCTGCTAGGATTTTCCAGGTCCAAGTGTCCCAAACAACAGATGCCTCCAGGCACATTTAATATGCATTAAGGTTTACAGAAATGTGTCTCATGCGATTCCGTAGGAGCATACACCAGATATTGTGTAATGTGAGGATACTTATCCTTGAAGGATAAAGCACACTGGGTCTCCACACAGTGCCGTTCAAACATGGGGTCATGAGAAAGCCCAGGGAGTCTGGAACCAGGGCTGTGGAAAACATTTTAGTGATTAATTTCAAGAAGCTTTTCAGATAGTTAATTTTTTTCTGATTATAAAGGATATTTTAAAAAGTAACTCATACTCTTTGCACAGCTTGAAAAACACAGTATAGATTAAAGAAACGCATAAAAATTCCTCATTGGGTAACAGCGCCCACCAGGGCCTCTCGGGGGGTGGGGGACAAGGGGTGGGAGAGTATTAGGACAAATACCTAATGCACGTGGGGCTTAAAACCTAGATGATGGGTTAACAGGTGCAGCAAACCACCATGGCACAGGTACACCTATGTAACAAACCTGCACATTCTGCACATGTATCCCAGAACTTAAAGTAAAATTAAAAAAAATTCTTCATCATCATACTATTAAAAGGTAGCCTGTGATAACATTTTGTTGTGTTTCCAGTATGGTTTATACAATATTGTAGAAATAGTATTAAATTCCACCATTTTCATTTAATGGCACATGGCAACCAGCTCTGTCTTTGCAAATCCTTCATTTGCGTGGTTCCAGTGGTTCCATGTTAGTCCATCCTGTGACTCTGCAATAACTTGTTTAGCCATTCCCTTATGATTGAGCATTTAGGTTGTTTTCCATTTTCTCTCACATAAATAATGAGCAGCTTTGTAAAATGGTGGGTATCTACATTTCCAAAAGTATTCTTAGGAAATGCTAATGCAGCATTTTAAAGGCTCTCTGTATATATTGCCAAATTGCTTTCCAGAAACCTTATACCAATTTATATTCCCTCAAGGTGAGCATAAGCGTGCCCTTTTCATTGTGCTCTTCCTGGCATTGCTATAATTTTTACTAATTTAGTAAGTGAAAAGTAATGTCCTATGTAAGTTGGTAATTCTTAGTGTATGGCATCCTGTCTTAGTCCCCAAATTCTAAAATATTCATATTTGCAGCAAATGTTTGAGGGTTTCCTAGTGCTAGTCTCTGAGATAGATGCTAAGATTACAGAGATGACCTCACTGTGTCTGCCTGCAAGGGTCTCAGGGCCAAGTGGGATCAAGGCTACAGTAGGTAGAGGGCTGCAGCTGAAGTCAGGACATCAGACTTGAAGGATCCCAGTGAGAAAGAGGCACTCTGGGCAGGGTGTGTGTGTGTGTGTTTGTGTGTGTGTGTGTGTGTTTGGGGGCAGTGGATGCTGAAGACTTGCTTGATATGAACTGGATCCAATTGCGGGAACCATGGCATGGTCTTTCTTTATAAGAAGAGTGATTAGATTTTGAAATATGACATTAAGGAATATTCATTAGCTTGTATGTCTTAAGAATAGAAAAAATAACTTTCGGTTTGAGATCATTTAACTCTGGTATAATGGGAAATATATATTTGGGCTTCGTCTCTGGTTCCTGGCACAAGCTCCTAAGCCCTTGGAATTTCCCGAGTGACGGGGTAAGAGGAGTTTCTTTTGTCATTCATAGCAAGCCCCTTTCAATCATACCTGACTTTATGCTAGTGAGATGACTCTTGGGGAAAGAGGGGTGTCCCTAGACAGCTTTGGTATGTGAGCTGGTTCTTAGAAAGACTAAGCCATGATTAGAGGGTTGGGACTTTCAGCCCCACCCAGCCCTGATCTCAGGGGAAGGGAGAGGGGCTGGAGGTTGAGTTCAGTCACCAATGGCCAATGATTTTATCAATCATTTACATGAAATGAAACCTCCAAAAAACCCCTGAAAGATGGGGTTTGGAGAGCTTCTGAGTTGGAGAACACATTGAAGTTCTGGGAGGGTGGTGCACCCGGAGAGGGCATGAAAACTCGGAGAGCCTCCATCCCCATCCCTTGCCCTAGACAGCATTTCCATTGGGCTGTTCCTGACTTGCGTCCTTTATAATAAGTCAGGAACAACAGTAAAGCCTTTTTTGAGTTCTGGGAGTCATTCTAGAAACTTGTCAAACCTTAGGAGGGGATTGTGGGTACCCTCAATTTATAGCCAGTTGGTGAGAAGCATGGGTGGCCTGGACTTGGCTGGCATCTGGGATGGGGGGCAGTCTTGTAGGACTGAGCCCTTACCTAAGGGATCTCTACTTGCTTCTAGTAGTGAGTGTCAGAATTGAGTTGAATTGTTGGACACCCAATTGGTGTCAGAGAATTGCAGAAATGGTGTTGGAAAAGACATCATGTATTTGATGTCACAGAGAATCTAATGAACTATCTAGACAAAAATTATTTTTAAGATGTGCTGTTGGGATTATACCTCTTATAAAAAATAAAGCAAAAAAGGCAAAAGAAAAAAATTAAGATTTATTATGAAAAACAAATAATGTTTAAATCTTGGTGAGGAGCCTTCCAGATTTATTGCTATAAATGTATACACATAGCTATGTATACAGATTTTTTATGTACATGGAATCATCCTCTATTATATATAAACACACACACACACACACACACACATATAAAATGTGCCTTGTGTTTTTTTCACTCAGCAACACCTTGAAAAGTGTTCAGTGTTAATAGATATAGACTCACATCCTCGTTTTTTTTTTTTCAGACAGGGTCTCACCCTGTCGCCCATGCTGGAGTGCGGTGACGTGATCTCGGCTCACTGCAACCTCTGCCTCCCGGGCTGAAGCCATCCTCCTGCCTCAAGTCTCCTGAGTAGTTAGGACCACAGGCACACACCACCACACCTGGCTAATTTTTGTAATTTTGGGAGACACGAGGTTATATCATGTTGTCTAGACTGGGAGCACCCTTTTTTAATACCCGAATAATGATTATTGCACATATGTCCCATGTATATTTAGCCAGTCTCCAGGAGGTGACTTGGAGCTTTCTATAATCATGTAGAGTCATTGATATCAAGTCAGAAAAATTGCTATGGATTTAGAAACAGAATAGTCTTATTTACATATTCCCTCGACTTATCACAAAATAGTTTAAAGTTGTTTCTAACAATTGTGCGTACAACACAATATTATAAACACATGAGTAGAAAACCAGGAGCAGTGAAAGTGAGGCGCCAGTCCTGCGACAGAGATTAAGCAGATGAAGGGGCTGGGATGGTGGTGGCAGGAGGCTCAAGGAACAGAATCCCAAAGGCTTGGTGGCCTGGATCTAATTTGAACTGCTGCTCTGATCTGTGGTCTTACAAGTGATGTCTTTCATAGCCCATTGCCACGGCAGGCCATGCAGGCTCTTTCCACCTCACTCTCAGCGGTCTTATACTTCTGTGGTCAGCTGGTATTTAAGAACTCACCTTGGCCTCCATTCTCACCTGACTGTGCACTCTCTCTGGCTATACATAGAGAGATGGACTATATAGGTAGAGATATATATTCTTCACATCTGTATCTACTTCCTCTGTCTGTGTGGATATAGCCATGCAATTGTGTGTCTATATAGACCCGTGTGTGTGCGTGTGTGTGTGTGTGTGTACACACATTCGTATGCATCTACGGAGAGAGAGACAGGAAAAAAGGGAGGGAGACTCTCCATTAGTAGTCAACTTTTAAGTTTCATACATCCAATTTTTTTGCTTGGCAAATGCCTACATGGATCTATGAAGGTTTCAAACAGACAAACACCCTCAGTTGTGTGTTCCACAACACCCACCCGCCCCACCCTTATTTCACTTCTCTCTCTGGGTGCTGCTTGTGATGGAAAACCCTCTAGTCCTAATTTAGTATTTACAAGATGTGCACACGTTCATTCATAGCAAATCCTCAGGATTATTTCCTCAGAGCTGAACCCTTATGTATAGTACTCCCCTTTCTCCTTGCCTTTTCCTCTTCCTTACCTTGCTTCTTTCATCTTGAAAACTCCATAGTTTTATCCCATCACTCTAAGTAAATGTCATTGGGGCCTGGATTTCGGCAGACTGCGGAAAGGTTGATTACCAGCAGGGGGCGCACTAAGCGTCTCGAGCTGATTTTGTGTTTAGGGAAGACCCCGGAATCTTTTTCTCTACCTATTTACTTATTTATTTTTATCTTTCCAACTTTTATTTTAGGTGCAGGGGTACAGGTGCAGGTTTTTTATATAGGTAAATTGTGTGTTGCTGAGGGTTTGGTGTACAGATTATTTTGTCAGGCAGGTAATAAGCATAGTACCCTATAGTGTTTCAATTCTCACCCTCTTCCTACTCTCCACCCTCAAGTAGGCTCCCGTGTCTGTTGTTCCTTTCTTTGTATCCATGTGTATTCAACATTTAGCCTCTACTTATACATTAGAACATGTTGTATTTGGTTTTCTGTTCCTGCAGTAATTCTTTCAGAATAATGGCCTCCAGCTCTATCTATGTTGCTGCAAAGGACATAATCTGTGTTTTTTTATGGCTGCATAGTATTCCATGGTGTATGTATACCACATTTTCTTTATCCAGTCCACTGTTGATAGGCATCTAGGTTGATTCCATGTCTTTGCTGTTGTGAACAGTGCTGTGATGAATATACGCGTGCATGTGTCTTTGTGGTAGAATGATTTATATTCCTTTGGGTATATACCCAGTAATGGGATTGCTAGGTTGAATGATGGTTCTATTTTAAGTTCTTTGAGAAATCTACAGATCGCTTTCCATGGTGGTTGAACCAATTTACATTCCTACCAACAGTATATAAACATTCCCTTTTCTCCACAGCCTCGCCACCTGTTATTTTTTGACTTTTTAGTGATAGCCATTCTGATTGGTGTGAGATGGTAGTTCATTGTGGTTTCGATTTGCATTTCCCTAGTGATCAGTGATATTGAGGATTTTTTCATGTGCTTGTTGGTCGCGTGTATGTCTTCCTTTGAGAAGACACTGGAACTTGCTGAATAGCGTATTTCACTCTTTGTATGTCTAGTAGAATGTAATGGAAATTTTAATTTCATGCATTATTAAATTTATTTTAATAGTATATAATTTATTATTTTAAATAACTGAATTAATAATTGCATTTAAACTTAATTAGCATAGTATTTTTTTTACTGCAAATAATGCTTTACACCAAAATGCTGACAATGATCAGATTAGGTTGAGAATATATATGATTATAGGTGGTGATTAATATTTTAGGAAGTAACTAGAGCCGGCATTTGGGGGTGTTGCGGACGATTCTTACGAATCCAGACAATTTGCTCTTTTAAACGCGGCCTTGCGGTTGTCTAACAGTGAGAATAGATGACTAACTGAATTTGTCAGACTCCCTGCCTTCTGTCATAATAACGACGCAGAATTGCCACCGTTATGTGTCTTGGAAATCTTAAATTCTTTAGCTCTCACACACAAAAAATTGAACGGAAGATACTTGGAGAGCCAGGGTCCATTCAGCACAGCGCGGCTGGGTCGGCTTCCATTCCTGGGTCCGCAGCGCCCTCGTGTGGTAGGTGCCCAGCCTTCCTGGCTGCATCTCAGGCCAGGGTACCCATTGATCCTTACTTCCCAGTACAGTAGCTGCCTTCCTGGGTCACACCCCATCGGAGGTCACGATCTACCAGGAGGTTAGCCACCCGCTGTGGTTGTCTTGTAGTTCTTCGCAATAAGTTACTGGCTAGGAGTGCTTGTAATAAGTCCTGAGTAGGACATGGCGATTCCATTCCTTACACATGTTGTGTACACGCAGTTATCCTCAACTGGTTGGTTGGACCGTGGCGTTTATTTCCACAAAGCAGCAGTTTCCTAAAGGATGGTTTAGAACCCAGTGCATCCATGGAGACCTCCTTACTTTAGTCTCTAGCTGTGGTCATGCCCTGTAGGAGATTTCTGAGTTTTGAAGACCCGGTTAGGTACTGGAGAATCATTTGCATTTGCTGAAGCACCACTATAGGCCCGGGAGGGGGTTGGAGGGGCTGGCTTGCCACTGAAGGAGGACCAGACATGGCCTGGTCATCAGCGGCAGAGGGAGAAAAGTTATGGGGCTAGTCCCTACCCCCTGCCCTGCTCTGCCTCCTGCAGAGACTTCAGACCTCTTATGCCTCCTGCCCAAGCGAAGCAGCCAGGGGAGTAGGAATAGGTTTCTTTAGTTCCTAAGTCAAGACGATTGTTTCTCCGAATTCCTTAGACTCACAGTCTATGTTGTTGATTTATGGAGGCAGTAGTGAGGCCCCGTACCCCAATGCCTCCTACCTTGAGACCTGGACAGAGGATTGCCCTGTGAAATTCAAACCTTAAATCAGTAGGTAGCAGCAGAGACAGGCATGGTGCCTTAAAGATAAAGAATACAGATGGCCTCCCTATTCACGGAGGGGCCTGCAACCTTTATATAGCTCTACATACATCCCCTCCCGTGTGCAGATGCTTCTTGACTTACCATGGGGTTACCTCCCAATAAATGCATCATAAAGTCAAAAAGTTGTAATCTGTCTGGATATATGTATTGGTCTGTTCTCACATTGCAATAAAGAAATACCTGAGACTGGATAATTTATAAAGAAAAGAGGTTTAGGCTGGGTGCGGTGGCTTACACCCTGAAATCCCAGCAGTTTGGGAGGCTGAGTTGAGCGGATCACCTGAGGTTAGGAGTTCAAGACCAGCCTGGCCAACATGGCGAAACCCCATCAGTACTAAAAATACAAAAATTAACCGGGCATGGTGGCACTGCCTGTCATCTCAGCTACTCAGGAGGCTGAGGCATGAGAATTGCTTGAATCTGGGAGGCGGAGATTGCGGCTGCAGTGAGCCGAGATTGCGCCACTGCATTCTAGCTTGGGCAACAGAGTGAGACTCTGTCTCAAAAAAAAAAAAAAAAAAAAAGAAAGAAAGAAAGAAAAGCGGTTCATGGTTCTGCAGTCTGTACAGGATGCATAGCGGCTTCTGCTTCTGGGGAGGCCTCCCGAAGCTTCCAATCATGGTGGAAGGCAAAGGGGGTCCAGCTTCCTACATGGCAGAAGCGGAAGCAAGAGAGCGAAGGGGAAGTGCCAGACACTTTTAAGCAACCGGATCTCGCAAGAACTCACCCACTATCATGAGAACAGCACCAAGGTGGTGGTGCTAAACCATTCATGAAAGATCCACCCCCATGATTGAATTCTGTCCCGCCAGGTCCCACCTCCAACAGTAGGGATGACAATCCGATATGAGATTTGGTGGGGACACAGATCCAAACCATATCATGTTATACGTGTATATGTAATATTGAAGGAGTTAAGATCACATGAACCCAAAATATGCCGCTCCAGCATGTTGACTTTTTTGAGTTAAGAACACTTGAAAAACAGAGGTGCAAGAAGATCACTCTGCCCTTCCGTTTCTTAAAAGCAGGAGATGAAATTCCTGTGTAAAAGATGTCTCCCAATACCAGAAGGAAAGTGTCATGCTTATCATCAAGGACAAAAAGTTGAGGCTGAGGGAAATCTGTACAAACCCTGTCAAGCCAATCCTCATCTTCCCTGTCCCTCTCTACCTAGTTAAGTACCCTAGTCCTGCCACATCTTTGCCCAATTCTGCATATAATGTAAGTGTTCAACTCTAATTGCATCTTCATTTTGTCATGAAGGTTCCAGTGCCACGTAAAAGTTATATTAAATAAATATGTATGCATTTCTCCTGTTGATCTATCTTACGTCAATTTAATTACTAGGCCCAGCCAAAAAACCCTAAGAGGGTAGAGGTGATTTTTGCCTCCCTACAATATAATCCATATAACCACCTTATATATGTATATGTATGTGTGTGTGTATAAAAACAAATCATATTATATATATAATACAATCTCTATATTCCTCATATATGTTTCTGTATATGTGTGTGTGCACATATAAACATATATATGGTTAAAAGCTGGGTAGTTCAAAGTCCTACCTTCAGAATCAGTAAGATTTCAAACCCAGCTGCTTTACATCCTCCAGTGTGACCTTGAGACAATTTTGTATCTCTCTAGTCCTCCATTTCTTTGGGTAAAATGGGGCTCATGATAGCGCCTCCCTCAAAGTTGTGAGGATTGAGTTAATCCCTGAGGCAAGTGTTAGTGGTTCCCACGTTCAAGGGTGGGAAGGCAAGGCACAGTCAGTGGCAGTGGGATCAGGACCCCATTAGCAGGCTGCCTGTCTGTGAAGGTGGCAGCAATGAATGTGTGAATCATGACTGCCTTCTCTTGGGTGATGTCCCCACTCTTCAAAGAACCTTCAGATTGTAACTTGGGTTCCACTGCAGCTTAGCTACAAGGGAAGTGTGGGTTTGTCTTGCAAGTTACACATTTCTCATTGTATATCTACACATTGACTTTCCTGTTAATTTATGACTCTCATGGCAAACTGCACTCTATAGAAGATCTGTCATCCCTGCGATGATGGAATCAGGGTTTTGAGACTGGGAGTCAAGAGGTGGACCTGAACTTGCCAGCATTCTGCCTCCCTTTGAGTCCTCTGGGAGATATTTCTTGGTGTCACCTTGTGCTGCTTTCTTCTGCTATAATAGTTTCATACTTAATATGAGCCAAAGAATAAACAGACTCAAAGGCTAATGAAGCCACCATTTAAAAGATAACTTTCTCTTTTCTCTTAGGATACCTGGGATGAACTCCTAATTGGTAGTGTAGAAGTGAAAAAGGTAATGGCATGCCCCAGGTAAGGAGCCTAGCTAGACCCCAGGACTGTGGTGTGGCCCATTCATTGGTTCCTAAGCATCACCTAACCCTTGGTTACTGCATAACAGGTGTATTTTGACAACGGTGGACCCAGACACTGGAGTCATAGACAGGAAACAGCCACTGGACACCCTGAAGAGGTAGAATACCACCACAGCCAGTGTATTTTAAATATTATCTCCACCCCAGAACTACCTATGGGTTTAGGTGCTATGTCTGCTTTAGGGAAGATATGACCTTTCTCTCCGGAGAACCTTCCAGTCTACCTTCTGACTGATTCGCGTCTATTGGTTAATGAGAGCACTGTTGCTTCCTCTCTTTTTCTGGATGGATCCTCTAGTGCTTTGGATAAACTTTTTTTTTTTTTTTTTTGAGAGGAGCCTCACTCTGTCCCCCAGGCTGGAGTGCAGTGGCGTGATCTTAGCTCACTGCAACCTCCACTTTCTGGGTTCAAGTGATCCTGCCTCAGCCTCCTGAGTAGCTGGGACTACAGGTGTGTGCCACCATGCCTGGGTGATTATTGTTATTTTTAGCAGAGACAGGGTTTCACCATGTTGGCCAGGCTGGTCTCAAACTCCTTGCCTCAGTGATTCGCCTGCCTCCCAACATGCTGGGATTACAGGCATGAGCCACCATACCCAGCTTTGATAAACTTTTAATTCTATAATACTACATTTTGAAATTTTAGTATCTCTCATATCAATTTTTAATACTATTTATATATGTCTTTCCAAATGTAGGCCTTAAACACTTTATTTAATCATGTTTATTGCAACTCAAATTCCTTTATTAGAATCAATATCAAGGAATATGAGAATAATTGAAACTGCATAATGAAATATTAGAAAAAAATGAATGTAATGAGTTGTCAGAGCTTTTTTACCAAGGAGCTTCTTTTATGCTAAGGATTTCTCTTTTGTTTTGTTATTTAAAGAAGTTTGGCTGACTTTAGTTCCCAACGAAGATAGTGATTTAGGCTTAACATTCTTTGGAGCTGTATTCTATTTTGTTTCTCTTTCCTCTGTTTTGTGGATTGTTTCCAATGGGTTTAGCTTAGAAAAGAGGTTATTTCATGATGACTTCAGATTTACAATTCTATTTTGTTTTTGATTTTTAAGATGTAGTGATAATTATTTAAGATGCTGTGAAAGTTATTGTTTTCTTTAGACAGGACACTGGAAAAAGATTAACATCTGCAGTAGTCCAGACCCATCTGCCAACTTCATGTCTGTCTGAATTTTTGTTCACCAGTGAACCCCAGCTTTGGGCTCATAAACCTGGAGGGGGTTGAAAGCATGGTGCTTAAATGCACTAAACAGAAGATTTGTAGAGTTCAGGGCCATTCCATTTTGAGTTTTAGGGGCATTTGTTTCAATGAGTTGTGAAGTTGAAGGTACCCATATAGACAAAGTATTTATTTTATACTTACACATAAGTTTTTTTCTTTTTGGACTTAAACTGAAGCCATGGAGAAATTGCGTAGACTTTCAGGATACTTCTAGAAAAACTAGAATTATTTGCAGTTTGACTAATTGTCCACAGACTTCTCTCGCAACATTTTAGAAAATTCTTGCTGTGTATTTATAAATAACTTGGAAGGCAAACTTGAGTTCTATTGAGAATACTTCGATTATTATTTCCTTTTTGTGTCTGATGATTGAATTTTTGCTTGTTTCAGCTACCGCCTGTGTGATCCTTCTGAGAGGGAATTGTACAAGTTGTCTCCACTTTTTGGGATCTATTATTCAGTGGAAAAAATTGGAAGCCTGAGAGTTGGTGACCCTGTGTATCGGATGGTGTAGTGATGAGTGATGGATCCACTAGGGTGATATGGTAAAGGGTCAGCTTTGCTTCTGAATACGCTGTCTTGAAGCCATTGCTGCATTTTCTTGTGTTAATTTTTTTTATGTTATGCTGCTTTAATTCTTGAGAGAATGAACAGTTTTATATTCTGATCTTTGGAGTTGGAAAATGCCCTTAATTTCTGTTCCCTGCAGTAATTTGTGTACTCCTACCTCAGCCTTCTCCACCCCTATTTCCCATTTAATGGTAAAATGCTGATGGAAGAGGCTCAGCAGAAAGACAGGTATATGTTCACAGCTCATTACAGAATATCATTAAGGAATAGGGAAATGAAGGTGATTGATTCTCAGAGTTATGTACATTCTCAGAGTTATGTATTTATTTTTTCTGTCTCAGATAGAAGGGAAAATGTTTAAATTATTCAACATCAGCTTGGGAAATGTTTAAATTGAATGTCTTTTATCAAATGTATTTTTAAAGTATAATTGAAGTTTGAAAAAAAATCAGTGCATCATGGTGACTGGGTCCTGAATCATGAGTTAGAAAATAATGTTCTCACATTGATTTCATTGTGTCCAATACAGCCCTCACTCCTGGAGGCAAAAGCCTAACTCCCAAATTAAAGGAATGAGAAAGTTGGACAGAGGACCTCAAATTGGAGATTTTAAGCAAGTTTTCTCATAAAATCCATGACCCAGTTCTTTAAGTTACCTCATCTCCAAAACTCTTGACCATCCTTCTCTCTGATTCTGGCCTGAGCTTCTCACGTGTGTTACTTGCCTTTGTAGTCTTGACACCCACAACCTGACCCTCCTTAAGGACAGTGTAACACAGTGGCTTAGAAGGTGTAGATCTAGCATTAGATAGACTTGGGTTTGTAATCCAAGCATCTTCCTAACTTGGTTGAGATGTTTAACTTCTCTTTAAGTCTCAGTACCCTTATCTGCAAAGTGGGAATAATAGTACTTACCAAAACAAGCAATAAAAGTTATCTTGAGTATTAATTCATATAAAGTTGCGCTGCAACACAAATAAAGTGCTCAGTAAATATCAGTTATGTTTTTTATTGCCATCATTCCATCATGATCCAGTCTTAGGTTCCATAGTGGGTATAAAGATGACACAGGCTTTGCCTTTGAGGTGGGCAAAAAGGAGCTACACTTCTATTGATGACTGTTATGACTAGGTATTTGCATAACCATAACCATATTTCATAACATATTTCATCCGTTCTGAGATCCTATTCTAACATCTCTGATATCAGTCAGCTTCTTATAACATTCAGGATGCCTTTTGAAAAATATCAGTGATGCATAAAATTATCAGTGATGCATATAATAATGGTGCATCTTACAATTGGTATATCTTGGATTTGATGAAATACAATAAGTATTAATACTAGAGGGGAAACTGTGAAGCTCCTAAGTACCTGGCATTTCTAAAAGCCCCATTTGGGGAGAGTGGACCCAAGCCTGAGCCATCTAGCTTGAGTGAAACTGATCCTGTGTCCTGCTGTTCCAGTCATGATTGACTGGACCTGGATCATTGTGTGAGCCAAGGGCTTTCATGTGTTCTCTGCATCTGAGGGAGCCCAATGGCTGTGAGATACCATAACGATTGAGGGTTTTCCATATCACTCCGTCACAAACTCATCCAATCAGATCCTGTTTTGCAGTGGATGGAGGCAACAAACATCTGTGGTTCACTCAGCCTCAATTTCCAATTGTCTCTGCTGCCCAGAAGGCCTTGTGTAATCTTTATCTGTGAGAGGATCTCTGTGAGATAGATATGATAACAGGCACTTTATGGATGAGAAACAAAGGCTTAGATAGGTCAGCTGACGTAGGGCCTGGGAGCTGATGTGAGTTAGAGCTAATGGGCCATGCTTTCTGCACAGCACTGCACCATACATTTATATGTGTAACCTCAATAAGTGACTGTTTTGTGGGAGTTTGAATTATTTATGAACAGTAGGATAAACAACCAAATAACCAGAGATTCTTATTATTTATTCAGGCTTCAGCAACCAGGAGGGATTGACTGAGATCTTAACAACAGCAGCAACGATACATCAGCAAATCCTTATTATCCAGCCTTCAACTATCTTTACCCTGGAAAACAATCTCGATTTTTGACTTTTCAAAGTTGTGTATGCTCCAGGTTAATGCAAGGAAAGTATTAGAGGGGGGAATATGAAAGTATATATATAAATTTTAGGTACTGAAGGCTTTAAAAATAATTAAGATCATCAAAAATGCTATTTTGAATGTTATCATGGCTATTACACTTTTACTTCCTGACTTTAATATTGATGAATAAAGCAAGTTTAATGAATCAACTAAAAAGCTGCAAAAATGTTTTTAAAATGTGTGCCTTTTATTACCTATCAGTCTATGTTTTGGGAGAAATGGGAAGCAACAGATCACTGTGTCCTGATGTGCAGGACGCATGTTACCACACTCACAAATGCCTAATATTGGTCTTTATGTGGCCATTGAGTCCTGTTGACTTTCCACTCATGTGCTTTTTACTCTAGCATTATGGAATCTGGGCTGTACTTGAGTATGGAAATTCTCTTATAGACTTAGTTTTAGTACTCTATTACACCTTTACTAAGCCACATAAAAGTAATCTGTTTGTGTGTAACTGCCAGATATACCACCTGGAATTCCAAGTAAGATAAGGAAGAGGATGACATTTAAAAGAGAATGGAATTTTGAGAGTAGGAATGCAAGGAAGACAGCATGAACATATTTTTTTCAGTGCAAATAATTTTTTCGTAACAAAGAAACGAACAACTTTGGTATGATCTTAAGCAAAAATACTCACTGAAATAGTATGTGGATGAATTCACCTACTTACAATTTTATGGTTTCTTTGTAAATAATAAATGTGAATCTCAATCCTGCTTTATCTTTGGTATTTATGAGTCTTCTTCCTGGGTTTTTCTCTTTATATTAGAATTTGAGTCACTGCAATTTATTTTTCCTTACCCTTTCTGATTGCCTCCAGAGATACAATCTGACTCCACAAACACTGGCTTCTGTCATTGGCAGGGGGCGAGGGCGTTGTGAGCTGCAGGCACACAGGTGGCCTGTCTGTGGCAGGATGGCCAGTGTCCGCAAGGGGCCTTCCTAGTGGTCAGTGAGGAGTGGCTGTTCCCTCCTCCTCCATTTTCCTTTGCTGGGTTCTGGGACTGAAATTCACCACCATTCCCCGCACCCTGTGAGGTAAAAGTGGTAAGTGAGCTGTAGGCCTGGGTAAATTCTGGAAGTGATGAAATTGAAAAATCAGAACTTCAAAGTCAGCCATTAAAATAGGGAAGCCATTTTTTCCTCTTAAATTTTCAAAGAGGAATTCAGGAGGGAGATAAACAGAAACGCACATTTGGTGCCCCGGAACTGCCTTTCCGAGGAGGATCAAGTCGTGCCTCCTGCTGAGCTGTGTCCTTTACAGACAAGGTGTGACCTGGGGTTGGAAGAGAAGAGAATAGAGCAGAAAAACAGGACAGATAAGTGTTCAGGCCAATAAAGACAGAGCCTCCCTGAGCACTGAACTGCTCTGCAGTGAGTTGCCAGCTGGAGGAAGAGTGTTGTTCTTTTCTCTTGGCGAACTCCCGCTTCTCATCCATGCACCCTTGCCCTGCATGGGCAATTCTGGCTGAGTCTTGCAATGTACACTCCTGGCTCAGGGGACCATGGCTGAGCTGGGGATAACACAGACTCTCCTTGACCAAACTTCGGACTCTCCTGTGCCCTTTTCTTCATGAGGCCTTGACCTTGCCACCCTACTCCCTGCAGAGCCCAGTTTAGCAAGAATCCTGCTTAGTCAGTTTCCAGAGTATTCTCCCATCCTTAATATCTGATCACCCTTGATGTCTGCTCAGATTCCTCATATGTCACCCTCAGTGTGTAAGTCCTTGCCTTGTTCAGTAGAATCCTGTTAAGTGGGTTTATCAAGAATCCTCTACACTTGATGTCTCCGCTTAGTGATTTTCCATTCACTGACCCCGAGGAACTTCGCTCCTTGGCTATGAATCCTGAGCTGTCTTTGCTGTAATACAGAGTTGAGCCTAATCTCTTTCCCCTATTGTGATGCCCCTGTTACAGTAGCCTTGAATAGTCTTCCTTACCTTTTTAACAAGCGTCTGAGGGAATTTTTTTCCTTTAATAGCTTGGTACATCAAGCAGGAGCCTGACTCCTAAACCACGCTGTTCGGGGTATGCTAACATTGTTGTCTGGAATATAACCTGATTTGGAAGTGACAAGTGACTGAGGTGAGTGCCTGCAGGACCAAGTGACTTTCCCTCCCGCCGGAAGCAGCCCGGGGACCTTGTGCAGCGTTAAACTGAGCCAAGGCCCTTGCCAATGCAGCTCCAGCTCGAGGCTCCCCGCCGGTAGGAGTCGAGCGTCCCCGAGCCGTGTAGAAGGCACTCTCAGACGCCCATTGCCGCTCCCAGGGGCCGCCGGGAGAACTCTGGCCTTGGCTCGCCGGCGCGGAGGGCCTGGTAGCATCCTCCTTCATCAGACCCCCACTCTCTGGAAGCTCCTAGCCCCTGGGCAGACTGAGGGGAGGGCGGCGGCAGCAGAGAGCTGGACACTGCACAGGCCAGGCAGGGCCTACCAGCTCTCCACTATTCCCAGGAGAGGCTGCTGCCAGCTGTCTGATTTCTAATTTCAAAATCACGCTTTGTCCTGCAAATGTTGTATATTGTTTATTTTAGGTCAAATAACCCCATAAATACGTAAGTAAATAAATTGGTCACTTGCAGCGATCGTGGGGTGGGGGAGGGCACAGCGCCCTGCAGCGCAGGCGACGGAAGGTTGCAGAGGCAGTGGGGCGCCGACCAAGTGGAAGCTGAGCCACCACCTCCCACTCCCCGCGCCGCCCCCCAGAAGGACGCACTGCTCTGATTGGCCCGGAAGGGTTCAGGAGCTGCCCAGCCTTTGGGCTCGGGGCCAAAGGCCGCACCTTCCCCCAGCGGCCCCGGGCGACCAGCGCGCTCCGGCCTTGCCGCCGCCACCTCGCGGAGAAGCCAGCCATGGGCGCCGCCGGCTCCTCCGCGCTGGCGCGCTTTGTCCTCCTCGCGCAATCCCGGCCCGGGTGGCTCGGGGTTGCCGCGCTGGGCCTGACCGCGGTGGCGCTGGGGGCTGTCGCCTGGCGCCGCGCATGGCCCACGCGGCGCCGGCGGCTGCTGCAGCAGGTGGGCACAGTGGCGCAGCTCTGGATCTACCCTGTGAAATCCTGCAAGGGGGTGCCGGTGAGCGAGGCGGAGTGCACGGCCATGGGGCTGCGCAGCGGCAACCTGCGGGACAGGTACGGCCAAGCGCCGGCGCGGGGCAGCGCTGATCCGGCTCGGGGCAAGGGGGTGAGAAGGGAGGAGCGCAGGGGAGGTCTGCAGAGTCTGCTAACAGGTCCTTCCTCCTATTACAAAGAAACTGGGAGTTGGGTGAGACAAGGCCAAAGAGAAAAAGGAACCCTCACCCCCCAGCATCAGACCCCAGGGCTCTGGGACTCTGAGCGCGTGGACCCGTTTTCCCGGGGTGGGCGGATCTCCACCTCCCACTGGCTCTTTGGCGTCATGTGCTCCTGCTGAGGTGTGGTATCGCTCCCAGGTGTCTGCCAGTGAGCAAACTTCTTAATCTCCATTTAGTGGAGGCGGCTAGCTTGAAGAGGTTGGTTCCCAGTCGCTATTTTGAGTGACTTTCTTGAGATCTTGGAGAAAGCTGAACTGTAGAGTCCAGCCCTCCAAGAGCGCACCAAGGCGGAGCTCATAATAGTAATGACAGCAGTTCAACGAATACCTTCGGGCGCGGTGGCTCACGCTTGTAATCCCAGCACTTTGGGAGGCCGAGGCGGGTGCATTACCTGAGGTCAGGAGTTCGAGACCAGCCTGACCAACATGGTGAAACCGCGTCTCTACTAAAAACAAACAAACAAACAAAAAAACAAAAATTAGCCGGGCGTAGTGGCGCGCACCTGTAATCCCAGCTACTCAGGAGGCTGAGGCAGGAGAATAGCTTGAACCCGGGAGGTGGAAGTTGCAGTGAGCCAGGATTGCGCCACTGCACTCCAGCCTGGGCAACAGAGCGAGACTCCGAATCAAAAAAAGAAAGAAAGAAAGAAAGAGTTGTGGGGGCATTGCAGATGCTATTTTCCCCAATTCTCTCCAATGCTCTCAAGCACTCTTGTGGATAAAGAAGTTGAATTCAGAGCCACACAGCAGCAGAACCAGGACTCTTATTTTCTTTAGCACACTGGGGCTTTGTAAAGAGTGACTTTGTTAATGTCCTGTCTGGGTTCTGAGAGCTGCGTGGATTCCTGGGGTTCAGCGAAGGCTGCAAAACCCGGGAGCCGGCAGCTTTGTCCTCTTTAGGGTCTGGCTTCAGGCCAGCCTCGGGTCTTATTGTGAGGCTGCACTTGAAACTCCTTTCCAGAGCAGCCCTCGCAGTTCAGCAAGTAACACAGGACTAATGGGAGCTGTAACCTTTCTCCTACCAGCTCCCCAGACAGAGGGCAATTCATGACATAGTTGAAAGGTGAGTGACGTATGCATCTTTGCTTCAGGAAGGAAGCCAAGAATCCTAAATATTCCATGTTTTGGGCCAGGCGCGGTGGCTCACTTCTGTAATCCCAGCACTTTGGGAGGCCGAGGCGGGTGGATCACAAGGTCAGGAGATTGAGACCATCCTGGCTAACAGGGTGAAACCCCTTCTCTACTAAAAAATACAAAAAATTAGCCGGGCTTGGTGGTGGGCGCCTGTAGTCCCAGCTACTCGGGAGACTGAGGCAGGAGAATGGCGTGAACCCGGGAGGCGGAGCTTGCAGAGCTCCACTGTGGCAGAGATCTCGCCACTGCACTCCAGTCTGAGCGACAGAGTGAGACTAAGTCTCAAAAAAAAAAAAAATCCATGTTTCGTATAGTAGGCTCTGAAAAGTGGTAGAGTTTTTGTAGGCCCCAGAGGCAAAGGGCACTGGAATTTTACTACTTAGATTCAAAAAGCAGTTTTTGAGCTCATATTACAATAGATGACAAGAAGAGCTGGCCTTTGTACCAGACACTATGATAAATTCTTTATTTTCGTTCATCACACACTCCCAGAAAGTGTGATCAAAAGAAGCCAACACTGGCTTACAGTCCTAGGTTGTGACTAGACTAAACAGAGGTTGTGACACGTGCCAGGGTGCCAGCATAGAGGATGCGACACGTGCCAGGGTGCCAGCATAGAGGATGCAGTGCTGGAAGCTGGCTGGGGCCGTCAGGGACAACATCAGAGAGAAAGTAACAGCTTGAGCTGAAAACTGGAAAACGATTCAGAACTTGCTGGGCAAGTAAATTGGGAGAAGAACTTTCTAGAGAGGGAATAAGCTGGGCAAAGACACTCGGCTTGTGAGGATGGGGTATGCTAGGGGAAAGGCTGGCATAGTCAATGCCAGAGGGGTCCAATCTTTTGGCTTCCCTGGGCCACATTGGAAGAAGAATTGTCTTGGGCCACACATAAAATACACTAACACTAACAACAGCTGATGAGCAAAAACAAAAACAAAAACAAAAAAAATCTCATAATGTTTTAAGAAAGTTTATGAATTTGTGTTGGGCCTCATTCAAAGCTGTCCTGGGCCACGGGTTGGACAAGCTTACTCTAAGGTATTTACCAAAAGGAACTGGGACATAAATAGGATGAATGTTCTTTGCAGCATTGAGTGTTGAATGTTCATTATGATGTTATTCACAGTAGCCAAAAGGTGGAAACAACTAAGTGTCCATTGATGGATGAGTAGATAAGCAAAATGTGGTATATACACACAATGGAATATTATTCAGCCATGAAAAGGAATGAAGTTCTGATATGTGCTACAACATGGATGGCCCTGGAAAACATAATACTAATTGAAATAAGCTAGACACAAAAGGACAAATATTGCATAATTCCAATTATATGAAATGTCTAGTGGATAAATTTATAGAGACAAAGTGGATTAGATGTTACTGGGGGCTGGGGGAAGGGGAAAACGAGGAGTTATTGCTTAATTGGTACAGAGTTTCTGTTTGGGGTGATGAAAAGGTTTTGCAAATAGTGGTGATGGTTGCACAACACTGTGAATGTACTTTACTGCCACTGAATTGCACACTTCAAAATGGTTAAAATCACATTTAAAAAATTCCATTCTCTGTTGATGGACACTCGGGCTGTTACTACTTTTTCAGCATTTTGATTAAAGCTGCAATAAACATTGATACACAAATGTCTGTTTGAGTTCCTGTTTTCAGTTCTTTGGGGTCTATACGTAGGAGTGTGCTAGGTATTTTATGTTTTATATATATTTTACTGCAATTAAAAAATAAATATATAAAAGACTGGCCTGTGTGAAGACCTCGGGAGGTAAGAATGGCTGGAGCAACAGCTGGATCATGAAGGGCTGGGCACGCCCTTGTTTAGGAGTTGGTTTTATCCTGAAAGCAGGAACCATGGAGGGATTTTGAATGAGGGGGTCATAAAGTTAGATTTGCATTTTAGAGCGATGTAAACTGCCATTACCAGGAAGAATATTAGACAGAATATTCACCTGCTAGTCCCAAGGATTTGGGTCAGGGCAGGCCTCTGTCTGTGCAGAAACAAAGTCTGGTAAAAGGGCAGTTACGGAAAGGGCTTATACTAAGCATATTTTTCTAGTGTAGCTGAACAACTCAACCATGATAACCTGCTGGAAGTGATGCAAGAAATATCTTGAACGACCTAAAGTACCGGCCATATTTTTTTCTTATGTCTGGAAATCTCAAAAGCACATGCTCACTTCTATAATTGTAATCATTTGATCAGTGTGTACTGTAAGGATTGAAATGCCAATATGTTTTGCTTCCTTGGTAGCTGAGAGATAACCTGCAAAAACATGTTGTTCTTGTTCTGGAAATGGCTCTTTCTATTACCTTTATTTCTCCATTTATCTTTTTTTCTAGGAAGTACCTGTAGACCAGGAATACTGGGCCAGAAGAAAAAAATACTGTCTAGTTTAGCAAATTGCAGAATGGACAGCACTGAATGTTGGAACATAAAATTTTTAAAAGGTGGGGGGCTGGAACTGGCAGAGTATAAGTGGCACTGTGTGTTGCTCAGCTGAACTCCATGCCCTGTGAACAATATAAGCAACAGTCCTGCTATTTCCACTGACAAGAGCCCGTTGCCTACCAGATGCCAGGCCCTGTGCTTCCTCCTGCCTTTGAGGTCTTCATGTAAAATAGATTCTTGTCATCTGCTTGGGGCATGTTTAATGAAAGTGATCAGGCTTTCTAGAGATTGAGATGAAAATATAATTAACATCTTTGATTTCTGTGCCATCAAAGAGCTCAAACTGTTCTCCAGATATATGTTGGATGCTTGAGTGGTTATGAAATCCTTTGAAATTAAGTGACAGACTCAGTCCTGTGTGCTGATGTTTAGGACAGACAGACACACACACTCAAACTCACACACACCAGGCTTATGGGGAAGAAATCAAAGATGACAACAGTGTCTAATTGAAGCTCCTCCAGGGTCTGGCTTCCTGCCATAATGGTTCACACATATCCTGTGTTTTGAAAACGGCAGGTTTTGGCTTGTGATCAACCAGGAGGGAAACATGGTTACTGCTCGCCAGGAACCTCGCCTGGTCCTGATTTCCCTGACCTGCGATGGTGACACCCTGACTCTCAGTGCAGCCTACACAAAGGACCTACTACTGCCTATCAAAACGCCCACCACAAATGCAGTGCACAAGTGCAGGTAAGGAAAGGGCAGGTCGTAGCCCTTGTGTGAATGAATAGTCATGCAATTTTGAGAAAGCATAAACTCTAGAGGGAATGCTGAGAAACATATCAATAATGAACCGTTGATTGCATGTGTACCATATACAGAATGAAGTCCTCAACATTATGAAGATCTAAAAGAAGGAGAAAGAAGGAAGCAGCTTCAGAAACTTGTGTTGTGGAGATGACAGACATGAAAGTGCTATGTAGAAACCCATGAGAACAAAAGCATATTGACATGTCAGCAAGAGAAAAATAACAGCACCCAAAGATCAAGCACAAAAATGGGGTGGGAGTGGTGGGGGCGAGTGTCCTAGCAGAGGTGAAACTCGATCTACGTATTCTCATAGAACTTTTTCTTCTTGGCTTAGAAAAACTGGGCACCTTCCAAGTCTGAGTTAGGAAAGGAGTTGCAAATGGCTATGTGACCCGTAAGATTTAGTTCTAATGAAAGGAAGTTCCAAAATAGAAAAGAACAACTCTAGCTAGAAGAGTGATCCAGCCAGCGGCTGCCCAGGGGTCAGTGTCAGAATGAGGCTGGGGATGTAACCCAGGAGGATGTTCTGTACACAAGCCCTTCCCTCAACATCAGAAGGGCTGCAATGAAGCAATTCTTCTAGGAAAACTAGTTTTGCCTCCAAGAAGTCATGTCTAGAGTTGATTTCTTATCTGATTATGGGAAAATTAGAGTTGGTCCAGTTATATTCTTGTTATAGTTTCTGCATTTGGAATAAAGATGCAGTGTGAATGTAGTTTATAGCCTATCATAAAAAAATAGCATCACCTCAAAAAATGTAGTTATCTGAACAACGTCTAAAGACCCAGAAAAGTTCACAAAATGCAATACTGATGTAATTTCTACATTTTAGAGTTTTAAACTTGATAATATACTTTTTTGAATTTGGTGGCTTTTCAGATTAGAAAAGTGGTACATATTCATTGTTGAAAATTTGGGAAATACCAAGAAAAAAAAAAAAAAGAAACAAAAACTATCTGTGATAACTAATTAATATTGCAGCATATTTTCTTTCGGTCTCTATGCCTACTACTTAAAAACTAAACTGAAATAATACAAAAAATCCTTTAATATTGTTTATATACTTAAATTGATATGTTGAGTATTTTTTCATATTGTTAAAAAATCTTTAAGGATACCATTTTTCATGTTGGCATAATATTTCATTTTGTGGGTGTCCTCTAATGCATTTTAATATGCCCCATGATTAAACATTTTGATTGTCTTAATTTTTTTCCAGGTATTAAGAAGAATGTGATGAATATCTTGGCATAAATCTTTGTTTATATCATTTGTTGTTTTCTTAGGGAAAAAATTCTAGCAGTGGTTTTGCTTGAAATAAGAATATGGATCCTGTAGGCTTTTGATACACCTTGCTAAATTGTTTGCAGAATGGTTTTACCAATTCCATTTTAACCATTATGTTAAAAAACATTTTGCCATTTTTATGGGCAAAAATGATAATTTCTTGTTAATTTAATTTGTATTTTTCCCTGAATGAGGTAAGCTTTTAAATACTTATATTGCAATCTGTATTTCATGTTTGTCCATGTCTTGATTTGTGTTTATTTGCCATGGTTAGATATTTACCCATATTTTCTTACAGTTAATTTTTTTGTTTAATTTTTAATTCATTTGAAATTGTGTTGAAACTTTTTTCACAGTCCCATATGGGCATTTGGTCCATGCCCAAAAGACTAAACAAGGGCATGCTTGCAAATTGCAAAATGAAAAGGCTTAGACATGCTACGGTAGTATACAGACTCTTCGAGCAAAGATTCCAAGAATCTTCTGGATTCAGGTTTCTTTTGACAGCCCAACCTATTCTCTTATGAGGGAGCTGTAACCTCAGCCCACAGTTTCCTAAAGATTTCGGATGAGTTCTTGGGGCGCTGGGGTCGTGATCACAGGCAGTACACCTGTTTTCATGGTCGAAGATGTTACTTGATTTTCTCACATGCCTTGCCTGCTATTAATAAGATACACAGAATTAGGGACTTTGGCTATGGATTATTCAGACAAACAGCCTCAAACCTCAAACCATCTCAAGCCATGCCTACATTATCTTTGTCAAAGGGTCAAAGGTTATAGGAGCATTTGGAATTTTATTTTAATTCTTCACTTGCACTTTTTGGGACAGTGTGCAGGTGGGGTGCTGGGGCCAAGATACAGCAGAGGCCAATCAGAACTCAGGAGAAATGTGGCAGGAGCAGGAAGAAGGCAGAACAAATTCTACTCGTTGAAAGGCCTCAAGTTCTGGGTGATTATGAACCTGAACCCCAGGATCTAGAAATAGATGTTGCAATGGAAATCAGTGTCAGATTAGCAGGGCAGATGTTTAAATGGCCCAAGATAGATGCAAATGCTTTGACTTTGTAAAAATAATTATTGCCAATTGAAGCCCCAAGGAGTCAAAGCAGCCTTCCTGTCTATATCCTCCACTGTGTGTGCCCTCCCACCCTCCTATAAAAGCAACTAAGGGAAGCCCTGGGCTGCCAAATGGCAAGTTGAGACTGAGAGGGTGCCTTGGTGGGCTGTAAGGGTTTGACTGGAGAAAGGAGGGTGATTTTTTTTTTTTTTCTCATAGGCACCAGCAAAGAGACATCTAACAAGGAGATGACCTTCAAGGCTGTCTCCATACCTAGATATTTGGTAATGCTGGCATTTCACAAGATGCTTCTGAAATTAGCATTTCAGACATTAAACTGCACACACACACACACAGATGCTAAGCCCCCCACATATATTCAGTTCTAGAACTGGTGGATTTGATTTTTTGGGAAAAGTAAAAAATTATTTGGAGCTAAAGCCTGTGAATAAGAAAACGATAGGATCTTTTTTTTTTTTGGTTAAAAAATGAGGTTAGGCTTAAAAGTAGAAATAAGTAGATATGATTAATACTAGGTTAGAATGATTACTTCCCAAGGTGACTGCTCTGAAAGGTAATATCCATTTGGGTGTATAAATTTGGGTATGTTTATTTTATTCATTTTATTTATTTTTCATCTTGATCCAGAAAAGAGTAAGGCAGACACTCCTGGTCTTTGTAAATGGTCTCATTACTTCATAGGCCTTGGGTGCATATTTCAGCCCTCTGATTCTCAGGAGTTAATTTAGAATGGGTGGGGTGACAGTGTGTGAAAAGGTATCAAGTCATATACTACAGCAGTGTACTTTTCTGCATGAGTGTTACGCTTCAATAAAAAGTTTTTAAAAATTTATGAAAACTTTGAATACACCAATCTACTGCTTAATGTAACCCAGACACTGTTAGTAATGACTTCTCATTTTAGATATAAAGCAATAAAATAAAATTATATACAATTATATAGGATACTATACTCAATATATTTTACAATATAAAAATCCATTTATACATTATTATTAGAGAATGGATGCTTTTGTTGGATTAAATGTTTGATTTATGGAGTAACTATACAAAGATAGCTTGAAATAACTTGGTTGGGGGACCCTGGGTCATTACTACCTACTGAGCATATCCCAGTCCTAAGAATTGTTTGGGGACTTCTTACGGATTGTTCCTAATCCTCACAACAAAGTTCTGCTTCTACCCCCATTTTATTGATGAAGAAACTGAGTCTCAGAATAAGAAACTATCACCAAGGCCATGGAGCTAGTCATTTGTGGAAATGGAATGCTCACCCAAGTAGATTTACTTGATCCACTAAGCTTTCTCAAACTTCCAGCATTTGCATAACACCACGATGATAGTAGGCCAAACCATAAACCACCTGTACTCTTGTTTACTTAATATTTCTCTTTAAATTGATTCAGCTTATAAACTAATCTTAAACACATTTATTTAAAAAAGAAACTTTATGTAGTTACCTATATAATTTGCCAAGTATACGGCTTTGTATGGCTACCTATATAATTTATATATATGGGTTTATATATAAATTTATGTGGCTACCTATAAACCTTATATGGCTACCTGTATACAAACTTTATATGGCTACCTATATAATTTGCCAGAAAGTAACCAACACTCAATATGCTAAAACATTACTAAATTCTAGCTAGAAGCTGTTGCCTACAGAGGTCTCTGGACCTAAGGTGTGTTCTTTCTTTGTTAAAAGAGGAGATTATCAAGTGTTGCTAAAAGGTAAAGATTTATTACCACTAAACTGAAATTTCTCTCTGTGCAATTCACTGTTATTTAATGCTATACCCAGGTGCCATCTACAGTTATCTTGAATGCCAGCAGTGGTAATGGTCTTGCATTTTGTGAAACACTGGCCTACACCATAGCATTTATTTTCCTCTCCATAGCTGTGAAATTCATATAACGCCAAACAGCCCTGCACAGGACTATGTGCTGGGGAGTGGGAACTTCAAATCCTACAAAGTTATAACTTGCAATCAAATCCAGTAGATTATTATTGTTATTATTAAATAAATATAATATTATTGTTAATGATTGTTATATATATAGTTATTATCTGTAATGTTTTAGGCTTTATAGAACATTTTCATATTGTTGCTGTACTATACTGGCAAAGCATAGCCAGGCCTGTGAATAAAGATTTCTGGTCGCTATTCAGCTGGGTGAACTAGATTTTGCAGTAATTCTAAGTTTACTTTATACTGATACATTAGTTTTCTTCTGGAGAACTCAGTACATTTTTAAATATATTATTTCATTTCATCCTCCCTGCATTCCTTCCAGGTAGGGAGACACAGTTGTACAAAACTTGATTTTTAAAATGAGGAAAGCAATGCTTAAAGGGGTGCTTTCATTTTCATTTGGCCTTACACAGGTTTGGAGTCAGGACCAGGACTAAAATTACATCTTCTGATAATTAAGAAATGACAGTAATGTTACAGCTAGGAGCAGCTTTTCTGATATAGCTGGCACATATTAGGGTGCATGGATTTTCAAAGCCATGTCTGCCCTTTGCTCCTGCTACCCCTGCAGAGTGCACGGCCTGGAGATAGAGGGCAGGGACTGTGGCGAGGCCACCGCCCAGTGGATAACCAGCTTCCTGAAGTCACAGCCCTACCGCCTGGTGCACTTCGAGCCTCACATGCGACCGAGACGTCCTCATCAAATAGCAGACTTGTTCCGACCCAAGGACCAGGTGAGAGGTTCTGCTGCCTCCATGGGTAGAAAGCAGTCACCCCCAGATCAGGGGGCTCAGGTGGCATCTCTGATGACCTCGGCTCTGTTGTTTTCTGGGGCAGCCCTCTGGTAGCTCAGATCACAAGCAGTAGGCAGAAATAAAGCCCTTCCCTTGGAAGCATTGTTTGTTTCTTTGTTTGGGGGACTCTTGAATTTTTGCCCTTGAGCATCTACCTTCCTATTTGTGTAAGCATTCTGATGCCAGTAGGGTTTCAAAACTGTTCTGCACCAGTGTCTTTTTTTCATTCCATTCTGTAATTGCACATGGAGTCCAGAATTTTTACAGTTTGCAGTTGTATGTCAGATTCCAATTGTGCAAGTTGGCATGGGTATGGAGATACACAGACTCAAATGATCAGCCTTAATGGCATAAAGCTCTAAGGATTCATCATAAAAGCAGGGTTTGTAGTACCATATACTGCTTTTACCATGGCCATAAAAAAAATAAATTATGCTGTAGTCCTTACTGCTAAGGAGGCTGAGGTGGGAGGATTGCTTGAGTCCAGAGAGTTGAGGCTGCAGTGATCTGTGATGGCACCATTGCACTACAGCCCAGGTGACAAGGAGTCTCTGTCTCAAAATATATAAATAAAGAAACAAGCAAATGCATAAATTATGGTCAACATAAATATTAATTTGTAAGTTGCATAAAATAAGTATTCATGGAATTAGTGAACATTTAAATCAAACATAATGAGGTCATCAAACTCAACCACCTTATTAAACATTTGAGAAATGGGAGGCTTAGAAAGGTTCAGTGATGTCCCCAAGGGCACATGCCTTGTGGCAGCTTAGGATTGATTCTGAGTCCTTGTTCCCTTCATTCCACCATGCAGTTTCTGCTATCTGCAAGGCTATTGAAAACTTCTGAGTCACTGTGACTTCTATTAAAAGAACAAGAGAACTACTTTGAAAGATTGTGTGTGGGGTGGGGTGGAGCATGGAGGCTATGTCTAGGAACTAGGCACACCTAACCACTGAAAAGTTGGTGTGCCATGTGTTATAACAATGTCTATTTCCTTATCAGATTGCTTACTCAGACACCAGCCCATTCTTGATCCTTTCTGAGGCGTCGCTGGCGGATCTCAACTCCAGGCTAGAGAAGAAAGTTAAAGCAACCAACTTCAGGCCCAATATTGTAATTTCAGGATGCGATGTCTATGCAGAGGTAACACTATGCCCCTTTGGATCTTTCCTTGGATTTGACTTCTTTTTTAAGGTATGAGAGTCTTTGACATTGGATTAGATTATTCTGAAGGGTGCATTATTTATCAACTCTGTAATACATAACAATTTGATTTTTAGATTTATTCAGCACTTAATAAGTGCAGACTTCTGTGTGGAGGATACAAATGTTGATGGGTCAGAGACTGTCATCAAGGAGGCAGTTCAGTATCTAAGGCTTCTAAGGAGAATTCTGAGTTGACAGGTTCGTTGTTGAGTCACATTTTCTTGCATAGACTACATGATCTGTGTGGGCCATGGAACAAAGAAAGTGTGTGCTCCTGTCTTGTTAAAGGATGGTCTTACTGTTTAGTAGACGGCTCTCTTGGAGAAGACAGGCATTTACTGCAAGGCTGCTGGGTGAGGGTTGGGAGAGGTTGTTGCCCCTAAGCTTCATGGCACTACCCTGAAATGCTTGCAGTGCCACCTTCCATCTGCCCTCAGATGTTTGCGTGGTGACTTAGCTTGAACAGCCCTGAGGCTTGGTTTCTGGGATTCCACAGGATTCTGGCAGCAAATTTACCTTTGTAATAAATGGCCTTTGGCTATTTAACTTGATTCTCTCCCTGGGCTTCCATGAAGGCAGAGGTTGGTGGCCTAGAGGCATGGTGAGTGGCCACCAGCTGTGGATACTCAACAGAAACCCTGACCCACAGCTAGGAATTCAGGAGCTCTGGTTGTGCCTCAAATTTATGTTGAGAAGGGAGAGGTAAAGGGGACCATATAGTGGTTCTTACGTCTGCCCATTTCCTCCATAACAGGGAAAAATGGAATCAAAGCAATTGAGTTTTAACCTTTTATCCTCAGAGGAGCCAATTATATTCTTCACTTTTGCTGTACGGAGGCAAAACTATGCTGAAAGAGAAATAATCTAAGAATTTGATTCCCACATTCAAACCAGAAGATGTGACGGCTGGTTTCAGCTTCTGCACTGGCTTCTGCATGACTTTGAGCAGCCCCGCTAAGTCCCATTTACCTTGCCTGAACAATGAGATGATCATATTTCTGCCTAGGGTTACCTTAAGGGTCTGTTGAAGGGTCAGTTTGGATAATGTAATTTATGAGATGTATAAAAGCAATATCAATCGATGGAGGATAATAAAAGTACGCCCAAATCCACTGCTAATGCTTCATATAAAATACTCATTGCTCCAAACTTCCAAGGGTAGCGTTTCTTCTAAAGATGGTGGAGAACTTCCTAGTGTGAGGCGGGTGGACTGTGTGCATGTCCCCCAAGGTCCTGGGTTGGGCATCTCTCAGTGCTTCTTTGTGACAAGAAATTTCTGCCTGTCCTGCTCCTGTGCACCATGGGCCAGCCTGACTTAGACAACAGGAAAATAATCAGTGTTTGGTTGCCTTTGACCATCTCCTTGATATTCATCTTCCACCAGCTATGGCTAGGAGAGCCATTTCTCCTGAGAACGTTCCTTCTCAGGAAAAGAGAAATGAGTGGGGAGGGTTTTGAATGAATACTTGTGTTGCGCTTAAGTATGTTGTCTCTTCTATGCCTCACGGCAGCCCAGCGGGATAAAGCTATCATTCCTATCTTACAGGAGAGAAGAGAGAGGCTTGGGGAGGTGAGGTGGCCTGCCCTAGGCTATACCACAGCAAGGAGGGGCTGGGTTTTGAACCCCAATTGTACAAGGCCAGAGGAACCCTGAGAATTCTAGGGCATATGTATGGGGCTGGGACAGCTGGATTCTAATCCACCTGCTTCCGCAAGTGACCGTACAAGCCTGGACAGGTCACCAAACTCGCCGAGGCATCTGCTTCTTGCAGTTGTAAAACACGGGCAGTTTCAATGACTCCCTCGCCTGATGGGAGCTGTGAGAATCAAGGTCGATGACAATTTGTGGAAAAGTTCTAGGACATTAAGTACCACAGGGAGGTAAGGAAGAGTTTCATTCCTGGGAGTTTGGCTCAGGTACCAGCTTTTTCCCTATGATCGACTTTAAGCTTTCTTTCTCCCCTGTGTGATTTGTGCACCGAGGGTCATGCTGAAGCCATTTCCACCCCAAAATTCTGTGACAGTAAGATTCGGATGACAGGAGAAGAGGAGATGGCCCAGAGTAGAACTTCAGATCTCGGAGATTTCTTTCAATTGAGTCTTACTCTAAAAACCCGTATCTCTCTCTCTATCTCTGAGTGTTCCCTAGTTGAGAACATTCTGTATGTGAAGCTGGGCGGTAACACAATGGTGGCTGAGCCGGCCTTGTTTTTAGTAATTCACCCATCATCGAGTGGGTTGCTGCCCCTGTGTGGCATGCGCTGTGAATAGACACATGAGAACAAGGGTTGAAGAAATGCACTTGCTTCTCCTAAGGAGCTCAGTGTGGTCAGATAGTGAAAAGTCACAGCACAGTGAGATATGGCCAGGAGGGTGGCGAGCAGCCAGACGTGGGGACGTGACTAACACCTGCATTGTGGGGTGAGCTGAAGCATGGGGCACCCAGGGCTCTGGTCTCAAACCCTTTCTCATTTGTCTGCACTCACTTTTCTGATCTGTTCTTTCTTTCCTTTTTTTTTTTTATTTAATCATCTGTTTTTAAGACCTTCTCTGCCCTGAGGACCCCTAACTATATCCTTCTGCCAGAGCTTTCCCCTGCTTCTCCATATCTCCATGTGGATGTCTAATCCAACGTCAGGATGTCTGAAATTGAGGGTCAGGTATCCACCCCAAAGCCTGCTGTGCTGTCTCGCCCATCTCAGCACACAACAGCTCTGACTTCCGCTGGCTCAGGCCCCAAACTGCGAACCACCCCTTGTTCTTCTCTTTCTCTCACATCCTAGGTTCCTACAGTTGACAGATCTTGGTGGCTGGGCCTTCCCCCCCACTCCCCTCTCTGCCCGGATGCAGTCACCACTGGTGCTGCAGCAGCCTGGCTTCACTGGCCTCCTTGCCCCACCCTTGACCCAGCCCTGCACCATCCATGGGCTGTTCTCAGCACATCCATCAAGGTAACCCTGTTGATGTAAGTCACATCATGTGATTTGTCTGCTCAAAGCCCTCTCATGGTTCTCCACCTTTCTTCAAGTAAAAGATGGGATCCTTATGGATTGCCTGGAAGGCCCAACATGACCTGCACCCCGCCAGCTCCCAGCCCCTTCTCCTCTCACTCCCCTCTGCTCTCTTACTCTGCCCCAGCCATACTGGCCTTTTTTCTGGGCCCCAGCTGTGTCCTCTGCCTGGCATATCTTCCCTCACAGGCCTCATGGCTCACTCCAGTGCCTCTTTCAGTCCCCTGCTGCGGGCTTCACTGACCCCGCTCACCCAGCCCCCCCCACAGCACACACCCCACCTAACAAGCCGTGTGTACTCAGGTATCAGTGTATTGTCTGTTTCCCCTATGCAAGCTCCTTGAGGACAGGGGCTGCTGTATCTCCAGCCCCTAGGAGAGCCCCTGGTACATAGAAGGTGTGCACTAATTATCTGTTAAATGAATGACCTGGACAAAGTATTGTCCAGGAGAAAGGGGGGCACTGAGGGAGGGGTACATACACAGGGCTATGAAGGTATGAGAGAATGGCCATCTTGCAGTGCTGGGGCTCAGGAGAGGAGGGGAGCTGAGAGCACAGGTACTTGGTGTCAGGTTTTGGGGAGTCTGGGAAGAATTTTTGGCCAGGGAGTGACTGAATCCGATTTGCATGATACACATTTGCCTCTGCCAGGAGCCTGGAGAAGGATTAGCGCAGGCGGGGCCAGGGTGCAGCTGGGAGAGCAGGCTAGCATGGAGGAAGGCCGAGGACCTGCATGGAAGTTTCTGGAAAGCAGACCCACTCCTCATCTCGGAAGCTACCTTCTCAGCAACTGTGGCTTTTCGCTGCCTCCCTTCATCATCGGCACTCCCCACACACATTTCTTACACCTCACTTCTCCCTGAAGCCACAGTAGAGACAACCACCCTACCTGCCACAGTCAGTGACCGTTTCTCAGTCACCACCACCCCGCTCTGAGGACACATGGACACTACTTACTGAAACGTTTCTCCTTTAGCTGTACTGCCCTTGCTTCTCTGCTGTTTGTCCTCATCCCTTACTTCCAAAAGTTCTGGCCTTGACCCTTTTCTCTCCCCTCCTTGGTGATCACACTGTCTCCTGCAGCATCGCCCTCTGTCACCTGACATAGGTCCCTCAAATGTCCACCCAGGACTCCCTCTGGAGTGCTGCACCACAGTTCCAACTCTTTGTTGGTTGACAGAGAAACTCAGACTTATGTGCTCCCACCCCAGCCCCTACACCCTCACCCCACCTCCCTAAACTCATTCTTTCTTTCTTTTTTGAAACAGAGTCTTGCTCTGTCACCTAGGCCAGAGTGCGCTGGCATGATCTCAGCTCACTGCAACCTCCGCCTCCCGGATTCAAGCGATTCTCCTGCCTCAGCCTCTTGAGTAGCTGGGATTACAGGCAGACGCCACCATGCCTGGCTAGTTTTTGTATTTTTAGTATAGACAGGGTTTTGCCATGTTGGCCAGGCTGGTCTCGAACTCCTAACCTCAGGTGATCCACCCGCCTTGGCCTCCCAAAGTGCTGGGATAACAGGCATGAGCCACTGCGCCTGGCCCCCAAACTCCTTCTGTTGACTTCACAGTTTCTATCCAGGGCAGCATGTTTTTTTCTTTCACCCAGGCTCAGAGCGTGACAGTCGGCCCTGGCTCCTCCCTCTGCTGTGTTCCTCCCAGCCCCAGCCATGTCGGCTCCCCTTTCTATCCTTAGCCACCAGCCAGATCCTACGTTTGTTACTTTAAGTTTGGACCACTGAGTGCTCCCTCCTGAATGTTGCCACAGCCAAGCCTCCTAGAGCTGATCAGCGTGATCTCTCCCGCTCTAAAAGTTTGTAACAAATCATCAGTGTTGCTGACTTGCTCAGAAGCCTTTAGTGGCTCTCCATGTCACAAAGGTCCAAACTTCCCACTCAATCATTACATTCCTCTGTAACCTTGCCACAGTCTGCTTTTCCAGCCTTTATTACCAACTGTATTAGTTTATTTTCATAGTGCTATGAAGAAATACCCGAGACTGGGTAATTTATAAAGAAAAAGAGGCTTAATGGACTCACAGTTCCACATGGCTGTGGAGCCCTCACAATCATGGCAGAAGGTGAAGGAGAAGCAAAGGCACGTCTTACATGGTGGCAGGCAAGAGAGTGCGTGCAGGGGAACTGCCCTTTATAAAACCATCAGATCTCATGAGATTTATTCACTATCACAAAAAAAGCATGGGAAAGACCCGCCCCCATGATTCAATTACCTCCAACTGGGTCCCTCCCATGACACATGGGGATTATGGGAGCTACAATTCAAGATGAGATTTGGGTGGAGACACAGCCAAACCATATCACGAACGAAAGCTCCAAACTGCAAACTGGTGTCTCCTGGTCACTGAGAATCTTACTCCCTTCCCTACTTAAAACTCTTGACATTCTCTAAAAGCCTGGATTAAAAGCCCCCTCCCCTGGGAAGCCTGCTCTGATTGCTGGACCTCAAAGCGCTCCCTCCCTTCTCTGAAGCTACCGTGTGCTCTGAGCCTCTCCCATACCAGGCTTGTCCTGTTTGAACTGGTCACCTCCAGGTGCTGTAGGAAGACTTTCCTGGGCTCATCAGTGCTTATGACTCAATCTCCAGTAGTTTTTTTTTTGGAATAGAAGGGGCTCTGGAAGTATTTCTTTAATTAATAATAACTTAATTTCCTAAGTGGAACCCTTATTTCTCTCCTTTTATACCCTTTTTATGTGTTTTTTTGTGACCATAGTGCCCCCTTGTGGAGAAATGTTCACAGGACAGGCTGTGGCTGTGCTAATCCGCTGTGCCCAGTTTTCTGGACTGTTGAAAATATGTGCTTGAGATCCATTTTATGATTTACGATAGAACAAAACCCCTGTGTCATATATATCAAGAATAACACACACTATTGGAGTTAAAATTCTGAGCTCATGATCATCCAAGGACAAGGCAGTTTGCTTTTTAACTCCAGGTCTTTGCCTTCCGCCCTCGTGTGGTGGGCAATTCTCTCCGAGGGTAAGAAGGTCAGGACTATAATCAAATGTCCTTTGCCTCCTCAGCGCCCTTCCTTCTTATTGCTGTCCCCTCTGCCTGGAGTCCCCTTACCCTTCTTTTGTGCCTCTCAAACTCTCTGCCCTTTTAGACTCAGCACCCATCTTACCTATTCCTTATAAAACTTCCTGTAACCAGACCAGCCTGGAGAGTCATGCCTCTGAATCCCCAGAGTAAGCATTGCCAGCACAGTTAAACCAACACATGACGTGCTGCCTTGGAGTGCTTTTTGTGAATATTTCTGGCATTTAAAAATAAAATATTTATCTTTAGAATTCCATGTATGGATGGCCTATCTTGGCTGCTGGATTGGAGGGCCTTGGTCCACTAATGCGGTTTGTCGTGGAAACTAGGCTCCACTGACCCAGCCCACAGCTCCCCTGGCTGCAGTGCTTCGTAAATACTTCAGCAAAAATCAAAGAGGAATGAGGCTGCTGGTCCTGCTCCTGATGTGTCCGTATCTGGCTAGGGGAGACATGCACATACTCAGTGACTTAAGGCTCTTGATCCATATAACTTCAGGCAGGCACTAAGGGATCTGATATAATCTGAAGTAATGAACAATGCCCCCATCTGTCCCCCTCCCCACTTTCACCCACCCCATTCACTTTGTGCACCCCACCCCCCACCACCAGTCAAAGTGGGATCATCAGGGAGCCTCCCTGAGCGAGGCGAGTTTCCATGACATTTTTACAAGTGAGAGGAGAGGGAAATCTCATCTCAGGGGAATCAACTGGCATATCAAAGCCAGAGAGAGGGAACGCCAAGGTGTGTGGGTATCACTTGGCAGAGCAGGGCTGGGGGAGAACAGAAGGCTGCCATCACTGATGTGGGTGACATCGTTAGGTGCGAGGGCTCCTGGGAAATCTCTACACACGTGTCAGGGGCAGGGCCCAGAGATGCTCATGGGAATTTGTGCTTTGTCCCCTAGGATTCTTGGGATGAGCTTCTTATTGGTGACGTGGAACTGAAAAGGGTGATGGCTTGTTCCAGGTAAGGTGCTTTCCTGTCCCTGTGGGGTGGAGGTGGGGATAAGTTCGCTCTGCTCTGTCCCCCTTATGATGCTCTGTGTGTGTGTCCAGATGCATTTTAACCACAGTGGACCCAGACACCGGTGTCATGAGCAGGAAGGAACCGCTGGAAACACTGAAGAGGTAGGACTGGGCAGACGGGGCTCATCCTCGGGTTTAGGTGCCGGGAACGGAAGCAATATTTGTTGCTTAATGTTTATAAGAGGAAGCAGTGAAAACACCACACACATAGTCTTGAAACTCAAGAGGGTCCCATTAACGAGATAATTTGGGAAACATTCCCTGGTGTTTTGGACACCAACATGTCTGCTTAAACAAGTACTTTTATTTTTCATTTAGAAATCATAATTCAAATAAATCAATGTTTAAAAATTGCTTATGCATTTTGACAAATTTTATTACGGGCTAAGTATTAGATGATACCAAAAAATGTACTAGGTGTCCTAATGGCATTGTGGTTGTATAAGAAATGTCAATATATTTTAGAGAAGCTGATTGAAATATGTGTGTAGGAGTGAAGTGATGTGACATCTGGAACTTGCCATATATTATTTTAGCAAAAAGAAAAAAAGGATAAATGAGTACATTTTAAAAATGTGTCACAATCTTCATAAATAGAATCTGGGTGATAATTACGTGGGGTTTATTGCACTATTCTACTTTTATGTTTACTTTAAAATTTCTTAAGGAAAAATTTTAGGTGAAAGACACAGTACCGAGAATCATTTTAAATTGTATATAAAGATAGTCAAGATGCTGTGTTGATTTTACAAAGTTGATTATAAAATAGCACTATTTACTTTTTCATTTTTATTTGATTTTACTTTTTAAAAAACATATAAATGCACATGAGTAGATAAAAGGCTGAAAGGATATAAAACAAAATGGAGATACTCTTTTGGTATAGTCATAGAATTATGGAAAAGGGTTATTCTCATATGCAGTCTCTAAACTTTCTATAATTACTCTGCATTACTTTCGTGAAAACAACAATAACAGTTTAGCATACAAGCACTTCAGAGCTGATATCTGCCAAATTTGGGACCCAGGAAATTGCTGAAACTCTGAAAATGAACTAAGGGTGCTTCTCTTCATTGGTCCCTTTGACATTGAATGCTGAGTCACAGGCCAGGTGTCAGGTCTCTTCTCTACAGCCCCTGAGACCCTTCCTTGGCTTTGTGTAAGACCCTTCCTTGGCTTTGGTCCTGACTTGGCCTCCCCAGGTGTATCTTGTAGAAGGGAGGGCCCTGGGAACCTTGAGGAAGGAATGCAGTTGAGATGTGACTATCTTGTATCCAAACCATCATGAACGAGCGCATGACAGAGAGGTTGCTCTAGGCTTTGTGGAGCAGGACTCATTCCCTGTAACGTGAGGTTGTCTGCCTCCCCTTCCTTCCACCTCTCACCAACCTCATGGCCTTTTTGGGGGCCAATGATTCAGTCATCTTTGATCAACAACCAATCCCTCCCTGACAATTCTACTGTCCCAGATCTGGCCCCATCTCTGGGCAAGCTGAAGCCCTGGGCTGGAGGGCTGTCATCCCCGCTGTCACCTCACCCCTGAGCATGAGGCTGTGGCCTGACCTCTCTGGCCAGCACCTGTCATCCTATAGGAGATAAGTCCCAGAGTGTGGGCCAGGCTGCAGCAAGGTTAGCAGGTGGCCATGAGGGCCTAGGCCACCTGGCAGAGAGACAGTGGTCAGCAGGGAAGTCAAACAGGGTGGGTGGAGGGAATTACGGAGAAGGGGGTTTGTGGTACTCAAGGAATCCTTAGGTGGATAGCAAGCAGCTGGTCTCTACCTGGCTCCAACAGCGTTGGGTGTGATTTGCATCAACATTCAAAGAGGGGGCTACAGACCAGCCTAAGGGAATCCCAACATTTTGAGAGATGTTTCTCAATACTCAAAACATTAACAACTTTTCTGTAAAAAGCTAATATTGTGGAGCATTTAAGATTGGTATATTTCATTCCATGTAACTTTCACCTCAAAAAAAAAAGCAAATAATGGTTTTTACTCTAGGTAATAATATTCAAGCTGAACTGTTCAGAGTTGAAATGTACTGGTGTCTGCAACTTACTTGGAAATGCAAAAAGACAATACAGTGGATTGATGGATAGATACATGTGTGATAAAGAAAACATAGTCAAGGGCAGGCACGATGGCTCATGCCTGTAATCCCAGCACTTTGGGAGGCTGAGGCTGGTGGATAACTTGAGGTCAGGAGTTCGAGACCAGCCTGGCCAACATAGTGAAACTCTGTTTCTACTAAAAATACAAAACTTAGCTGGGCATGGTGGTGGTCACTTGTATTTGCAGCTACTCGGGTGGCTGAGGTAGGAGAATCCTTTGAATCCGAGAGGTGGAGGTTGTAGTGAGCTGAGATTGTGCCACTGCACTCCAATTTGGATGACAGAGTGAGACTCTGTCTCACAAAAACAAACAAACAAACAAAAAAACAAATATATATAGTCAAGTGTTAAGCTCAGAATTCAAGCAGCGGGTAAATGGGTGTTTGCTGTAAAATTATTTCACCATTTGCCTGCTTGAGAATTTTCATAGTAAAATTTTGGGGGGAAATGTCACTATATGTGACAGAACATTGATGAGAGGACCAGGGTTATAGCTATTCTTTGAAATGCGCTCACTCACCATCAGAACAAACCAGAATTCAGTCTTCCTGTTTTCCATGGCCACAGAGGAGCTACTAGGGGCAGAAAGCAGGGTGGGCCAGCGGGAAGATCCCGGGCTGGGAGTCAGGAGACCTGGATGTGCAGCACACCGACTGCTGTGCTCCTACCCCTGCCCGCACTCAGACCCTGAGTGTTCTTCCCTATAAAATAAAGGAGGCAGGACAGAAATAGATGATTCTGTGTAAATCAGCCAAGTGGTTTGGGGAATTGGCTGTCATCCTTTTTTGTCCATCTTGTTCTTTCTCTTCCCCCTGTGTGTTGCTCGGTGTGGGGCATCCTTCCCTCTGGATTTAGAAGGTTTATGCTCTTGCAGAAACAGCCTCCGCAAAGCACTTCACGTGTTTGGGCTTGTTCTCTGCATCTTCAGTGCCCCCCTTCCTCCATTGGGAGCCTGTGTTTATAGAAGGAGGATAATTGACCCTAAACACAGAGTGAGGGTGGGAAGGCGGGGGGCGCAAGGAGCCAGCACACCCCCCTGATCTTCCGCAGGCTTTGTGAAGCCCAACAATCTGGCCCTAATTGCTTCTAATACCCCAGGAGACAGTGCGGCCAGCCTAGGTGTCTTCTCCTATCTCTTACTGAGATTTAAATTGCCATGGATGTGTAATTTATGTTCTTCCCAAGACAGGTGGTCATAAATCGGGAAGAGAAAGGCCTGGCCACATCCCATAAATCATGGGAAGGGAAGCAAACAGTGGTGTCCACAGCCTCTCTGCTATTGGGCAGGTTGCTCAGAGCTACACCACTTTCTGCCTCTGGGCACTCATGGTGCCCATGGCTGGGGTTGCTTCTGGAATGCCAGCGCTCAGCTGGGAGACCTCTGTGCCTGACCAGCCCTGCCTCCTGATGTTAGTCACCCACAGGCAGAGCCCGCGGTGGTACAGCAGTGGGAGGAAAAGAAATACAGAGGCATAGGGAAGCCTTTGTCTGTAAAATGCTCACAGCGGGAGGCACAGTGGAGGCATGTCTGCTAACAGGAAGATATGAAAATGGAATTTTTCTTTTCTTTCTTAAGGGAAAGTGACGTACACACTGATCCCCATGGTTGAAGGAATGGCTGGAGTCTGCCGTTGTTGCTTCCATGACATTTTGCCCCTAATGGAAAGAATATAGCACAGTTACTGCATGGGTACTCAAAAAAAAAAACGTTTTGCTGGATGCACGAATACTGTGACAGTAATGACATTTGCCAGCAGCCACTTGTGTCAGGCTGTGCTCTGCTGAGCTAAACACAGAATATATAGCAGTGGTAACTCCATGGGAGGAGGCAGACTCTCCACCCTAGTCTGGCTCTGTCACCTCCTAATTGTGTGACATTGGCAAGTCGCTTAGGCTCTTCAAGTCACAGTTTCTTTATTGGTATAAACTGGACTTGTAATACCTCTTCTGGTAGACTGGAATAAGGCAAGATATAGGATTTTTATAGATGATAAAATACTGTACACAGTGACCATGTAAGCTGCGGTCATTGAGAGTCACTGTTTATAAACTTGACACCTTCTGAGAGGAGGAGAAGCCTGACCACACTTCTTCCCATACTCAGAGGCTGCTTTAAATGAAACCTAACACGAACTTGCCCAGCGGCCAGCCTCTGGAGGTTCAGTGTGGCACCTCTCCCAGGAACGTTCACGATGCCGTCTAATTCTTCAATTTAATTTAATTTAATTTAATTTATTTATTTATTGAGACAGAGTCTTACTCTGTCACCCAGGCTGGAGCACAGTGGAGCAATCTCAGCTCTCTGCAACCTCCGCCTCCTGGGTTCAAGCAATCCTCATGCCTCAGTCTCCCAAGTAGCTGGGATTACAGGCATGCGCCTCTACGCCTGGCTAATTTTTGTATTTTTAGTAGAGACAGGGTTTCACCATGTTGACCAGTCTGGTCTCAAAGTCCTGACCTCAGGTGACGTGTCTGCCTTGGCTTCCCAAAGTATTGGGATTAACAATGCTGTTTAATTCTTAACCTGGCCATAGAGATAGGCAGTCATGAGGCCTCAGGAATGGCTTCTGCCGCTGGTGACTTATGGTCCCATGAACGCCAGTGGTGGGATCGGGCAGTGACCAGATACTCTGCCTGGAGTCATGGCCTGGACGTTGACCAGTGAATGCGTAAACCAGGCAGGGTAAACAAGGATCAGCCCTCTGTGGTGCACAGCACTTTAACGGTAACAAACTGTTTCCATTTACATTGCACCTTGTAAATAATAGAGACCTCGGTTTTAAGCTAAATAAAGTGTCTTGGGCTTCCTGCTCATTAGAATAGTTATGTTTCATGTTCATTTAAGGAGAAAGTGCACTAAGGAAGATTTTAAATGAGTTTTAATTTATTAATACCAACAGGAATACATATATGAAAAGTCACATATTTAAAAAATCGTAGAAGACCCATGTATGAAAGAATACTGTTTCAGAGTGTTGAACTTAGTGTGCGCACGAATTCATAGACTGCTTGCAATACCTCTTAGTGCCACAAGGCGCCGCTAGTGACCTCGTTGAGTCTTCCCACAGCCTGGAGGCGGGCTTCCGCAGCAGTAGCAAGAGGAGGTGGTGCAGGAGGCGGTGAGAGCCCGCAGCAAAACCAGGCAGCTGTAGGAAAGCCCTGGCAGGCCGGCCCACCGAGAACCCCTTTTCCACTCCCATAGCTCTTCCCGCTTCTACTCCTAGACAGCGGAGTGGACCGCCACCTGTGAGCCGGTGACCACACCTGCACTTTCACAAAGCAGCTCCCTCACCCCGACCTGTGCAGTTTAGGGAGGCTGTGCCGAGAGGGGCAGCCGCTCTTTACGGTCCTCTGCTCCTCATTACCTGGTGGGGGAGTGAGTGTGTCTGTGCTTGGTTGGCAGGAAGGGATAGGTGAAAAATGTAAGTGGCTAGAAATTGGTGTAGGTGACTAAATTGTGAGACCCCTCGGTTCTTCTCAGGCCTGTGGGTGTACTCAGGAGGATGTCGACGACCAGGGTTACATCCTGGGTGGGAAGAGTCCACTAGACTCTGAAGTCAGCCAGGCCTGGGCTCTGGCCCCAGCTGGATCCTTTAGATCTGTGATCTCAGGCAAGTCTGTTACTCCCCCTGAGACTTAACTGTAAAATGAAGAAAAGGCAAATTCCCACATAAGCAGGTTGTAAGGATTAAAAAAGAGAACATGTGTAAAGTTCCTTATAAACTATCCATGTGTGATGCGCAGAACTCCAACTCTCAATTTCTCCCCAAGATAATGAGAGTCTGGACTCTTAGACTGCAGAGCTTGGCAGCAACGGAAACACCCATACAAGCAGCTGATGTGTCCCCTGTTCCTGAAGAGGTCACCCTCTGACAGATAGATCTCAGAATGTCATGAATGTTGCATGCTGAAAGAGGAGAGCCAGGCTAGGAGAGATGCCTGGTTTGTCAGGTCCAAGGGCATTGCAGAAACCTGATTACAGAGAGAGGAAATACTCTTGGCAAGGCAGGGAAGCCTGCATCAGCAGCTTGTTATTTTCATTCATCCATTCATTTGTTCATTCATTGTTCAACCAACATTATTTTTGAGTGGTTACAGTGTATGTGTGAGGCACTGTTCCAGGCCATGAGAATGCAACAGAGAACAAAGTGGACACAGTGCTGCCTACAGGATGTTTACAGTCTGGGGAAGGAGCTGCAGGTCTCCAGAAGGTGGTTCTAGATTTGACTCTCTGTTTTCTCCTTAACAATTTCTGATTTGAAGAACAACATTAGAACCAAGTTGTTGCAGTCACTTTTTCACTTTTTTTTAAAGCAAGGCAGAATAAAATGAATGATTTATCTAAAATGTTTTAAATATAAAAATGATGTAAAATTAGGGTTAGATTAAATAAAAAACTGAAGGTTAACTTCTTCCCAGTGGGGAAGGTGGGGGAATCTTGCCATGTGAGTCCCACACATCTGCTCATGTACCCTCTCCCTGCGTCTTCTTTAATTTTCTGCTGGACAAAAATATTCATATTTATACTGCCTCTGACAGACGGTTTTACTCATGAGCATACTAATCCAGCCAGCAAACAATGGTGGGTCACAGGTGATGTAGGAGGCCCGGCATTGGGCGTGAGCAGTACAAGGGCATTAATCACAGTTCCTGTTCTCCAGGGACTCTGCCTTGTAGAACAGACAAACTTGTGCCCTGACATTACAGGACAAGATGTGTGAGTATTGGAGGGGCAAAGAGAATTGAGGAGGGGGAATTACTCGTAGCTGGGGGAACCTGGGCTTCCTTCCTGGGAGATGTGGTGTTTGATTTGGGCCTTGAGGCAGGTACAATTCTAAAGCATGGGGACCTGGAGGAGGAGCATCCCACAGGAATCACAGAGGACTTACCGAGTCAGTACAATGCAAAGCAAGGTGAAATCCAGCAGAGAGCTGCAGAGGCACAGGTAAGGAGCAGATGGCAACAGGTCTGAAAAAGCAGGCTGGGGCCAGGTAGAGCCCTACATACCAGGCTGAATAGTTGGAATGTTATTCTTTAGGCACTGGAGAGCCACGGAAGGTTTGTGAGCCTAGGAATGATAAGACCAGAACACAATTAAAACAGTGATATAGTGCAGTGTCAACAATGAATTGAAAACAGGTAGAGAATGAGGAAAAGAGGTTGGTTAAGAAGTTATTATGATAGTCTGAGCATGCTGGAAGCAAGATCGTGACAGTCGGAATGAGGAAAAGCAAGCCAAGTCAAATGATGTTGTACAGGAAGAACCTTGGAACTCGGCAGCTGCGGACAGGCTGTGGGAAGAGAGGACAGTGGTGTAAAGGATGGGCTCCCAGCCCAAGTGACGGCTAGGATGGTGGTTCAGGTGACAGACATGGAGGAGACAGGAGGAAAGATGCCTAGGGCAAAGGAAGATGATAAAGTATGTCTAGACACATTGAGTATCTAATTTTTTTTTTTTTTGAGACGGAGTCTTGCTCCATTGCCCAGGCTGGAGCGCAGTGGCACAATCTCCGCTCACTGCAAGCTCCGCCTCCCAAGTTGATGCCATTCTCCCACCTCAGCCTCCCGAGTAGCTGGGACTACAGGCACCTGCCACCACTCCTGGCTAATTTTTTGTATTTTTAGTAGAGATGAGGTTTCACCGTGTTAGTCAGGATGGTCTTGATCTCCATCCTGGTTGTGATCTGCCAGCCTCGGCCTCCCAAAGTGCTGGGATTACAGGCATGAGCCACCACACCTGGCCAAGTATCTAACGTCTTAATGCCGAAAGGGGGAACATGAAGGTAGAGAAAAGATGTGGGGATGTGGCCATTGCTTATGCTTCTGTCGTTGTTTGCTGGGCAGGCTGTTCACTGCCCCACTCCAGGAGGCGCTGTTCTGTTGAGCTTTGACGGGATGGTGCCCTCTCGAGCTGTGCGTGCGGAGGCCCTGTGTGGGATGGAAGCCACGTGCTGGTTGAGCTCTTGCATCCGCTTGGCTGTGACTCATCATGATCTTTTCCTATTGCAGTTATCGCCAGTGTGACCCTTCAGAACGAAAGTTATATGGAAAATCACCACTCTTTGGGCAGTATTTTGTGCTGGAAAACCCAGGGACCATCAAAGTGGGAGACCCTGTGTACCTGCTGGGCCAGTAATGGGAACCGTATGTCCTGGAATATTAGATGCCTTTTAAAAATGTTCTCAAAAATGACAACACTTGAAGCATGGTGTTTCAGAACTGAGACCTCTACATTTTCTTTAAATTTGTGATTTTCACATTTTTCGTCTTTTGGACTTCTGGTGTCTCAATGCTTCAATGTCCCAGTGCAAAAAGTAAAGAAATATAGTCTCAATAACTTAGTAGGACTTCAGTAAGTCACTTAAATGACAAGACAGGATTCTGAAAACTCCCCGTTTAACTGATTATGGAATAGTTCTTTCTCCTGCTTCTCCGTTTATCTACCAAGAGCGCAGACTTGCATCCTGTCACTACCACTCGTTAGAGAAAGAGAAGAAGAGAAAGAGGAAGAGTGGGTGGGCTGGAAGAATATCCTAGAATGTGTTATTGCCCCTGTTCATGAGGTACGCAATGAAAATTAAATTGCACCCCAAATATGGCTGGAATGCCACTTCCCTTTTCTTCTCAAGCCCCGGGCTAGCTTTTGAAATGGCATAAAGACTGAGGTGACCTTCAGGAAGCACTGCAGATATTAATTTTCCATAGATCTGGATCTGGCCCTGCTGCTTCTCAGACAGCATTGGATTTCCTAAAGGTGCTCAGGAGGATGGTTGTGTAGTCATGGAGGACCCCTGGATCCTTGCCATTCCCCTCAGCTAATGACGGAGTGCTCCTTCTCCAGTTCCGGGTGAAAAAGTTCTGAATTCTGTGGAGGAGAAGAAAAGTGATTCAGTGATTTCAGATAGACTACTGAAAACCTTTAAAGGGGGAAAAGGAAAGCATATGTCAGTTGTTTAAAACCCAATATCTATTTTTTAACTGATTGTATAACTCTAAGATCTGATGAAGTATATTTTTTATTGCCATTTTGTCCTTTGATTATATTGGGAAGTTGACTAAACTTGAAAAATGTTTTTAAAACTGTGAATAAATGGAAGCTACTTTGACTAGTTTCAGATCTTACTAACTTCTTGGCACAAAGTTAGACTGTGAAAGCTGACTGAGGCTGGGCACAGGGGCTCATGCCTGTAATTCCAGCACTTTGGGAGGCCAAGGTGGGAGAATGGCTTGAGCCCAGGAGTTTGAGACCAGCCCAGAAAATATAATGGGATCCTGTCGCTACAAAATGTTTTTAAAATGCACTCGGTGTGGTGGTGTGTGCCTGCAGTCCTGGCTATGGCTACTCGGGAGGATGAGGTAGAAGGATTGGTTGAGCCCAGGAGCGGGAGATTGAGGCTGCAGTGAGTTATGATTGCACCACTACACTCCAGCCTGAGTGATAGAGTGAGACCCTATCTCTAAAAAAGAAACAGGAAAAAAAAAGAAAGCTGACTGAGGTGAATGGGCAAAGCCAGTAATTCTGACACCTGACCACAGCTGGGTCTTCTGCATAATGGACCTCCTCACCCACAGCCTCCCAGGCAAGCACCCATGTTTGAAGGACTATCAAGTCAACATGCTTTTTACCAAAAGCTGCACATTTTTCACTTTGATTTTATAAAAGAGGTCAGTAATCGCTGAAATCTAGCTGAGCCCTGAAGTAAAGTTCTGAGCAAAGAGGTGCATGTGCTTGTTTTATGGTTGGTGAATTATTACAGTTTGTTTTCTGCATGCTTGGCATGAGGTGAATAATTACATCAATTTTCCAGAGAACCTGGGCCATCACCTTCCCCAACAAGTCCAGTTGATGTTGAAACTACAGATAGATTGAGACAAAGCGAAGTGTTCAGCAAGTAGCATTACTAATGGGACCGGGGGACCCGTGGGAGAGTGAGTGTACACAGGATTTAGGAAACCATGTGAATATGGGCTCTCTGGGAATAGCCAATAGGTAGGGAGCAATCAGAAACCCAAGGTTTGGTGGCTCTTCCTAGGTATTTATAATTAGTGGCAAGTGAAAGCCTTAGTCCTGAATTTCTAACCACTTGTAAGAACTAACAGCCACTTCTCTGTGCCCCGTCCGGGCAGTAACCATCATTCTCCATGGACAGGCTCTCGGGGTAGCTAGCTCTGCAGGGCAGCACCCACGTGGAAGGGAGCACCCAGAAACCCTCCTCACTGGGCAGACCTGTCCTTCTGTGCCTCACAGTGTGAGGAAGATTCCTGTTTGAAGAGAGAAGTTCCAGTGACCTCTAGAATCTCAGAGTAGTTGCCAAGCTTTCTGTCAGTGAGATTTAAAGGCCATTTACTTGTGTTTATTTTATATTTAATGAGTTGGTTAATGCCAGAGACAAAGCTGATATCCCATTTATTTTGGATACTGAGCATTTGCACACTATTCCACTTGAAATATAGAATCAGGAATGTAGGCCATCCCAGACTTTCAGATCTTACAACAGCAAATGACAGATGTTTGAGATCAGGCCAAAATATCCACCCTCGGTGGGCATCTCCTCTGTGTGGCAACTTATGCTGCAGCCACAGTGGGGAGTCACAAACTCAGAGCTGGAGGTCTTGAAAAGGACAATGTGGGCCAGGCTCCGGAGGGGCTGCCTAAAGGCTTGCTTTTGTGACTCTCCTGCAGAAAATGTTAGAAACTTCCAACCGAAAGACGAGGGCAGCAACTTATACACACGAAGGCAGAAAGAAATTGGGGAAGGGGAGGCTGTTGGAATTCAGGCCGTTGTCCTATAGGGAGAAATACTCCTCCTCTCCTTCTCCCTTTACTGATAACGGGGCATGGTGAGGAGATGAGCTTGTGAGGGTCTGCCAGTTTGGTAAGAGTGCATGGGGAGGTTGGGTAAATTAGACTAGCCAAATGGGACTTCGGGAAACCATTTATGAGGCTGTCACCAACAGTGATGGCAGGCTGAAATTCCAGGCAAGTGCTCCCAGCATTCCAAGAGTGTATCAAATTAAAGCAACCCATGATGGTGGAGAACAGATACATTAAAGTTCCTTGAAAATGACAGAGTGGCTCTCAGACCAGACCTTGATTGTGGGTATAATCGGAGTGTTGCTACCACACCCTAACACTGCATTTCCCGTGTTTTATTGGTCCATGGAATTCTGAAAGTTTGCCTTTCGGGATGCTTCTAAAAACAATTCCATGGACCAGTAAGTTTGGAAAGTCCTGCGTGCCTCACTTCTCTTCAAAGGCAAAAGGCTCTGGAGAGGCCTTCATGAAGACATCTGTGTTTAATGCTGCCCTTCCCAAAGGTCTGTTTTTGACTGTCTTTTGAGAAATGATCCTCTGATCTCTAGGCAGAATGCCAGTGAGCCAAGGAATCCCAGTTAGCAGGAGGGGTGCACTCATGGGAAGACTGAAGAAGTTAAAAGTTCCCGCCAAGTGAAGGAGACCTATCTTGGGACACTTCCCCTTGTCCTCTCCCTTGCCCCTCTTGCTGGAGTAAAAGGATGGAACTGGGACTTGATAGGTTAAAGGAGGTGTGGAGAAGTGTCTTAGACCAGCTCTCCTGTTGTGGGCCTTAGGGAGAAGCACTCTCTTTCTTCGGGATCATTTTCCAAACATGCATTTTTGGATGGATAGGGTGGATCAGGGTGAGGGAAGGGAAACCAAACTCTCTCTAACCTTGCCCTTACAGCAATACCTGTGATGTAAGTTACAAAACCACCTGTGATGAAAGTGCTCCAGGATGCTTCATGCACCAGGGAGGGGTGCCCTGTTTCTCTTCTGCTAGCTTCTCCTTTCTTTTTTTTTTTTCTTCTTTTTTTTGAGACAGTGTCTCACTCTGTTGCCAGGCTGGAGTGCAGTGGTGAGATCTCAGCTCACTGCAGCCTCTGCCTCCCAGGTTCAAGCAATTCTTCTGCCTCAGCCTCCCGAGTAGCTGGTGTGTCTGGAGTTGGTTCCTTCTGGTGGGTTCTTGGTCTCGCTGACTTCAAGAATGAAGCCACAGACCTTCGCAGTGAGTGTTACAGCTCTTAAAGGTGGCACGGACCCAAAGTGAGCAGTAGCAAGATTTATTGTGGAGAGCGAAAGAACAAAGCTTCGGAAGGGGACCCAAATGGGCTGCTGCTGCTGGCTGGGGTGGCCACCTTTTATTCCCTTATTTGTCCCTGCCCATGTCCTGCTGATTGCTCCATTTTACAGAGTGCTGATTGGTCCATTTTACAGAGTGCTGATTGGTGCATTTACAATCCTTTAGCTAGACACAGAGTGCCGATTGGTGAGTTTTTACAGTGCTGATTGGTGCATTTACAATCCTTTAGCTAGACACAGAACACTGACTGGTGCATTTATAATCCTCTAGCTAGAAAGAAAAGTTCTCCAAGTCCCCACTAGACCCAGGAAGTCCAGCTGGCTTCACCTCTCACTGGGACTACAGGTGCACACCACCACACCCAGCTAATTTTTGTATTTTTAGTAGAGACGGGGTTTCACCATGTTGTTCAGGATGGTCTCGAACTCTTGATCTCGTGATCTGCCCGCCTCGGCCTCCCAAAGTGCTGGGATTACAGTTGTGAGCCACCACGCCCGGCCCTAGCTTTTCCTTTCTGTTGCAAGTCCTCTCAACTAGTGTTGCCTTCCACCCTACAAAGCAGAATTACCTCAGAAGTCCTATGGCCCTGACTCTATCTATGTCTGCACAAAGCACTACTGTGCTTTGCTGTCTGCAAGAACAGAGATTGTTTGCTTCAACCACTTTCTCTGAATGGATGAATGAGTTATGATGATATCTAAAGTTACCCAATTTCAAGCAAGAGGAAGAATCTGGCTCGGTACCACAGATGTTCTTGGAATTGGGATAGTAAAAAAGTCCCTGAGGCATCCCTTGGTCTGCTCTGACCACACTCTCTTCACAGGAAGAGGCTTGGGCCACAGCTCTGACTATAACTCTGCTCTTCCTCCAAACACAGCTGAGGAATTGGGTGGTGGGGCACCTGCTCCCATGCTCTGTGGCCTGGCTCAGAGAGAAGAGTTGCCTTAATTACATTATTATTCTTCCTGGACAGGCTGTAGGTTGTGTAAAGTAACAAAAAGGACTGAGAAGTGACTTCCCATTCAGCCTCTTCCAAGGCCATTTTTGATAGGCAGGTCAAATTCACTCACATTTGGTTATTTGTTGGCCAGTCTAGTGCATTCACCCTTGCTGGTCCTCAGTCATGCTCCTTTACCTTTACAGAGCATCCTAGACTGCTCTTCCTCTTACCTTCCTTGTGAAACCCACAACCCCTAGTCCCTCCCCTTCCCTGGCATTTGTTATGCCCTCTACCAATCCCTGACCTGGTATTGGTCAGTCTCCAATCCTGGTGGATCCCTGTGGGAACTAAGTTAAGTCTAACTTTTGTCTCCCTCTTTAGAATTTACTGGGAGTACTGTAAATAAACTATTGTTGTTATAATTATTTCTGATTAACATTTTTACACCTAACAAAGTCTCAGAGAGATTGAATTTACTGGGTTGAAGGGAGGAGCACCTTCCACATGACCTGCCCAGCAATTAAAGCCGCTTGTTAGTCCGAGGCCCAGGACGGCCGAGGACAGCTGGAGAGCTCTTCGTTGCAGGCAGCTCTGGTTAACATCAACCGGGAAAGCTCTTTGTAAACACATGAATAATTGATCGTCCAGCGCTCACATAGCTACCGCGGATCTGAGCCCGTATGACTCATTTGCGAGCCATTCCTGTCGTCTGGATGCCATAACATTGGAGGAATGATGATCGTTTCTTGGAGGTTCTTCTGTGGCCAGAGTTGCCAAGACCAAGGCTGTAATGGTTTGTTATGATGACCTTTGTTATTCCATTAGGCTCAATTGCTTTAAAAAATGATGTGTGCATACTTTAGGAACGTTTTTACCCTTTATGTTGACCTGACATCATAGTTTATATTATAAAATGTATTAATGACAGAAGAGTGTTTTCATGTCCCAAGGACAAATTTTAACAACCATAATCTGCCCTCAGTCATCATAAATATAAATGTATTGGTCAAACAGATCTCGTTAATGTGGCCAAGATAAATGCAAGTCTATATTTTAAGGCAGTCGAAGTCCTAGAGAATATATCTGGAGCTTTTGTGGGGCTAAGAGATCTTGTATATATGCTATCAAAAGGCTGAGAAAATTAACATGTTCCCCCCTCTGATTTTGCATTGGACAGATATAAATGTCTTGGGGATGTCAAGTAAGATTGTTCACATAGTTTCTGGACACCATTAATGCCTGATGGGGTGAATCTTAGTTCTTAAAGCTATATTCTGCTCATTATGCTCACAGGGCTTTTGAAAAGAGAACAAAATAAAGATTTCAAGTCTTAGCAATGTGCTGCCCAGCCAACATTTTTCTGAGTTATACTGTGTCTTAAATTTCTAATTATATCATTCTCCCCATTCCCCAATAGCTTGTTTCCTGTGGGACGAGCCCCTTTTCCACAGATGTGGGTCTGACATTTGCATCATTCCAGTTGGCAAGCCACATGTTGGTAGACAGTGTTCTGGGCATGATCTGGAGGACAGGATGAGTGCTTTGTTTTCTCTTTGTTATGCCATACTCAGCAGCTTTGGTCATTATTTGTAGTGTCCACATTAAGCTTCTTAGGGAGAAAACAAATCCTTGTTGAAGAAACATTTTTTAATAGTGCTATTATTTTGAACCATGAAAATGCATTTAAAGCAGTAATGTCTCAAATGCTACTGTCAGAGCAGACTCTTTACAGGAATGAGTTCATTTCCCCCAGATATGGTAAAAAAAAAACAACAAAAAACAAACAAACAAACAAAAATGGTGCCATAATTAGCCTCTCCAAGGATTATGGTCACCTGGCAATGAATGAAGAGCACTTCATTTAAAACCATTTACCCTTTTTCCCTTTGAAGAATCTTCTAAAGCGATTTTCCCTTCTGAATCTGCTGTCGTTTTTGGCAACACCAAGTATTGGGCTTTAGGAATGAGTTTTGCCTGGATAAATTTTCTGGGACTGGGGACTGGATTATTTTCTAAATTTGTGCTGTGATCATCTCCTGTGTTGTTTGAACTTCTTGAGCAATTTAAAAAGTGAGGTACACGCACCCATTTTCATAGCAGCGTTATTTACAATAGTAAAAGAAAAAAAAATGGAAATAGCCCATGTCCACTGACAGATGAATGGATAAACAAAATGTAGCCTATACATACAATGGAATATTATTCAGCCTTGAAAAGGAAAGAAATTCTGACACATGCTATAACATGGATGAACCCTGAGGACATTATGCTAAGTGAAATAAGCCAGTCATATAAGGACAAATACTATATGATTCCATTAATATAAGGTACTTAGAGCAGTCACACTGTTCTAGACATAAAATAGAAACAGAAAGTAGAATGCTAGTTGCCAGTGGATGGGGGAATGGAGAATGAGGAGTAGTTGTTTCATGGGTATAGTGTTTCAGTTTTGCAAGATGAAAAGAATTCCAGAGATTGGTTGCAAAACAAAGTGAACGTGCTTAATACTCCTGAACTGTACACTTAAAAAAAAATGGTTATGGTGGCCAAGGCAAGAGGATCACTTGAGGCCAGGAGTTCAAGACCAGCCTGGGCAACATAGTGAGACCCTATGTCTACAAAAAATGAAAGTATTAGCCAGGCATGGTGGCGCATGCCTTTAGCCCTAGCTACTTGGAAGGTTGAGGTGGGTGGATAGCTTGAGCCAAGGAGTTCACAGTTACAGCGAGCTATGATCACACCACTGCACTCCAGCCTGGGTGGTAGAGTGAGGCCCTGTCTTTAAAAGAATAAAAAAGGAGGTTATGGTGGTACATTTTATGTTACATATATTTTACCACAATTAAAAAATAACTTAAAATGGTACAACACTTCAGAGACTTGGAGTTGCGTTAATCCCAACTCTAAAGTCCCTTCCTGGAAAGGCATCCTAGGCTACTGCTGCTGAAAGAACACCGATCCCACGCAGCCCATTCAGAACTCTTCTTGCTGACACCAAAAAGAATAAGAAATTGCAATGTAATGTTTTTGAACTTGAGAGTGAGATGATTTAACTTCAGATTTTAATTTCTCATTTTGCCTTTTTTGGCCCTTAACTTGGAATTTAATTTTGGACTTCAGACTCCTTGGTAATTTGGTGTTAGAGGGGTTTATGTTCAAATCTAGAGCATCTTATTGTCATTTTATTGTTGAGGTACCTTTGTGATATCACTTGATTTTGCTGCACAGTCTCTGATAGGTTCTGTTGGGCAGTGTGATGTCTGGACATAATTTGAGATGGAAAATAGAAAAGGATCGACAATTTTTATCTTGACTACAGAAAGGCCTTGAAGAACACAATGTACTGTACTGGCCCATCTCAGAACCTTATGGGGCAAAAACACACAGTACCTTTCTAGAAAGATCTACATGGAAGTGACACTGGAGATGGGGGTAGGAGTTTATTCCCTCTCTGAAGATGCTATCCCTATAATATATATACCTATATATGACTGGGTATAATGTGTAAGCACAATGGGCTCAAAGAACAAAAAATTGAGGAATTTGGGGATACAGATAACTTAGCTACAATAAATGTGTTATAATCACACTCATCCCTCGTATGTCCAAATGAAGAGACATTCCTTAGTCTTGGCCCCTCTCTGCCTCCTCACACTCTCTTGTTTGGGGGAGATCTGATTGGTAAATTTGGAAGCAGTGAGTTTGAGCTCTGCTCTTTCTCCTTCTCTTTTCTACTTGGGCTCTTGCTGCCTTCAAGGTGCTAGGACCCTGGTCCCTTTGGTCCAAGTGGTGATTTTGGCAGAAAAGACCCTTCCCTAGTTGGGAGATACCTGTAGTTCTCCAGTTTTGTGCAAGGCTGGGGAGATAAATTCAATATTGGGATTCAGTATTATTGATAAAACCTAGGCTGGAGGATGTAGTTTAGGAATACAAAAGCAATGGAATTTCTATCAGAAAAAAAGCAGATATTTTGATCTCAAAACAAAACAAAACAAAACTAAAACCTGCAAACAAAACCCAGTGTACCTTGCATTTGTAAAGTGCCATGAAACCTGCAGTGCACCTTCATCCACTCTATATGATTAGATCTTGCTGATGACCCAGTGAGGTAGGATAGATGTGAAAGTCTTTTGTAAGCTGCTTACGTATCATCATTCTTCTTCTGAATGCATAACGCATGTCACTGAGCTTTGGGGAGGTTAACTAACTTGTCCACATTATAGGTGATGGGCTAGAGTTAGAACTCAAGGCTTGTGCCTTCTGGCAATGCTACAAAATAAGTTGGCAAGAATGAATTCAAAGTGTGGTAGTACCTTCATCCGGAAACTGGTTTGATCCTACAATCTTGTTTTAAAACAATTGCTTATGACTTACTGAAAGGACCTTTAAGACTGGTGTGTGTATTTGTATCACCTGTGAACCATGGGTAGATTCCTGTGTCAGATTCTCAGATATCCTGATTTAGTAGTTCTGCAATGGAACCTAGAAATTCTCATTTTTATAAAGACTCCAAGCTCTTCAAAACTTTTACTTGATTTTCTGTAGACCAAGTTTCCATCACTCCTACTCACCCCACATTAATGTTGACATTCTTCTTAGTGGTATGTAAAGAAATACTGGAGGAACAAATTCTGGCTTTCTGAGAAAAATGGAACCCATTAGACTACTTCATGGTTAAGCATGGATGTGCTCATTTTGAGTGATGGGGTCACACTGATCCAAACACACCTCCCCCAGCCCTCAGGGGACCACAGCCCCACTTTTGGATGCAGCAGAGGATCGTGTATGCCCTGAAAGGGAGTGAAGCTCTGAAGGCACCAAACCCACAACCTGAGCCTCCACGCAACAAAGTCAATGACCACATCATTAACGAATCCTGAATTTGTCAGCCAAGCAGAGGCAATGCTTGGGGCTTAACGATTGTCCACATATCATGTAACAAATGACCGTGTGTGCATGCATGTGTGGGGGAGTAAATGAGAAAGCATGTTTTGTAAGAAAATTTAATTTCCTTATAACAACCAACCAGTTTCTTTTAGTGAATCAACAGATAAGGGGGTCCCAAATACAGCATTAACGATTTTAAAAGCATGAGTGCCAATGGTATTTTCTTTCTTTTTCTTTCTCTTTCTTTCTTTTTCTCTTTCTCTCTCTCTGTCTCTCTCTCTTTCTTCTTTCTTTCTCTCTTCCTCTCTTCCTTTCCTTTCTTTCTTTTTAAAGAAAGGCAAGGTAAAGATTGGGAATGTTGATGAACGATGGCCCCATTCTCTAAGAGCTCAGTGAGAGTCTGTGTCAACTTGTTTTCCTCTCTTCCTCCCTCCTAGCCAAGCTTCAGAGGAAACTCTTTTCATGTGAAATGTAAGGGATGAATTTCAAGCTCCACTGAGAGCTTTAAAACCTTAAATTCTTGAAATAACCTGCCTCTCAGGAATCATAGGTCCCAAAGAATTGTAAAGCTTTCCCTTAAGCTGTGGAATGGCTCCATTGCTAACTATGATTACTTAAGTCTCAGAATAGAAGGATGTAATAAATCTGACAGTATTTGTTCTGGTTTGTGACTAAGCAAAACTGTATAATATTAAATCAGATGTTGTTATAAACATATGAAATGGCACATTTTTTTCCAACTTGGGGCATTGTGGCATGAAGCATCCCCCCAAAAATGTTTTTGCATTCTTGGATACCAGCTCTGGTTTCTGCTAGATTTCCTTCTTTCTGAGCATGGATGCTAAATAACAGTGCTTCTTTTTAGCCATCTGTATTTCCTGTGAGTTAGCAGGGCTGAGGAGACCTATTCTCATTTCTTTGTGTGCTTCTCTATGGGGTGGAACTGGAGACTCAGGCAGAGCGTGTGGATTTCTGTGTGTGTGTGTGTGTCTGTATGTGTGTCAGGTGGAGGAATGAATGGCATCCTAACACCCTGGAATGTTTGGGTTGGAAAGGCTCTTGGATACAAACTAGTTAACTCACCTCCTCATTACCCAGGTCATATTTTTAAGCTTAGGTCCAAATGTGTGGGAGAGAGAATGCTGGAAAGATCTGGAGGTTGGAAGGTTGGAAGGAGTTTTGAAATGGGAGGGAATTCAGCCATTGCTTTCACTCCTCTTCCCGCCTGAGTCCTCAACAAAAGGGACATTTCCCCTTCTTTTAAAGACTTCCTGATAAAAGGAGTCTTCATGGACACCCCCATAAGCATAAGGCAGCACAAGGGAGGGAGCTCCGGTGGTGGCGGAGTTGGGACACTCAGGCACATGGTTGCAGAGGCGCAAAGGTGTGACCGTTCTAGGTGTATCTTCCACAGGGCCCTCGTGGAAGGGACCAACTGCATCCCCTAAAACTGCCAGGGCAGCTTCCCATGATGCTGGGCTGAGTCCAGATTTCTAGATTTGGCTGGTGCAAGCTCCTGGTTTGCTAGAAAATTGCTGATGAAATAGGAGGGTTGTCAGGCCATGGGACAAATCTGCCGCTGTCCTCAGGGGTCACCCTGCCTGGCTTTGTGTGCTGACAGTCATGACCCTTTGGACGTCTGCATGTTTGTCTCTGGGTGAGTGGCTGTGTTGGCATTTAGTTTTCATTTGCTATATGATGAGCAAAGAACCACAAAGAAGTCCTAAACACACCTGGTGCTAAAAAGTGATTACCCTTGCCCTTGTTTTAGGACTTACAGCTACTTTTTCTTTCTGTAGCTTCCAAATATTTTATTTTTTATAATTAAGAAAGTAAATTTATATTAAATTTCTTTTCTGAGACAGAGTCTCGCTCTGTCACCCAGGCTGGAGTGCTATGGTGCAATCTCAGTTCACTGCAACCTCCGCCTCCAGGACTCAAGCCATCCTCCCACCTCAGCCTCATGAGTAGCTGGGACCCAGCTCTGCCTGGCTAAATTTTGTATTTTTTGTGGAGATGAGGTTTTTTATGTTGCGCAGGCTGTTCTTGAACTCCTGGGCTCAAGTGATCCACGTGTCTTGGCCTCCCAAAATGCTGTGGGATTACAGTTTTGAACCACTGTGCCCAGCCTATGTTAAAATTAATTTTTCCATTTAAAATGTCGTTAATTAAAATTCATAAAATTTATATCAAAATCATAGCCTAGAATCTCTGCATATGTAAGAATCACTTTTTAAAAAGATGATTTAGGATGTTGATAGCATCTTATGAATTGTTTAGAGCTGCACTGTCTGACATGGTAGCCATTAACCACGTGTGGTCATCGAGTGCTTGACACGTGGCCAGTAGAAATTAAGATGCGCTGTGTATGTAAAATACACACCCAATTTCAAAAACTCAGTACAAGTGAAAATGTAAGCTATTTTCGTAATTTTTGTATAATGATTACATGTGAAATGATAATAGCTTATATAATATTAGGTTAAAGAAAGCATTAGAATTAATTTCATCTGTCTCTTTTCACCTCTTAATGTGGTTACTAAAAAATTTTAAATTACATATGTGAGTGTTGTATAAAGAAGAGAAGGTTAGCATTCCCCTTGACAAGGATGGAAGAGGCCTGTACAACACTCATATAACTTCGGCATTGCCACCTTCTTTGTAGCATCTAACCATGGTTTTGAGGATGGAAAATGATTGTGTAATTGGTACGAGGTTTCCTTTGTGATGATTAAAATGTTCTGGAACTAGATAGTGGTGTCAGTTACACAATATTGTGAATGCACTACATGCCACTAATAGTAAATGTTATGTATCTTTTACTGCAATAAAAAATTATGTGTGTCTCACATTATATTTCTATTGTGCAATGGGTGTTTAAAGAGGTAGAGGGTGTGGCTTTGCTTACAATAGTGTCTCTAGAATGGGGAAGAAATTGAAAGATACAATGATGGGATGAAGACTGCAGGAAGGGGTTGGAATTCTTTTCTCTCTCCTTTTGGTAAAAGTATGAGCATATATTTAAGTTTCCTGCCTTCTTTGCAGTCTGTCCCTGGGGGCCCCGACCTCTTGCAGCTCCTGACTCTTGACAATGCCTTCTTGTTGATCTCATCTCACTTTCCTCCACACTTGGCCGGCTGCCCACCGCTGTGTTTCTCTCTGAGATAATCCTGTCCCTATGATTCCTCTGGTTTACGTGGTGTTAAGGTGTTAGGGATCTTGACAGTTAAAAGTAACACAGAACACCCAGATCAGGCTCCACAAGCCTCCCCAGCCTCAGGCATTGCTGATGAAGAAAAAGTAAAGTCTTCTGTGCATCTCTGGAATCAGCTTCTAAAGAGTGACCCCTGGGAGGCAAGCCTGATGTGTGGTGCTCAAAGTCGGGACAGTGGTTACACTGGGTGGGAAGGAGGTGGGCGGTGATGGGGCCAGGTGCAGACAAGAGATTCTGGCCATGGGAAATACTCTGTTATTGATCTGGTGCTGATGACCCAAGTCTGTCCACTTTGTGAAAATGTATTGAGCTTGCGACTTGTGTACTTGTCTGAATGTGCATTACACATTAGTAGGAAGTTAAAAAACAGAACACATCACCCTGTAAGGCACATATGTTTCTGAGTGAAAAGCTAGCAGCCTGTGGTGAGCGAATGTGGTAGGGTGGGGACATGTTCTATGAGAATGGCCATCAAGGGTCCCCTTCCTGTGGGGACCTGGATTGACGATGCCTGTCAGAGTCCTGGAGGGGTGGGTTCTGCAGGTCCGTCCCACAATCCAGTCCCCAGATTAGAGATTTGTAAGTGGGTGACCCGCCTTGGAAAATTCCCCTCAGCACCTCTTATGTCTCTTGGCTCTCCATGTGGGGCACCCATACACATACAGAGCAGAACAGACCTGATTTTACATTTATCTTTTACTTTTTTTTAGAGACAGGGTCCTGCTCTGTCACCCACGCTGCTGCAGTGCAGTGGTGTGATCACAGCTCACTGTAGCCTCGATCTCCTGGGCTCAAGCAATCCTCCCGCCTCAGCCTCCCAAGTAGCACATGCCTGGCTAATTTTTAAAAATTTTTTTGTAGAGATGGAGTCTCCCTGTGTTGGCCAGGCTGGTCTCAAACTTGTGGCCTCAAACGATTCTCCCATCTCAGCCTCCCAAAGTGCTGGGATTACAGGCATGAGCCACTGTGCCCTGCCTTTTTAAAAAAATGTAAATTCTCAGTCCACAGTGTTGAGGATGTGAGAGTGAAGGGCTGCTCATCAAGAGGCTTGCTTAGTTGTTGAGTGTAGGTAAGACACTTAAAGAGAGTCACATTCTTGGGAGAAACTAAGATTCTTCCCTTGCTGTAAGAGGACACCATAAGAAGCCAAGGGTTGGCTCTGAACAGAGGGTCAAGCCAACCAGGCCCTGCTGTTATCACCTACGGAAATCCTGTGTGGCAGTAAATACAGTCCTCAGCAAAGCCTGGAGAAGAGATTACAGGGGGCACAGAGGGGCTGGGGATGCTAATGTGGAGGTTATTGGCCAGATAGTGGCCAGGAAACCAGAGACTAGGGGGGGTTCAGTTGGAGGAGCATAGGCGGAAATGGGAGAGAAAAATAAATAAATGAGATAAGCAACTTCATTTGCTTCCTCCCTTATTACTCTTTTGTTTTGTGTTTAGGACTCTGGTCTCCCCTGAGGTTGATCTCTTCTTCTGGGGACAACAGCCTGCAGGGTGATTTTGAAAAGCAGGCTCTGACTTCTACTTCCTTGTCCTGTACTCACCCCACCTGGTGTAATTCACCGTAATGCAGTGAACTTCCACATGGCTGCTGGGCATGCTTCCCAAAGCCAGCCCCTGGGCAGGGTTTCCCTTAATTTAGACCCCTGTCCCTACCTCTCCAAGTGCAAAGTGTACAAGGCTACACGCCCAGCTGCCCCCCACCCCCATACACACACTGGAGAGACCAAATGTTTGAGATCACTGTTGGGTAGCTGGGTCAAGAGAGCTTCATAACAATGTTGTTGGCATGTGGAGAGCTTTTCTTTTTCTTGGATCCCAACTGGAAATTATCAGCTTCGCCCCATGCTGACATGCGAATGTCCAGGCCTGCCTTTCTGCTGCAGGGCAATGCTCCAGGTTACAACATCGACACCAAGCAGTTTGTTGAGAAAACTTTGGACCTCATGAGCTGGGCAAGAGCGGCCTGGCAGGTGGTAGGAGAGCAGCCTGTCCATGCCTCAGCTGTGGCTCCACTGGCTCTGTGACTGTGCAGATTTTCTAACTTTTGAAGACCTCTGTTTGGATATCCATAAAATAGGTAAGATGGTGCTAATACCTACCTGTGATGTTGTGAAGATTTAATAGCATAATACTTAAAAGCACTTTGCATACATTAGCAAAGTGCCTAAATATTAGTTATTTGGCGGAGGCTATTAACCAGTGTGCTATGAGGTGCAAAGTAAGTTGTTACCAATAACTCAAAGAACTCCAGTTTGCAAATGTTTTACTTTTACTTAAGAGAATCTTTGCGGGAGAATTAAAACCAATTAATTCCCACCACTGGCCAAGAGCTCATGCTGTAATTATCCAAGACAGAATAGCTCAACAGAAAACCAAGTCATGCAATTCTGAGCACTTGTCCTTGGGATGCCACTTTGGGGCTCCCATATCTGAAATCATTTTGTTCTCAGTCCACCTGTGTGACATTTCTGTCCTGCTCAGCCACGGGTTCACAATAATCAAGGGAATGACCCAAGGGATTCACTTCTTCCAAGCAGCCGATGCCTTTGGAAGTTATGTTGACATTGCTTGTTTAAACCTAGGGCAAGAAATCCTTTCTCTGCCAGACCTGACTCTTCAGGCACACTCCTCAGTTTGGAGACGTGACTTGCCATGTAGTACTGAGAGGGAAAACAGGCCAGAAACAGCCTTGTTGAAAACTTCTTTTCTGCTTAGCTGCCCTCTGAACAGTCACCATAAAGATTGTGAGGTGCTGGAGCCAGGGATGACCTCATAAAGCCCTTTGCTAAATACTTAGTGAGCTGGTACTGTGGGCCAGGCACTGTGCTCATCATGAACAAAACCAAGGCAGACAACACTGTCATTAATGGAGCTTATCATGTAATACGGAAGCCTGGGATAAGCAACAAATTACACAAGTGACAAATGTGATGAGTGCTGTGAAGCAGAGTGCGGGGTGCCCAGGGAATCAGCAGAGCCCTGGAGGATAACAGCCTGAGCTCCAGGAAGGAAGGTTGTGGTGGTGCTTAGGGTCAGAGTGGGGACAAGCATTCCAAGCAAAGGGAAAAGCACATACACATGCTATATTAGTCAGGTTTCTCTAGAGGGACAGAACTAACAGGATAGATGTATAAATGAGGGGGAGCTTATTAAGTAGTATTGACTTGCATGAGCACAAGGTGAAGTCCCACAATAGGCTGTCTGCAAGCCGAAGAGCAGGGAAGCCAGTCCGAGTCCCCAAACCTCAAAAGTAGGGAAGCTGACAGTGCAGCCTTCTGAAGGCCCCAGAGCCCCCGGCAAACTGCTGGTGTAAATCCAAGAGTCCAAAAGCTGAAGAACTTGGAGTCTGTTGTTCGAGGGCAGGAAGTATCCAGCACGAGAGAATGATGAAGGCTGGAAGACTCAGCAAGTCTACTCCTTCCATGTTCCTCTGTGTGCTTTTATTCTGGCTGTGCTGGCAGCTGATTAGATGGTGCCCGCCCAGATTGAGGGTGGGTCTGCCTCTCCCAGTCCACTGACTCAAAAGTTAATATCTTTGGCAACACCCTCACAGACACATCCAGGAACAATAGTTTGCATCCTTCAATCTAATCAAGTTGACACCTAATATTAACCATCATACATCCCCTCCATGGGAAGGAGCATGATGCCTTATATAGTCTACTACCCTCAAACCAATCCTACTCCCTCATCCCCAACACCTTCTTCCCCTGGAACTCTAGATAGAGTTTCTTGACTAGACACATAAGCACAATTAGGCTATGCCTAATTATGAAGCCATCCCGGTTTATACATTTTCTTGTTATACTTGCCTATTTACAAGTTTTTCTTGTGAAAACTTGCCTATTCTTTTTGCTGCCTCCTCTCCACCCTAAAAGAGAAACTCTAAGGAAACACTCCCAGAGTTTATTATAGTTATTATGACTCAGATTTGAAGACTAGAATTTAATGGAGGTTTTCCTAACATTCCTTGGGGACTTGAAGGACTTTTTTTCCCACCAGCCACAGAAGTAAGATTATAAAACATTTATTTATTAAAAGAAAAGAAATCTTCTGGGCTCAAAGTTCTAGTTATTCTAAAAGCAGAGCACTTGTTCCATGTTTTCATATCGCCTCCCCACACCTACCTCTCCTCTCCCATTCTCTATTTCTTTATTTCTGTGCTGTAGTAATAAGCAAAACAGAGAAGCAATTGGTTTTAGTCTTGGATCTTGACCTTGCTGTGTGGCCTTGGCCAAGTCACTTCCCCTTTCTCAGCCTCAGTTTCTTCAAGTGTAAAATGAGAGATTGGATGGATCAGAAGATTCAGGCCTCCTTGAAAATCCCCATGGGTGAACCCCAACACACAGGCTATTCAGCCAGCAGCCCCAAGTCCTTTATGAAAAGCCAAGGTTGATTGAAACTCTCCCTTCTCAGGAGAGAAACTAGAGGCAAAGCTTCCTCATCAGCAGAGATAAACTTGGCAGGAGCCAATTCAGGTACCAGTAAAGGATATCTTCTTCTGCAGGCCAGCCTCCCTCTCTCCAGCTTGGTTCAATCCTGCATTCATTGACACTGCACTTCTATAAGCCCTTAGAACTCTGGGAATTCTCTCCTAGTTTTCCTAGGTATGCTTGCTGTTTCTACATGGGTTTCCTGTGAATGACCAGACCAATAATCAAATGCCTCCAGGACCCATAACACAAATGAGAAGAGTTCTCTCATTATGACAGGTAGGACCATGGCCAACTCAGGGCTCGTGCTTGATCGAAGGGGATCTGTGTTAGTCAGCATTCTCCAGAGAAATGGAACCCATTGGATAGATATGTAAAGAGATTTATTATGGGAGTTGGCTCATGCAATTGTGGAGTCCTAGAAGACCCACCACCTCCTGTCTGCAAGCTGGAGAAACAGCAAAGCCAGTGACGTAATTAAGTCTGAATCCAAAGGCATAAGATCAAGGAGAACTGATGGTGTAAGTCCCAAAGTCCAAAGGCTTGAGAACCAGGAGCTCTGATATCTAAGGGAAGATGTCCCAGCTCCGGAAGACAGAATTCACCCTTCCTCTGCCTTTTGTTTTATTTGAGCCCTCAATGGGCTGGATGATGCCTATTCACATTGGTGAGGGTGGATCTTCTTTACTCAGTCTACTGATTAACACCTGTTCCAGAAACGCCCTCACAGGCACACCCAGAGATATTGTTTTCCCAGCTATCTGGGCACCCCTTAGCCCAGTCAAATCAACACATAAAATTAATCATCATAGGCTCTAAGTTCTACTTAGCTCCAACCAGTTGGAGTCATTTTGGAATAAGTGTAAAGTGTTTTCAGATATTCTGATCTTACAAGTGAAGCTGGAAATTAGCATTTTTAAGTAAAGATGACTCAATTAAGAAAAAACAAAAACAAAAACCATGGCACGAGCAGAAGACGGTGCATCAGATTCAGGCCTGTGGTTGCTGGTTGGTTACCTGTGGGTGTAAGCAAAGTACTGGGTCCTTTCCCATTCTAGACTATATTTACAAAATCAGTAATGCTTAGCTATGCATTCTTTCATTTAACAATTATTTGTCAACTACCATGAGCTGGTATTATGTAGAATGCTGGTAAAATAGATAACTAAGACCCAACACATGTGTAAATGAGAATGAGTGTGATATAATCAATGTCTCCTGGGCTAGGTGTCTCTTTTTTGCTTCCACAGCACCTGTGTATACTTCCATTATGGCATGTAACATGCTGGCAAGAAATTGATTCATTGGGTTGTGTCTTCTCAGCTGCCTGAAGAATGAAATCATATACTCTAGTTTCATATGCCCAGCATTGTACACAACTTGACACATCACAGCAGCTCTAGGAAAGCACATAGGCTGACAACTGAGTGAACAACCCACTGACTGTGTGTCGTTCAGGGTTGGGAAAGCAAGGGCAGGTCTCTGTGCCCCATCTCTAGCTTTTCCTCAACTTAGGCTTTATAAACCCTTGCATCAAAAAATAAAAGCTAAGGCTAATTGTTTCAAATTAGGCTATCTTATTTCTACCCAGTAACTTCCCCACCACCAAGAAAGGAGTAATTTAAAGGAGCAAACTGTAGAAATAAATAGGAATAAAAGCATTACCTCTGAAAGCCAAGGCCATTAATTCATTAAAAAAAAAAAAAAAATCAAAGCCCGGGCGTGGTGGCTCATGCCTGTAATCCCAGCACTTTGGGAGGCTGAGGTGGGTGTATCACCTGAGGTTAAGAGTTTAGACCAGCCTGGCCAATGTGGTGAAACCCCATCTCTACTAAAAATACAAAAAAGTTAGCCAGGCGTGGTGGCAGGTGCCTGTAATCCCAGCTACTCGGGAGGCTGAGGCAGGAGAATCGCTTGAACCTGGGAGGCAGAGGTTGCAGTATGTCGAGATCACACTATTTACATTCCAGCCTGGGCAACGAGAGCAAAACTCCATCTAAAAAAAAAAAATCAAGATGAATAACATACTCTTATGTAACAGGTGAAAGTCTTAAAGGACTTAAAGGAAAGTCTTAAAGTAAAGTCTTAAAGGACTTCACTTCATGTGTGAATTCTCAGTGTAATGGAAAATCCATTGGTTTAGGAATCAGATCACCTGGCTTTTAGTCCACTTCTGCAACTGTGAGATCTCAAGTAACCTACTGACTCCATCTGGGCCTCAGTTTCCTTCACTGTAAAGTGAGAGGTAATTGGAGGATCTCCAGAGTTACTTCTGGGTCTCATAGACTGTGCTTCCTGGCAACCAGTTGCCTCTTCTGAGACCACCTGGCCTGGTAGGAAGAAAAACACAAAGAAATATATGAGTAAACATAATCATGCCTCCTTCTGCAACAGTAGCCATAACTCTGCTCTCCACAGGACAAAGGAATGAGTAATAGTGCAGTTGAAATCTCATCTACTTCCCTCTTCTTCAAGAACCAAGGGGCTGCTCCAAACATCTTGAAATGCAACATAAAACACAAACAGACCACACCAGAGACCAGATCCAGGTTTTAACAGCACTTTGATGCTTGGCAGATTTCTCTGGATTTGTTTTTTAGGCTGACACACAGCGCCTCTCCGTTCACCCTGCAGCATTCTCTAACTGGGACTTCAGAAACCCATTAGGAAAAGGAGTGCAGGGTGTGGAGTAAGGGAAGGTTTGGATGAAAGGCTAGGAAATGCTCCCTCAGGGGAAGGGAAATCTGGCACCATCAATAACTTTAAGTCTATAAAATTATTTTCTTCTGGGACTAAAAGCTCACATGATACACTATATTTATCACTCACTGAATCTCATTGTCTTATTCAAAATTTCCACTTCCTACAGTTAACTTCTTTTGGCCCATGACCTGTCACATTTCTTTTATGGCTAGTATATTGAATTTCAACTATCAGCAGTCATTTATTAAAAACAAAACACATCCACAGAAAACCAGGCAGACACAGCTTGATTAATAACAAGTCGGTGCTTTCCTCTCATACTTCTTTCAGGTTAGAGAAGTTGGAAAACTGCTAATGAGTCTTCTGTACCTTTTAAAGAAATGTCTTAGAGTAATCTTACAATTAGGAGTTTCCTATGTCAGGTAGAAATTAAATGCTTTGAAAGCTTCCAGTTTCAAAAAAGGTGGTGAGCTAGCACAGGATATTGGCTTCCTCCCAAAGCCCAATCTTGAAGTGAGAGGAAGTTGCCAGATCCTGAAAATGAAGAGAAAAGCTGTAGAGATTTTCATGGTGAGGGTGGGAGACATGGTAAGGGTGAGACTGGGGGAGGGCAAAATGTCACAGACACTTTGGGTGTGATGAGTAATTTTATGTCAGCTTGACTGGACCAAGGATGCCCTGACATTTGATCAAACATTATCCTGGGTTTGTCTGTGAGGTTGTTTCTGGATAAGGTTGGCATTTGAATTGGTAGACTGAGTAATGCAGATTGCCTTTCCTAATATGGGTGGGCCTCATCTAATCAGTTGAAGGCTTGGCTAGAACTGAAGACTGAGAAAGAGGAAAATTCTTCTGCCGGACTATTTGAGCAGGAACATCGGTCTTTTTCTACCTTTGGATTTGAACTAAAACATCAGCTCTTCCTGGGCTTTGAGCCTGCCACCTTTTGGACTGGAATTTACGCCATCAGCTCTCCTGTTTCTTAGGTGTTTGGACTCAGATTGGAATGACACTTCGGCTCTCCTGGGTCTTCAAGTTGCTGACTACTGACCTTGAGACTTCTTGGCCAGCCCCCATAATCCTGTGAGCCAATTAGTCTCCTGTTGGTTTTGTTTCTCTGGAGAACCTTGACTAACATACTGGAGTTATGCCTGGAAAGTGCTTGCCAGTTGGTTTCTTTCTTTCCTTCATATTTATCTGGATGGATCACTGCCCACCACATTGACCCTATAGGACAGGAAAATAGTTATGCCTCTCAAAGGCAACAGAATAAGATCCTAGATCCTGACCAGGATAGTCAATAGAGATTTGCTGGACAGGCCACTCTGAGGATTCCCTTACCAAAACCTTTTTAACATTCCATTTTACCTCCTCTACTGGTTACTTACCTCTTTCCATTTTTTTTTTAGCAATTGTTCTAGGGATTGCATATGCATCCTTAACTTATCACTTAGAGCTAATATTGCATGAAATATAAGAGCAATATGCAATATGATAGCAATGTCCTGCTGATGCTTTGGGCTTAGAGATTACCACAGAGAAAGACAGCCTCTGAAAAGAGCAGTGCCTGAGTGGAGGTTCTGGGCATTACTACATACCTAGGAATTATAGCAGAATGCAACATCATCCTGAAGTGCTTAGAAGCGTGCCCCTTTCCCAACTCACTTGGAGTCTATACAATCTAGGCATTTGACTCTCCTCCAAGGTATATACGAACAGTAATGGTAGCTGATAGGATTTCAGAAGAAAAAAAAAAAAAAAGAGAATTCTGAGGAACACAAACATCAGTAAAGAAAGGCCAAAAACTGAACAACATATACCAGAGGAAGCAGAGTTAAGGGTCTGGGAAGAACAGGAATATAAATAAATGTAATAAGTATTTTCAAAATTCTAATAAAGGATGTTGGAAACAAGAAGCAGATATAAATTATGAATAGGAGCCAAATGGAAATACAGGGTAGAAAAAATATAATAGTTGAAATAGAGAGTTCAGTGGGATGAAAGTATTTTTTCTTCCTTCCATTTCTTTAAAATATATGAGTGTTTAAAGCAAAAATTAGAGTACTCTCTTTGGGGTTTATAATGTATTGAGATATAATATGTATGTAACAATAGCACAAAGGCTGGGAGTGGACAAATGGAATTATACTGTTGCAATATGCTCTTATATTTCAGGCAATATTAGCTCTAAGTAATAAGTTAAGGATGCATATACAATCCCTAGAACAACTGCTAAACAAAAAATGCGAAGAGGTAAAGCTAAGTAGCCAGTAGAGGCGATAAAATGGAATGCTAAAAAATATTCAGTCATTCGGGTGCGGTGGCTCATGCCTGTAATCCCAGCCCGTTGGGAGGCCATATAAAACCCAAGTTTCTACTTTATGAAACTAGAAGAAGAAGAGCAATTAAACCCACAGTAAATATAAAGAAAGAAATGCTAGGGATAAGAGAAGAAATCAATCACATACAAAATAGAAAAATAATAGAGACAACTAACAAAATCAAAAATTGGTTATTTTGGAAGATTAATGAAGTGAAACATATGTCCACAAAAAGACTTTACAAGAATGTTTATAGCAACTTTATTCATAATAGACAATAACTGGAAACCAATGTCTATGAATAGAAGAATAGATAGATCAATGTGGTATAGTCATACAATGGTATACTACTGAACAATACAAAGGAAAGAACTGTTAGAACACACAACAGCATGGATCAATGTCTCAGACATGCTGAGCAAGAGGCAAAACAAAAGGGAGTAGATACTTTATGATCCCATTTATATGAGGCCAAGAACAGGAAAACAGACAAAAATCTATGGTGAAAAAAATAAAATATAAGAAATGGCTGCTGGTGGGAAGGTGGTTGACAAAAGAACTTTCTGGGATCATGGAAATGCTTTATATCTTGATAGCTGTGTGGTTAGATGGGTGATTTCATTTACCACTACTCATCAAACTGCAGTTAAAATCTGTGCATTTCACTTCTGAAGATTGTATATGAAGAAGAACTGTAAGCAAACATTAAACTTATTATGAAGTTTGCTTGTTGAAGTAGTAATGGTTAGCAAAAGAGTAAAAATATTGAGGATAATGGGAGCCAGATTTCCCATTGTTGGAGTTACAAACACAGCAAGAAGGATGAGTAGAATGTACTCTGTGTTGTTGAATTGAGATTAGGGGTATCAGTCTGAACATCAGTATAATAAAATACATGATATATTATATATATTTCCTAGCCATTGTCACCTGAAAAGACCTAAAAGCCATGCCACATCGGCGGCAATGGTTCTATCTAATGCCCAGATCCTGGTTTCTAAATACCACCTTCCATTAAAAGAAATCAGCGTTCTTTGGAGAAAAGGCTGATTCCAGGGCTGGGGCAGAAGTCAACAATGAGCCTAGAACATCTTGTTTGTGCTGGAAAGTCAGGAAGTGCTTGTCCAGTAACGAGGATATGTTAAAACCATATTGGAGCTAGCCTGAAGTGGCTGTCACAGGCCAAATCTATTATAATTTTATAATTGAATAGTAATAAATTAAACTCATTTGACAAAATGAAAATCCATTGATCCATATTGATATTGTCAGTCAATGAATAAATAAATAAATACGGGTAAAGAACAAGCTCTTCCTTACAGCAGAAGGAATGTTGGAGTTAGAAAATTATCAATGGGTGCTAAAACTGAAAAGTGAAAATTTAGGGAAGAAAAGAACATTTACATTGTCTCAAAGGATCTTGCAAAATATTACTTATTAGTTACGAAGGTGAAAATACTACCCTTACAGTGGAGAAATATGGCAGTTTTCACCTTACATCAAGAAGCTTTAGACAAACCCAAATTGAGGAATATTCTACAAAATAACTGATATGTCCTCTTCAGAAAAGTCAAGGTTAAGAAAAAAGGCTGAGAAACTGTTCCAAATTAAAGGAGGTTAAAGAGATAAGCCAACACAGCACAGTGCATGATCCTGGACTGGATACTGGTTTGGGAGAGCAGAATAGCTCTGTGCCCAGTACTGGGACAAATGTTACCATTTGAATATGCAATGTAGATTACATAATCATATTGTATTATGTCAGTGTTAAATATCCAGATTTTGATAATGGAACTGTGACATATAAAAGAATGTTTGTGTTTTTAAGGAAATAAACATTGAAATATTTAGGGATAAAGGGGCTGATATCTCCAGCTTACTCTCAAATGATTAAAAATGCCTACATATAAATAGATAGAAATAGGAAGTAAGGAAGCAAATGGGGCAAAATATGAAATGATTAATAAATCTAGGTAAAGAGTATATGGGCATTTCCTGCACTATTCTTTCAATTTTTCTTTAAATTTGAAATTGTATCAAAATTATAAGTTACCAACAAAATCCATGGGGAAAGGATTGTTTAGTAGAGGCAATCGAAATAGTGAGGAGTTAAAGGCAACCATAAATCTCTTCCCAAGGAACGAATAGTTATGTCAGACACAAATAATGGAATACAATGCAGAGTCAGAATTTTTAAATTATTTATCTGTCATCTATCTTATTTATCAATCAATCTTGAAAGGACAACATGACTAAATCTCAAAAATATATTTTTGCATGAAAAAGTAATGAATATAACGAGATCCACAGATAAATACGATTTGTGTACATTAATCACATATATGCAATAATATCATCATATTTACAGGTATGGACCTAACTAAGAACATAAAGTAGATACCCAGGAGTGGGTGCTTATGGGAGAGAAATGAATGAAAGTCAGGCTGGAAGAATAAAAGGAGAAAATAATAAAGTAAAATAACATAAGAAAGGAGCCTTGCAAGGGATGATGATGATGATATGACATGGACAGAAAAATATGATTAAGTTAAATATTTGCCACTGGTGTCCCAAAAATAGGAGGTGGTGGAAGAAAGGAAACAAAATGTGGAGTCCCTTTCAAGATGCCATTTAGACTCAGGTTTTTAGTTGATTCATTCATAAAACACATACTTGCCTGTGCACCAGGCACCTTGCTAGATGCTGGGAAAATAGTTTGAACGAGATAGGAACTAGGAACATCTTACAGTCCAGGAAACTAACCCCAGTGAGTGTTAGTATGTCACCGGAGAAGGCCAAGGATGGTATTTGCGATGAGGAAAGTTCAGAATAACTACCTTTTGCTGAGTTTGCCCAATTAATTCTGCTTCTATGAATGAATCATAGGAAGCCACTTTACCATTTCCCTTCAATTTATGCCTCCTTGCTATTTGGAGAATTTCCTTTAATTCCTGTTCTCTGTAATGTATTATCAATTTTGTTTTGACTAACTTGATCTGTTAAACTAGCCCTATGCACTGTTAAGAGTAATCCTCATAATCGTGAAGCCTGTCTATACCATTCATTGGTCCCTTGTTACTGTTCTTTTCCGTAATACTTGGTAGACATGTCGGGCCCTTCCTATGAAAAGCATAGGCTCTTTCTGCTCCCCTCAGGCCTATCATAATACTTTGCATTTGTTACACTCTCAGTTATATGGAATTAATAAATAAAGATATGCTAAATTAACTCAGGAGCAATCTAGTTGTGACATCTTGACTCTTGGGTTTCTACCCAAGTATCTAATCATTGCTATTGTATTTTAGAAGAAAAAAAATTTGTTAAGCATTTTTACAAACCTTAACATGAATTACTATACCTTTAGTCATTGGCAGTTCAGGATCCAACTAAGGAGAAATATATTTTCCCACAGATGGTCTAGGACGCAAACCACATTGTTTGTACTTTTGAAAAATAAAATAAAAATAAGATATTGCAAGAGCTTTGAAGTGCGTGGGTAACAATGGCAGGTTCCTTTGTTGAGCAGCGGATTTTCCTAATGCCACTCAGCTAGATTCTTATCAAACATTTCTGATCAGGAGACAATGAAAATGACCCAGCATGAATAAAAGAACAGATGAGAAATGTGCTGTGATAAAGGCTGAAAAGGAGGCAGGCAAGTGCCTGGGTCTTCATTGAAAACAAATAACCCGAGGTGGGGAGAGAGGCTCGCTTTATCTTTGGCATTCTTTTTATAGCTCTGATCCGGAATTGTTTTCCCTTGAAAATGAATGGAGTGCCAGGGAGAGCTGCTTGATCTTATTCTCTGGCCTTTTCATTGCACTGTGCAGCCATTTTAATGAGTTATTTCTCACAGTCGCCCTACCAGGCAGGTCATCATCAATATCCTTGTTTTCCAGGCAAAGCCTAAGTGAGGCAAGGGCTGAGGGTGATTCAGTAATGGGTCTTAATTATGTGAGGTTCATGTGGCTGAGGATGGCGAGCAGCTGTTTTGGGGAGTCTCTCCTGAGTTCAGAGGAGAAGGTATGAGCAGAGCTGGGGCAGGGGCAACATTACAGCAAAAGGAGTTCTGGACTAGGAGAGTGTTCCCTGCATTATCATGGAGGTTTCTGAGAAGAGGAATCTGGCTTCTGCCTCTTGGTTTGTACCACCAAAGCATCTACTAGATGCTATAGATGTACATCTCCCAGAAAATAAATGCTCAGTTGGTCGATTGATGAATGATATGAACAAGTCTTTATGTAGGGATATTTCGACCAAAGCTAGGGACAGATTGATCCGGTCCAACTTGACCTACCAAGAAGAAAAGACCAAAAGATTCTACGAGGTCACTGGCATTTCTTAGGATGCATAAGTAGTACTTATCTGCCATTAACACTGTTCAATTTAATTCAAAGTTCAGTCAAGTTAATGCTTTTGATCATCTGCTACATGGAAGGTGATAGACAAGGCTCTGGGTGGATTGCAGAAATAAATCAATTATGGCTCCTGCCTCATAAAGTGAAAGGTAGAGTGGGAGAGAAAGAAATGCATGCAACTTCTTACAATACAGGTATCTGAGAATATGAGAAGTGCTATCTTAGAAATTCAATTAGTTCATGAGACTATGGAAGAGGAAGTGAAGAATTCCAGTTTGGGCATTGGGAGTGAAGGGATAATAACTACACGTATTAACATTACTATGTGCCATGCAGATGATAAGTGCTTTACCTGAATTATTTTATTTAATGCTTACAACTGTATACAATAAGTACGAATGCGATTTTAATTTTCTTCATGATCATACGGAAGCAGAGAGCAGTTAAGTAACATACTAGCAAGCAGCAGAGGCAGAATTGAACTAAGGCTGTCTGACAGCGCTTAAGCTAAGTTTAAAGAAAATGCATGGATTTAGCACATGTTATATTCCAGTCTCTGGGTTAGGTGTTTAATATATATTATTTATTTACTTCTATAAATAACTCTAAAAATTATATTATCTCCCTTTGACACATCTGAGATTCAAAGAGTTTAAATGACTTGATCAAGTTACATGGTTAATAAATATCAAAAGGCACTTTCCTGCCCAGACTGGTGTGGCCTCATGCTGTGTCATTTCCACTCTCCACAAGGCTGCTTCAAGTAGAAAATAGTCAATGCTTCCTCAAGACCTCAGGAACCCCAGGCAGCTAGCCACGTCCAGCTGAAGGCAATTGACAGATCTCAGGCACGGTCTCTTAAAAGCCTCCAGCCCCCTGTAGGTTCAAGCCCATGGATAAACTGCCATCTGGAGCCCTGCAGCATCAACAGACTCAGGTAGAGCTTTCAGCCCTTCAGAACTGGTCATGTTGTCCCCAGGGTAGTTGTATTAGTTATCTATTGCAGTGTAAAAAATTACAGCAAGTTTAGTGGTGTAAAACATACATTACTATCTCATGGTTTCAGCATTCAAGCATCTGGCCATGGCTTAACTAGGTCCTCTGCTCAGAGTCTCACAAGGCACAAAGTATTGGCCAGTTGCATTTTCATCTGGAGCTTGGGCTCCACTTCCAAGCTCATGTAGGCTATTGGCAGAATTCAGTTCCTCCCAATGGTAGGACTAAGGTCCTCAAGTCCTAGATGCTGCCTCCCTCCAGAGGCAGTTGACAGCATGGCTGTTTGCTTTTTAAAAGCCTGCAGGAGAGCATCTGTTATGGACTGAATGTTTGTGTTCTCCCCCAAATCTGTATGTTGAAATCCTAACCCACAATGTGATCATATTAGGAGATGGGGCCTTTGAGAGATTATTAGGCCATGAGGATGGAGCCCTCATTAATGGGATTAGTGCCTCTATATAAGGAACTCCAGAGAGCTCTTTGGCTCTCTTTCTGTCATTTGAGAAGGCAGCTGTCTACAAAACAGGAAAAGAGCCCTCACCAGAACCTAAACATGCTGGCACTCTGATTTTGGTCTTCCAGCCTCCAGAACTGTGAGAAATAAGTTTCTATTGTTTACAAATCACTCTGTCTGTGGTAATTTGCCATAGCAGCTCCAAGGGACTAAGGCAGTGCCTCGTTCCTGAGGAAGGACACATGCCTCCTTTAAGGACTTTCATTTGATTAAGTCAAACCCTTGCAAAATAACCTCATTTTTGGTTCACTCAAAATCAAATGATTTGGGACCTCAATTACATCTGCAAAATCTCTTCATTTTTTGCAATATAATGTAGACAAATCACAGGAATGATATCCCACCCTATTCACAGGACTTGCCCACACTCATAGGGAGGGAATTATGTACAGCAAGTACACCATGGAGCAAGAATTTGAGGATCGTCTTAGAATTCCACCTGCCATGGGGCAAGAATTTGAGAATCGTCTTAGAATTCTGCCTGCCATGTGAAACTCATTCCTAGCACCGTGGATGCTTTGATCTCCTTCTGGCTAAAACAGGACCTCGTTATCTAGGCAGAGCCAGAGAAGAGTCTATATATGAGCCACATGCATTTTGGAATTGCCTGTCTCCATTTGCTTTTGTGCAGGGGTCACACACCACCATCAGTGAGGTTTGGCCATGGGTCAGCATTTCTGATGAAAGATTTCATGGGAAAAGGATGACATTTATGTCAAAAGTTGATTTGGTGGTTAGCTTTGGTGATTATCTTTTAATTATCTCTGCTTCCCCTCTCCCCCATTGTTGTTAACAGTCAAGACTTAGTTGTGCATATTATTTATTGAAAGAGCTAAAGAGGAAAAGGCCAAGGCTAAAGCCTAATAACTGAGAGGAAACAAGTCAGAAGACATCTAAATGTCAATTGATGGAATTGGCTTCTTGACTTGAAGATTATATCTTTAAACAGTCTTGGGAAACACCATTTTAATTCAACAAAGGAATTCTTATAAATACAATTTAATTGCTTTTTCAAGGATTGTCTATTGAGACCCCACATTAGGTTTTGTTTTGTCTTGTTGTGTTTACCATTTTCTTGCTTGCACACTTAGCCCCAAAGGGACTGGAGAATAAAAGAAGGCTAAGCCTGCAACACTAAGCACATTTGTAAGAAAGCAATTTAGGGAAAGCAGTTTTCAGTTTCATTCAAAAGTGTCCAATATTTCAATATTCCTAGACATTTCTTGCCATAGCAGTGCCAAAATAGAGACAACTTTTGCCCTGTAGTCAACTCTGATGATGAGCCATTTTTATTGAATCAAAAAGCCCCAAAACTCCCACCACAACTCTGATCAAAATCTGATCCTTAGAATGTCGTTAAGACTGAATAGGAGTTTTATTTCTACCATCTTCCACCGCTTTATTGATTAACTCTGCTCAGAACACAACCAGCTCACAAAGGCTCAGCTCCTAGAATTGGATGAGAAAGGTTTTTTACCAGAGAGAAGGGCAGAGGGATTTTTGTGGACTGACATCTGGGGCCCAGACTGGGACCACTGTGAGCCTGGAATATTCTTTCAGTCCTCCCCTCCTCATCATCCACCCATTTAAGACCGCCTCAAACTTGAAAGTCCTGATGACTTCACATATCTTGCTGGGTCTGTAATGAAGATGCTTATAAATATTACAAAAGATTTATCACTTTAGCGTGAAATTCTCTGATACCAGCAGGGAGTTTTTAAACACAACTGGCAACAAGAAGCATATGGTCAGAGATTCAAGTTACTGCTTTCTTTCTTTCTTTTTTTTTTTTTTAATTGTTGTCTGCCAAGGACAATATATTTTTTTCCCTTCTTCAAAATAAACATTGTGCAGGAATGTGCCTCAGCAAATGGCTGGGGCTCTATTATATTTCATGCAGCTTTCTAAACAATTTTCAACCCTGGGCTGGCCTGGTGTCAAACAGAAGGCAACCAACAATAGCAAAATCCCATTAAAGCCAAGAAGGTTCCTTCCTGAGGTGAACCTGGCCAGAAATAGTCATCTTGGCTCATTCTCCAGTTTGGCACTGGGGACTAATAATGCACGGTCTCCTAATGGAAATTATCTAATTTCATCCAAGAGCTCCTCCAGAGAGAGCCGGGCTGACGCACTAACAGTCAATATAACAACATTCTTCTTGAAGTGCTGAACAATAGGCCTTTGGAGAGACTGTGATAAACCACGTCAGACTCCGGACAAACACGAGTGTAAAAATAGGCATCAGAGGCATTGACACAGCCACCTAATTTCTCAGGAGGGAGGCCCACAGAGGAGGGATTGTTCAGAATGCTTGTTGAGAATACTTCATCAGAAGTAGTGGGAGAAGGATAGTGAAGAAAGAAAGAAAAGGGATGGGGAGAGAGATAAAAAGAAGACTGAATAAGATCAAGAATGGGGAAAAAATAAGAAAATGATAAATGAAAGAGAGGAGTTAATTCTTCATCTGTGGTACAACTGTCCATGGTCTGCTAATATAAATCAAACTTTGGGTGTGATTCCCATTAACATCATGGGGCTGTGTTTCAAATGCTCTGTGCGAAGAAAAGCCAGCAGGAAATAATGCTCCATTTAAGGAGATATATGTATGTATATGTGTATATATATATATATCTCACATATGTATATAGGAGTTCTGTGAATTTACCACTATTCTAAGACCAACAGGATCATCCTGAGGCATACATTTGGTTTTAAGTTTCCTCATGTTATTACTTGTTTTCTGAATATTTTTAACCTCCTCTAAATTTTAAGCTTCTGAAGAGTAGGAACTGGCTTGTGTCTATAACGATTATCCACATCAAGACAATAAGTATCAGTCAAAAGTGTTGATTGGTTGATTATTCATTGAGCCTAATAGTCTTGAAACATCAGAGAGTCTCTCATGAGTGGGTATTTCAAGAAATAAATTTCTCCAAAATGGGTAATTTCAAGGCCCAAATCCATGTCAACACCTCCCTGATTCTGCACCCACTACCACCTTCCTACTTCCCTTCCCCACCAACAAGCTAGAAAATGGCGTGGGTTCTGGAATACAGAATGGCTTCCCTAGACTACAGGGCCTAAGATAGACCATGGGACATTCTCCTTGGGCCCAACATGTGAATTTGCAACTCTAGGCTGATGCAAGAGAACGTATTCTAGCTATATTCACACCACTGGAATAATATTCACAGTCTGAATCAAGATGGTGGCTCAAGCACATGCCTGCTTTCCCTGCCCAAACCCCAATCCAGATATATATTCAACATACAGATAACACTGTGTCTTGGGAGGGAAATTCTGTGTCTGGGGGATACCAGAGTGAAGAGCCTACTTCTTTAGATATGCTTTTGTACATTTTCAAGGTTGAACTCTGTGAATATAACACTATTCAAAAATTTAAAATTAAGTTTAAATAAGCTAATTTTAGAGTATCAATATAAAATAAAATGGAATTTAAGGCCAAATGCATAAAAGGAAAAATGAGACATATTTATATTGATTAAAAGTATACTTCATGGCTGGATGTGCTGGCTCACGCCTGTAGTTCCAGCACTTTGGGAGGCTGAGGCAGGAGGATCACGAGGTCAGGAGTTCAAGACTAGCCTGGCCAACATGGTGAAACCCTGTCTCTACTAAAAAAACAAAAATTAGCCAGGCATGGTGGGCACCTGTAATCCCAGCTACTCAGGAGGCCATGGCAGGAGAATCACTTGAACTTGGGAGGCGGAGGTTGCAGTGAGCTGAGATGGCACCACTGAACTACAGCCTGGGCAACACGAGTGAAACTCCATCTCAAAAAAAAAAAAAAAGGACAGTTAACTAAGAAGTCACTTAACTTCATGAATCTAACAACTTCGAAATATACAAAACTGATAGAAATATAAGGAGAACCTAATGATGCATAAAAAATAAGACTACACAAAAAGAAGGTATTATATAGTAATAGCATTTGAATAACATACACATATCTCATAGATATATGTAAAAGTTGGTATTCAAAAAGACAACACATTTTAAAAAACATACAGAAATTTACAAAATCAGTTCATATGTTGAGCCACAGAGAAAATATCAACAAATTCCAAAGTAAACAGGGTCATGCAAGTTGCATTCTCCTAGTGCAAAGCAATAAAAATGGAAATTAATGAAAGTGCTAGCCACATAAACACACACATATAAATCTGTCCACTTGGAAGTATAAAATATCCCTCTATGTTCTTGGGTATAAAAGCAAAGCAAAACTATTTAGAAATAAATTATGAGAACTCTTATCAAAATAAATGGGACATAATCAAAGCAATACTCAGAAGAAATTTTGCAGTTTTAAAATGCATTTTTCTTAGAAAATAAAAGATTGAAAAATAATGAAAGCATTCAACTTAAGAATAATAGCAAAAACAAAATTAATAAAGTTAAAAAAGAAAAAATAGAAAATATTATGTGCACATATATTAAACCATTTTAAAAGGAAAATATTGTGTGTCCTTGGGATTTCTTTTGTAGAATACATTAAACTGGATAGATGTTGTCAAATATTTATTTAAATAAAGTATTGGCCAGGTGTGGTGGCTCATGCCTGTAATCCCAGCACTTTGGGAGGCCAAGGTGGGCAGATCACGAGGTCAGAAGATCGAGACCAGCCTGGCCAACATGGTGAAACACCACTTCCACTAAAAATACAAAAATTAGCTGTATGTGGTGGTGCATGCCTGTAATCCCAGCTACTCAGGAGGCTGAGGCAGGAGAATCGCTGGAACCTGGGAGATGGAGGCTTCAGTGAGCTGAGATTATACCACTGCATTCCAGCCCGGGCAACAGAATGAGACTCCATCTCCAAAAATAAAAATAAATAAGTATCAGTAAAGATGATTTCTGGTGTGTTTTGCATAAAATATTGCTAGGATTAAATTACAACACAAGTAAAGGATTTGATGCAGTGCTTGTACCAGAATAATTACTATTTAGCTGCTATTATTACCATTAAATATCTTTTTGTGACAGGAAAATCACAGAAGAAGTTCATTTTAGTGTTAAAAAATTTTTTTTTAAATTTACTGGACTAAAACCTGCTTTCATATTGTCTTTCTCTCATTCGCTCCGTTAATGGTTACCTTACTCCTTGTCTCTACTCCCCCAATCTTAAAACCTGAATCACGGTACTCTTTTTCATACAGGACACATTTTCAAATATACGGTGAAGAAGGATGGGCCATTACACATGTGCATAGTTTTCACTTCTCTTATCAGGTGAAACATTCCCAACTGTTTATTTTTCCTTACTTAAATGAAAAGGAATCTAGGTCTTCCACCTTCTTTTAAAAAATATTTTATTTTTTATGGATACATAATGGATATACATATGGATGTACATGTGGTAATGTAATACCTTAATATAATTTGTAAAGACCAAATCATTGTAATTAGGGTATCCATCACCTCAAATATTTGTCTTTTCTTTATGCTAATAACATTCAGATTATTCTCTTCTAGCTATTTGAAATATATAATGGGGTACTGTAAACTGTAGTCGTACTACTCACCTATCAAACACTAGGTCTTATTTCCTATGTCAAACTGCATATTTATACTCATTAATCAACCTCTCTTCATCTGCTCCTACTCACTACCTTTCCCAGCATCTGCTAATCACCAATTTACTCTCTATCTTCATGAAATTCACTGTTTTTGCTCCCACATATGAATGAGAACATGTGATATTTGTCTTTCTGTGCTTGACTTACTTCACTTCACTTCACATAATGACCTTCCATCCATGTTGCTGCAAATGACAGAATTTCATCTTTTTATGGCTGAATAGCATTCCACTGTTTATATATACCACATTTTTTTATCCATTCATTCACTGATGGGCACTTATGTTGATTCCATATTTTGGTTATTGTGAATAATGCTGCAATAGACATAAGAGTGCAAACATCTCTTCAATATACTGATTTCATTTCTTTTAGATATATACCCAGTAGTGGAATTGCTGTATCATATGGTAGTTCTATTTTTAGTTTTTTGAGGAAACTCAATACAATTGTTATACTGGCTGTACTAATTTACATTCCCAAACACAGTGTACGAAATTCCCATTTCTCCATATCCTTGCTAGCATTCATTATTCCTCGTATTTTTGATAAAAGCCATTTTAACTGGGGTGAGATGATATCATATTGTGGTTTTGGTTTGCATTTCTCTGATAATTAGTGATGTTAAGCATTTTTTCATATACCTGTTAGCCATTTGTATGTTTTCTTTTGAGATATTTGTGTTTAGGTCTTTTACCCATTTAAAAATTGGATTATTTGTTTTTTTGCTACTGTGTTGTTTGAGGTCTTTATATATTCTGGCTATTCAATCCCTTGTCAGATGGATAGTTTGCAAATATTTTCTCCCATTCTATGGGTTATGTCTTCACTTTGTTGATTATTTCCTTTGCTGTGCAGAAGCCTTTTAGCTTGATAATCCTATTTGTTGATTTTTGTTTTAGTTGCCTGTGCTTTTGAGGTCTTACACAAGTAATCTTTGCCCAGGCCAATGCCATTGGGCATTTCCCCAATATTTTCTTTGAGTAGTTTTATAGTTTCAAGTCTTAGATTTAAATCTTTAATGCATTTTGTTTGAGTTTTGTATATGAGGAGAGATAGGGCTCTAGTTTTTTTCTTCTACATATGGTTATTCAGTTTTCCCAGAACCATATATTGAAGAAATTGTCCTTGCCTCATTGCATGTTCTGGGCAACTTTGTTGAAAATGAGTTGGCCATAAATGCATGAATTTATATCTAGGTTCTTTATTGTGTTCCATTGGTCTACATATCTGTTTTTATGCCAATACCATGATGATTTACTTACTATAGCTTTGTAGCATATTTTGAAATCAGGTAGTGTGATGCTTCCAGCTTTCTTTTTTTCACTCAGGATTGCTTTGGGTATTGGGGGTCTTCTGTGGGTCCATATAAATTTTAGGATTCTTTTTTCTATTTTTGTGAAAAACGTCATTGGTATTTTGATAGGGATTGCATTGAATCGGTAAATTGCTTTGAGTAGAATAGTCATTTTAACAATACTAATTCTTCCAACCCATAAACTGGAATGTCTTTCCATTTTTGCATTTCCTTTTCCATTTATTTCTTCAGTATTTTATAGTTTTTCTTGTAGAGATCTTTACTTCTTTGATTAGATTGAGTCTTAAGTATTTTATATTCTTTGTAGCTATTGTAAATGGAATTACTTTCTTGACTTCTGGGGTATATAAGTGCTACTGATTTTTGTATGTTGATTTTGTATCCTGCAACTTTACTGAATTTGTTTATTAGTTCTAATCCTTTTTTGGTGGAGTCTTTAGGATTTTCTAAGTATAAGATCATGTCAACTGTGAACAAGGCTAATGTGACTTCTTTCTCTCAATTTAAATATGATTTATATTTCTTTTTTGCCTGATCGCTCTGGCCAGGATTTCCAGTACTACGTTGAATAAAAGTGGTGAAAGTTGGCATCCTTGACTTGAAGTTGGCATCCTTGACTTGTTGCAGATCTTAGAGGAACGGCTTTCAATTTTTCCCTGTTCAGTATGATCAGTTAGCTGTGGATTTGTCAATGTGACCTTAATTACTTTGAAATATGTTCCTTCTATACCCAGTTTGTGGGTTTTTTCCTCATGAAAGTATGCTGAATTTTATTACTTTTTCAGCATCTATTGAAATGACTATATGGTTTTAGTCCTTGGTTCTGTTAATGTGATGTATCATATTTATTGATTTGCATGTGTGGAACCGTTCTTCTATCACTGGGATGACTCCCACTTGATCACAGTGAATGTTCTTTTTGATGAGTTGCTGAATTCAGTTTGGTGGTTTTTGTTAAGAATTTTTGCATCTATTTTTATCAGTAATATTAGTCTACAGTTTTCTTTCTTTTTGTGTCCTTGTCTGATTTTAGTATCATTTTAGTATCAGGGTAATGCTGGCCTCACATAATGAGTTTAGAAGGATTCCCTCCTCTTCAACTTTTTTTGGAAGAATTTGAATAGAATGTTTGGTATTAGTTTTTCTTTAAATGTTTGGTTGAGTTTGGTAGTAAAGCCATCAGGTCATGGCTTTTTTAAAAAACATTTTTTTTAATAGAGGCAAATCCTTGCTCTTTTGCCCAGGCTGGAGTGCAGTGTTGTGATTATAGCTCACTGCAGCCTCGAATTCCTTGGCTGAAGTGATCCGCCTGTCTCAGCTTCCCAAGTAGCTAGGACTACAGGCATGCACCACCAAACCCAGCTACTTTTTTTTTTTATTTTTATGTTTTGTAGAGACGGGTTCTTGCTGTGTTGTGCATGCTGGTCTTGAACTCTTGGCCTTAAATGATCCTCCTGCCTTGGCCTCCCAAAGTGCTGGGATGACATGCATAAGCCACCACGCCTAGCCTGGGCTTTTCTTTGTTGGGAGACTTTTTTATTAAGCCCTCTATCTCATCACTTGTTATTAGTTTGCTGAGGTTTTCTCTTTCTTCATGGTTCGATCTTAGTAGGTTTTATGTGTCCAGGAATTTATCCAGTTCTTCTAGGTTTTCCAATTCATTGCTCTGTGGTTGTTCATAATAATCTCTAATGGTCTTTGTATTTCTGTGTTCTCAGCTATCATGTCTCCTTTTTCATTTATAATTTTATTTATTTGAGTCTTTTGTTTTTCCTTAGTCTGGCTAAAGATTTGTCATTTTTATCTTTTCAAAAAATAGACTTTTAATTTTGTTTATCTTCTGTATTTTTTTAGTCTCAATTTCATTTATTTTTACTCTGATCTTTAGTATTTTTTCCCTTCTATTAATCTTGAGTTTGGTTTGCTCTTGCATTTCTAGTTCTTTGAGGTGCATTGTTAGGTTATTTATTTGAAGTCTTTCTGCTTTTTTGACATAGGCTTTCATTGCTATAAAATTCCTTCTTACTATTGCTTTTGCTGCATCCCATATTTTGATATGTTATATTTCCATTTTCATTGTTTCAAGAAATTTAAAAATTTTGTAATTGACCCTTTGGTTCTTCAAGAGCACGTTGTTTAATTTTAATGTGTTTGTGCATTTACTGAGGTTCCTTTTATTATTAATTTCTAGTTTTATTTCATTGAGATAAGAAAAAATACTTGATATGATTTCTACTTTTTTGAATTTGTTGAGACTTGTTTTGTAGCCTAAGATATGTTTTTGTAGCCCAAGATACAGTCTGTTCTTCAGAATCTCCCCTGTGCTGATGAAAAGAATGTGAATCCTGCAGTCATTGGGTTAAATGATCTGTTATTGTCAGGCTTATTTGTCTAGTTTGTAGTTTAACTCTGATTTTCTTTGTTGATTTTCTGTTAATGATATCTCCATTACTGAGAGTGGGTTGTTGAAGTTGTATACTATTATTGTGTTGAAATCTATCTCTCCCTTTAGATCTATTAATGTTTGCTTTATATACTTGGGAGCTCCTATGTTGGGTGCATGCATATATTCTCTTGGTGAACTGTCTCCTTTATCATACATAGATTTTCAGTTTATATTCTCTTGCTGAATTGTCTCTTTTACCATATATGGTGACCTTCTTTGTCTCGTGGACTTGTAGTCTGTTTTGCATGATGTAAGTATACCTATTCCTGTTCTGTTTTGGTGTCCAGTAGCATGCAATATTTTTTTTCACTCTTTCACTTTCAGTCTATGCATGTCATTATAGGTGAAGTGGGTTTCCTGCAGGTAGCACAAATTTGGGTCATGTTTCTTTATCCATTTAGCCACTTTATGGCTTTTAATTGGAGAATTTGAGTCTATTTAAGTCAGTATTTTTATTGGGCAGTAAGGACTTACTAGTGCCATTTTGTTGCTTATTTTCTGGTTGTTTTGTGGCTTTTCTCTTTCTTATTGTCTTCATTATTGGTTATTTTCTCTGGTAGTATGTTTTAATTTGTTGCTTTTTTCAAAAAGTGGATCTATTATAGGTTTTCACATGTGGTTATCATGAGGCTTACAAAAATCATCTTATAGACATAACAAGTTATTTTAAAGAGATGATAACTTAGATTACAAAGAAAAGAATAGAAACAAACAAATCAAGAAAAAATGAAAAAACTCTCTAATATGTTAACTGCAAATGTGGGGACGTCTATATTTTGACTTTATGTTGTCTTCATTTACATATTCTTATGTTGCCTATCTCTTAACAGGTTGCTGTAGATATTATTATTTTTGATATATTTGTCTTTTAGGCTTCATACGAGAGCTATGAGTGGATTGCACACCAAATTACAGTAGTAGGGTATTCTGGGTTTGTCTGTGTCCTTAATTTTACCAGTGGATTTTATACCTTCAAATGTTTCCTTTTTGGACTTCAGTGTTTTTTGTTCTTTCAGCTTGTTTGAAGAGGTCCCTTTACCATTTCTTTCTTTTTTCTTTGAGACAGAGTTTCGCTCTTGTTGCCCAACCTGGAGTGCAGTGGTGTGATCTCGGCTCACTGCAACCTCTGCCTCCTGGGTTCAAGTGATTCTCCTGCCTCAGCCTCCTGAGTAGCTGGGACTACAGGTGTGCACCACCACACCCCGCTAATTTTTGTCTTTTTAGTAGAGACGGGTTTTCACCATGTTGGCCAGGATGGTCTCGATCTCCTGACCTTGTGATCTGCCCACCTTGGCCTCCCAAAGTGCTGGGATTACAGGCATAAGCCACCGTGCCCAGCCTCCCTTTAACATTTATTGTAAGATGAATTTATTGATTATGAATTATTTCCATTTTGTTTGTGTGGGAAAGACTTTTATTTCTCCTTCATATGTGAAAGTTATGTTTGCTAGATACAATATTCTTGGATGACAGTATTTTTCTTTGAGCACTCTGAACATATCTTACGTCCTCCTGGCCTATATGGTTTCCATTGAGAAGTCTATTGCCTGAGGAATTGAAGACTCTTTATATGCTATTTGTTTCTTTTCTCTTGTGGTTTTTAGGATTTTCTCCTTGACCTTGACAGTTTGATTATTATGTGGCTTTGAGTAGTCTTGCTCAAGTAGAATCTCTTTGGTGTTCTCTGATCTTCTGGTACCTGGATATTTATCTCTTAAGTTTTGAAAAATTTTCTATTATTATTTCTTTGAATAAGCTTTCTACCTCTTCTTGCTCAGCTCCCTCTTGAACACAAATAATTTTTAGATTTGGCCTTTTGAGATAATTTTCTATAACTTATAGATGATTTTCCTTCCTTTCATTTGTTTTTCTTCTCCTGTTTTTTCAAATAGCCTGTCTTTGAGGTTACTGATTCTTTCCTCTGCTTTATCCATTTTCCGTTGAGAGCCTCTAATAAAATTTTCAGTCCAGAAAATTTATTTCTCAGTTCCAAGATTTCTGTTTGGTTTTTAAAAATTATTTATGTCTCTTCATTAAATTTATCTGATAAATTTCCAAATTGCTTTTCTGTGTTATCTTGGAGACCACTGAATTTCCTTAACACTGCTATCTTGAATTCCTGGTCAGAGAGTTAACATATTGCCATATTGTTAGGGACAGTCACTGGTTCATTGCTCTGTCTGTTTGAGGAGGCCATGGTTCCCTGTTTGCTGGTGTTTCTTGTGGATGTGTATCTATGTCTTTGCATTGAATAATTAGTTATTTATTCCAATTTTCTCCATCTGGCTTGTTCTGTTTTTCATTAGATATATTTGCTTAGAGATTCTTTGCAATTTTCCTGTTAATTCCCTCCCACCCTCCTTCCCTCCTTCCCTCCCTCCTCCTTCCTTCCTTCCTTCCTTCCTTCCTCCTTTCCCTTTCCCATTCCTTTCTTTAATGCTAGGTCACTGCCTCTTTTCTGGCACCAGTTATGGTGCCTTAAACCCAGTTTGCCTCAGTTCTAGTAAATAACCAGAGTATTGCCAGTCCTGAATTGGAGTGTCAAATGGTATATCCCAGTCGTGTGGGAAGGCTGGTTAGGGGTTTGTGCCCAGGTCAGCTATGGAACAAATCTCCTACAGCATGGTGCTGCTGAACAGCCACTCTGATTTAGCATCTCCTTTGGCTGAGTTACAGAGCCAAGTTTCCCGGACTGGAGATGGTAGTCTTGCCTCCTCTTTTTGTCTCTGGCTGTCTTCAGGGATATTTCTCACTTCAGGCTTTCCTGGTTCTTCCTATGAGATGAGGCAGGGCAGGTGTTCTGCCAGGGAACTCAAGATGGTGTGGAATCTGGATGTCCATCTTGATCTCACTTTTTCCAGTGTAGAAACCATGAGTCATGGGAAATTTTGCATGCATTTGGTACTGGTCAGATTGGGAGGATGAGTGTCATGGATACAGAAGTCTCATTTTCTTACCATTTGCTCAGAGATTTTTCATTTCTCTGTGGCCCTGGGAACTGTTGCATCCTCATGTTTGGGTTCTGAGATATTGCTGGTGACAATCTTGGTGCTATATATTTGTCTTTTGTTTCCTGGGGGGTGAACAGGGGGAGGAATGAAGCCAGCTTTCTTCTAAATCACCATTTTTGAACTGCAAGTGTTTCTGTCCATATTCTGTGTTATTTCCCGGGTCCTCCATATTTGTTGTTGTTTTCCCATTTTTGTAGGAATTTATCTAATGGTTTGGTCAGTGTACAATCCAGGGAATCACTTTTTCACTCAATATTTTTAATGCAATCAGTTTTGTTTTTGTTTTTTGGGGGGATGCCGACTCCATTTTTTATCAGTTTGATGGGACTATTGCCTCAATAAGTCATTGAACAACTATTTACTCAGCATCACTCTTTGTCAGTCCATGTACTGGGTATGAAGGATACAGAATGAATAAGAGCCTCTGCTGGAAAGGACTCTTAGCTAGGAGTGTGTAACTTAGGGCAATTACAACATAGTATGCTAGGGGCTGTGACCAAGGTAAATATGGATTTCTCTGGGACTTCAGAGGAACTATCCAAGTATAAATTAAATAAAGAGTGAGTCAGGGAAGGCTTCCATGAAGAAATGTTATGTGGGATGGATTCTGAAGACTAGCAGGGTATAGCAAGGAACACAGAGTATTGGGTGAGGTGAAGGATGCTCCAAACAGTGAATACAGTATATACAAATGCAACAAAATGAGGAGAAAGAAACAATATGCTTTCAGGAATGTCACACAGTTGGCTTATTGTGGTTTTGGTTTATATTTCCCTAATGACTAATGATGTTGAACACATTTTTGTATAATTATTGGTTATATGTATACCTTTGGAGAAATGGTCTTTGGAGAAAATAATCCTTTGTTCATTTTTAAATTTGTTTAGCTTTTTATTGTTGAGTTGTAAGAGTTCTTTATGTAATCTTTTTCTAATTTTTAATTTCTGTGGGTACATAATAGGTGTATGTATTTATGGAGTTCCTGACATGTTTTGATACAGATATGCAATGCATAACAATCACATCAAGTAAAATGGGGTATCCATTTACCAAGCATTTATCCTTTGTGTTACAAAGAATCCAATTATAACCTTTTAGTTATTTTTAAATGTACAGTTAAATTATTACTGTCTATAGTTACCCTGTTGTGCTACCAAATACTATGTCTAATTCTTTCTTTCAATTTTTTTTTTTTTGAGACGGAGTTTCACTCTTGTTGCCCAGGCTGGAGTGCAATGGCGCGATCTCGGCTCACTGCAACCTCCACCTTCTGGGTTCAAGCAATTCTCCTGCCTCAGCCTCCGGAGTAGCTGGGATTACAGGCATGTGCCACCACACCTGGCTAATTTTGTATTTTTAGTAGAGACGGGGCTTCTCCATGTTAGTCAGGCTGGTCTCGAACTCTCGACCTCAGGTGATCCTCACCCGCCTTGGCCTCCCAAAGTGCTGGGATTACAGGCATGAGCCACCATGCCCAGCCTCTATTTTTTTAATACCCCATCTCCCACTCACCCTCCCATTACCCTTCCCAGCCTCTGTTAACCATCTTTCTACTCTCTATGTCCATGAGTTCAATTGTTTTGGTTTTTAGATCCCACATATAAGTGAGAACTTGTGATGTTTGCTTTCTGTGCCTGGCTTATTTCACTTAGCACAATCACCTCCAGTTCCATCCATGTTGCTACAAATGATAGAATCTCATTCTTTTTAATGGCTGAATAGTACTCCATTGTGTGTAAGAACCACATTTTTTTTTATTCATTCATCTGTTGACGGACACTTAGGTTGCTTCCAAATTTTAGCTATTCTGAACTGTACTACAACAAATAAGGGAGTGCAGATATCTTTTTGGTATACTGATGTCTTTTTTTGAGTATATAACCAGCAGTGGGATTGCTGGATCATGTGATAGTTCTATTTTTAGTTATTTGAGGGATCTCCAAACTGTTCTCCATAGTGGGTGGTACTAATTTACATTCCCACCAACGGTGTAGGAGGGTTCCCTTTTCTCCACATCCTTGCCAGCATTTGTTATTGCCTGTCATTTTTTTAGCAATACAAAAAGTAAATATTTATTCAGAACAAAACTTTTAACAATTGATTTTACATTCTAAGCCAAAAGGAAATAGTAAAAGGTGTAGCAAAGAAAAGACAAAAACTAAAAGAAAAGCAGTGCACTGTCTTTTCTACATGATAATGCTTAGGTGACCCATGACCTCTCGCTTGGCCTTTCTCCCAAGTACATTTTGGAGTCAACAGCTCACTCATAATTTTGGGTTAAAACCCACCTTTCTCCTGAGAGTCAGGAGTTGCAGATGAGCCCTGGCAAGCTGCTTCTCTAGGGTTACTAGCTATTGAGGCTAAGGTGCAAATGTAAGGCTTCGGTATCTTTCTTTACACAGGGGCACCCCCATTTCTTACTGGTTATTGCCTGTCTTTTGAAAAAAGCCATTTTAACTAGGGTGAGATGATATCTCATTGTAGTTTTGATTTGCATTTTTCTGATGACCAATGATGTTAAGCACCCTTGTATATGCCTGCTTGCCATTTGTATGTCTTCATTTGGGAAATGCCCATTTTTAAATCAGATTATTAGATTTTTTTTTTCTGTAGAGTTGTCTGAGCTCCTTGTGTATTCTGGTTATTGATCCCTTGTCAGATGGGTAGTTTGCAAATATTTTCTTCCATTCTGTGGGTTGTCTCTTCACTTTGTTGATCATTTCCTTTGTTGTGCAGAAGCTTTTTAACTTGATGTGATACCATTTGTCCATTTTGGCTTTGGTTGCCTGTGATTGTGGGTATTACTCAAAGAAATTCTTGCCCAGACCAATGTCCTGGAGAGCTTCCTCAATGTTTTCTTGTAGTAGTTTCATAGTGTGAGGTCTTAGATTGAAGTCTTTAATCCATTTTGATTTGATTTGTGTCTATGGTGAGAGCGAGGGGTCTAGTTTTATTCTTCTGCATATGGATATCCAGTTTTTGCAGCACCATTTATTGAAGAGATTGTCTTTTTCTCACTGTGTGCTCTTGGCACCTTTTTTGAAAATAAGTTCACTGTAGGTTTGTAGATTTGTTTCTGGGTTCTTTATTGTGTTCCATTGATCTATGTGTCTGTTTCTATGCCAATACCAGGCTGCATTGGTTATTATAGCTCTGTAGTATAATTGGAAATTAGGTGCACTGATTCCATTAGTTTTGTTCTTTGTTTTTTCTATTTCTGTGAAGAATTTCCTTGGTATTTTGGTAGGGACTGCATTGAATCTGTAGATTGCTTTGGGTAGTATGGACATTTTAATAGTATCAATTCTTCGAATCCATGAACATGGAATATCTTTCCAGTTTTTGGTGTCTTCTTCAATTTCTTTCATCAGTATTTTAAAAGTTTTTTATTATAGAGAGCTTTCACTTCTTTAAATTAATTCCCAGGTATTTAATTTTATATGTGCCTATTGTAAATGGGATTACTTTAATTTTTTTTTCAGATTGTTCACTGCTGGCATATAGAAAAGCTACTGATTTTTATATGTTGATTTTGTTGATCCTGAAACTTTACTGAATTTATCAGTTCTCATAGTTTTTTGGTGGAGTCTTTAGGTTTTTCCAAATATAAGATCATATCATCTGCAAACAAGAGTAATTTGACTTCTTCATTTCTAACTTGGATGCTCCGTATTTTTCTCTTGTCTGATTGCTCTAGCTAGGACTTCCAGTACTGTGTTGAATAACACTAGTCAAAGTGTCTATCCTTGTCGTGTTCCAGATCTTAGAGGAAAGACTTTCAGTTTTTCTCCATTCAGTATGACACTAGCTATGAGTCTCATGTGGCTTTTATTATGTTGAGGTATGTTCCTTCCATATCTAGTTTTTTTTGAGAATTTTTGTCATAAAGGGATGTTGAATTTTATTAAATGCCTTTTCAGCATCAAGTGAAATGATTATATGTTTTTTTCCTTTGTTCCATTGATATGATGTGTCAAGTTGGCTGATTTCCATATGTTGAACCATCCTTGATTCCCAGGGATAAGTCCCACTTGGTCATCATAAATGATCTTTTAAATGTATTGTTGAATTCAGTTTGCAAATATTTTGTTGAGAATTTTTGCATCAATACTCATCTGATATATTGGCCTGTAGTTTTCTTTTATTGATATGTCTTTGTCTGGTTTTGGTATCAGGGTAATACTGGCCTCATAGAATGAGTTTGGAAGTATTCCCTTCTTATCTATTTTTCAGACTAGTTTGAGTAAGACTGGTGGGAAGTCTTCCTTAAATATTTGGTAGAATCCAGGAGTGAAGCCTTTGGATCCCATGAATTTCTTTCCTGGGAGACTTTTTATTATGGCTTTGATCTTGTTACTTGTTATTGGTTTTTTCAAGTTTTGGATTTCTTCATGGTTCAATCTTGGTAAGTTGTATGTGTCTAGGAATTTATTCATTTCTCCTAGATTTTCCAGTTATTGGCATGTATTTACTCATACTAGTCACTAATGATCTTTCAAGTTTCTGCTGTATGAGTTGTAATGTCTCATTTTGCATCTCTGATTTTATTTATTTGGTTCTTGTCTTTTTTTTAATTAGTCTGTGTTTTTTTTATATAAGTCCTTTGTCTCATGTATAATTTGCAAATATTTTTTCTCCTTTCATAGTTTGTCTTTCTTTTCTTCCTTTTTTAAAATTATACTTTAAGTTCTGGGGTACATGTGCAGAATGTGGAGGTTTGCTACATAGTTATGTATGTGCCATGGTGATTTGCTGCACCTATCAACTACATTAGGTATTTCTCCTAATGCTATCCCTCCCCTAACACCCCACCCCACGACAGGACCTGGTATGTGATGTTCCCCTCCCTGTGTCCATGTATTCTCACTGTTTAACTCCCACTTTTGAGTGAGAACATGTGGTGTTTGGTTTTCTGTTCTTGTGTTAGTTTGCTGAGAATGATGGTTTCCAGTTTCATCCATGTCCCTGCAAAGGACATGAACTCATCCTTTTTTATGGCTGCATAGTATTCTGTGGTGTATACGTGCCACATTTCTTTATCCAGTCTATCATTGACGGGCATCTGGGTTGGTTCCAAGTCTTTGCTATTGTGAATAGTGCCACAATAAACATACGCATGCATGACTCTTTATAGTAGAATGATTTATAATCCTTTGGGTATATACCCAGTAATAAGATTGCTAGGTCAAATGGTATTTCAAGTTCTAGATCCTTGAGGAATCGTCACACTGTCTTCCACTATGGTTGAACTAATTTACACTCCCACCAACAATGTAAAAGGGTTCCTATTTTTCCACAACCTCTCCAGCATCTGTTGTTTCCTGACTTTTTAATGTTGCCATTCTAACTGGCATGAGATGGTATCTCATTGTGGTTTTGATTTGCCTTCCTCTAACGACCAGTGATCATGAGCATTTTTTTCATATGTCTCTTGGCTGCATAAATGCCTTCTTTTGAGAAGTGTCTGTTCCTATCCTTCGCCTACTTTTTGATGGAGTTGTTTGTTTTTTTTCTTGTAAATTTGTTTAAGTTCTTTGTAGATTCTGGATATTAGTCCTTTGTCAGATGGATAGATTGCAAACATGTTCTCCCATTCTGTAGGTTGCTGTTCACTCTGATAACAGTTTCTTTTGCTGTGCAGAAGCTCTTTAGTTTAATTAGATCCCATTTGTCAATTCTGGCTTTTGTTGCCATTGCTTTTGGTGTCTTAGTCATGAAGTCTTTGCCAAAGCCTATATTCTGAATGGTATTGCCTAGGTTTTCTTGTAGGGTTTTTGTGGTTTTAGGTCTTACATTTAAATCTTTAATCCATCTTGAGTTAATTTTTGTGTAAGATGTAAGGAAGAGGTCTAGTTTCAGTTTTCTGCATATGGCTAGCCAGTTTCTCCAACACCATTTATTAAATAGGCTCACTGCTTGTTTTTGTCAGGTTTGTCAAAGATGAGATGGTTGTAGATGTGTGGCATTATTTCTGAGGCCTCTGTTCTGTTCCATTGGTCTATGTATCTGTTTTGGTACCAGTACCATGGCTGTTTTTGTTACTGTAGCCTTGCAGTATAGTTTGAAGTCAGGTAACATGATGCCTCCAGCTTTGTTCTTTTTGCTTAGGATTGTCTTGGCTATGTGGGCTCTTTTTTGGTTGCATATGAAATTTAGAGTAGTTTTTTCCAGTTCTGTGAAGAAAATCAGTGGTAGCTTGATGGGAATTTTGTTGAGGGCCTTTTCTGCATCTATTGAGATAATCGTGTGGTTTTTGTCATCGGTTCTGTTTGTTTGAGGAATTACATTTATTGATTTGCATATGTTGAACCAAACTTGCATCCCAGAGATGAAGCTGACTTGATCATGGTGGATAAACTTTTTGATGTGCTGCTGGATTTGGTTTGCTAATATTTTATTGAGGATTTTCACATAGATGTTCATCAGGGATATTGGCCTGAAATTTACTTTTTTTGTTGTTTCTCTCCCAGGTTTTGGTATCAGGATGATGCTGGCCTCATAAAATGAGTTAAGGAGGATTCCCTCTTTTTCTATTGATTGGAATAATTTCAGAAGGTAAGGTACCCGCTTCTCTTTGTACCTCTGGTAGAAGTCAGCTGTGAATCTGTCTGGTCGTGGACTTTTTTTTGGTTGGTAGGCTATTAATTACTGCCTCAATTTCAGAATGTGTTATTAGTCTATTCAGTGATTCAACTTATTCCTAATTTAGTCTTGGGAGGGTGTATATGTCCAGGAATTTATCTATTTCTTCTAGATTTTCTAGTTTATTTGCATAGAGGTGTTTATAATATTCCCTGATGGTAGTTTGTACATCTGTGGGATTGGTGGTAATATACCCTTTTCATTTTTTATTGCATCTATTTGATTCTTCTTTCTTTTCTTCATTAGTCTGGCTAGCGGGCCATCTATTTTGTTGATCTTTTCAAAAAAACAGCCTGGATTCATTGATTTTTTGAAGGGTTTTTCATGTCTCTATCTCCTTCATTTCTGCTCTGATCTTAGTTATTTCTTGTCTTCTGCTAGCTTTTGAATTTGTTTGCTCTTGCTTCTCTAGCTCTTTTAATTGTGATGTTAGGGTGCCGATTTTAGATCTTTCCTGCTTTCTCTTGTGGACATTTAGTGCTATAAATTTCCCTCTACACACTGCTTTAAATGTGTCCCAGAGATTCTGGTATATTGTGTCTTTGTTCTCATTGGTTTCAAAGAACATCTTTATTTCTGCCTTCATTTCGTTATTTACCCAATAGTCATTCAGGAGCAAGTTGTTCAGTTTCCATGTAGTTGTGCAGTTTTGAGTGAGTTTCTTAATCCTGAGTTCTAATTTAATTGCACTGTGGTCTGAGTCTGTTTGTTATGATTTCCGTTCTTTTGCATTTGCTGAGGAGTGTTTTACTTCCAATTATGTGGTCAATTTTAGAATAAGTGCGATATGGTGCTGAGAAGAATATATATTCTGTTGATTTGGCGTGGAGAGTTCTGTAGATGTCTATTAGGTCCACTTGGTCCAGAGCTGAGTTCAAGTCCTGGATATTCTTGTTAATTTTCTGTCTCATTGATCTGTCTAGTGTTGACAGTGGGGTGTTAAAGTCTCCCACTAACATTGTGTGGGAGTCTAAGTCTTTTTGTATGTCTCTAAGAACTTGCTTTATGAATCTGGGTGCCCCTGTATTGGGTGCATATATATTTAGGACAGTTTATTTAGGATAGTTAGCTCTTCTTGTTTCATTGATCCCTTTACCATTATGTAATGCCCTTCTTTGTTTCTTTTGATCTTTGTTGGTTTAAAGTCTGTTTATCAGAGACGAGGATTGCAATCCCTGCTTTTTTTTTGTTTTCCATTTGGTTGGCAAATATTCCTCCATCCCTTTATTTTGAGCCTCTGTGTGTCTTTGCACATGTGATGGGTCTCCTGAATATATCACACTGATGAGTCTTGACTCTATCCAATTTGCCAGTCTGTGTCTTTTAATTGGGGCATTTAGCCCATTTACATTTAAGGTTAATGTTGTTATGTGTGAATTTGATCCTGTCATTATGATGCTAGCTGGTTATTTTGCCCATTAGTTGATGCAGTTTCTTCATAGCACTGATGGTCTTTACAATTTGGTATGTTTTTGCAGTGGCTGATACTGGTTGTTCCTTTCCATGTTTAGTTCTCCCTTCAGGAGCTCTTGTAAGGCAGGCCTGGTGGTGACAAAATCTCTCAGCATTTGCTTGTCTATAAAGGATTTTACTTCTCCTTCACTTATGAAGCTTAGTTTGGCTGGATATGAAATTCTGGGTTGAAAATTTTTTTTTTAAGGAATGTTGAATATTGGCCCCCACTCTCTTCTGGCTTGTAGGGTTTCTGCAGAGAGATCCACTGTTAGTCAGATAGGCTTCCCTTAGTGGGTAACCTGACCTTTCTCTCTGGCTGCCCTTAACATTTTTTCCTGCATTTAAACCTTGGTGAATCTGACGATTATGTGTCTTGGGGTTGCTCTTCTCGAGGAATATCTTTGTGATGTTCTCTGTATTTCCTGAATTTGAATGTTGGCCTGCCTTGTTAGGTTGGAGAAATTCTCCTGGATAATATTCTGAAAAGTGTTTTTCAACTTGATTCCATTCTCCCCGTTACTTTCAGGTACAACAGTCAAACGTAGATTTGGCCTTTTCAGATAGTCCCATATTTCTTGGAGGCTTTGTTCATTTCTTTTCATTCTTTTTTCTCTAATCTTGTCTTCTCACTTTATTTCATTGAGTTGATCTTCAGTCTCTGATATCCTTTCTTCTGCTTGATCGATTTGGCTATTGATACTTGTATATGCTTCACAAAGTTCTCGTGCTGTGTTTTTCAGCTCCATAAGGTCATTTATATTCTTCTCTAAACTGGTTATTCTAGACAGCAATTCACCTAACCATTTTTCAAGGTTCTTAGCTTCCTTGCATTCGGTTAGAACATGCTCCTTTAGCTCAGAGGAGTTTGTTATTACCCACCTTCTGAAGCCTACTTCTGTCAGTTTGTCAAACTCATTCTCCATCCAGTTTTGTTCCCTTGCTGGTGAGGAGTTGTGTTCCTATGCAGTAGAAGAGGCGTTCTGGTTTTTGGCGTTTTCAGCCCTTTGTGCTTGTTTCTCCCCATCTTTGTGGATTTAACTACCTTTGGTTTTTGCTGTTGGTGACCTTCGGATGGGGTCGCTGAGTGGATGTCCTTTTTGTTGATTTTGCTATTTTCCTTTCTGTTTGTTAGTTTTCCTTCGAACAGTCAGGCCCCTCTTCTTCAGGTCTGCTGAAGTTTGCTGGAGGTCCACTCCAGACCATTTGCCTGGGTATTGCCAGCGGGGGCTGCAGAACAGTACAGATTGCTGCCTGTTCCTTCCTCTGGAAGCTTCGTCCCAGAGGGGCACTTGCCAGATGCCAGCGAGAGCTCTCCTGTATGAGGTGTCTGTCCGCCCCTACTGGGGGATGTCTCCCAGTCAGGATACATGGGGGTCAGGGACCTACTTGAGGAGGCAGCCTGCCCCTTATCAGAGCTTGAACGCTGTGCTGGGAGATCTGCTGCTCTCTTAAGAACTGTCAGGCAGGGATGTTTAAGTCTGCTGAAGCTGTACCCACAGCCGCCCCTTTCCCCAGTTTGTCTGTCCCAGGGAGATGGGTGTTTTATCTATAAGTCCCTGACTGGGGCTGCTGCCTTTTTTTCAGAGATGCCTTGCCTAGAGAGGCAGTCTGGCTGCAGTGGGCTTGCTGAGCTGCGGTGGGCTCTGCTCAGTTCAAACTTCCTTGCGTCTTTGTTTACACTGTGAGGGTAAAACTGCCTACTCAAGCCTCATCAATGGCAGACACCCCTCCTGCCACCAAATTTTAGCGTCCCAGGTTGACCTCACAATGCTGTGCTAGCAGCAAGAATTTCAAGCCAGTGGATATTAGTTTGCTGGGCTCTGTGGGGGTGGGACCCCCCGAGCCAGGCACCAGAGGGAATCTCCTGGTCTGCCGCTTGTGAAGACTGTGGGAAAAGCACAGTATCTGGGTCAGAGTGCACTGTTCCTCCCGGTATAGTCTCTCATGTCTTCCCTTGGCTAGGAACGGGAAATCCCCTGACCCCTTGCGCTTCCCAGGTGAAGTGACACCCTACCCTGCTTTGGCTTGCCCTCCATGGGGCTGCACCCACTGTCCAACCATTCTCAATGAGTTGAACCATGTACCTCAGTTGGAAATGCAGAAATCACTTGCCTTCTGCATCAATCTCACTGGGAGCTGCAGACTGGAGCTGTTCCTATTCGGCCATCTTGGCAGCAATGATAGGTTGTCTTTCATTTCATTAATGATGTCTTTTGAAACACAGAAGTTTTAATTTTGATAAAGTCCAATTTGTCTTTTTTATTGTATTTTGATGAATGTCTAAAAAATCAATGCCTAATACAAAATCACAAAGATTTACTGCTATGTTTTCTTCTAATAGTTTTATAGTTGTATTGTTTATATTTAGGCAAATGATCCATTTTGAATTAATTTGTATATATGGTGTGAGGTAGGGCAACAGCTTCATACTTTTGCAGGTAAATATCCAGTTATCACACACCATTTATTAAAAGGACTATTCTTTCCCCATTAAATTGACCTGCAAATATTGTAAGAAACCTATTGATCAGTGTAAGATTTTATTTCCATACTCTCAAATCTATTGTATTCATTAATATGCCTGTCTTCGTGCCAGTACCACACTGTCTTGATTTCTGTAGCTTTGCAGTAAGATTCAGGAAGTGTGAGCACTCTAACTCTGTTTGTGTTTTTCAAGGCTGTTCAGGCTATTTAAATAATTGTTTGGGTTTTTTCCTTTATTCTATTAAGGAGGTGTATTATTTGTTTAATTTTAGTATGTGGTAACAACCTTGCATTCCTGGGATGAATCTCACTTGGGAATAGTGTATAATCTCACTTATATGTTGCTGGATTAAATTTGCTAGTATTTTGTTGAGGATTTTTGCATCTATATTCATAGGAAATATTGTGTAATTTTTTTGATTGTGTCATCTTTGTCTGAGTTTGATATAAAAATACTGGCCTCATAGAATAAACTGGGAAGTATAACCTCTTCTTTTATTTTTTGAAGATTTTGGGAAGGACCAGTGTTAACACTTCTTTAAACATTTGGTAGAATTCACCCGTGAAGCTATCTGGTCCTTAACTTCGTGGCAAGATTTTTTGTGGGAAGTGTTTTAATTACTAATTCAATCTCTTTATTCATTATGTGTCTACTCAAATATTCTGTTTCTTCTTGAGTCAGTTTTGGTAGTTGTGTTTTTCCAGAAATCTGTTCATTTAATCTATTTTGTTTAATTTGTTGGCATACAATTGTTCATTATAATCATAATTCTTTTTATTTCTGTAAGTTAGTATTAGTGTCTCATTCCTGATATTGGTAATTGAGTCTTTTCTCTTTTTTTCCTGGTCAGTGTAGCTAAAGGTTTATCAACTTTATTTATCTTTTTGTAGAGTCAACTTGGTTTGATTAATTTTCTCTATTGTTTTTCTATCCCCTAATATACTTATTTATACTCTAATATTTATTATCTTCTTCATTCTACTTGCTTTGGATTTAGCTTTCTCTGCTCTTTTATTCTTCAGGATCTTTAGGTGAAAGGTTTGCTTTTAAGAGATTTCTTTAAAAAAAAATAGGTGTTTACCTCTAAGCAGTGCTTTCGTTAAATTTCGGAAGTTTTGGTTTGTTGTGTATACATTTTTTATTCACCTTAAAATATTATCTAATTTCCTTTGTGATTACTTTTTTGACCCATTGATTACTTAGGAGTATATTGCTTAATTTTCACATATTAGTGAATTTTCCAACTTCTTTCTGTTATTAATTTCTAATTTCATGTGGTTGGAGAACATACTTTTTATGATTTAAATCCTTTCAAATATTTTGAGATTTATTTTATAGCTTAACATGTGATCTAGTCTGGAGAGTGTTCCATGTGCACTTGAGAAGCACACATATATTCTGCTGTTGTTGGGTGAAGTGTCTCATAGAAATGTGTTGGGTCTGATTGGGTGTGGAATAGTCTAGTCTTTAATTTTCTCATGGATCTTTGGTCTAGCTGTTCTATTCATTATTAAAAGTGGGATATTGAAGTCTCCAACTGTTATTGTTTAATTATCTATTTCTTCTTGCAATTCTGCCAATTTTTTGCTTCATGCATTTTGGAGCTCCGTTGTTAAGTGCATATATGATTATAATGATATCTTCTTGATGGATTGACCTCTTACTCATAATAAACTGTTTCACTTTGGCTCTAGTAATAATTTTTGTTTTAACTTCTATTTTGTGTAATGTTAATATAGCCACTACATCTCTCTCAATATTGTTTTCATGCTATAGCTTTTCCCATTTTTACTTTCAATCTTTTTGTGTCTTTAAAACTCAAGTGTGTCTTTTGTAGATAGCATAGTTGGATCAATTTTTTAAAATCCATTGTGCCAATTTTTACTTCTTTATTGGAGTATTTAATCCATTTACATTTAATGTAACTAAGATTTATACCTGCCATTTTGTTGTTTTCTACATGTCTCATGTTTTTGTTCCTCTGTTCCTCCATTAGTGTATTATTTTGTTTTAGATATTTTCTAGTGTACCATCCTAGTTATATTATCATGTATTTCATATGTATATTTGATTACAATTAGCATCTTGTAACAATCTAATTTGAAGTAATATTAACTCAATTTTCAATAGTGTACCAAAACTTTACTCCTATATAGCTCTCCTTTGTGGCATTATCATCATACAAATTACATCTCTATATATCATAAGCCCCTCAACACAATTTTATGATTATTGCTTTATGCAGTAATCTTTTAAGTAATATAGAAGAATTACAAACCAAAATTACATTTATATTGTCTTTTATTTTTACTTATGTAGTTGCCTTTACCAGTGCTTTTTATTTTTTTCACGTGAATTCTAGTTACCATCTAGTGTCATTTTATTTCAGCTTTAAGAACTCCCTTTACTATTTTTTTTTTGTAGGGCATGTCTGCTAGTGATGATTCTCTCAGTTTTTGTTGACTTAGGAAAGTTTTAATTTCTATTTCGTTTTTGAGGGATATTTTTGGTGTCTACAGTATGATTTTTTTGACAAGTTTTTCTTTCTACACATTAAATATGCCATCCCATTGTCTTCTGGCCTCCATGGTTTCTAAGAGAAATAAGAAATTTGCTGTTTATCTGATTGAGAATTCTTTATATGTGATAAGTTGCTTCTTACTTGCTGTCTTCAAGAATGTCTTTGTCTCTCAACAGTTTAATTATGATATGTCTAGGTACAGGTCTCTTATACTTCATTGAGCTTCAGCTACATTGGCTGTGTGGATAAATGTTTTTTCCTAAAATCAAATTTGAGAAGTTTTCTGTCGTTTTTCTTCAAATATTCTTTGTGCCATTTCTTTCCTTTCCTTCTCGGACCCTCATTATGCACATGTTGGTGCAATTGGTGATGTCCCATAAGTCTTTGAGTTCCTGCTCATTTCTCTTCATTAATTTTTATTTCTGTTCTGCAGACTGGATAACATCTACTGACCCATCTATAAATCCACTGTTTTTTTTTTTCTGCCAGCTCAAATCTGCTATTGAGCTCCTCTAGTGAATATTTTATTTTAGTCATTGTACTTTTTGACTCCAGAATTTCTATTTGGTTCTTTTAAATAATTCCTATTTCTTTATTGACATTCTTTATTTGGTGATACATCATTCTCACATTTTCCTTTAGTTCTTTGAACATATTTATAATAGCTGATTTTAAGACTTTTCATAGTAAGTCCAATGTGTGGACTTTCTCTGGGACAGTTTCTATTGACTACTTTATTTTCTTGAGTATGGGGCATAATTTCCTGTTTCTTTGTATGTTTTTTTTTTTTTTTTGAGATGGAATCTCGCTCTGTCGCCCAGGCTGGAGTGCAGCGGCGCGATCTCAGCTCACTGTAAGCTCCGCCTCCCGGGTTCAAGCAATTCTCCTGCCTCAGCCTCCTGAGTAGCTGGGACTATAGGCACCCGCCACCACACCCAGCTAATTTTTTTTTTTTTTTTGGATTTTTAGTAAAGATGGGGTTTCACCGTGTTAGCCAGGATGGCCTCGATCTCCTGACCTTGTGATCCACCTGCCTTGGCCTCCCAAAGTGTTGGGATTACAGGGGTGAGCCACCGCGCCTGGCCTGTTTGTATGTCTTGTAGCATTTGTTTGTTTTAGAGATGGTATCTTGTTGTGTTGCCCAGGCTAGTCTCAAACTCCTGGCCTCAAGGGATCCTCCCTCTCACCTCAGTCTCCCAAGTAGCTGGGACTGCAGGCACACTTCACCATGCCGTGTGTGTGTGTGTGTGTGTGTGTGTGTGTGTGTGTGTGTGTATTTAACTCAACATTTTAAACAATATAACGTGACAACTCTGGAAAGCAGATCCCTCCCCTCAACAGGGTTTGTTATATTTATTATTTGTTATTGTAGTTGTTTGTTTAGTGACTTCTCTGAGCTAGTCGTATAAAGTCACTGTTCTTTTTCACATGTAGCCACTGAGGTCTCTGTTTGGTTAGCTTACCATTCAACAAATTATTGGACAGAGATTTCCTTATGTGTCTTGCATCAATAACTCTTACCACCTTTGTCAAGAGACTCTGTGTATGTGTTCGGAGTGCAACTTTAATGGTCTTGCAAGCAGATTACAAGTAAATGTTAGCCTTTATTGTGTGCCTTTGCATAGCCTCAATTTCAGTCAGAGGTGAGTGATTAGGGCCTCTTTAGGTTTTGGGTGGCATCTGCACAGCTCTGCATATGTACATCATCTTCTAAATTCCAATGAATATGTCAGAATTTTACAAAGCCTCCTCGGGACAGTTTATTCTCCAGCCTATCTTTTTAACTTTTTTGTCAACTTCTTGTTTGTCCTCAACTGTTATTGCAGCCACAGGCAGCTGCAATGTGAAAATCATTGCTCATTATTTTGACCAATGCCCCTAGGCTCTGAGTTAGGTGAAATAAAAGTCAGTCCTGCAAGTGAGGGTCTTCAGAGAGCTGCCAGAGAGATCAAAGACGGACAATTCTCTGGGGATGAGACTTTTGGGTACCTCCAAAACTATCCCCCTCACCCCCATCTCCCGGCTCTAGTTACTGCTAGGCTGCTGGTTTTCATAAGACCACGATGGTGAAGCTGTTGGCTTTCAGATTTTCATGATACCATGACGGTGAAGCTGTTGGCTTTCAGAGCTATCACTAAAACTGAGGAGACAGAAATCAGAATACAGCAGGTGAAAATGCTACAAATCTTATCACTTTTACCAAGATTCTGCCATTTTTCTCGAACAAACACTTTTCAAATTGTTACGAGGTTTTGGTTAATTTCCAGAGTTCTGAAAAAGTTGATTCCTGACTCTACTTCCAGTGTTCTTGTTGCTTTTATAGAGGACTGGATTTGTTTTGTCCATTGGCTTTGTCCCATTATTCTTCCTAGCTTTGTTGCACTGCATACTTGGTATATGATATTAATACCTTCTACATCTCCATCTAAATTGTAGACACCAGTGTTGCCCAAGAGTGGACCAGCAACAGTTTGAGGCATATTCCTCAGATTGAACCAACCCCTCTGGGTTCATGTCAGTTACCGGGTGTCAAGGTTGAAGCATTCAATCAATGAGCGTCACATCATTAATCCATATTTCATCATCTTCTCCTAAAGTCTAATATGCAGCCACTGTTAAGTGTTTTGCTTATGTCAAAATGCAGTTTTCAAGTGTTATTACTCTTACTTCTTAATTCTCTTATCCTGCTTTATTTTTCTCCCAGCATTTTTTCCCTATTAACACATATCTAGCCACTTTTTGCCTGCTTCACCACTAGAATGCATGCTTCTTGAAAGCCAGAAGTTTTGTTTTGTTTTACTCGGTTGCCAGTATCTAGATGAACTCCTGGCATATAGTACCTGGCTCAATACATTATTTGTGAATGTAATGAATGAATTAATGAACTTAATAAACTTTTTAGAAAAAAAGTTATTAATTTAACATAACTTGTTATTTAAAAACAATCTGTATTGCTTCAGTGGAATCCTATAAACCTTTCAAAAAGCAGACAATTAATGTACTTGATACTCCAGTCCAAAATTTCCAGGGAACAATATATTTACTAATCTGAAGTTTAAAACCCCTTTAAAATTAGGCCTATTTTTTGGCTCTAGGTTTTGGCATCTCTCTTATTCCTCACAAATTCCCAAAGATATAGTTAACAGTGAATCTAAGATCACATCAGAAAGTTTTTTAGTACTTTGGGATTAAAAAGTAGTAAACCAGAGCTCTCAAGGACTAAACTAATTTAAAGCAACTGCTTTTTCAAAAAAGTTCTTTCAAGGAAGAGGGAATAGTAAAAGCATGTACTATAGTGAAATTTCAAATTTACCTTCATTGTTTAAAAATTATTTATAATTTCAAAAACATTCTCCCTGAATAAGAAGATCTAAGTAAACTAAGAGTTGGATAATTCTTATTTCTCTCTGTTATCAGCGATCGCATCATTTTCACTGAAACCTGGTACTTTTTCATCCTTCTGTGTAGGCACAGATTTAAAAGTCCCATTTGCTACCAATCACATACTTTACAAGTCTAACTTCACTATGGGCTCTAGGCATTCTGCAAGTACACTTAGAGGTTCCTGCCACTCTCTTGACTTTGTCTTTGTAAACTCCGGTTTTGCTTTTTTAAAGATTGAAGCCTATTGAAGAGCCCCCTATGCAGCCATGTGGGCTTCTTTGGATGCCTCACTTTTCCACTGGGATTATAGACAGTTGTTAGGTCTGGATTTGGGTTTGAGAATCCCCCAGTCTCTCCAAGACCTATTCCCCATTACTGTCTCCAGCCATAGGATTAATATTACATCGTTCACATGATAGCTCTGTAAACACCCAAATTTTTCTCTATTTCTTAAGTAACATCCAACATAACAAGTCTACTGAGGTATTCCTGCTTTAAAAAATCAAACTGCTGGCCGGGTGCCGTGGCTCATGCCTATAATCCCAGCACTTTGGGAGGCCGAGGTGGGTGGATTATTTGAAGTCAGGAGTTCAAGACCAGCCTGGCCAACATGGTGAAGCCCCGTCTCTACTAAAAATACAAAAATTAGTCAGGCATGGTGGCAGGCGCCTGTAACCCCAGCTACTCGGGAGGCTGAGGCAGGAGAATCGATTGAACCTGGGAGGCAGAGGTTGCAGTGAGCCAAGATCATGCCACTGCACTCCAGCCTGGGCGACGGAGTGAGACTCTATCTCCACAAACAAAGAGACACCAAACTGCTTTCATAATGGAACTTATGTTGAAAGCATTAAGAAGAGGAATTTATTGAAAATAACACAGTGAACACAGTGAAAATAACACAGTGAATACAATAAAAATAACATTACAACCAAGTTTATCAAATAATTATATTAAACATGTTTCAGTTGGGCACAGTGGCTTACGCCTGTATTCCCAGCACTTTGCAGGGCTGAGGTGTGCAGATCACTTGAACTCAGGAATTTGAGACCAGCCTGGGCAATGTGGTGAAACCACTTCTCTACCAAAAAAAAAAAAAAAAAAAAAAATTAGTCAGGTGTGGTGGTGCATACTTGTCTCTGCTACTTGGGAGGCTGAGGTGGGCAGATTGCTTGAGCCCAGGAGGTCAAGGCTGCAGTGAGCCTTGAGCATGCCACTGCACTCCATCCTGGACAACAGAGTGAGACCCTGACTCAAAAAAAATTATTATTATCATACGAAACATATAGTTCAAGGCAAACTATAATGAAGAGTTGTGATTATCAATTCCTGCTCATCATAGAATCAACCACGGATATTTGGTTGCAGATAAGTGTCACTGCCTCTACTTCACCATTTTTTTTTTAACAGTTTTAACTTATTTGGCCTTGGGAGGGTTAACTGGGAAGAACTGAAAAGGAAAGCAAACAGAGTGAGATCTCAGCTGTCAGGAAAGGTAGGTAGTCATGTGCACAGAGCAGGCCATTGCCGCATGCAGAAACTGGGATCTCCTGCTAACTATAGAGTTTGCTCAAGCAATTATGGAGGCTGAGAAGTTTCATGATCTGCTGTCTACATGCTGGAGACCCAGGAGAGCTGATGGTGTAGTTCCAGTTTGAGATGGAAGGCCTGAGAATCAGGAGAACTGATGGTGTAAATTCCAGTCCCAGTGCAGGAGAATACCAATATCTCAGCTTGAAAACAGGTAGAGAGAGTAAATTCTCCTTACTCAGCTTTTTGTTCTATGTAGGCCTCCAATGGATTGGATGAGGCCTACTACCCACACTGGGGAGAGAAATCTGCTTTACTCAGTCTGCCAACTCAAATGTTAATGTCATCCAGAAACACCCTCATAGACACACCCAGAATCATGTTTATCTGGGCATCCCATGGCCAAGTCAAGTTGACACAAAAATTAAACATTAACAATGAGCAAGGAGCCTAGTGGCTAAAAATGCAGCCTCAAATCCAATGTGCCCTACTTACTGTGACCTTAGGTAAGTTACTTAACCATTCTAAGCCTCCCTTACCCCCAAGTAAAATGGAAATAATGATAGCACCTTCCTGAGCTTGTTTTTAGAAGCACATGAGAGAGGGTCAGGTCCAGTGGCTCATGCCTGTAATCCCAGCACTTTGGGAGGCTAAGATGGGAGGATCGCTTGATGCCAGGAGTTTGAGACCAGCCTGGGCAACACAGTGAGACCCCATCTCTAAAAATAAAGAATAAAAAAAGTTAGAATCACATGAGATAATGTCTGTAGAGTGCTTAGCAGAGTGCATGGCCCTAGAACTCACCATTTCTCTCTATCTAGGCATGAAGAAAGGAGATTCTCAACCAGGGAGGTTGGCAGTAAGTTTGAAAAATTCTAAGAAATTTCAGAAGATTCTATATGACCTTGATGACTAAAATCATATTTGTTATAGGGGAGGGAAGAGAAGCAAAGGAGTGAGGAGAGCAACTGAAAGCCTCTTACTTTCCAGCAGACCAGAATAACAAGGAACACTATGTCTGCTTTGAGGCTCCCTGCTGTCAAGGATGCCTGCTTCTGGGGTCTGCATAGAAACCTCTTAAAATCTGCTCACAGGCTTCTTAAGCTCCTGCCTCTTGAGCACCTCACATGTCATGCTTCCTGTGGAAATCTCCATTGCACATGGCTGCTGTGGGAAAAAGTGTAGGGTGGGGAGATGAGGGTAATACTAGAGAGAGCGATGAAGCATTGGAAGCTGAGAGGCATTCTCAGATCCAGAGGGTCATAGAGATTGAAGTCAGGGCTTTGATGGCAACCAAAATAGACTGCTTTCCAGCTGCAACGGAAAAAGGTGACTGGGATGTTATGATGGAGGGCAAGGAGGGTGGGTGAGAAGGTTTAGATAAATGCCTTCCTAGGCAAACTGCATCTAGTTGGTTGGATATTTTAAATAGTCAAAATGATTTACTTTTATTAGTGCAAAGACAAAACTGAATATAAACTGAGGGATTTATTTTCATTTGCAGATGTGAATTGGACACAGTATCATGCTACTTGTTGAATTCTGATTTAGAGCATCCACCCAAATCAAATTTGGGCCTCATTTGGGTAGATGCCCAAACTAGAATTTAACAAGTGGCATGATACTGGGAGGCAAGGAAGTCTCCACATTTAATGCTGAGGAGAGAAAGAAATTTCAGGACAGGGAAGTGTGTCTGAGTTAGACATACTTCTTTTCTACAGCTCCTTGTTTGAAATCAATACACATTCTGATTAAGGGCAGAGAGTTTTTCCTCTGAATAAACCATTTCCCCTGAAGAAATTGGCTGGATGGTATAATACCGGTTGATGAACCAGAAAACCTAGCCTCTGTTCCCTCCAACACCATTTCCCAACTACGTCACCTTGGGCAAGCCACTTAACCTTTCTGAGGATCAACTTCCTAAAGTCAAATGGGATAATAATCCCTCGTCGGCATCCTACAGTTGGTTATTTTAAAAAAGTGAGATAATAAATGTGAATTGACCTTGAGATCTGTAAAATGTACACAGTATTATTCCTGAACCATGACTGCTTCCCTTGCCCGGTCTAGTGATTTTAAGCACACAATACAAGATCTTCCCATATTGTTGCAATATGGAAGGAAACAGCTGCTAGTCAAAGCCAGTTTTAGAAACCTGCATTTTTGCAAAAGGAAGAGTCAACTTTCATCATAACAATGTTGCTGGCACAGGATGGTTACTGCCATAAAACAATGTAGAGATGGTCCAGCAGGTGTCAGCAGAGAACCAACTTTCAGTACTAGGTGGGCTCCTCCAGGGAGGGAGATGCCCGGGCCTGGTGGGCTGGGACAGGGCTGGGGGGACTCCGTCATTAAATCCAGGGCTGTCCCAGTTCTGGCGGGTGCTGGTAGGCAGATTGGGACCACTGAGATGGGGACAACAACCCATTGGCTTTATCTGCAAAATCCCTCTCATTGGCTCCAGGATCCTCTCCCTTCAGAAGATCCCTTCCCATGACTGTTTTTTAGTCTGGGCCTGAGTCCCTCTTCTGGCCCTAGAACCTGTGCTCTAACTTGAAAACCTGTCTCACAGGGAAGAAGGTTTATTTGTTTGTTTAGAGAAATACTGCTTTGGGAATGCCTTTCATCCCTGTCTGTTTTGGATATATGTTTTTCACCTACTCCTCCTTCTCCTACCTTAACAACCAGCCATTCAGATTCAATAATTCAGGCAACAAATCCAAGGTGAGTGGCTAATGTATGGGAAGTGGGAGAGCACTGTTTACAGCTACTAAATAGAAGCCCGTGCAATGAAGTATGTAAGCTCATATATGCTACAGATAGTCTCTCATATTTTACTCTTATGATTTCATTGCAAATGTATATGAGTCTGTTATAATGTGCCATGTTGAAATGGGTTCTGCCATAGGTTTTATGAGATTTGGGGTCTTTCTTGGCTGGATGTAGAGAGGATGACTTGGAGAGGCAGAGAAGCAGCTCTTTGAAACAGGAGCAAATCCCAAACTGCCTGCCTCCCCTCCCCTCCACATTTCTAAGATTCCCAGAGAGAGAGAGAGAGAGAGAGAGAGTGTGTGTGTGTGTGTGTGTGTGTGTGTGAGAGAGAGAGAGAGGTACATATATGTAAAGTGGTATATCTTAGTAGTGAGGAAGGGAAATATGTGAGAAGCCCTATGAGAGGAAAGGGCAAATGGAATCAGAGCCAAAAGGCTGTCTGAAACTTTGGAGCAAGACCTATGGATAAAGTTCAAGGGCAGGGCCACAGCCAAATAGAGAGCTGGCCACCTGCAAATCTGCCACATCTGGGAAATGGAGAAAAGGAAAAAGAATAAATCAAATAGCTATGGATGTTTGTAGCCCTATTGCATTATTTGCTTTTCCCACCCCATAGCAAAGTCCAATTCTTCTCAAAAACTCAGAAATTCTGGAATAACTCTAAGGTCTCCAAGGAAAGAGAGTTGTGTCCTACTTAGAATAGGCCAAAGTATGCGTGTGTGGGTAGGGGGTGTGTCTATGGGGGATCATTAGAGTCCTAATCTCTAGTATCTGGCACCCACAAAGAACAGAACTCCCATATCCACCACTAAGTATGACTGCTGGGACCAGTGATCCATAAGTCTCCAGCTGGCAGAAAGACAGGCACAATATACACAGATTCCTACGTTGCTGCAAATTTCTTGAATTCTCAAGTAGCTGGATAAGCTGTGTTTCTTTTTCTTTCTGATTGTAAATATTTAATTATTTACATCTCTTTTCTTGAAGCCAGTAGGTACCATGTTTGCAAGAATATTTGAAATTAAGAGGAGAGGGGTTCCGAAGTCCACAGAGCAACTGCCTTGCACATTATTTTACCCAGAATGCACAAGAAAAAGCAACACAGATAGCAGATATAGCCAGTTCAAGTCCTTGAAGAGTTATGGTCCTGTAATATACAAGGCCCAGCATTCACTATAATTGACCTGTGCTCAGTGTGGATCTGTGACTCTGGTTTTGGGACAAAAGTCTGCACTGATGATTTAAATATGGAGGCTCCAAAGACAGGTAGAACCAAAGGATGGTGAAACCCATCTCTTGCCTCAGTCATTGCATAAGCCCCTGATTCAGGACCCTTTTAAACCCTAAATCCCCATAAGCTATATTGTTAAATTATAAAACGAACCTTCTCTGATCTTATCCATTCCCAATATGGTGAAATCGTCTTTGGCTGTGTTTAACTAGGAAAAGTGAAGGGATGAGTTGAAAGCATTAAAAACAGCAGTCAGCATGATCAGAAACCCCAGCCAATGCGATATTTTCCAAAGAAAAGAGGCCACAGTTAGGGTCTCCGCTGCGTAGACCAAGCTCAAGTTAATTCGGTTTAGCCAGGCCCTTTTCTTTCCTGTTAAATTCTCAACCCCCATGGCTACCAGCCCCTGGGGAGCCCTCGCCTCTACCCCCAGGACCTCCCTGCCCGGCTCAGTAGCTCTGGGCCAGTTCATTTCGCCACAGCCCGGAGCCTCTCGGAAAGCAAAGATTAAAGGGGAAAGTCGCAGCTGTATATTTATATTTTCATTGCTAGAAGGGAATTGATTTCCGTGCATTTATTTTGGTAGTTGTAATACATAAGGGCGGATTTGCGTCACCCGAGCAACTTGCCGGTGGAGATAAAGTTGCACAAATATTGAAAGGGGAAGTGCTAGGAGTCATTATAGAGTTTTTCTCCGGAAGAAATAAGGATTTCTGCAGTATCCTAAAATACTAAGGCCGCTTCTATTTTGAGACCAATCTCGCAGGCACATCCGCTCATTTAGTCCCGAGTTTGAGCCCATCAAAAAACAGGAGATGACCTGAACTCCGGCGAGCCCAGGGTTTCCTGCTGCTTTCTTGGTTCTGAAGAGTGGGGAGTAAGGAGGGCGGGAGTCTGCGGGCTCAGAACTCGGCGAGGGGCCTGCAGGGGCCAGGCTTGGGCCTGGGGAAGGGGTAGAGGGGGCGGCGGGGGTCGCTCCAAAGACTTGTATTTCGCGTTTGCCTCCGGGAGCTGGGAGTAAGGCCTTGGATGGCGCCGACGCGGTTGCGAGGAAGCTGAGGCCTGGGAGAGCAAGGGGCGCGCAGGCGAAGTTGCAACTTGCACTCCAGCCGCGGGCCTGGCGGAGAAAGGGAGGCTCGCGGCGCCGCGAGGAGTCGGCGGGCCTCGGGGCCTCGCTTTCGCCGCATCTGCCCAGCGCTCCGGGCCTTGAATCTCGGCAGATGCGAGTTGTGGGCACCTAGGGAACCCTGAGGACTCGCATTCCCCCGGGTCTGTATCCCGTGCCCACCCCGGAGCGTCGCAAACCTTGGAAAGGGTGAAAGCTGATAGGGGAGTCTTATTTCTTAAGAGAGAGGGTGAGGGCGCGCGGCGCTGCCTCGGGTAAGGAGTAAATGCACCTCTTTCACAACCGTGAGTTTGGGCTTAGGCTGAGGTCTAAATGTTTGCAGTCAAATTAGAAACGCAATCAAACTGGAAGTGGCACTAGAAAGCAGAGGGCTCACGGCCTCCGCTACGCACACTCCCACCGAAGGCTCACCAGAACCCTCAGCCAGCGCCTCAATTGCCCATGTTGTACTTGTCGCTCCTTTGCCTTCACCTTGACACAGAAAAACTGGTCTTAATACGTCTCTCGCCCCAGGTACCCCTACCTTCAGCCAAACACACCCATCTATCTCTGGAAATAGCACCTCTCTCCTGGTTGCGTGGAGCAGGGGAAGAAAACCTTTCAGTAAAAGAGAGATGGAGAGCGAGAGCGGGAGAGCTGGAGGGCGGGAGGAGGGAGAGAGAGAGGGAGAGGGAGAGATCTTAGTGCTGGCTGATCAGAAGTGATTGATAATTTTCCAGGAGAAAGTCAAAAGCTTAAAAGGATAGCATCTGCATCAAGGGGCTAGAGAAAACACCAGAAATTAATTTTATAAGCCCAAACCCTGAACTCGAGATAGGCATGGCAAGTTCACTTGCTTTTCTGGGTTTATTTGGTGAGGAGCCTTCGTGCTGAAGGGAAATAAAAATGTCACAGAATCCCTGTTAGGAGATGCTTATTAGGGCAATCGAAAACAAAAGTTTTCGTGGTTTCATTATTCGTATTATTTTATTTTCTTCCTGAAAATGTGCAAGAACAGCTCATCTGGGTGGCCTGTGGTTTGTTTGGGAGAGGGGTGGGGAAATTCATTCTGACTATAATTTAAAGAGAAGAAATTCTTAAAATAGATATGTCGATGTTGCACAAAACCTCCACCACCACTACCCTGCGTTCTAAAGACCCAAGGCACGAATGGAAGACGTTGACCACCACGCAGCTCCTCCTGCAACCAGGCCCAAGGGGTTCCTGGGGAAGCTGTCACAGAATTGAAAGCAGTATTGAACCCCACGGAAATCTGCTCTTGTGGGCACTTGCAAAACAACGAACCCCACGTGATCCGGAGATGTGGTGGAGGGGTGAGGCTAACATTTCCTACAACCTCCTGCAAAGGATGGAAGCGCGTGCCGCTCTCCCGGGTTTCGGGAGGCAGCCTGTTTTGTAGCCTCTGAGGCTCCGGGGAAAGGTTTGGCTGCGTCTAAGAGAGACGTTTGGAGCCATCCGTCTTATTTTGTTTGAAAAGTCACTCGTTCAATTTGTCACTGTGTGACAGCTCAGAATAAAACCAATTTGCGGCCGCCCCTCCTCCTCGCTTCCCGGAGGATCTCCTGGGAGGCACGAGGCGGACGCGGTGCTGAGTTGGGCCGGGACTCAGGGCGGCAACATTTGGGCAAGGGCCCAGGAAAGATGAGGGGCTTTGCCGAGGACACGGACTCCTGGAATAAAAGCAGAATGAGGTCAAGAGAAGGGAAGCAAAGGGGCCAAAGCGCGCTCCGCTCTCCACCGGGAGGCGGGCTTTGCAGAGCCCTAAAGAGTGAGATTACCGTCCCTTCCCCACGCCCCCAACTCGCCCCGGGTGACAAGCGCTTCAGGAAAGCTCCTGTGATCAACCCTCCTTGCCCCGTGGCGGTTCGGAGCTGCAGAAGTTAGAAGAGAGTCAGAGCCCTCCGGAGCGGCTGCCTGGCCCCTACGCAGAGTAGCAAGAAGCACTGCGATGTGCGCTACTAAGCCCACGCGGCCGCAGCAAAAACTTTGGCGTGGCCGGGGCGTGGCTAGGGTCCGGCCAGGCCCCCTTGTTCCTAATTCCCCTCCACTCCCCGCTCCCATTGGTCACGAGGATGACCAATGAGCGCTCGGATCGAGGTCCTACCCCGGGCCTGACTCGAAAGCTCCTGCCAAAACTTTGGGAGTTTTTAGAGACGAGTTTTTTTTTTTTTCTATTACTTTTCCCCCCCCCTAACTAACGGACTATTATTGTTGTTGTTTTAAATTTAGCTCTTAGGGCTTAGCTATTTGGGTTTTCTTGCGGTGTCCGGCTCCCGTCTCCCTGGCTCCCCCGCCCGCCCTGCGGCCCCAGCGCCCCTCGCTCTCATCCAGCCCGCGAGGAGTGCGGGCGCCGCGCCGCCTTTAAAGCGAGGCCAGGGAGCGAGGCGGTGACCGGCCGAGATCCGGCCCTCGCCTCCTCCCTCGGTGGCGCTAGGGCTCCCGGCCTCTCTTCCTCAGTGCGGGCGGAGAAGCGAAAGCGGATCGTCCTCGGCTGCCGCCGCCTTCTCCGGGACTCGCGCGCCCCTCCCCGCGCGCCCACCCACCCAGTCCGGCTGGACTGCGGCAGCCGCGCGGCTCACCCCGGCAGGATGTTCGCAGCCGGGCTGGCTCCCTTCTACGCCTCCAACTTCAGCCTCTGGTCGGCCGCTTACTGCTCCTCGGCCGGCCCAGGCGGCTGCTCCTTCCCCTTGGACCCCGCCGCCGTCAAAAAGCCCTCCTTCTGCATCGCAGACATTCTGCACGCCGGCGTGGGGGATCTGGGGGCGGCCCCGGAGGGCCTGGCAGGGGCCTCGGCCGCCGCCCTCACCGCGCACTTGGGCTCGGTTCACCCGCACGCCTCTTTCCAAGCGGCGGCCAGATCCCCGCTTCGACCCACCCCAGTGGTGGCGCCCTCCGAAGTCCCGGCTGGCTTCCCGCAGCGGCTGTCTCCGCTCTCAGCCGCCTACCACCACCATCACCCGCAACAACAACAGCAGCAGCAACAGCCGCAGCAGCAACAGCCTCCGCCTCCGCCCCGGGCTGGCGCCCTGCAGCCCCCGGCCTCGGGGACGCGAGTGGTTCCGAACCCCCACCACAGTGGCTCTGCCCCGGCCCCCTCCAGCAAAGACCTCAAATTTGGAATTGACCGCATTTTATCTGCAGAATTTGACCCAAAAGTCAAAGAAGGCAACACGCTGAGAGGTAGGTCTTGGGCGGGAGGCTGCAGGCCTCTGACCACTGACCCACTCCCCGGACCCCGGGCTGGCTTGGGGTGCCTTTGAGTGTTTTTACAATTAAGGACAAATCGGTAAAACGGGAGAGAAGAAAACGAATTGTAAGAAAACTACAAAACATTAGGTCTAAAACTCACCTGTTCTATGTAAAACAAACAAAAAATGACTCCAGGGATTCTTTAAAAACACGTCTTAGAATCAATATTTATAAAAGTGGTTGGTGTAATTATCTGCTAACATGACTTTGATCTCTTTAATAATGTATCTAGAGACAGAATTATATTTTCTGACAGCTAAAGCATTTTTGGGAAACACTTTCGCACTTATCTGATTTCTAGTAAAAATTTCACCCAGGAAATGTAAATAATAAACAAAACCGCCTAGATGAGCGGGCAGAGTGGGGCCACCTTGGGGCGGAGGTTTTGCGTCTGTGGCGTTCTTGGAAGACACGTGAAAGTGAGGCCGTAAGCCGATTTATGTAAAGCCTTTACTTACTATATACATGCATATGGACGTGAGGGACACACAGGAACTTTTCGTGCGTCGCTCCTTGGCAACTGTTGGGAGAGAGAGGTTTCAGCGCCTAGACGGGTTCTCTCTTGACTTCGCTCAATAAAAGTGAATCCAGGGCAAGGGGAAGGGGAGGAACAAATCAGCGGAGAGTGTGAGTGTGCCCGAGATGTAACCTGCTATCCTTTTCCCTTGTCCCCAGATCTCACTTCCCTGCTAACCGGTGGGCGGCCCGCCGGGGTGCACCTCTCAGGCCTGCAGCCCTCGGCCGGCCAGTTCTTCGCATCTCTAGATCCCATTAACGAGGCTTCTGCAATCCTGAGTCCCTTAAACTCGAACCCAAGAAATTCAGTTCAGCATCAGTTCCAAGACACGTTTCCAGGTACGGAAAAACTCCAGAGTACTGCCTAACGGGCGAGCCGACTAACAGTCAGAAATCTCAGGACTGACGCCTCCAGGGCTGCCACGGTGTCGCAATCTCACAATTGGGGCGGGAGGCTACGGAGTCAGGAGAGAGAAACCGAAAGATTTCTCAGCGAGCTAGCGCTCGCTTCGGATGGTTCCCCTTGAAAAGGGGTAGAGGCGCCTGGAGATCCCAGAAAGTGTGTGCGTGGACGGTGGGGTGGGGGGCTTTCTCGAAGTCTTTTCGCCCCAGAGGGCTTGAAAAATGCAGCATCAATGTTGCTTATTAGCATATACACATTTTGGGATGACCTCAAACACTTGTGCTTGGCGAGTTTATGTCTGGGTGCCTGGACACATGCGGGAATAAACACACACACACACACACACACACACACACACACACACACACACACACACGAGATAATTCAATTCAGGGCTGTCATCATTCAGGCCCAAGGGACATTTTTGTCTACTCTTCGTAGGCCTGATGGCCACGCATGAGGTTTATGTTTTTCTCTTGGAATTAAAGGACAAGCCGCCAGGCTTCTCCACTCCACGCTCGCTTTAGGTCTTCCGACTGTCGTGTAAAATTCCTCCTTAGAGGGGCCATTCGGTGTATGTGCGAAGGGCTTTCTGAATGAGGGTGGAATCGACAGTTAACACGAAACAGTTTCAAGCCTTACGGGGACCCCCAGGCTGGCAGGTCAAGGACTGGACACTGAACGGCCCTCTTGTCTTTCTTCCCTCTGGCTCCCGTTCTGCGGCAGGTCCCTATGCTGTGCTCACGAAGGACACCATGCCGCAGACGTACAAAAGGAAGCGTTCATGGTCGCGCGCTGTGTTCTCCAACCTGCAGAGGAAAGGCCTGGAGAAAAGGTTTGAGATTCAGAAGTACGTGACCAAGCCGGACCGAAAGCAGCTGGCGGCGATGCTGGGCCTCACGGACGCACAGGTAAGGCAGTTCTGGCTCCAGCGCACAGCGCCCTCGGGCGGGCAGCAGCGCACGGCCTAGTCTGGTAGGTCCCCTCCATCCCGGCCGACTGGCCTCCTGCGGTGCAAACGCAAGATCTTGACTTTCAAGAGGCTTTGTGGACTACGCAACTTGAGGCAGGAGAAGAGGAGGGTGGAGATGGGGTGAGGGAGAAGGACCGAGAGAAGAGCTCATCCCCAAGATGTGTGTCAACAAGCACTGCATGTTTATTTTGGCCAACAGGCTAAAGAACCACGGAGAAAGCAAAAGGGCCGCTGGAAATAACACTGATACACTCAACTGTAGTGCAATTCGCTGTAGGAGGCAGTTTATTTCAGAAAAGATAAAAACCCAAAGGCAAGAGATTGTTGTTGGGTTTTTTTCCCTCTCACCCTCCCTCCTTCCTCCTCCTCCTGCTGCTTCTGCTGGATTGTGAAATCCCCAGTTGTGAGGAAGTGAAAATATAATTTCAAACGGAATTAGTTAGCTCCAGGAGGGCAGGGAGTCTGCTTGGAGTGGCCACACATTACAAGGCTTAGGCTCTGAAGAAAATCTGAAGGAAGGGGAGAGGTGAGGGAAAGAAAGAAAGAAAAATGATTCTCTTAGAATACCCAAGAGCATTTCAGCAGGTTCTGCCTATTTGAATTTTTTCAAGACAATAGGAAATGTATTGTGGCTGAAATAATTTTATTCTTTTTCTTAAATTTAAGAACTGGGCTTCCCCACCCCCCACCACCCGAGCTTTGACTGTGGAAGAGTCACTCTTGTGCACCCCATAGCACTGGCTCTGGCTCTGGGGTGCTGATTTTCCCCAGCAGGTCAGAAGCCAGAGGCAGGCTTCTTTTTCTTAGCTCCTTGGTCCCCAAATTGCTGTCTCTGTTTCTTTCTGACCTCCATTACACAACTCTTCTCCCCAGTACACACACACACACACACACACACACACACACACACACACACACACACGAGGAGCCCAGCCGTTTTCCACCAGCTGTGGATGTTATTTTTAAAAGGGAAGCTGGAACTTGTGTGAATGCGTTGGGTCCCCCAGGGGATCGTATATATCTGTATAGATTCTCTGCCCCATCTCTATCCCCTTCCTTAATTTTGCACACATTTAATTCCATTGTTTTCTGAGCCCCCAGGAGAATTTGTTTATCCTTAACAGGGGCAAGGTCCTTATCAGCTCTTGCGTACAAACACACCAAAGAAATGCTGTCTTACTGAAAGCCCAACAATGCCCCCACCCTACTGTGATTAACAGTTTAAAACCCCTTTCCCTTTCTGCTTCCCATGTTTCCTTTTTTGAAAAAAGTATTGCTTTGGGTAGTGGCAGTAGAGGAGAGGGCCAACTTAGAGCAGGAATTCTTAACACTGGCACACCAAACCCTTGACATTGTAAGCAATATCTTGGGCATATGTGTATTTTTCTGGGCTAGGAGTCCATAACTTTAATCAGATTCTCATGGGGGTCCTGGCATAAAAAAATTACATGGATTTAGAGTAGAGAGAGAGTATGTTGGGGGTCGGGTGCAGGAATCTGCCTTTCCAACAGTCACTCAGGTCATTTTAGTCCTGGGGCCTGAGGGTTGCATTTTGAAAACGGTCTTAGTGGGTTCCCTAGGCCAGGATTCCTGGCTTCTTGTGTTCCCCTGGGCTGCCCCTTGGCTCCTGCGCCTACCACAGTGTCTGGTCCTTGGTAGAGTCGCCAAGTAAGCGTTGCTTTTTCACTCAGGGAGGTGGCTTGAGGGTGCACGCGAGTCGGATAGGAGCAAACCTGGGTCTCATCTCGGTGTCTCTTCTTGTCTCCCGGTGTGGCGCGGCGCAGGTGAAGGTGTGGTTCCAGAACCGGCGGATGAAGTGGCGGCACTCCAAGGAGGCCCAGGCCCAAAAGGACAAGGACAAGGAGGCTGGCGAGAAGCCATCAGGTGGAGCCCCGGCTGCGGATGGCGAGCAGGACGAGAGGAGCCCCAGCCGTTCTGAAGGCGAGGCTGAGAGCGAGAGCAGCGACTCCGAGTCCCTGGACATGGCCCCCAGCGACACGGAGCGGACTGAGGGGAGTGAGCGTTCTCTGCACCAAACAACAGTTATTAAGGCCCCGGTCACTGGCGCCCTCATTACCGCCAGCAGTGCTGGGAGTGGTGGGAGCAGCGGCGGCGGCGGCAATAGTTTCAGCTTCAGCAGCGCCAGCAGTCTTAGTAGCAGCAGCACCAGTGCGGGTTGCGCCAGCAGCCTTGGCGGCGGCGGCGCCTCGGAGCTTCTCCCTGCAACACAGCCCACAGCCAGCAGCGCTCCCAAAAGCCCCGAGCCAGCCCAAGGCGCGCTTGGCTGCTTATAGACTGTACTAGGGCGGAGGGGATCCGGGCCTTGCGTGCAGCCTCCCAACCATGGGCTGGGTTTTGTGCTTACTGTATGTTGGCGACTTGGTAGGGCAGGAGACGCAGCGTGGAGCCTACCTCCCGACATTCACGCTTCGCCCCACGCTGCTCCGACTGGCTGCAGCGGACACTGCCCAAAGCAGAGGGGAGTCTCAGTGTCCTGCTAGCCAGCCGAACACTTCTCTCCGGAAGCAGGCTGGTTCGACTGTGAGGTGTTTGACTAAACTGTTTCTCTGACTCGCCCCAGAGGTCGTGGCTCAAAGGCACTTAGGACGCCTTAAATTTGTAAATAAAATGTTTACTACGGTTTGTAAAGGCCGCTTGGCTTTGCTGGGGGTTGTTAAGGCCAGAGATCTACAACCGGACCTTAGTCCCGGGGACACTGTAGAATGCAGCAGCTGAAGGTGGTGGGGCTGGAGTTTCAGGGGAAGTGGCTCAACCTCAGAGCCATCTTGTTACAGACATCAGAGATGGGCGTCTGGGTTTAGAGGCTTCTAATTAAGAGATTTCTAGCGCCAACTGCCACTGAAAGTGCCCTCTGAGACCCTGAGTAGCCTGAGAGTGGAGCAGGCCATAGAAACTGTTAGGCCAGTGCAACAGATGGTTTCCCCATTCACAGTATGGACGAAATGAGTTCCTAGAGTACTCAGAGTTGGAATGGGGAAGGCAGTGATGCCAGGCGGGGTCAATCTAGGCACAGCTGTAATCACTATGTGGACGCGAAGCGCGGGCCCAGAGCCCTGCACAAACTTTTCCTTGTTCCGGGATGGGGTAGAGGACAGGTTTGCAATGTTGCTGAGGAAAGGACAGACATGACACAGTGGTTAGAGCTGGAAGCTTGGGTCTTAGAGTGCCAGGGCCCTGGTTGTAAACATGCCAAACAAAGAGGTGACTTCTTCAAGGTGAAGCAGAGGCACAGCCCAGATCAGAACTTGGACTTCCTGGCCTACATGTGGCCACGGATAGAACTATGAAGTTGCATCCTCCATTCCCTCATCCACGCAAAAATTTTCCTTTGCAATTTGGCCACTGGAGGTGCCTAGATGAGCTCTTTCTCCCCAAAGCTGCTGAGAGTCGTGAGGCAGTTTCCCCATCCCACTGCAGCTGGAAAATATGTAGTAAACCTTGACACTGCTACTAGGATGGGCAATTCAAAGATTTTTTGTTTGTTTATTTCTTTTAAAGGTGAAAAGTTAAACCTCTCTCCAGGACCTGTCCTCCTGCTTGTAACTGTGAAATGTCTGGAGTTGCTAAAAGCTCTTTGGGGGGATTTTATAGCAAATAGATTTCTTTGGGAAATCCTGATCAGTCTCAGTGCCAATCTCTTCGGCACTGAGCAAGTGAAGGACACAAGGTCTCTGGCAGACCCAGCATCCAGGCGGGGTGGCCAGTTCTCAGAATGAGTTGAGGAGAGGTGCTGAAGTCAGAGAGCCTAGGACACACCTCAGTCCCTTGGCCAGAGTGGGAAAGTTCTCAGCAGTCCTCTGTCTTGCTTATCTCCTCCACTTTTAGACATTCCCCTGGAGCTCATTCCAGGATCTCTGTTCTCGACTTTTCCATCCAGGGGTGAAGTAGAGGCAGCAGATTGAGCCTTCTTACACTTGCATAGCCAGATACAAGATACAGATAACAAGTCCCAAAGCCAACACATGGATGCAAAGATGATCATTTCCTGACCCAGCCAACCCCCTAAGTCCCCAAATCGAGATGATTCAAGAGCAGTGAGAATGGAGTAGGGGCAGAATGATCAGAGATGTACAATTTAGTCAAGAGAAAAGAAAGAGCATACCACAAGGGACCCCATCTTCAATAGGAACATGAACTAGCTGTTATCCCTAATTGTGTCACAAGAGTTTCCAGGCCAGGGCAGCCTCCCCACCTGGCCTGGGTGCGGGCCAGGGCTGGGATAGTTCTTCAAGCCTTCTGTAGGCTCTGCTGCCAAACTTCAGGATTCCCTCTGTACCTCAGTTTTGTCTGCATTATCGATATCAATTTCCCCTGACCCCACATATCGAAATTCTGGAAGCAGGATATCCCAAGCACATCGAATTTTGAGGTGCTTCAATCCAGCTCTGGCGTTAAGGAGAATAACGCGTCGGCACGCACACTTAGCTGAGGAGCGGAGTCTAGGGAAGAAAGGTGGGGAGGATGCTTTATACAAACCGCACTTTCCCCTGCTCCTCACCTGGCCCTGGAGGTTTCCGCTACCGCCAAACCCAGACCGTAGGTCCACGCCCTGGCCCCGGGGCTTTGAACGTGAAGAAAATCATCATCGGGGAATGTCATGATGTGATTTCAGGTAGAATTCTGCCTTATTTAGGCCACCTTTCGCCAGGCCAGGGGGCACGGCAGAGCTGGGGGGCTCAGGGATGAAGTGAGCCGGGGGGGTGAGCGCCTGAGGGCGGGAGTCAGAAGGACGAATACCACCCTAGTGCTCGCAGGAGGCGCCCCTGCTTCCGCCACCCCCACCCCCAGTTCCTAGTCAGTTATCACCTGAAGTTCTTGCGGGGCTTTACCCTAGCAGTGGAGTTCTTCCACATTTCATCAGAATCGGAATATCACAAGCCCCGGAAAAGTTACAGTTCATCTGGAAGAAGGGTAGCCACAGGTGGCCAGGAGGAAAGGCTAAAATTTGGCCGGATAGTCCCATCCCAGGGCTGCTCTCTCGACCCCGGGTACTGGGGTCTTCTTGGCAGCGCAAAATGCTAGCAAAGGCGGCCAAGCAGCTCGAAATTCTTCAACCAAGACCTAGAGTTTTCAGACCCGGAAGAGAAGGCCCAGCGCGGACCGTGCGGGGCGCTAGAACCGCTCAGGGTTGAGGCTTGGAGCAGGAGAGCGCGCGGGCCCCGGAGCAGAGCAGAGCAGAGCAGAACAGAGCCGCGGCCCCCGCCCCTCCTGCACACAACCCGAGACTCCAGCCAGCGATTGCTCTTTGAGCAAAGCTTTGCCTAGCCCGCTGAAGTCCCCGCTGCGCGGAGCCCTCCGAAAAAGGCTACCAAGGTGCACAGAGGCTCACAGAGGGATGGTGACCACGGTGCGTTTCCTTTGGGGCGGGGGTAGGGACTCAATACCCATCACCCATCCCCTCCAACGTGGACGCACACAGACCTGCAGATTCATATAGACACACGAGAGACAGGCAGTATACTGGCTATTTCAGCACTTTGCGGGTAAAACCACGCTAATAAATTTCCCCATTCTCCTCCATATGGCAAAGCAGAGAGGAGCCTCTGCCGCCTTATTCAGCCTGTGTGGGTGGGTAGGGCGCTTGTTTCCACAGAGAATTTGCCTAGCGCCAAGTTCCGCGGACTAAACCACTGAAGGCTGGCGCCGCGTTTCTCTCCCTTTTGCCCGCTTCAGTCGAGAGTGGGCATAGACATCCTTGCGAGCAGTGTGTCTCCCTCGCCTTCCTGTGCCCACCCCCCCGCCCGAGGCCAAAGTCGTCAGCCCCCGGGGCAGGTCCAGGCGAGGTCCTGCTTCCAAGGGAGGCTCAGGTCATTATACCAGCCAGGGAGATTTCCCGCTTCTCTCCCTCTACTCCCTGCAAAGAGTCGTGTGGATTGTAGGCGGGCTCAGACTCTGCTTGCCACAAATCCCTCTGACATCCTTTGCACCTCAGAGGCAACCATAAAGGAACTCCAGTCACTCTGGGATCTTTTCTCTGGCTGCCCTCTCTACCCAGGATCTGGAGTTTGATGTTGGCAGGGGATGAACTAGGTTGTGGCCAGCGCAGGGCAGGCACAGTAAGAGCGCCTAGGCTTCTTTTCAAGGTGTCAGAAGCCGAAGAAACAGGAGAGTGAAACCTGGGTTCTCCTGTCTGGGAAGGCAACCGCCAACGAAAGCTTCGGAGTCAGGAGAGGGGTGTGGTAGAAACCAGGGCTTGTAGCAGTGGATTTTCTGCGGGCACCTGGACTTGACTTGATCTGTTGAGCTTTAACCTGTTGAGCTTTAATCTGTTTCCACAGATCTGAACCCACCTCTGCTCAAGCCCACGCCTACCTGAGACTCTCAGTGGGCTGGATGGAGCACGAAACGGGGGAAGAGAAGTCAGAGGCTGAGGTTGATGCAGTCTCCCATCGTTTTCAGGCATCCTAGTCCCCTCTCCGGCTTCTTCCTCCCTTAAGAAGAAAAAGTAGGCAAGCTCAGCCCTCCCCCACGTGATGTAGTGACACCGCTTTAAAGATGACCAAGAGGACCCTAAACATGCTGGGACATCACATTCTCCTTCTTTAGCCTTGTGAGTTGGAAAGGACTGATTGCACACTCCAATGTATTTGTGAAGATGCGAGTTTTAAGGAGGATTTTAACTACAGGTATTTGGGCTAGGGAAGATTTTTTAAAATCCGAAATTTTGATTTAACTCATGCACTCATCTAGCTCACAGCCTCCATTTTTGAGGTCATGATGAGATTGGCTGGCGTCCCAAAGACAAACTAGTTGGCTTTCTCTGAAGCTTCCCTTCACACACTGGGATATTACAACCCACAGTGCCTACCCTCTGCCAGCCACTCTTGGGGAATCCAGACTGCTTACACAGGGTGGGGAGCACTTTCTAAGATTCCCTTCAACTCAGGTTCTAACAGAGCAGCAGCCTCCACGAGGATCCCTGGGCCCTGAGGACAGGTGAGCTTAGAGAACCCCTGGCCCTTTAATCCCTTCCCTGTCTCTGCCCCCTGTCATTTTAGAAATCAGGAATAGAAGTCTCCACAGTTATGATTGTTCCCAACTTCCTCGTTTTTGGGTTGAAGTAACAGAGGCTGAGAGATGTGAGAATACTTGCCCAAGGTGCCCTGGAGAGTGAGTGCAAGGACCAGGATGGGCCTTGTGTCAGGGCCTCCTGCAGTACACAGGAACATGAAAGCTGGTGCCAGACACTCCTGAGCAACCAGATTCTGATCCAAATTATCAAAGCTCAATAGGTTTTCAAAAAGAGCATGAGGTTCAACCACTGCCTGGGATGTTGGGCTCCCATTAGCTCCTTCTCTTTCCCCTTGGTGGTTCCTGAGGGGTCTGGGAGTCGCAGGTCTGGGACTCCATTGGGTTGATACCCTGCTCTCCACCCTGCACTGACCTAATAGCAATGTTAGCTTTGCTAATAGTGTGTAGGATCCCAGCCACACTGTGCTCACGAAAGGAAGCGACATCCATGGTGCTTTTTGACTTCCATTGATCATTGCTGACACTTAGGATTCTGGGCAGAATGTGGAGATCGAGGCCCAATCATGCCTGCGTGGCAGCCCCTGCGCTGGATCCTTGTTTCTTCCTCTAGCCTCAGATTCAGCTGAAGCCATGGCAGATAGTAAGCCTCACCTCTAGCACAGTCCACCCTGCGCAACACACGAGGAACCAGAAAGAGACCTTGGAAGTGGCAGCGGCAGCATCGCCTGACATGCGCTCCGAACTTGCCTCTCTGGAGACCCTCAACGACTCTCTGGGTTGGGGGGGTTATTCGAGGAGACCGGCAGGAGGAGTGTGCAGGAAAAAGCGGGCCTGATCCCAGCCCAGCATAGGAGGTCTGAACTAACCCCAGAGGCATTCATTCATTCATTCCCTCACCCACCAATAACTAGCTACATGACCTTGGAAAATTCATCTAATCACTTGGTTTGTTTTCTCGGTGAAATGGGATATAATCAAAGGTATGTAACTCATAAATTGGTGTAAGACTTCATGACAGTTAAAAAAAAAAAGCCAAAATGAGAACAGTGGCTGGTATACAATTAATGCTATAGGCTTCGATGTTACTGCATTCCTTCATCCATTCATTTTTTTCATTGCAGTATTTATGGGGATCCTTGTGAGTGTTTGCACCATAGAGAAAAAAAGAATGCAAGACAACCTTTACTCTCCAAGAAATTATATCATTAGATGAAAATGAGGATGCCTTGTCACCAGGAAATCCTTTAAGGAGTAGCCCAGAGAGTTAGGATGTGCTGCCTGGCTAGGTCAGGGGTTGCTGCATTTGGAAGGCCTTCTTCATCTTGATGCTCCTGGCACTATGCACAGGAGCACCTCAGTCTGCAAATTTCACAGCAGGCAGGCCATACAATGCTTGTGGGTGTGGTGGGGACTTACTCATGGGAGTTAGAAAGGAAGAAGTTAGTTTTCTGATACTTAGTTTTCTGAAGCTTAAGCAAGTGTCCAGGGGCACAGAAGGGAAAATTATGTTCCAGCTGTTGAGATTATGTTGGGACAAATAGCACTTGGGGAGTTTTATTAAGTTTTTAACTAATCACAATGAGGGAGGGCCCTCGAAACGGAAACAGGAGATTAACGATTCCTTCGAGGAAAAAGGCACCCTCGGCTTCTTGAGAGCAGGGCTGGACTCTGCTGCATGGTTGGAGAAGCTCTAGCACCTAGCTCAGTGCTTGGCACAGGAAATGCACCCCCAAAAGTGTTTACTGAATGAACGACAAGTATAATTATTGTGGCCCTTGTGGTTATTTATAGCATCGCAGGGTAGGTAGCATTATAAACACAGTAGGAGGCTGTGCAACACGACCCAGAAGTACCAGGTAGTAACCCCGGGAGTGGACCTGGAGCTGCGAATCATCTGGTCGAGGACCCATTAGGATCCCCGATGCTAAGGTCATCACAGAGAGGCAAGAGAACGCGTTCACAAGCAGGACTCGATGCAGGCGGCCGAAACTCTGGTCTGCGTACCATTTGGGCATCGTTGTAGGTGGAAACCAACTGGTAGGGAGGTTGAATGACTCACTCAAGGTCACTTCCCTAGTGGTCAACGTCAAGAACCAGGACAGAAGTCCAAAGCTTTCTGTGCTTTCTCCAGTCCCTCACTTATGCGGGGGTGCGGAGCGCTAAGATCTGCCCGAGCCTCTCTTGGAACACGGAAGAGCACCGCAGAGCGGGTAAGAACGCTAGGCGAGTTGGTCTTAGTGCGTCTGCACCCCGCCGCCTCTCTCTGCGGAGCAAAAGTGCCTGTTCTGCGGAATTCCCTAGCCACCCTCAATCCCCACTGTCCTCGACCAGAGATTTCCCAGTCTGCAAATTTTAGCCTCGTTTTAATTTGTCGGGGCTGTTTATTTTTGTTTCTCAGAATCCGCGTGACGAGTGCACCCAGCACGTGGTAGAAGCTCAAGAAATGAGCAAGTGAACGAAAGATCAAAAGAATGAACTAATGAGCGAATAGGATCCCCTATCTGGCAGTCCCGACTTGCATCCGTCATCACAATCCGGCCACTGTTGAATTTCACTACCTGCTGAAATGCGGGCCGCGCACGCCTCCAAAGAGGTGTCCCTGAGACTCTACGCAGCCAGGCTCTCGTGGTCTGGGGCTCAGATCTCGCTCCAAGGCCTCCTACCTTCGGGGGTCACAGGGTCTCGCCCCGTTCTCAATGGCTTTGGGTGTAGCATAGGAAGGTCCTGGGTCTTCCGTGGTCTCGGATCCCCAACCTGCCCGCCGAATATTCATTCAGTTCACGGTCAGCGCGGGCCCCTTGGCCCCCACCTCCCCCAAGCTGATCGCTACGTCAGTCGGTTGCCGGTCGGGAGCGCCCAGGAGATGACTCTTTGAGGCCACTTTGGGTCAGCTTCAGCGATCTAAGCCAGGTCTCCTTTTTCTTGCCTCCATCAGGGACCCTGCAGCCTGTGCTGACTACTCTTCCAGGCCAAGAGCACAGTTTTGTAGCTGAAAAAAATGGGGGTGAAAAGCTATAAAGAAAGAGTCAAACTAAAGACTTGCTGTGTGACACACAATTTTTAAATGGAATGTCACCTGTAATTTGAATTTTCCCATATCCATTGGTCTTCACTCTCCCTTGCTTTGTATGTCCTCACCATTTCTCACTTTTCATTTTTTCCTCTTTGCTCATTGAGCCCTGGGCTTCCTTTCGTCCTGGTACTGTTCAAGATTCCGTTCAGAATTTTAAGAGGAACGGGACTCCCCTGGCTTGGTTCCAGATGACCACCGTGGAGGACATGGAGGACAGAGTGTGTGACCTGAGACAAGGGATGACAGGGCTGCCAGGCAGCTCCAGAGGTGATGGAGGACAGCCTATTAGCTAAAATGTAATGAAAGGAAGAGATTTTTAAAAATTAGAATAGATCTGCATAATTTTTTTTTAAAGCCCACAAAAGTGCCATCCTCCTCAAAAGCATTGCTCAGAGCCAAGGGAGACATGCTGGGGACAGAAGGGCCACTCACAGCCTCGATGTTACTCATCTACAGATGTGCACATCATTTGAGCCTCTACTATATGCTGGACCGGTTCTGGGTTAGGGACCGTCAAGGGTCTCCAGCTGAAACGATCCAAAGGTGCTCTGACATGTGCCCTCCAAGCTAAAAGTTTTAGCAAAATCGAAAACTTTCTTTCCCACCTCTTTCCTCTTATTTCTCTTTTGCTTTCCTCATCGCGGAGGAATGGTGGTGAGGAGACCATCCCACCTCCCTGTGTTCTCTCCAGCTAGCTCTCCAACTACGCCTTCCCACTTTCTTCTTGTCAGTTTGTTCAGCAACCCAGAGGCAGTTTTTAGGTTAGGGGCGCATATCTGATACAGGGCACAGTCACAGACAGAGTTCTGGCAAACAGAAGGCGCTCAGTAAGTGGAGATTGTTATTAAACTATTACTACGATGACACTGCGAGTTCATTCTGGCTGGAGAGAGTGTCTATACTCGTTTGAAATCACCTATGGGTGCGTGCAAGTAAAGAACGGAGGAAAGAGACACAAGTCTTTTCCACTCTTTGAACAAGAGGTGAAAGTCTTATATCTCATGTAACCATCACAGCAACTCAGGGCAGAAGATATTCTTCCTCTCTTACAGATGGCCATTTTGAGAAGCAGAGGGGTTGGGTAATTTGATCAAGGTACTTGGCGGGTAAGGGGCGTGGCCGAGCCTCTGACAGAAATCTGCCTTTCTTACTCCAATCTCCGAACTTGTGGTCTGCGGCGATTTTCTACAGTCAAGGAGAAAAAAAGTTCAAAGAAATGATTTGTTCTTTTTGACGAATTATTCTGATCATTATTTCAAATATTCACCTTACAATGTTAGTGTATACCCAACCATAGAGAAATCTATTAAAAGTCATCTCGCTGCATCCCCAGGGAAAGCGCATTCATGGTATGCCCTGTATGGTATGCCCTGTACGGTATGCAAGGTTCACAGCCGAAGGAAGAGAGGGCCCAAGTGCAAAAACATCTTTAAGCGAACGTCGGTCGCCACGTGCACTTACTGTGTACCTCCCACCCCAAACCTCAGGATAGAAAGACATAAATGGGTCCAGAAGCCACAGAAGCGTCTTCCTCCCTGCTCCTAGTCATCCCTTTCGCTTTCCATTCTCACCTGGCCTCCCCCAGGCCTCGCCTTCTTCCCTCTTTACTCCATTCCCTAACTCCTGCCTCGTAGGCAGCGGTGGGGAGCCGCAGGCTGCTCCCCGAGTCCCAACGCTACTAGGGTGCTGTAACAGTGATGAGGCGGCGTTGCAGTCTGGCTAGGCGCTGCAGCGGGCACCAGCTACGTTTTGCTGTCGGCGGCAGTTACCCGGACGCAAGTTAAGGGGTAGGCGCGCAGAGGCGGTTGGAGGCGGGCGGCCGGCCCCTGACCTCGGAGAGCTGCGCCGAGCAGGGCGGAAAATTTATGGTCTGTGTACACTTTCTGGCTCCAGAGCCCCGCGCACCAGAAGGATGGGGCCCTGCGAGCGCGCCCCAGGCCGCGAGCTGGGGCCGCAGGCGCCACGGCCATGTATAGTGCCCACCCGACTCTGTTCTGCAGCGCTGTGGTCATAAACCTTCCCTTAGAGGGCGCGGCTGTAAACGAAAGTCCGGGCGAGAGGTGGATGCAGGCCTTGCCGCCCGGACCCTCAGGTATAATTCTGGAAACTTGCACGGAAGCCTGGGTCCCGCCATCTTCCCTGTTGTGGTGGGGTAAGAGGATAGTTTATACTGGCTGTTTGGAATCCCGCGCGGTGGATGCAAGGTGGGATTCCAGCCCAGCGACGCGCCGCGTGGCCGGGAGTGCAGACAGGTCACCGGTCCCCGGGTGTCTGGACCGCGCCGCTTCCTACTGGGCTTACTTCGGGATCTAGACTTCGGCCTCCGTCCTTGCAAGGGCCCAGATTTGATTCCGGTTCGTCGAGGCGGTCTGTAGCAGATAAAGGGCCCATTAAAAAGCTGGACCCTGTGGGCCTTCGGTGCCAGAGGAAGCGAGAAGATGGCTCGGGAGTCAGTCCGGAGGCAGGAGGCCCATTTCGGGTGGAGGCCAGAGGTCTAGCTGCTCGCACTTCATTCCGGTAGTGGTAGTGTTAGCACGAAGCATGTCCACGCTGTTTTCCCCGCCTGGGCTACACCCACACAAAGGAGCTGTAAGTTAAGCTGGGCGGTCAGGGCTACGTAGGTCCCTTTACTCACGTTGTCACCAGAACAGGTGTCACGGAGTGTAGCTGCATAACAGCTTAATTTTTAACACCAGTCACGACTTTTCAATCTGTTCTTAGTAATCGTTGTGCCCATATACCAGGCACTGTTTTCACAACCTTTATATGTATTAGCTCATTTGCCTTTTACCAAATCCCAGTTAGGTCATTACTTACATTATCCCCGTTTTACAGATAAGTAAACTGTGGTAAGAGAGTTAAATTAACTTGCCTAAGGACATGCAGTTAGCAAGTGGATTTGGGAATAACTCGCATCTTCTCTGCACGGCCTAGATTACCTAAATCATCTGTAGCACACTGACTCGAGCATCAGGCGTCCCGCAGGCGACAGTGGGCAGAATTCCCAAAGAACCTCGGGTCAGTTTACCCACTCGCAGACCTTCTCCCGAGGGGGAGCGCGCCCCTGCTCCGGCGCCGGGAGTAGCTGGCTGTAGGGATCAGCCGAGCGAGGTGGCCGAGTCCATAAACACGGGCCATTTAGCAATTACCCCCAGGGCGTGATAATTGCGCTGGGCAGTAGTGACTGTGAGTCGCTGTGACACTGGCTTCTCGCCGTCTGCTGTCTTTTGATTTACTGTCGCACTGGGTCTCAGCACCCAGTCGCTCAGGGCTGCCAGGGTAAGCGGTGAGGCGCTAGCGCGGGTGCAGCTTCTCTCCGACGCCATCCAGCTCTTCTCGCGGTCTTTACCCTGCATGGGGGTGCAGGGGAGTCGCACTTCAGAAGGTTTTAGCCCCTCTAACTGGGAACGTCCAGAGACTTTTCCCTGGGGTAGGGACGTGGCATTGAGGAGTTGGCGATTGATTTGAAAATAGAAGAGGTAGGATGAAAAGGATCAGGATGGACTATGAAAGCACAGAGTGAAAAAAGAAGAAGAAATAGGAACGGGAAGAGGGAAATCATCAAAATAAGTGGAATTTTGAAGCATTTCTCACATTGTTTTAGAGGGCGGGTGGAGTTGACACAACTGCTTTGGGTCTGAGCCATAAATTAATAGAAGATTTATCCCTCAATCAGGAAAAAGCCATTAAGATATTCTTGGCTTCGTCTGTGGGAAAATAATTTCTTTGATTGAGTTGCCCCAGAAGACCCTGCGGAGCCTTCTCTTCTCCGCCTCCGATGGCCTCCTCTTTCCTGCCTGCCGGAAGGAGGGGAGAAGCGGGAGACTCCAGGGAGAAGAGGCCTTTCCATCTTTTCCAGCATCTTGAATTTCACTTTGCGCGTTTCTTTCTACTTTTTGGTTTGATCTGCCTGCCTTGGGGGCTTGGAACCTCAGAGGGAAATTCCTCCCGCAGCAAGCCGAGCTTGCTGTGGCTGCCCTTCTTCCTTCAGGTCCGCTGCGTTGGAGAGTGGGTCCTCGGCCTCTCGCAGGACCCAGCACGTCAAAGGCCTTTGGTCTGTTAACAAGACTACAAACTACCAGGGCGGGGGCGGAGGTGGGGCAGGGAAAGTGGAAAGCCCCTCAAAGTGGGAGGCAGCAGTCCCAGAATAGGGTGACCAGTTGTCCTTCCTGGGCATGGAGGAGCTGAGCTCCCCTTGTTGGTCCTGGACTCAAAGTGTGGTCCCCAGTTCCTTAAGGGTCCTTTCAGAGGGTCCCTGAGGTCAAAACTATTTTCATAATAAAAGGTTGTTGACTTTTTAACAAGTGTACAATGGAGTGTTCCGGAGGCCACATTCGGTGTGGTGATGTCAGGGCTCTGATGGCTTAGGGAATGCGTGTGCATATTGCAGTGTTTTACAAATGTTTTGGTTTTGTATTTTACCACAATAAAAATGCATTTTAGAAATGTGTTTTGGGGCCTGCACAGTGGCTCACGCCTGTAATCCTAGCACTTTGGGAGGCGGGTGGATCATCTGAGGTTAGGGGTTTCAACACAGTGAAACTCCATCTCTACTAAAAATACAAAAAAAAAAAAAAATCTGGGCGTGGTGGTGGGCGCCTGTAATCTCAGCTCTCCATAAGCTGAGGCAGGAACATCACTTGAATGCTGGAGGCAGAGGGTGCAGTGAGCCAAGATCATGCCACTGCACTCCAGCCTGGGCGACAAGAACGAGACTCCCTCTCAAAAAAAAAATGCATTTGGTTTTATAGCTCTACCTATCTTATCTGGTTATTCACGTGTGAATTAATTAATATGAAACAAAATGAAAAATGTTATTTCCTCAACCACATCAGCCACATTTCAATTGTTCAATAGCCATATGTGGCTAGTGGCTGTCATATTGGACAGTGCAGACACAGAATACTTCTATTCTCACAGAAACTTCTATAGAACAGCACTAATCCATGCCATAAATATAAATAGATATAACCAAGCAAACAACATTTAGCATCCTCAATAAATTTTTTATTATACTTTAAGTTCTGGGTTACATGTGCAGAACGTGCAGTTTTGTTACATAGGTATACACGTGCCATGGTGGTTTGCGGCAGCCATCACCTACATTAGGTATTTCTCCTAATGTTATCCCTCCCCTAGCCCCCCACCCCCAGAGGCCTCGGTGTGTGATGTTCCCCTCCCTGTGTTCATGTGTTCTCATTGTTCAACTCCCACTTACGAGTGAGAACATGCAGTGTTTGGTTTTCTGATCTTGTGATAGTTTGCTGAGAATGATGGTTTCCAGCTTCATCCATGTCCCTGCAAAGGACATGAACTCATACTTTTTTATGGCTGCATAGTATTCCATGGTGTATATGTGCCACATTTTCTTAATCCAGTCTATCACTGATGGACATTTGGGTTGGTTCCAAGTCTTTGCTATTTTGAATAGTGCCGCCATAAACATACGTGTGCATGTGTCTTTATTGTAGAATTATTTATAATCCTTTGGGTATGTACCCAGTAATGGGATTGCTGGGTCAAATGGTATTTCAAGTTCTAGATACTTGAGGAATCGCCACACATTCTTCCACAATGGTTGAACTAATTTACACTCCCACCAACAGTGTAAAAGGGTTCCTATTTCTCCACAACCTCTCCAGCATCTGTTGTTTCCTGACTTTTCAATGATCGCCATTCTAACTGCCGTGAGATGGCATCTCATTGTGGTTTTGATTTGCATTTATCTAATGACCAGTGAGGATGAGCATTTTTTCATATGTCTCTTGGCTGCATAAATATCTTCTTTTGAGAAGTGTTTGTTCATATCCTTTGCCCATTTTATGATGGGGTTGTTTGCTTTTTTCTTGTAAATTTGTTTAAGTTCTTTGTAGATTCTGGATATTAGCCCTTTGTCATATGGATAGATTGCAAAAATTTTCTTCCATTCTGTAGGTTGCCTATTTACTCTGATGATAGTTTCTTTTGCTGTGCAGAAGCTCTTTAGTTTAATTAGATCCCATTTGTCAATTTTGGCTTTTGTTGCCATTGCTTTTGGTGTTTTAGACATGAAGTCTTTGCCCATGCCTATGTCCTGAATGGTATTGCCTAGGTTTTCTTCCAGGATTTTTATGGTCCTAGGTCTTACATTTAAGTCTTTGATCCATCTTGAGTTGATTTTTGTATAAGGTGTAAGGAAGGGGTCCAGTTTCAGTTATCTGCATATGGCTAGCTGGTTCTCCCAACACCATTTATTACATAGGGAATCTTTTCCCCATTGCTTGTGTGTGTCAGGTTTGTCAAAGATCAGATGGTGGTAGATGTGTGGTGTTATTTCTGAGACCTCCATTCTGTTCCTTTGGTCTATATATCTGTTTTGGTACCAGTACCATGGCTGTTTTGGTTACTGTGGCCTTGTTGTAAAGTTTGAAGCCAGGTAGCATGATGCCTCCAGCTTTGTTCTTCTTGCCCAGGATTGTCTTGGCAATGCGGGCTCTTTTTTGGTTCCATATGAAGTTTGAAGTAGTTTTTTCCAATTCTGTGAAGAAAGTCAGTGGTAGCTTGATGGGGATAGCATTGAATCTATAAATTACTTTGGGCAGTAAGGCCATTTTCACGATATTGATTCTTCCTATCCATGAGCAAGGAATGTTTTTCCATCTGTTTGTGTCCTCTGTTATTTACTTGAGCAGTGGTTTGTAGTTCTCCTTGAAGAGGTCATTCACATCCCTTGTAAGTTTTATTCCTAGGTATTTTATTCTCTTAGTAGCAATTGTGAATGGGAGTTCACTCATGATTTGGCTTTCTGTCTATTATTGGTGTATAGGAATGCCTGTGATTTTTGTACATTGATTTTGTATCCTGAGACTTTGCTGAAGTTGCTTATCAGCTTAAGGAGATTTGGGGCTCAGATGATGGGGTTTTCTAAATATATAATCATGTTATCTGCAAACAGAAACAATTTGACTTCCTCTCTTCCTATTTGAATACCCTTTATTGCCTTCTCTTGCCTGATTGCCCTGGCCAGAACTTCCAATACTATGTTGGACAGGAGTGGTAAGAGAGGGCATCCTTGTCTTGTGCCAGTTTTCAAAGAGAATGCTTCCAGTTTTTGCCCATTCAATATGATATTGGCTGTGGTTTTGTCATAAATAGCTCTTATTATGTTGAGATACGTTCCATTGATACCTAGTTTATTGAGAGTTTTTAGTATGAAAGGCTGTTTAATTTTATCAAAGGCCTTTTCTGCATCTATTGAGATAATCATGTGGTTTTTGTCGTTGGTTCTGTTTATGTGATGGATTACGTTTATTGATTTGCATATGGTGAACCAGCCTTGCATCCCAGAGAGGAAGCCAACTTGATGGTGGTGGATAAGCTTTTTGATGTGCTGCTGGATTCGGTTTGCCAGTATTTTATTGAGGATTTCGCATCGATGTTCATCACGGATATTGGCCTAAAATTCTCTCTCTCTCTTTTTTTTTTTGTTGTGTCTCCGCCAGGTTTGGTATCAGGATGATGCTGGCCTCATAAACTGAGTTAGGGAGGGTTCCTTCTTTTTCTATTGATCAGAATAGTTTCAGAAGGAATGGTACCAGTTCCTCTTTGTACCTCTGGCAGAATTTGACTGTGAATCCGTCTGGTCCTGGACTTTTTTTGGTTGGTAGGCTATTAATTATTGCCTCAATTTCAGAATCTGTTATTGGTCTATTCAGAGATTCAACCTATTCCTGGTTTTGTCTTGGGAGGGTGTGTATGTCCAGGAATTTATCCATTTATTCTAGATTTTCTAGTTTATTTGCGTAGAGGTGTTTATAACATTTTCTGATGGTAGTTTGTATTTCTGTGGGGTCAGTGGTGATATCCCCTTTATCATCTTTTATTGTGTCTATTTGATTCTCCTCGCTTTTCTTCTTTATTAGTCTTGCTAGCAGTCTATTTTGTTGATCTTTTCAACAAACCAACTCCTGGGATTCATTGATTTTTTGAATGGTTTTTCGTGTCTCTATCTCCTTCAGTTCTGCTCTGATCTTAGTTATTTCTTATCTTCTGTTAGCTTTTGAATTTGTTTGCTCTTGCTTCTCTAGTTTTTTTAGTTGTGATGTTAGGGTGTTGATTTTAGATCTTTCCTGCTTTCTCTTGTGGGCATTTAGTGCTATAGATTTCCCTCTACACCCAGCTTTAAATGTGTCCCAGAAATTCTGGTACATTGTGTCTTTGTTCTCATTGGTTTCAAATAACATCTTTACTTCTGCCTTCATTTCATTATTTACCCAGTAGTCATTTAGGAGCACTTTGTTCAGTTTCCATGTAGTTGTGCAGTTTTGAGTGAGATTCTTAACCCTGGATTCTAATTTGATTACACTGTGGTCTGAGAGACAGTTTGATGTGATTTCTGTTCTTTTGCATTTGCTGAGGAGTGTTTTACGTCCAATTATGTGGTCAATTGTAGAATAAGTGCGATGTAGCATCCTCAATAATTTTTAAGATTGAGATTCTTGCCTTAGAACATTCTCTAGATTGTGCTCTTGACTAAGGCATTGGAACTAGAGAGGCTAAATATGTGTCTGGACTCTGTACTTGCTAAATATGTGTCGGGACTCTGCACTTGCTAGTTTCATAATCTTGGGCCACTTTTTAAATTCTGAGCTTCAGTTTCTGCTTCTGTAAAATGTGTGTAATGGTTCCTGATCACAAACTAGAGAGAGGCAACAGAGCTTCTTGGGAAGAGTATGAACTTTGGGGAGAAATTGAATAAGCCTTTATCTCAGCTCAGCCCAGATGACCCTGGGCTAGTTTAACAACCTCTCCATGGCTCTGCTACCTTATCAGTGAATTGGAAATATAATAAGAGTAATAATAATGGTAATATCTCCCTCAGGTTTGTTATGAAGGGTAAATCAAATAAGTGAAAAACACTTAAGAAATAGTAACTGGCATATTATAACTACTTCTATATGTGTTAGATATTATTACTATCTAAAGTGTAAACCTTACTGGGCAACAATAAAATTTAATTCCCCTCCCCTTTCAGTAGTATCTATATCTACATCTATATACATATCAATATATATAGTAGTCAAATATACATCACATAAAATGTACCAGCTAAATAAGTTTTAAGTTTACAGTGCAGTATTGTTAAGTATTGGTTGTATTGTTGTGTAACTAACATCCAGAGCTTCTTTCATTTTGCAAAACCGAAACTCTTTACCCATTTAACAACTCCCTCCATCAGGAATATTTTTATGTTGATGTGAATCAGACTCCAAGCTTTAGATCAGAAGTATTTGACTAAGCATTAACCATTCCAGCTAAGAGATCAGTGTTTGTCATTCAAAATAGCTGAGGTGGTTGGGAGAGGACAGCCAGTATTCCCCAAATGTAATCAGGTTCCAATGAATATACAGTTACCATTTATTCCTCTTCTTTCCCCACTGTGAATCCTAACAGCTCCTCCTCACCAAGCAGTGAGTACACCCTTGGATTCCCCAAACGATTGCTGATTATGGGTCTAGAGAGTCAATGATGGCTGGCGAGTTAGGTCACTGAGTCTTTGAAATGATGTTTTCTGGGAAATGCCTGAAAGGTTGATGGTACAATAGTAGATAAAAATAAACTCAAGATTAGTGTCTGGTTGCATAGAAAGTCTTGGTGATGGTGAGTAATCAGGAGGACAAAAATCAGAACAAGTCATCCAGGCTCCTCACTTAGCAATTCTTTTCATAAGGCAAGCAGGAGGAGAGAAAAAAAATCCCCTAAATAACAGTAGTCACTAAAAAAAGCATTAAGTGCTTCTTTTTGGTAGAGTTTATCCCTCTCCAAGGATGTATTTTCCTGTAACTTTTCCTATAGGTGGATTTTGAAATGGAGACTATTAAATAAATACAACAGCCATACTGCATATGATGCTTTCAGATGCAAGTAAAAGAAAACCCAACTGAAGATGGCCTACCCAATACAGAAAATTATTGTATTGTATGATTGAAAAAAATGAAGTGGTGGAGTAAGTTTCATGCATGGTTGGATCGAAGTTCTGTCTGTTTTCTGTGGGGTTCTTACCCCTGCAATGTTCTCTGCATCTATTTTATTCTCAGCCTGGCCTCCTTCCTGGTGTCAAGGTCTCACTCCTGTGCATACTATACCATCTAGAATAAAAAGCTGACTGTAAACCTGGAATATCTAGAAAAAGGCCCAATTGGATTGGTGTAGTTCACTACTTTTCCTTGCTGCAGTCATTACAGGCAGGGGAATAAAACACCTCGATTGCCTTAATCTCAGTTGCCTGTTCACTCCTGACCACAGAAATCCCTGGAAGGACATTGGGAGCTTATCTAGAAAGGAGAACAGGGAATGGAAACCGAAGATGCAATGCAGGAGTCCACTACAGTATGTATCTTCATTTAGAGCACAGTTAAGGTGTAATTTTATTTTTCATGATTAGATCACTTACTTTTGTCACCTTATCATGAAGCTGTATGCTGCATGGGCACTGGAGACAGTGCTTGACCACAGCTGGAAGAGCACACAATTGGAGACATCTTTCTAGTCCTGAGATGATGGCTTTTTTCACATCATTAACACTATTGCTCTTGTGAACAACCCCCATGTTTTTTTCTTATCTTACACAATTTGTGACTCATCTAATTCATCTTGGATATTTGTTCCAGATTCTTACTGCTTCCCTAGTAGGTTCTGATTTGACAAGTCTTGGATGAGGTGATGACTGGATATTTCGATGTTTGGCAAGGTATTCAGGTGATTCCTATTATCAAGCCAGTTTAGGAAATAGTAAACTCTAATTGATCATGCTTTTTAGTGCTGGCTGCTAGGGAACTTAGAGTGGAAGCTGCAGGCTAATTCTTGAAAAGTGTTCAGGCCTGTATGGCATGAATTATGGATACTAATAATTGTTTTGGCTTCCTATTTTTTTATCTTTATTTTCTTTTTCTTCTGCATTTTCTCATTAGGCACAATTTTATTGTCTCGTTAAAAAATATGCTATCTTACATTCTTTTTGGAAAGAAGTAGAATATCTCAGGATTCCAGCAGAAAACAGAAGACACACTCAGTGAGGATTTTTGAATAGACTCTTTCATAAAGGACTATTTACAGAGGTGTGGGAACCAACAAGAGATGTTGCCATGATCAACAGCAGGCTGGAGAGGTTTATTAGTTTCCTAGGCTGCTGTCACAAATTGACACAGACTTAGTGACTTAAAACAACAGAAATGTATTCGCTTACAGCTTGGGAGACCAGAAATCCAAGGTGAGTTTCCCTGGGTTAAAGTGAAGGTGTTGGCCCGGCTGGTTCCTTCTGGAGGCTCCGATGGAGACTGTTCTTTGCTTTTTCAGCCTCTGGTTGCTGCTGGCATTCCTTCGTTTGTGTTTGTGTCACTACATTCTCTGCTTCTCTGGCACATGGACTCTTCTTCTGCATCCAGTTTTCCTCTGTCTTCCTCTCATAAGCATGCGTGTGGTAGCATTTAGCGTCCACCCAGGCAATCTAGATTAATCTCTCACCTCAAGCTCCTTAACTGAATCACATCTGCAAGTACTTTTTGTCATATAAGGCAACATTCACAGGTGCCAGAGATCAGGAGCTGGCTATCTTTGGGTGCCGTTATTCAGCCTCCCACAGGAGGAATGTTGCTGCTGAATCCTGGAGCTGAGGTTGAGGCAGAGAAGGCACCCAGCTGTGGCTGTGGGTAGAGGGCACAGCCACTGCCATAATGGTGTCCCTTATCACCTTAGGGAGGGAGCAGGAGGAAGAAATATGCTCTTTCCTCAGCCACCTCCCACCACCTGCCCCAATCTCCTGCCGGTGCATCCCATCAGCTAAAGCAGAAGATGAGATCCACTGAAGTCAACCCCCTGGGTACAGCGTAGGTCAGAAAAGAGCAAAGAATGGATCTAAAGGAAAGCCAGTATGCAGATGGGCATAAATACCAGACCACTGTCGAGCTGTGGGCATGATCACAGTCCTGGGCTCTGAGCAGTGTTTCTCAGAGGAGCATCCAGTGCTAGAGTTGGCTGCTCGGTACACAGACACATGCTCCAGAGTTTTCATGGCATCTTGGGTCTGGGCCCTTCCAGTTAGGAGGAGACAGTCTGAGAGATTGGAGGCCGAGTTTCAGTCCAGGTTTTGGGTTTCTCTTTGTTATCCCCAGTGCCCCAGTCTATGGTGGAAAAGGCTATTTTGTTGATGCTAAAGGGAATGAGCAGTAATAAGATCCCAGGCTTTCAGGAAACTACACTCTGAAATCAGCACCACCTCTTTCTGTCAGAAGTTTCCATTCCCAGGAAATTACACTGGGAATGTACACTTCTTCAGGAAGCCCATGCTGTTCTCGAGGCAAGTGGAATTGTGATATCTTGCATGCCATAGCTGCCATCTCCCTATAGAAATTTTAAAAGGGAGCTTGCATCAGCAAGGGACAGGGATCCGACCGTGGTAGTGCTGGTGAGCCCAAGGGCTGCAGGCCCAGTCTCTGTCCCGAAGCTTTGGTCCACTGAGTCCACAGCTTTTCTTCCTCTCTGGCACTTCCTAACATGCACCCCCTCCCTTCCTCTCCTAGGGCCACCTGTCAGCCATGCCTGCAGCCATCAATTCAGCCCTTTATCTCCTCCTCCCCCATATCTCTCCCAGTTGAGACTTGATAGGCCATTCCTGGCAAACCCAGCTGGGATTGACATCAGGTGTTTTGGGAAGTGCCCATGTCCAAATTCCTGCCTTCTAATGATTGCCCTGATTTTTTTAAATAGACATTTGAAACTAAAGACAAAACCAGCTGCTTCTTGAGAGCAAAAAAGCAAAACATAAAAAGAATCTCCCATATAACTCCCTCCCCCTAAAGCTCAAACCAATAAAATGAATCCAGCCAATAATTCAATCTTCCTGCCTTGTTCACTGTGACTAAAGCAGACAGAAGCAGCACAGCAGGGACCCCTCATTGACGAGGAATGTATCATTAGTAATTTTATTAGCTTTAATATAGCCAACAGGGGCTACTGATAGTTTCGGTATTCTTTTCCTGAGGGATTCCCCCCCTCCAAAGGACAAATGCTCTACAGCCCTGACATTTAATTGCCTTTATACTTTAGTGTAGCTTGGTTGAATGAAAAACTTTTCAAAATTCCATCACTGAAAAAGGATTCAACAATTTGTAATATATATAAATTTGCCACTGGTACTTTTCTTTTACAAATTTCTCAGTGCTTAGAAGCATACCTACTATAGTTATTATAATAATTCTGGGCAGGTAGACACTCATTTGTCATGGTTGAAAGCAATTTATTTTCAGTGGGAATGCTTTAAAATGTTTTGTTTGGACAGAAATGGCCATCCATTAATTGGTAATTTAAGCAAGTTACTCAAAGTCAGGCAATTAGGTTAATGAGAAGTTGGCCTTTGAAGTTGAATAGGAGCAGGGATGACCTCACCACTCCTTAAGAAGACATCAAATCAATTTGGTGTAAAAGGTAGAGGGACTGAGTCCCCTCCTCCAGTTTCAAGGAAAGATCATGCACATGCATATTTAGCTCCAAGCATGGAAATTGGATGGTGGGCCCCTCAGGCTTTCTGGCAACCACCCCTCTACTATCGAGGAAGAAGCAACAGCTGCCCCAGCTATATCACAGGGAAAGATGACAGCCTGGATTAGGCCATGCATGGAGGCCAGAAACCGTTGAGGGAGCAACTCCAGAGAGACATGACAGAACCACAGACACATGGAGTGCCCCAAATTGAAGCAGATGGAATTGCTGATAAATGAGTTGAAATGGTAGAGGTCCCTACAGTGGATTTACTTGAGAGCTACTCCATGGAGGGGCAATTTCAGGGGGGCCCCGGCTGCCTTTAGATGTTAATCAGAGGTATTCATATGTTCTGTCATTCACCTTTCAAAGGAAGGTGTCAAATGTCTTGATGAAATGCCTCCCATGCTTACCTAGACACGGGGAATCAGCCACTCTGTTGACAAATGACTCAGGGCGAATCAATAGAATGAGGGTCAGGCTTGGCTAGACTCATGGTCAGAGGGCAAGAGTAATTATGTCATAAGAAGTCTATGGGGCAGAACCCAGCCAAGGCCATGGTCCACTTTTGAAGGTAAAATCTGGAATCAAGGGATTGTTATAAGGGATGGGAGTATAGGAGTGAAGAACTCAAAAGGACCAGACTCTGTTATAGCAGCCAGCTCTTGCCAAATCCACTTATTGCAACAGTCCCACCACCATGTATAGATGCCTGGGTATAGTAAGTAGCAGAACTGCCTAATACCATCAGTGCCTGCAAAATACAAGTGATCTAGCAGTGTGGGAGGTTTTCTGGGAGAAATGGGCCACCTAGGTCATGCTTAGCTGCAGGGAGGGGTAAGCCCTGTGGGGAAACAAATGATGGGTGAGTTCACATTATTAAATAACTGGGCTGAATTTAAGGAGGAGGGAAAAATATTACTGCAGAAACCAGGTTGATTTTGAAGTCTGCTACTGGCAGTTGCCACATGCCTGTGACATCTCTCATGCACCTCAGAATAGACTCTCCCCTCTGGAAGGCACCATCGTGCATCCTCTAGATTTGGGGAGATAGATTTCTTTATGTTGCTGATAGGAGGAGGAAGAAGAAGCTGCTGTGAGGGAGGAGGTATTTACTTTGGCAGGCGGCTGATGCTAGAAATGCCTGGGGCCATGTACAAATAGTTGGCTGGTGCTGCCAGGCCCTCCACTGTGGGTTACTCATCTCTCCCTGCTTTAATCCTTTCCTTTCCTCCAAAAACTGCCCAGTTGACTTCTTTCCCACTCTAGGGCTATCCTGGATGCCTCTTTTAACCTGATGTCACCTGGAACATGTGGAAGTGCCCAATGTGACTATCTAGGGCTCTGGGCTCTGAGTCCTGTGAGGGTTAATCCTTCATGCCTCATTCCTTCATGATTTTCTCTTCTTTTTGTTGGAGTTAGAGAATCAGGGTGAGCTCTCCCTAGAAAACTATTGTGCATGGCCTTGTTTATCTTGGTCAGCCTTGTGTTTGAGGCACCATACCCAGTTCAGTTACCCAGGCTGTTCAACATATGGAAGCATGCTCAGAGTGTGGTGTAAGGTGTGGGATAACTTGGATCCCCATAAACCTATGACAGGTGGAGATATTGTGGCCAAAGTCGGCCCTGCCAAGATGGTGCTAGACTGAACGACAGCACTACTCTGGACCAAAGAAGTGTCAGAGGCAAGCTTCAGGGAGCTGAGGTGGGCACTTCTAGGGGAGCTACCTCCCCTCCTGAGTTGCTTCATTTGTAGGCTACTCAGATTAGGGTTTTTAGGACATCCTGCTAATTTCAGCTTAAATCGTTATGGACCTCTAATGTGCCAGGCACTGTACTAGGTTCTTGGGAAATAGCAACCAACAAGAGAATCATTGTTTCTGCTTTCATGGAACTTAGAGTCAAACCTAGATACAGGTAAGAGGACGACAAATCATAATGCGATGTGGTAATACATGCTAGGACTGTAAGAGAATTACTGAATGCTGCAGGAAGTCAGAGAAGACTTTTTGGAAGATGCCATGTCTCAATTGGGACCTTTAGAATATTTTTCAGGCATAAAGAGAAACATCTTTAAAGATCTGGAAGAAAGAGAGGGCATAGCACATCCCAGAATGTAGAGTAAGGATGCAGAGTAGAGAGCTGGGTTAGAAACTTAACTGCATAATACAACCTCTGATCCCTACCAGCTGGGAAAATCCACTTAGCCATGTACGGAGCTTCTTCCAGGTACTGAGCTCTGAGTTAGGTATTGTCAGGATCCCCAAGATGGGTCAGACAGGACTGCTGTCTTCAATGAGCTCTGCCCATTACCCATATGTCTGAGGAGAAACACATTTCCACCCTTTCTGGAGCTCTACAGGGAGGGACTGCTCTTTGCTAGAATGATCTTACCTGCCTCCAACACCTGTCCATTAAAGCAAGCCCTGAACAAGAGGCCGACATCCACAAGTTAGAGATGTTGTGCTTTGAATACTACCAGCTGGTTGTTGCAACCTCCTAGTGAGTGACTTACACCCAGTCCTCCCTCCTTGTTCTTCTGTGATTAAAGACCCTAAAGGCTTAACAGGCATGGCTGGGCTAAATGTTCCAGTTGACATTATTTGCCACCAGGACCTTCCTCTTTTGCTTCCGACTTTTTTTCCAATTGTGCAGAAAATTGTTCTTCATTCTTTCCAATCTGTCCACATCCTTTTTCCTCCACTTACATTTCAAAATAAGGTGTACCTCTTCCAGGAAGGTTGCCCTTGTTAATTCTACCCATCATCCTGGAGTGGCCAATGGCCTCTATCCCAGAATAATTGTTGTATTTTTTGTATGATGCATTCAGTCATTTGTGTAGTTTCATTTTGCAGTTTCCTCAGTGGAAGTTGTATTTTCACCTTTGCTGCCGCTTATGCAGTTTTGAGACCCGTACACCAGGTGGTGGTAGTTTCCTCATGCTCTGATTGTACATTCTGAATAATTTGCAGAGGAGGAAAATGGAAGGGGTGAGCTAATTTTTAATCAAGTATCTTTCATGTGCCAGGCCTCTGCACAATGTTTGATTTAATCATCAGAAATAATCTATATGAGGCAGATATTGTTTTCATTTTAAAGTTAAGGAAACTAGGTTTTGAGGGGGAAGTAAAGTAACTTCCCCAAACTCACCATCCTTCATGGTGAAGATGGAATTGGTATCAGGTCTGGGCCCTCCAGCTTTGGTTTTAAGACGAATACATGTATGTCTTTTCTATGTGGTTATACAAACAATAATGAAGTCAATCACCATTGCAGAGCAACTGTTCTAACAACACCTCAGGTATAATTTGGTATCTTCTTCACTAATTCTTGAATTGTGATAATCCAAGTATTTGTAGGTGGGCAGAAAAACTGACATGAACAGTCCTTCTTGGAAGAGGAAGAAAAATAAAAGCCTTTAAAGCATCTTATATCCCGAAAGTATGTTTCCCTGCAACCACATTCTCTGTAATTTCTAATTTGCCATTTGCTTTACTTTGAGGAAGGAATTCCCTCTCCCAATGAGTTGAGAGCTGGGAGACTTGGGTTCTAGACCCAAGTAACTGAGTATATTCCTTGAAGTATGTCTCTTCTTTCCTCTGGGTTTCAACTCCCCATTTGTGAAATACGGAGGTTTTAATAACACCATTGCAACCCTCTTCTGTATCTGGTTGATTATTTGGCTGTTGTATGGCCACCACTTAACTCACTCAAAAATATGAAGACATGGCACCACCAGGCACTGCCTCTTCTGGGGTTGGTTCATGTCGTACTTCAATAATCAAAATAATCAAGCTTCCTCTAAAAGAATTTGTTTCACAACTGATGATAATTTTCTGGATATCCTACCCAAGTCCCCCTCCCCCAGTTTTGGCACTTTGTTTCCATGATCAAATTGTGTCACTTCTCTGGTGAATACCTTCTTTGTGTTTTTGGTCATTCTCAGACCAGGGAGAGTATGTATGTATGCATTTGTTCATTCATTCATTCATTCAGTCTTTACAGTTATGTTCTCTATCTTGCAGCAGGAATGTCTGCAATTCTCATTTTTTCCCTGTCATTTGACTATGAGTTCCTATCCTCTGGCTTTTTTGGTAGGGATTCTTGAACATACCAAAGGGGTTAACTGCCTCAATGAAGCATCACACTGGCCATATACCAGCCTCTGTGCCAGGTGCTGTGGGAATTAGATGTGGTTTTTTGCTTTCCAGGGGCTCAGAGCACAGTGGAGAAGAGAGATGAGCAGACAGCTGATCATAGCACACCAGTGAATGCCACAACATGTGGGGGTTGTGTAGTGACTGTGTGCCTCAGGGACACTAGTCAGAGCTGCAGTGAAATCTGCTTGGCCTGTGGAGAAGCAGAAAGGACGACGGTGGCTTCAGGGAGGCGACATGGGCGCTGGGCCTCAGAGGATACGAGGTACTGCTGACCAGGTGGATAAAGTGTGGAATGGCTCTAAGTCACCTGGGGGGTCTGATTAAGGCCTGCGTCTTAGGCTGGGTCTCTATGTCATATGAGTAGACGGGACAAAAATAGATCCGTATTATGAATTTGCTGTATTTTCTGTCAAAAGGAAGGATACTCAAAGTGATGGATGCCTCAAATACTGACTTGATCATTACACATTCTACATATGTAACAAAATGTCACATGTACCCCATTAATATGTAAATATTATTAAAATAAAAAATAGTTATTTTTATGTAAGAAAAATAATCACAACTTCTCTTATTTGAATATCACAACCAATAAACATTCTGCTCCCAGTAATATTTCCTGTCACATTACTTCCTAGTTACTTCACAAAATTGACGCATGCACCTAACAAAGATAGGATGCTAACACAAAAAAACTATATCCTGCATAGATTCTGGTATTCCGTACAGATCATTCTGTACTAAGGTATCAGTCAGAGAAGAAACTTTATTGAGTATGATTCTGAACATGAGCTGTATTTTCAGGTTCCCTTGCTGGTCCTTGGCATAATGTTAAGGAGAAGGGCTTCAGGTGATGAGACACTGGAGACCAATTTGGCAGTTCTGGCTGAGCTATGATCTCCTGCTTGACTTGACTCCTACACAAGGCTTTGTGTCTAACCATGCTCAGCCCTGACCCATTCTGGCTCTCTATGAATGCTGTTCAGCTGGCCCACCCTACTGTAAGAGGAAGGGGCAGGTCTGAGCTCCGCTTTCCTATAGTTGGGGAATAGAGGCAGAGAGAGAGAGTCCAGGAGACCCCTTCAGGGGCATATGCAATGCCAGGGGCTGGGGGCTATGCAGAGACTGGAATTGGCTCTCAGGCTTTCAGTTCCTGGGGCCATAGTACTTGAAAACCATGCAGGTGATGGGACTCACTCAGGTCCATTCTTCCTTCATCTATAATCTTGCATGAAGGCCAAAGTGTGCAGTGAAGCCATTGGTCCTCAGGTGTGGCAGTTATTATTTCCTCCCCTTGACAAGTCACTTAGACACCTTGAGCCTCAGTTTGCTCATTCTCCCCCTTAGAGGGCTCTTGTAGGGTTATACAAAATAGTGTCCATGTAAGCCATTGTGGAGATGGACATTTTCTCAGTTTTATTAACGGAATTTGTTCAAAAAAGTTTATTATTAATACAGTACGACTTCTTTTTATTAGCACTCTATCTTTGTTAGGTGTATGTGTCAATGTTGTAAAGTGACTAGGAAGTAATGTGTTATGACTTGAAATATTATTGGGAGCAGCACATTTCTTGGCTAGTGGTATTCAAATAAGAGAGGTTGTGATTATTTTTCTTACATAAAAATAACCATTTTTATTGATATACAATATTTTACATATTTATGGGGTACATGTGACATTTTGTTACATACGTAGAATGTGTAATGATGAAGTCAGAGTATTTGAGGTGTCTCTCACTTTGAGTATTTACCATTTCTATATGTTGAGAACAATTCAAGTACTCTGTTCTATTTTGAAATATACAATACATTGTTGTTCACTGTAGTCACACTACCCTGCTGTCAAACAATAGATCCTATGCCTTTCATCTAACTGTATGTTCATACCCATACCTCTTTTTGTCCCCCCTCCTATCTACCTTACCCTTCCCTGCCTGTAATATCTATCAAAAATAACAATTTTTGTTTATAAACATAACACATATAATTCACAGAAAACTTTAGAAACTTTAGAATAGACCCCACCAAAAAAATTCTCTGCTTCCATTACCTCATTACCAACTTCCATTTTCATGTGAAGGTGCCTGTGCTATTTCATGACTTGCTTATTTTGCTTGTTCCGTTTACCACTAAGGTGGGGAGCATTTCCCTGTAGCAATATTTGCTGTGTAGCAACACTGAACAGCTATACAATCATTTAACAAACATTTAAAAGTTTATCAAACTTTTAAACTTCTTAATGCTGCAATAAGTATATTTATAGATAAATCTTTGTATTCATCTTAAAAATATTACCTTAGGGTACATTCTGTAAAATAATATTATGGCCCGATAATATTATGGTTTTCTTTTCTTTTTGCTATTTTGTTTGCTGTGAATTTTTATTTTCTGTTTTCTGGTTCTAGCAGGAGCTTATGAATTGCACATGTTTCCAACCTCTCCCAAATGCTTGATATAATAATGAAAAGAAATCTTTCCCAATATGATAGGCAAAAGTGGTGAAGGAGATCTCATTTTAATTTGAATGTCTTTTGTTACCAGTGAGGTTCTATATTTTCATATGTGTATTAATCGTTGGTATTTTTATTTTATTTGAATCAATTTTGAGCTAATGTCTTCTGCACATTTGTGACTGGGGTGTTGTTTCTTTCATGATTTCTTGTAAGATTCCTATATAAATTAAGACATTAACTCTTCATATGCAAATACTTTTTCCAGTGTTATTTCTCCTTTAATTTTGTTTATGTTTTTTTAATATTCAGAAAATGTAACTTTTTATGTAGTCAATATTTCAATTTTTTTCTTTATGATTTCTGCTATACAAAGTTCTTCCGAAGCTGACATTATATAAATATTTATTAATAGGTTCTTCGGATTTTTTAATGAAGTCCAGTAATGATTTACCTTATAATATAGTGAACTGTCATTTATCTGGAATTTATTCTGGTGTGTAGTACTGAATCTTATTTGATATTTTCAGATAGTTATTAGATTATTTCATCACTTATTGAATAATTTATCTTTCTTTTACTGATTTTGAATGTCACCTTTAAGAGATTCTATTTTTAAATAAGAAAAACATCTTCATTGCAGAAGCGCATTACTTTTTCAATGTTATAAAAAACATGTTTTTAGTTGTTGAGATATATGGAAATAGTGAGAACAGTTCTAGGAAGGAAGGAAGAGTAATGGTAGCAGTAATAACAATGTTAACACAGAACCAACTGAAATCTCAGCAAAGACCCAAAATTCTACTTCACTGGTTCTGACAAGTTCATCACGCTAAGGTCTATCTGTTAGAAGTACACATTTAGTTCCTTGTTGCCTTTATTCTAGCAAACATATATTTAGTGACTACTTCTGGACTAAATTCCAGAGGGGTCTGAAACATAAATAAAATATAGTCTCTGTCCTTGAGTTTCTCATCAACTGGTGGGGAAGCATATTATCTCGGAGGGCTTTTACCTCCAGTAAACAAAATGCTCAACTAAAAATGGCTTCAACTAGACGTATGGTGGAATGCAGTTGCTGATGCTAGTTTAGCAGCTTAAAGATAACAGGGCTCTGGGTTGTCATCTCTTGGATGTTTTTGGCCTTCTCTGTCTTTACTGCAAAAAAGTTGCAGCTGCTCTGGTCATCACACCCTCATTAATCCATGATGGAAAGCAGGGGACAATAAGCAATGTGTTGCAGGAAAGTTTCCCCTCATGGTGCTTCCCTCTTATCATAGAGGAAAATCTTTCCAGAAACCCTCTAGCTGACTTCCTCTCTCATCTTATAGATCAGAAATGGGTCATATGCCCATTCTTAGACCAGAAGTTGGGTCCACTTCCAGACACCAGTGCATCTCTGGCCATACTAAATAAAATTCTGGTTCTGTGACTAAGGGGGCTAATGACTTTTGAAGAGGCAAGTAATAGTGTCTGCCACAGAGAGATACACACGTATACAAATCTCTCTCTCTCTCCACAAAAACGTAAAATAAGTACTTACAGAGGGATTCTAATATCTGTTGTGCTTCCTGCTGCCTTAGTACACCTAAACCCTCTGAGTCTCCGTTTTCTCACCTGTAAACTGGAGAAATTAGTAACTTTGCCCAGACACAGGGCTAAATAAGAATCATTTTAGATGAGTGCTTTGTGAATCATAAGGTGTTAAACACTTATTCTTGTTAGTGTCTTAATGTAAACACTGTCCCTTATGGGACAACCTATGTGGTCCTGCTGATCTGTAGTTTGGCATGGTGAATTTGGGCATGGAAATGGGGCAAAGGGCAGGGCTTCAACAGGGCTGGGACCAGGGTCAGTTTAGGCACAAAGCTGGGACATTGGAAAGAGCTGGAAGCTGATCATTACATTTCTGTGCACAAATCCAGAGCCGGATCAGGAACTGGGAAAGTGGTTTTCCTCTCTGGCAATGGTCTGTGTATGGTGGATGTTGACAATGAGGAATGGTGAATTTGCAGGCATTTACTTGATGCTTTCTCTGCTGGGTGTGGGCTTCTGAATAGAAAGCTCCCCAGAGATAGATAGCCTGCTCAAATCCTTCCGCAGGCTGGTGAGGGTAGTGGCAGAGGACTTGCCTCCCCTCAGACAAAGCGCTGTAGCTCAACCTTTAAAAACAACTTGGACAGGAGGAAAAATTGAGTTAGTTGGAATGGGAGGTCTGTCAAGGGAGGACTCAAAGGGGGACCTTGGTGATTAAGTTCAACCGTTTCCTTTTTGTGGGTGTAGGAGAGAAATATTTCTGAATTTGCCCTGACCTTTTAAACTTTAGCCTGCTTGCTAAGCTGGTTGAAGCCCAAGTTCCTCTTCTAACCACAAAAGTCCTTTGCTTTCTTCCTGGAAATGTGGAGCCCTGCCATTACCCACATCTGCCAGAAACTCCCCTCTGTAAACCTTGCTTGAACCTTGGTTCACGTTTAACCAACCCGCTTCCATTTACTGAGGCAGCTTGGTAAACAGACGGCCCTAGGTGCAGTTAATAATCTTGTCATTTTTACCTTGTGGTCTCTTATATCTACCTTACCCATCCAGTTAAATTAAATTACCATCAGTCTCTTCCCCACTAGGGTGAAGATTAATGGGCCTTCAGCTGTCCCCTTAGAACATATGCAATTGTCACGTACTGAAGAGAAATGCAGGGGCTAATAAATTATGCGCTGTCATCATAGAGGCTGGTGGGCAATCCCAGAGTCCTTCTCAGTTCACGGGGTTTTGAGCTAGGCATGTGCAGGGTCAAGGATGGGCACCTTGTTACAGTACCCATGAATGTTGATACCTCTGAGAGGTGCAGGAGAGGCTGGGATATTGTGACCATAGGAAGGGTATAGACTGTAAGCAGTTTCTAACGACGAGGCTCTGGGGGACTTGGAGGCAGATAGGTAGATTCCCAGAATGGATGACCTCTAACTGGTTTCTAGGGAACAGCCACTCATTGCTACTACCTATCCCAGTGACTGGAAAAACATGGTTTCCCTGTCCCAGGGACTTGTCTTCTGATTCCCCAGTAGGCTTGCTCCCTCTGCCCTTTAAATGTGGCTTTCTTGATCCTACCAATTCATTGAATCCTGAGTTCCCACCTAGCACCTGTGAGACTCCCAGGAGTTTTCCAAAGAATCACCATATCACAAGCTCCTAACTGGGCTTGGAAAATGTGTGGTGATCCCGATGTCAGTGTCCCCCGAACACTCACCTATCCCCACCCTCTCCTTCTGACCAGTTGTTGGGAAAGCTTGCAAAATCATCAGTGGAAATAAACCCACTTCTATTTTAACAGAATGGATTTCCTTTGCAGTTGTCCATTCTTTTCTTGATGGATGGAGTTCTAAAAAGACGTAAAACATTTTAAAATAGAAATCTTATTGATACCAAATATCCTTTCTGATGTCCCTAAGTAGAACCAGTTGGTAAAGCAATTCTCTTAATTCAGTTTGTGCAGTTGAATGCTTTTCCTCATTTCCTCTCTTGATTGTTAAATCTCAGGGAAACACTGACCTTGGCTAATGACATACTCTCTCTGTTCTGGGAACCATTTCCTCTGCTGGTTGAGTCTCTCTGAAGGGAAAACTGGTTCCTGCAGGGAAGCAACCTTTAGTTACAAAACTGAAGAACAACTAGCTATTACTTTATCCATTACTCATCAACAAATAATATTATGCTATAGAATTTTAATTAGAATGTTCCTAATGCTGTATTCTGGGGTGCTATGTTCTTACTACTATATTCTGAGGAGCTATGTGACATTGAGTAAGTAACTTTGTTTTATTTTTGACCTTTAGTGTCTTCATATGTTAAGTGAAGATAGGAAGACCTGCCATATTTCTTCACAGTTCGGTTAAAAAAGTTGTGAAATCCTATCTAGTCACAGCATCCAGTACTAGCGGGATACATGGAAATTTTGAGGAGCTGTCTTTAGTTCAGGGGTTTAGTAGCATTTGAATAGCAGATTGCCTTGTACAAAGTGGTTATATGCATTGTCTTATGTTAGTTCTGACATTACCTATTTGTTGTATGTATGATTCTTTTACCCCCTTTACATAATATTAATTACTTTTATTGTTTTCTAAATGCCAAGGATTAGTTGAAACAATCTACATTTCAACCCATTTAATTTCCACATCAACCTTGTGAGGTATAGGTACTATTTTGATTCCATTTTATAGATAAGGACATCAAGGCACAGAGAGGTTAAGTGTCTTGCCCAAGATTATACAGTGAGTAAAGAGCAGAGCTGGGAATCCAATGCAGGTGGTACGGCTCCAGAGTTCTCACTTGTAAGATGCTAAATTATATAATTAGGGTGAACCAGATGGTAAGGGAGAGACTCAGATCCTAGCTCAAATCTCAAGCTTTTTCTCTACTCATGCTACTTTTTCTTGACCCAATATCCGGGGCATTTATAAATAGTTTTAAAAATCGTTATGGAAACTATATGTACAGATGGCACATAAACACACACTTATCTCCATATATTTAGACAATGTCCCTCAAATATGTTTGTACTAAGAACCCAGAAGACACTCCCAATTCTGATTAGAACAGGGAAAAAAGTGATAAAATACCTCAAACTGGAAACTTCACCATCTTGACAGTCACCATTTATGCTGAAGTGTGCACTGTTTTCAGCAAGAAGTATGATCCCGGCTTTCAAAGGTCAAATAAATCACCTTTAAAGTCGTGAAAAGGTAAACAGACTGATGCCTGGGCAGCTTTCCTGAGTTTATGAGGTCTTCTGGCAACAGGGATATACAAAAGCCCCATCAATCACCCCCTCCCCGCCCCACCCCTGACTCCCAAAGCGTTTATTTCTAGAGGGGATCAATCCACCATCCAGGGTAATTTCCCGTAAAACTATTATTAGGAAATATTAAATCAAATGAAAATGGAAACCCCCAGAGTAAACATACCTTTACAGAAAAGCACTTTCCCTCTAGCCAAATTTTAAAACTGTAGCTGTGTTTCAAAGGAGGCTGAGAGGATGGTAGGAGCATTGGGATGGGGAAGGGGAGGGAAATGAGGAGAGAATGGTAAGGAAGAGGAGTGGGGAGGTATCTAGGGCAGGCAAGTGTGACATGACATAAACAAAATAGTTGTCACTGATGACAAATAATTTCACAGTGCTTTGCAAGGCATGTTTGCCTGCCAGTCATTTTTCACATGCCTAGTATCATCTTTTAAGGTCTCTAAAAGGGGCCTACAAGCCTTCTTTCAGCACATTCTAAAGTTATACACATATATAAAAAACTCACTGTAAATCTATAAGTCATCCTGGAAATGACTATTCCGTACAAAAAAAAAATGTCTTTTAAAGACCTTTTTTCATCAGAGCACTTAAATTCTGTGCTATTATTTCACCATCATGTAATGAGAGCCTGCTTGGTGTAAACAAAAACCCTTTAAAGAAGTGATTACAGTTGTGCTTTGCAAGCTGCCGAATGGATCCTAGACTGTCCAGCCATATTAAAGTCCACACCAAGACCCCTCAGTGATTTAGTCTCTCCTGTTTTTCTTCTGGGTGCAGTAACAGCCCAACACAAGCCTTTCCTTTTAAAGAAGCTTCCCCAACCTTAGATGTGCTGAGGTGTTTTCTGCAACTCTAGATTTCATGGGAACGTTTGTGGAGGAGGCATACTGAATGCTTTTGAATTTTATAAGAATCTGATTTTAGAATTTTATTTGTTTACTCATTTATTTTTAAGATAAGAAGAAAAGTAAAGAAAAAAGTTGGGAAGAAAGATGAAAACTCAATTTCTTTCAACTCTTGCTCCTTTTGAAATCAAGTAATGTTCTACTGAATCAATCTCATTTAAATTTGATTTTTGATTTCTTTTTTTTTTTTTCATGTGAACTTAGCCTGGAATTTGTCCAAGTCAGGCTGGAGAGACCACCAAGTGTTCTCATCAGCCAGAGACCTAATTGTGGTCATTTATTATAGTCACTTATCTGATAGTAGTTTCATTATCTGTGATAGTTTTACAGGGACAAAATCCACCAGGCATCCAATGGAGTATATAAACATGTTACCTTGTGGCAGGGTGTCTGTTACTTACTGTCAACACTAACTGGCCCTAGCCACCTATCTGCAGCTTATATGAAGTAACGATGAGTTTAATAAGCTCCAGTGAAAGCTGCAATGTAAACATCACATCAGGAGCATTTGCCTTGTCAGGCCCCTTAAACAAATAAAGGTGATGGAGAAGTACAAACAGAACAAGATTGGAGCCTAATGAGATTCCATTGCTGCTTCAGTGCAGACTAAGTTATCATTACAGACAATACATTGGAAGGGATGCTGTCCAGAAAAATCTCTTCAACTGAAGTTCACCCCAAATTCTGATTTTGGGACTTGGGTGAATTTGCCATCCATTTGGGAGCAAATATATACTTAAAATGGGTACTGATTTCTCAGGATTATTATTTTTAGAAAATACTTAGTACAGTAAATCACTTGGTTTTGAGAGCACCATATTCCAATGGCATCTTCCGTTGGGCATTATACAGCCACCATTACATGGACCCACGTTTTTCATTAGAAAAATTTTATTTATGGTGGACAGTAGGTTTCTGTTTAAACCTACTGGAATAAAACCACAAACTGAGCTATTAATAGATGGCAATGCATGTGGGCTCCACAAATCAGCATATCCAAAGTTATTTTTATGTAGCTCCATTCCATAGCTGTGCCTCCATATAGATATGTGGCTGTTTGCATATCCTTACAACCTTAGCTTGGAGGAGGATAGGAGGTTCCCTTGCCCAAGCAGGCAGAGCTTTCATTGCACTCATGAGGAGAGGGGACTGTGATCTGAAAGACATAAAGGAAGACTGACTTCCCCAAATTCTCTCTCCCTGGCTTTTTGAAAGTCTTCCCTGATTCCCATTAGTGGGGATTAATTTCATTCTTCTGGTATTAAAGTATTTTTTCTCTTTGACTTTAAAATGTAAACAGCTCTGGGGAGGGGAGTATATTAACTTCTTGTTTACAGAATGGCTAGTATTAAAACAGTCATTGGAAGATCGGGGGCTTGAATCCCAACTGAAAACCTACTGCTTGGGTTAGACTCAAGGCAGTTCCTTACCTTCTTTAAGTCTCAGTTTGTTCATCTGTAAAATGAAGACTGCTGTCTTTTATTCCATTGTATTTTTGAGAACAGGAACTAGTACCAAACAGACAATCAATGTGTGCTGTTATTATTAGCTCAGCATGTCATGATTAGTTCAATTGTCTAACTTAATCCTGACAGAATGAAACATACAATAGGGGAAATTTGATGGGGGAGAAGATCAGAAGAGAAAACTCTTCTGCAGCAGTTTCTCAAAATGTATTCTGCAGAATAGCAGGGTTTTTTTTTTTGCCATGATTAGGTATTAATAAGAAAGAGGGCTGTGGTCCAATGCATTTAGGAAATTAAGGTTTAATAAGTTTTTCTAATACAGGACTTCTCAGAGCCTTTAATAAAGGAATGTGATGAGTAAATTCTCTAAGAAGAGGATCTAATATGTAAACTTACTTAACTATGAACTCTCTTTTTTTCCTTAATAATTTTTCGAAGATAAGTAATCCTTAGAGCTTGCAGTTGGAAATTCTGGCCTAGAGCATCAAGTTTTCGGTAGAAAGCACAGGGCCTGGTGGTCCTCTTTATCCAGAGTCTAAGGTAGCCAGGGGTAGAATGTAGGTAGAGTTGATGCATGGTGGATGTCAAAAGTGAGGAGCAGTACCTAGGAAGAGAAAAGAGGGAATTGAAGGCAAACACTGTCTTCTTTAGAGTTATAATTAGGCCAGTTTAGTGACCTGGCTTGAATTCTTGGAAACAAGTCAGCAACCTCTAGAAACCACCCACAGGGCTACGCATGGCCTTAGGAGAGAAATGCATTTGGAAATAGTGGAATAGATACGTTTCTTTATTGAAGAATTTCTCTTTGGTGTGCTTTTTGAATCTCTGAGAGGGACACACAAATCCTCTAAGGCATAGTTAAGTGAGAAGCAAAAGAGAATAAAGGGAATGAGGAAGCAGGGAGAGGAAGGGAAGGAAAATGAAGTGAGTGACCTAGGAATTGTGGAGAACCTAGTGGACTCTTCAGAGACATCATTGCTATCATTTCCCTGATTGACTCCTCTACTGGCACATAAGCTTTGCCTTATTCCTGCTCCAGAAAACCGACTTGTAAGTATGGTTCCATGGTCAACAATCTTGAGTGTAGATGGCTCAGTGAAAAACTGCCCTAGCTAGTAGAGAAACCCTAAAGTATTCTACGTGGCATTGATGGGCTGGAGGTGGAGAATGCCATGGTGCTGGATACAAGGCAGTTGCACAGTTCCAGGATGGGTAATTGCCATTTGGATGCACTAGTCTGGTTCTGTGCAGCTTCCAAGCACAACCTCAAGACTCATAGGGTTTGGGGTAGAGAGAAGGAAAGACCTTTTAGTGTGGCAAATGATCAACTCCCTAAGCCTTCGCTTTGTCAGTGCCTAGAATGATCTTTGACCTGTTGTAGCTGCTTAGAAAATATTGGCTGAGTTGAACAGGATATATGTGGACTTTGAGAGGCAGATGTAACCCTAGCCTTTTCCTCTCCATGGCTTTGGAGCACTATTTTTCTTTAAATGAAAAAAAATGGAGCTGTACAAAATAACTCTAAGAATAAAATCACCGATGAAGAGCAGGTTGGCCTTGTTTTAGTAATGGAAGGATTCCCAAAAAGTAGGGTACAACTCAAAGTTCATCTTTGTCCTGCTTTACTATTTTAATTCCTCTTTATGTTCATTTCTAATAACTCTCTGATGGGCTGATATCTCAAACTCTTCTCACTCAAATATTCCTACCTCTCTTAATTTGTAAAACATGTTATCAGAGAAATTCTTTGATAAAGTGACAATTCCTTTTAAATAATAAATCTGAATACTGATAAAGAACTCTTACAAAAGCCTGTGACCACAGAGGAGGTGAAAACTTGAGTTCAGGACTTCTAGTAAGCCACAGACCCCAGGTCACTATGTCTTGTGGTATGCAAAACATGCTAAGGATGACTCTACCCAGGGCATGGAAAGCGGCTTCAGATAGAGTTAGCTCTTTACCAGTGCTGTGGATTGAGTTGTTTCTCCCCGAACTCCTAGTTGAAGCTTTAAACCCTATTGTGACTATATTTGGAAAAAGAGCCTTTAAGAAAGTGATTAAGGTTGAGAGAGGTCATAAGGGCCCTAATCTGATAGGATTAATGTCCTTATAAAAAAGATACTGGAGAGCTGTGCTCTCTCTCTCTCTACCCATTTCTTTCCCTGCCATGTGAGTACACTGCAAGCCAGGAAGAGGGCCGTCACCAGGAACTGAATCAGCTGGCACCCGGATCTTGGATGCCCCAGCCTTCAGGACTGTGAGAAATATATTTCTGTTTCTTAAGGCATGTAATCTGTGGCATTTTGTTATGGCAGTCTGAGCTGACTAGGACAAGCAGCAAAGCCGCAGTTTGCTTTTGAAGTTTGCCATGAAATCATCAATTCTGAAGACCCTTCTTCCTATCAGTGCTGGCCTTGAATGACAACAGCTTGAATGATAATGGACCACACTGGGCTGCACTTTGCTTGGCCTTTCCCCAAATTCTTTCTCTTACTTTTCTCAGTTCAGGAGACATAGCACCGCGGACACATACCCTTTTAGCCTGTGAAGGAGAACTTTTTCCCTCCATCTGTTTCCCCTCCTTCCGTAGTCTATTTTTCCACTACTTTCAATTATATCAACCCCCCTATAGTAAGCACATAGGAGAGAATATGCCAGAGACATATGGATGCTTTGATGTATGGGTAACATGCCACGTTTTTAGACTGGCAATAAAAAAACATGTGTGGAGGCTCTTCCCTGACAAGTGGCAAACTACCCATCCTTCCTAGCAGGAAGCCTAGGCCGAGGTCGTGGTTTAAAACTCAGGAAGGACATCTGTGAAGGCAGAGCTCAAAAAGCAGATGGTTTTTTGAGTTGCTGGGAGACTGCGTTGATTATTTATTAGGTAAAAAAGTATATATTTATATATGTGGAAATGGTCAGTTTTAAAAAAATTTATTAACAGCAGCAAGTATACACCATGCTCTGCAATTTGAATAAATAATTGAGCTTGACATTTTCTTCAGGGTACTTGTATCTTCTTAGGTCCTTTGTTCACCTCATGCTTGGTCAGGGAATTTGGGTAATAGATGAAGATCTGAATCAAGAGAGAAATGCCAACATCTCCAAAAGTTTTTAAATTTTTTTATTATTTATTTTAATGGCAGTGGACAAAAAGAAATTCAAGATGGCACTCAATGCCATCTGTTTCCACATAAATGTCAGGTCAGGGTCCAAATGGCTTATTTTTAACAGTGCAAATTGTTGACCTGTCTCCAGAGAACCAGAGTTTTCATCGGAATTCTCAGGAGCGGGGCTTAAGGAGGGGGAGGGAGAGAGGAAGACTGGATGTCCTTGGCAGCTGAGCTACCACGCCAATTTAGACTTTGGAAGCCTTAGGCAATTAGCAGATCATCGTGCCATCTGCAGGCATTAATTGGCTTCCCTGGCCACCTGCTGCTGAAGGTTCGCTTTATTTGACAAGTGGCAAATGAGACTAGGTTAAAGAACAGTGATGACTATTACTAGCTTCTCATTTACTGAGTGTCTACAGCAGGCCAGCTATTGTACACAACTTTTGTCTAAGCTTTGTAACAAGATTTAGCATTGTTATTACAGTGTTGTATAGCAATGTAGGCATTACCATCATGCCCATTTTTATTTATTTCTGAATTCTTTCAAAAATGCTTTATTTTAATAGTTTTGGGGGCAGAAGTGGGTTTTGGTTACAGGGATGAATTATATAGTGGTGAATTCTGAGATTTTAGTGCACCGTTCACCTTAGTGTTCGTTGTACCTAATGTATAGTTTTTTTATTCCTAGCCCCCTCCCGTCCTTCCACTTCTGTTTCTCTAAAGTCCATCATATCACTGTATGCCTTTGTGTATTCATAGCTTAGATCCCACTTATAAGTGAGAGCAAAAGGTTTTTGGTTTTCCACTCCTGGGTTACTTCACTTAGAATAATGGCCTCCAGCTCCATCCAAGTTGCTGCAAAAGATATTTCATTCCTTTTAATGGCTGAGTAGTATTCCATGATGTATATATACCACATTTTCTTTATCCACTCATTAGTAGATAGGCACTTAGGTTGGTTTCACACCTTTGCAACTGTGAATTGTGCTGCTATAAACATGCATGTGCATGTGTCTTTTTCATAAAATGACTTCTTATCCTTTGGGTAGATATGCAGTAGTGGGATTGCTGGATCAAATGGTAGATCTACTTTTTAGTTCTTCAAGGAATTTTCATACTGTTTTCCATAGAGTGTAGTAACTATTCACATTCCCGCCAGCAGTGCATAAGTGTTCCCTTTTCCCCATATCCATGCCAACATCTATTGTTTTTCTACTTTTTACTAACGACCATTTGTCATTAGGAGTAATGTGGTTTCTCATTGTGGTTTTAATTTGCACTTCTCTGATGATTAGTGATGTGAGCATTTTCTTCATATGTTTTTGGCCATTTGTATATCTTCTTTTGAGAAATGTCTATTCATGTTTTATGCCAACTTTTTAGTGGGATTATTTGTTTTCTTATTGGTGAATTGTTTGAGTTCCTTATAGATTCTTTATGCTAGTCCTTTGTTGGATGCATAGTTTTCAAATATTTTTCCCATTCTGTGGATTGTTTGTTTACTCTGCTGATTATTTCTTTTGCTGTCATGCCCATTTTTAGATGAGAAAACTGAGGCTCAGAAAGTGACTTGTCCAAGACTATGTGGCTAATGAGTAACAAAACTGGGATGAGTGCACCAGTCTACTTTTTCTACCCTGACACATTGCCACTGTAAATAAGCTGAATGACCTGTGCATTATTCACTATTTTAACAGTGCATGAAATAATTAAAAGTCCTGTTTTTTTTTATTCTCCAAAGTTTTCAGACCTTATGGAAACAAGATCCACTTTTATAAGTATAGTATAGGAATATTTACATACAATAGAGACAATTGCCAAGTCGCAGAGTCTAACAACACAGGCACTGGCAGAAGCGACACAGAGCATAGGATGAATAAAACTCATTGGGTCTTGGGAACTGAAAGCCATGTGGTCACACCCACAACATGTAAATTCTATAAGGGCAGGGACCTCGTCTTATTCACTAATGTAAAATGATGTAATATATACAGCAGATGTTCAAAAATTAATTATTAAATGAATGAGTATATGAATATAGATGATCTCCTAGCTGATTCTTCAGTTGCCTTGATAGCATTTTGTTTGCATGAGTAACATTTACTACAGTGTCGACCTAGTGCTCAGTCTTTCTGTGTTTGTGGTACACTCCAGAATACTAGAATATTTGGCTGTACACTTGAGGGGATTGAATGTTTTAAAACCACATTTGATGAGCTAGTAATAATTACTACACAATTACTACTATAGTACACCCAAAACAGTGTTTGAATAAGCATCCACAATTTCTGGATACTTCACTTACTCAATATGCAGACATTCTTGGTTACACACTTTTCTGGTGCAACTCATCTCCCATCTCCCAAAAATTCCAGACACTTGTTTTCCTTGAACAAGTGGCCTTGAAACTAGGACGTGGCCATATGGTTCAATATTGGCAAATGATATGTTAGGGAAATGTGACTCCATAGAAGACACTCATGGCACATTGTTTGCTAAACATTACCATGTTTACCTGGGACTATGGCAGCCATTCTGTAGCCATGAAGATAGATGCTTAAGGACTAAGTCAATGTGCTTAGGTTTAAAAATTGAAAAAGTGGAATGAACCAGGGATTTAAGGACATAATTGAGCTGCTGAACCAATATTGGAATTGCCTTCCTCAAGGCATTTTGTTATGGAAGATAATAAATGTTCTTATATTTTATCCCTTCTAGTTGGGTGTGCTGTCAATAACAGACAAAAAGTACCCTTGGGTACTTTTGCTGTTTAAACAGAACTATTTGTGGCCCAGTAACGTTTTCTTATGTGACATTTTCCAGTAATATGTGATTTTTCTTTGGTGCAAACTTGACATTGTTCCTTCTTTATACAATATTGTCTCTCTATTCAGCTCAGTGATTTAGCTGATGAACATAGCTGTTGGAGTACTTATGTTCAGTGTAGCAAACATTCCTATTGTCCATTGTTCACAATGGGACAGTGTACCTTTGAAGCGCGAGACATATATCAGTGTGTCATTGCAGACTGATTGAGAAATACTGCTGTGTTGAAATGCTCTGCTTCAGTCTTCTCTTCCATAGATTGCATTTTCCTAGAGGGCTGGAGGATAACTTATTGACCATTGCATCCCCAGGGCCTAGCCAAGAACCCACTGTGTAATCACAATACTGACCAATATGTATTCAGTGTTTATTTTGGGTCAGGCACAGTTTTTAACCATCTTGGATGTATTAATTCACTTAACTTTACAACATCCAAAGGGCTGTTGACCCAGGATGTGAACGAGGCAGAATGGCTCAGAGCTCATTCTTGAGCCATTATACTTCACCTCTCACTAATAAAAGCTCCCCAGTAAATCTTTGCTGAATTAAGCACACTGACATGGCTCCTTCACGTCATGCTCTCCATGTAATAGGCACTTGCTAAATATTTGTTGGTTGGAGTCCAGTCCCTGCTCGATTACTCAGGATAAACCAGAGAAGAGTCTCTGGAGAGCCTGTGCTTTGAGCAGGGCTCTGAAGGAGACAGCTGCTCCTGGGCATACTGGAGCCATTTCCTTCAGGGTCACCAGCTCAGGTTCAGCCCGGGTCCTGACTCAGCAGACTGGGATAACTGTGGCAAACCAGGGGGAATAAGTGGTGACTTTACCCTAGAGCCTAATGCCTAATGGAAAAAAAACATCTTTTGGCAAATCTAACTTCTCTGCTGGCAGCCTGATCAGAGGGCAATAAGAAATAGACAGTTTTCCCTGTTGCCTAGGGTTGGGATTTCTTTAAATTCAACTGAAGTGTGCTCTCACCTTTTTTGTCTATGCCAGAAGGCTGGGAGAGAGCTATGGGTGAGAGAGAAGAATAGGAGAGACTCTCTCCTAGTGTACCCTACTCATAGCATCAATGGGGAAGGTGGCAGGGGCTGTGTGTTCATACTACAGCAACATAAGGGCAGAGTTAGGGATGGAGAAGCAAGGGCTTTATTCATTTTGTTTTTGGTACTATATTTTGTATAATACTAATTAAATGTCATACATGGGGGCTGAATTTTAGGAGCTTATTATACAAGGCAGATAATGACACAAGGAGGATAATGACACAAGGTACTTTAAAACACCTATAGGAAAGATAGATATACTATATTTAGTTGGAGAGTATTTATTAGAAATAAGATGGAGGAGGTCACACAATGGTCAGTGGTTGACTGAGATGGAGAAAACTTGTTGCTAAAATAATACATATTTTTACTCCTACCTCCCCATGTCTGACAAATAGAAGTTGTCTTGTACATTCTTATTTTTGTCCTTGGAGGGTGGGTGGCATGCGTCCTGTCATATGGTTGCACAAGTCAACAAGATGTCCCTTCTATGGTTTGAACATAGGGATGAGTAAGCCCCAAAGGGGTCCTATTATTCCCTCTCCATTTATTATGACCTCCTTAGTGCCAAACAGCTTTGATAGCTCTTCCATTTTATACATTACTGGAATGATTTAACACCTTTGAAATATGTGACAGTGGATCTAGCCACAAGTGACAACCCCCTGAGCTGGTAAGTGATTGCACTCGTAGCACTTGAGTGGTTGGGGCTGTTTTTCCAGGACGAACAGTACATTTCTATTTCCAACGCACCGTCCAGGCAACCCCCCAGTGGGGACTGTGTAGGCACAGGTGATTCCAGGTGCTGACCGGCAGCCCTGCTTGTGACCTTCCCTGCTGGGCTATTGTTTCCTCCCCCATGTGACCACAGCCTCTTTCTGTCTGAAGCTGATAACAAGACCATAAATCTCCCTTCTGGCTGCAACATGGCACCTGAAACCTCAGCCCAGGCTTGATGTGAGAAAACAAGATAAGACATTATGATGGGGTATTTTCAAGTTATCCAAGGAGGTACCAGGAAATCTTGGTAGGTTGCAGGCAGCGATAGCATTCCTCAAGGCACTGTCTATCCTGCCAGGTAGATCTCTGTGTGAGATGAATGGCATTATTTGTTGATAGCATCTACCTGCTGGCACTGCATTGGCTTTCTAAGCTTGTCAGCAGGTTTGTGGATGCTTCTTCCTGAAATAATATCAGGCAGAATCAGAGAACTTGCATGAACCTGTGCTGGCCTTGCAGAGAGCTGGGGGACTGATGGGTTGCTACTACCTACAAGATGCAGTCCAGATGTCTTGACCCAGTCTCTAAGGACCCTCGCCATCTGGCCTCTTTCTACCATATTCAGAGGAAAAACTTCTAGCAGCCAGGGCTCTCTTTAATGGTGTTGGCTGTCTTTGATGGCTGAGTTGTTCAGGTAGAAGTCAGTTGCTTATTTTTCAGGGTAGTGCTGGGAATTCATGGCAAAGAAGGGGGTGTTGAACTGGAAAAGTAGTCAGAGGCTTTTCTGTTGTGAGATTTCATGACCTAATTCTACAGCTGTATAAATCTTGAGGCCTTCATTAGCCTTTCTCAATTAGGGTTCAGTGAGACAACTAAGCCCTGATGTGTAGGGCATACATTGTATGCAATGATGCAATTTCTTTCCTATGCATGGAGAATAGTACTAAATATGAATAGGACTAATTAGGTACTTTTCTTGAAAGAGAGAAAGTAGTCACTCAGAGCTACTGTTTCTGCTCTGTGTTGTGTATTTCAGAAGAGGAACCTTGATTAAGAATGTCATGGTCTTTAGGGGAAAAGGCAAAGCTTTATCAAAAAGAGGAATTGTTACCAAGGATAGAACTTCTTGTAAGAGCCCAGCTGTATGGGATGGGTGTAGATAGAGAGAGAGAGAGGAGAGAGTAAAACTATCTTTAACTTGGAGGTTGTCTCAGTCTCTGAAACATAAACACACACACACACGTAGTCGTAGAGTTTGATGATCCCATTCAATGGCAAAGTATGGTCAGTAGAATAGCCTCCTGGTGGGTTGATTACTGCTGAATGTGACCAGCAAAGATTCACTAAACTCCAGGTCATGGCATCTTCTCATGTTAATACTTACTGTTTATTCCTTCTGCCCACTGTGGGTCTAGCCCATCATGACAAATAGTACGTTGACCTTCAGAAAGGGAAGCTCATGGCATGCCTCCCAGCAGGGCTGAACCTTGAAGTTATTTGACATCTTCATCTCAACTAGGTGAAGCCCGCAAAAGTAGTGTCAAAGGGGAACACACCCAGAATGCTTTGGGAGATTATGATCAACACTCCTGATCCTTTGCAGCTGGGCTCATCATCTGTGCATTTCACAATAAAATTTTATGATGCATCCAGACACCCAGCTGCTTGTGTTCACAGGACAGCATTTCCTCTGCTACACCATCAGATCTGCCGCACCTGGGGCTCATTTTCCTTTTCCACCAACCTCTTTCAAATGGCAACGAAATTTCGTTATCACACAGCTCCTAGGAGAGAATTTGAAGAATGCCATATCCAAGAAAATATTCTACAGAGGAAACTTCATTTTATTAGACAAGAAGAAACTGTCCCATGGTACCCAAAAAACAGCAGAGCTAAGTTGGAACTCTGGGAAGCATTTTAGAAAGGGCCAACAATCGTTTTGTTAAGCACAAAAACCCCAAAACATTTCTAGTGGGCAGAGTGCCCTAGCTTCTTAGACAAGGTAGCATAGTGAGCAACAGAGTGGACTTTGAAATGAGACAGGCTTGGCTTCATAGCTCAGCTCACTACTTATTCTGAACTTGTTTTTTTCATTTGTAGAATAGAGATAACTATACATACCTGCAGCCTTGTGACAATTGACCAAGAGACTGCATATAAAGAACCTAGCACAGTGCTGGGCACATACTAATGCTTGTTAGATTGTGACTATTGGTATTATGTATTGGATGGTTATGCTGTATTCTAAGAATGAAAAACTAAAGGTTATCTAGTCTAACTTTATACTATGTACATGGCATCTCTTCCTAATGAAGAATTCTTGAAGTGAAGGACTGATATTTTTGCAATGGGAGCATGCACAGTGGCCTTAATCAAAACATGTCACCCTGCCAATATAAAGATACAGTCCTGCCCCAGATCATCTCATAAATTCCAAGAGTTGCTGTTTCCCAGCAGCTCCAACTAATAGCCTTTCTTCTTTTACAGAGGTAGAAGGAGGTAAATTTTTTTCCTTTTAAAAATTTTTGATTTTTAATTATACAAGGTGTACATGAATATTTTCTCCTTGAAAAAAAAACAAGATATTATACAAAGCAAGACTATAATCTCCCAATACCTTCAGTTCTTCCCCCCTCTTGCTTTTCCTCTGCCCTCAAACCCAAGTTGAAAATTGTTGATAGATTAGTGTGTATCTGTCTGCACATCTTCCTTTTGATTTACATGTCTGGTGTTGTGCTCTTTGCAAGTGTTCAGGGTTTTTGTGTGTGTGTGCATGTGTGTGTTATGTGTTTTAAGCAAATTGGCTTACAGTAGAATGTGTTATTTGTACTTTTTAAAAAAACTTAATGTGCCTTAGAAATCTAGCCACCTTAGTACATAGTGGTTACTTTCATTTCAACTGCTGCATGCGACAAGTATTCCTAAGTATGAGTATATACGTTTATTTTACCATTCTCAGTTGATGGGCACTTAGTTTGTTTCCAATCTTTCAGTATTATAAACATCACAGTAACCAACCTTCTACATGCTTTCTTACCTTTATTATGATCTTATTCACTTGCATGTTTTCCAGGGGAGAAATAGAATTACTAGGTTATATAATAAGATCATTTGAAATTCTAAGAGCTGTGGTAAAATTATTCTCCAAAATTGCTCTACCAATTTTACTCTCATTGGCAGTATGAGTGTCTGAATCTTCTTTTATTCATATTTAAAAGGAAATGTAGCTTAAATCAGGTTTAGAATTAAGCTATGCAGAAGTTACAGCCATTGTGGACCCAACTGCAGGCATTTCTCTGGAACCCACTGTTGATCTGCTGACTTATTATCAGTGTATTGGATGACAATTGGAAGTCTTATTGGCTGACTGTGGCAGGAATGAGGATATAATAAACAAAATCCTTCCTCAGCTCCAGACTGTCTGAACCCACAACATTCTCAAGTTTTGCAACTGTGTTTTGGTGGAAACCAAACCTTGGCAGGTGGAAGGGGTGGATGAGTATGTAAAGTAGAATATCATGGGATGTTGACCCAGAATATCATGGGATGTTGGGGTCTACCTGGGGTGCTAGAGCTGTTTGGGGATTCAGAGAGGCCTTGAAGCCCATGTGCAGAGAGGCCAGTCATCTTGACTTTCATTGATCTGTGGTAAAACCAAACAAAAATAAGATCAGAAAACAAATGTCTGAGTCATGTAAACATTTGTTACATTTTCTCATCCAGGACGAGAAACCAGTTAGGTTTGAGTCTGCTGCCTGAACCAAGTATTTTGCACTTTTATTTTCCTCTGCCTGATTCTCCACACAGGAGAGCAGGGATTGCAAAATTCAGATATTCCTGCAGTTATGCTTCTTCTCATTTCTATTAATTAAGTACTTACTGAGCACCTTCTCCGGTCCAGGCACTGTGACCAGGACTGGAAAACTCAAAGGTGAACAGCATACACACCAGCTGTTACACAGCTACAGTCAAATGGGGTGTGTGTGTGTCAAGATGATGCAGTACAATGTTATGGGTACAATGCATAAGAGAGGTACTTCTCCTAGGGTGTGGCAGGTCACTGTCCCCTGTCCCTGTCCACTGTCCCCTGTCAAATTCAAAAAATTTGAATATTTCTTTTTGTTAATTGTATACATTTAAGGGCTACAAGTAGAGCTTTGTTTCATGGATATATTGTGTAGTGTGAAGTGGGGGCTTTTTGTGTAACCATCACCTAAATAATGTATGCTGTACCCATTAAGTAATTTTTCATCCCTCAACTCCCCCATAATTTGAATATGTCTATCCAGTGTTTATAACAATGTATTAGAGCTGAAGCCCTCTCAACCTCTGACCCAGTAAAGTACTGTACCTTGGAGAAGAGAGGCAATGGGATTTTGGAGGAGATTCAGTTCTCCTATAAATATAGTTAGCAATAACATCTCACTTGGAGCCTGGACAGAAAACTTTCAGAGGGGTATTGGCAGTTGTCATGGCTCTTTCTATCCTGAGGAGACTCAAAAGGTATCTCTGGCTAGGGCCATATTCAGAAGGGCCACAGTTCCCATTTGAGAAAACTTTCCTGTACTATCATTTCATTGCTGGAGATGCAGGCCCTGCTGAAAGAGTTGTAATTCCCTCCTAGGTCAGAACAGGAACCCTGGGTTCTCTTGGAAATACCAAGAGTGACTGAATTGTAAAGGTCAGCCAAAAGAGAACACTAGCCCAAGAGAGTCCCTGTGTCCATGGGGCTGGGGGTGGGGGGAAAGGGTGGGAGGTTGCTATGTTCTTTTCAGCATATAGGAGCAGGCAGAGCAACTTGGCAGCATAAAATCAGGGAGATACTGAGCACTGCTGTGAAGGAGGTGAAACACGGTGAGTGCCTCTTGATGTGTGAACTACCTGGAACAAAGTTAAACAAGCATTTCATTAAAACACCAGAGAAAGGAGTACTGGGAAAAGGGTCTGGGACAATGGTTCTCAACCAGCGGTAATTTAGCTCCTGAGGACATTTGAAAATGCATAGAGACAGTTTTGGTTGTCATGACTGAGATGGGTGCCAACAGTATCTAGTGCGTAGAGGCCAGGGATGCTGCCATGCACCCTACATTGCACAGGACAACCCCATACACACAAAGCTTATTCTCCCAAAGTGCCGCTAGTACCAAGGTTGAGAAACGTGGTCTAGTGAGAAGATGGTACATGAATATTTACATTTGTGGTACTAATGATTAGCAATTTGAGATATTTAAAAATTATCAGTTTGAGATATTAAAAAATCAGTTTGAGATATTTACAAAATTTCTTTCAGTATGAACATATTTGGATAATTTTTTTCTTCTTTCTGTTTCAAAGGTTCTTTTGGAACCTCTGTCTCCCAGTCCTTTTTCTGGCTTAAAAAATGTAAATTTCTTTCTCACAGCTCTAGAGGCTGGGAAGTGTAAGATCAAGGTGCCAGAAAGGCAGGTTTCATTCTCAGCCCTCTTCTCTTGGCTTGTAGGTGGCCACCATCCCACTGTGGGCTCACATGACCTCTTCTTTGTGTGATCATGGGGAGAAAGAGAGGGAGCAAGCTCTTTGGTGTTTCTTTTTGTAAGGACACTCATAGCATCATGAGGGTCCTACCCTTATAACCTCATTTAACCCTGATTACCTCCCTAAGGCCCCATCTCCAAATACCATAACATTGGGGGTTAGGGCTTTAATGTATGAATTTTGGGGGGATATAAATATTCAGTCTATAACAGTAACACAAATATATATTCTTTTTTTCTTGGTCTAGCATCTTTGAATCAGCATAATTAATTCAAGATTCCTCTATGAACTTGCATATATTAGTAGTTCATTCATTTTTATTGCGGGGCAATAGACTATTGTATTCATACAACAATTTGTTTATCCATTCACCTATTGATTGACATTCGGGTTATTTCTAGTGTTTGGCTTTTACAAATAAAGCAGCTATAAGCATTTGTGTACATGTCTCTATATGACTCTTTTTTTCCTAATAAGATTCTAAATTCTTTTATTTTCATACTATCAGGATTTTCATACCATCAGGGTTACAAGAATTTAATCCTTGCAATTGGTAAAGAACTACTGTTTAAGAAGTGTGGATGAAAAATACAGAGCATCCTGTCTGAAACATTGTGGTCAGAGTTTGGAAGACAAATGTCTACCCATTGGGCCATCTAGTGAAGAGATTTTCTTGGGAGTTCAGATCAGCATTATTGTAGAATTTTCACAAAATAATCAGGTTTGTCTTGTGTTGTGTACATGCCTGTCTCAACTCAAGTGTATGCAGGTATTCAGGCTCTGAAAAAACATTTTTTATAGGCCATTTCTCACCCTCTGCCTCATATTTTATTTTAAACACTTTTCCAATATAAATTGAAAGAGTTTTACAGTGAACATCAACTAGATTAATTTGTCTTGTATTTGATTACCACCCATCAATCCAGCTCTCTGTTCATTCATAAATCCATCTTATATTTTGATATATTCCAAAGTAAGCTTCAGACATCAGTTTACTTTATTCCTACATACCTCACTATGCATCTATTGACTAGAATGCAAGGCTTAAGGTCTAGTCTGTTTTAGTCGGAGGGTGAATTTTGCACACAGGCAAAGGCAAAAACATTTAAGTGTGCCATTCGGTGAATTTTGAAAAATGTATACACCTGTGTAACCGAAGCCCCTGTCAAGGTGTAGCTCATTACCATCACTCCAGCAGATTCCCTCATGCATGTTCTCAGTCTCCGCCTCCTACAACACTTCTGATTTTTTTCCACCATGGATTAGTTTTGCCTGTTCTTGCAGGCCATTTTTGACAATGCAAGAGTGAATGCTGTCTCTTGCTCTGAATCAGGTTGGCTACACACGTCAGTACCCTTACATGGAAGTCCCTCCCCACTGGGCTCCTCTCAACTCACCACTGCTCTAGAGGTTTCTTTTGGCACCGTCTCAGAAATCATGGGCTTTGTTTCCTGTCCACAGAGCATTGGCTTTGCATCTATTCTTTTCATTTATATTAAAAATTTTTGGTTTTTACTGATAATAATTGTCTATATTTATGGAATACAATTTAATGTTTTGATACATGTTTACAATGCATACATTCTGGCTTTCCACCCTGTTCCCCAACCACCTCCTTCCTATTCCACCTTCATAGAAGGAGTACAGCCCTTCAGTGGCCTTCTTTGGCCAGATCCATCTCCTCCCTTCTCCTAGCTCCAGTTTCTATTGTTCGAGCCTGGCTCATGTACCCAAGAGGACAGTTTGGCAAGCTTGGTCTCAGGGCGTTCTGCATTGCTCCTCTGAGTAGGTTAGGGAAAAAAAATGCCCAGGACAATGCTAGGGCACACAGGTTTCTGGGGAGGAGAAGCAGCACAGACCTTATTGACTAGATAGGCTTCAAGTCCTCATGCACCTGCCTTCCCTGGCTGTGACTGCCTCTCCCCTATCTGGAGACTCAGCTCGTTTAAGGCATTGGGACCAATCCTGTCCTTAATCACAGGAAATTTAAAGAGCCCAACTTCTGGACCACCATGACTCAGTATTAGCCATCTTTGCTGCTGGACCCCCTCTAACTCTGATTTAATGACTTGGCAAAGTTGCTCTGACTGAACTGTTTCTTCATTTGTACAATAGAGATAATAGCTGTCATCATTGTATATATGGTTGAATGTCCAACCTGTGCTTGGTGATGGCATGCATATGAACTCATTAAATCTTCACAATAGCCATGCCATCAGGTACTATTATTTTACCAGTTTTACAGGTGTAATAGTTGAGGGTTAGAGGTTAAGTCATACCTCTTGTGCTGTGTACCTGACAAGTGGTCATAAGAGTTAAATAAGATAACATATATGAAAAGACTTTGTGAACAGTAAATACTCCATAGATATAAGTTGGATGATTCCATCTGATTGGGCTCCAAATTGGAGAGCAAGGGAGAGGAAAAGACCAACGAGTAAACTTGCATTTTGAATTGATTGATAGATCATAAATAAGATCAATTTCCATACTCTGTTTTTCTTTTATATTTTTATTGGAAAAGAATCAAAGTATGCAAAATTTTGACTTTATTGTCTCACCTCATTTTTGACCTAATACTGTGGTTCCTGAGGATGTGAACTTTATCCACTAGATTAGCCTGTGTTTTGGTTGTTAATAAAAGACAAAAACAGGGATCAGGCATGGTGGCTCATGCCTATAATCCTAGCACTTTAAGAGACCGAGATGGGCAGATCACCTGAGGTCAGGAGTTCAAGACCAGTTGGGCCAACATGGCAAAACACCGTCTCTACTGAATTAAAAAAAAAAAAATTAGGCGTGGTGGCACATGCCTGTAGTCCCAACTACTCAAGAGGCTGAGGCATGAGAATTGCTTGAGCCCGGGGGGGCAGAGTTTGCAGTGAGCCGAGATCAGCTGTTGGCACTCCAGCTGGGGCGACAGAGCAAGACTTTGTCTCAAAAAAAAGAAACAAAAACCAAAAACCAAAAAACAAACAAACAAACAAAAAAACCACACACAAAATCAAATGAGCCCCTGTAAGAGAGAAATCTGCTCTCCTTTAAGACATTCTCAAGACTCAGAGGAAATCCAAAAGCAGCATCACCAGAAATTAGTGTAGTCTCATAAAGAATTCATGATGAAGGAACAACACTCACTTGGGTATTTAAGTCCAAATATATTATAAAGACAGTGAAATTATTTTATTTCATAATTCATTTTTAGTGAAAGATAATTGTGATGATATTTCCCTTAGCATTAACAATTTTTTTTTAACAAAGTTAGGGATTTCTCCTTTAAGAAACACTGTCTGTGGGTCTCCCACATTGGCAATTTGAGGCTCATTGGCCAACATGATGGCAGATATCTGAGGGCCTAAGTGTCTTGAACCAACAATCTGAGGATTGGAAATCTTGGCTCCTTTACCAAGCAGAGGCTGGAGGTAGTTTTCCTACCCTAATCCAATTTCCTTCTATATCTGAAGGGTTCTATGAGCTTCTAGCTATCTATCAAGGAATCTCACTTGTGCTTACTTAGACCTCGTATCTGGGCTCCTTCCCTTAGTGTCTTAAGTGGTTTCATTATCCTCAGTCTTATCCCCATTAACGTCATCCTTCACTCTTCAGCCAGGATGAATTTTATAAAATGTAAATACAAGCATGCAACTCTCTTGTTTAAAAACCTCTTTGTCAGACATGGTGTTAGCCTACTCACAAGCCAATACTCTACGTTCCTGTGGCAGCAGCATCCTGACTTTTTCAGGAATGAGACAGAACTGTGTTCAGGGAAATAGGTCTCTGCTCCAACTCCAGCTCATCTAAACCAGTCACAGTAATTCTCTTAGCCTATTCCAGTGATATGATTTGGAAGTGGGGTAGTGACCCAATTCTGGTCAATGCAATCATAGAGAAAGTCTATTGAGGACTTCTGAGAACTGTTCTGATGGAAACAAAGAGAGACACACACACAAATAGAAGCTCTTCCTGTTGACCTCTGGCTATGATTGTGTGAGGATGTAATTTTTTAAATTATTATTTTATTTTTTATTTTTTTTGAGACAGAGTCTTGCTCTGTCTCCCAGGCTAGAGTGCAGTGGCATGATCTTGGCTCACTGTAACCTCTGCCTCCGGGATTCAAGCAATTCTTCTGCCTCAGCCTCCCAAGTAGCTGGAATTACAGGCACCCCCTACAGCGCCTGGCTAATTTATGTATTTTTAGTAGAGACGGGTTTCACCATCTTGGCCAGGCTGGTCTCGAACTCCTGACCTTGTGATCCACCTGCCTCAGCCTCCCAAAGTGCTGGCATTACAGGCGTGAGCCACCACACCCGGCCAAGGTTGTAATGTTTAGAGCTGCAGCAGACATCTTGGAACATGAGGAAATAAGCCTGAGGATGAAAGCCATGGGAATAGAAAAGAAGATGGGAAGAGACTATCTACAATGATGCCACTGAACTGTTGAACCAACCCTGGAGACATTTATCTCTGCACTTGCTAGGCGAGGTGTTTAAAATAACATTGTGTTCCCAATTGCTTTTCTCCTCTCTTTAAGAGGATGGTACTTTGCCCACCCACTGCCACCTGATGTGAGTTGCCCCCATGTGGAGGAGTATACCCACCTATACCTCTTCTATAAGGCTTAGTTATCTCACTTGCATTCACCAATGGAATGTGCATGGAAGTGATACCATATTCATTTTTGAACCCTTTAAGAACTCTTGCATGGTTCCACCATTTCCCTTTTCCCTCTGGCATAAGAGAGGCAGGTATGTTGTAAGAATGCAGAGAAATCCTTCTTCAGCCTAGATCCTGGGATAAAGAAGCTACTTGGTGCAGGAGAAGGGCTACTGTCAACCGACAGCTGATATATGTGAGCAAGAAACACACTTTTCTGCTGTAAGCCACTGAGATCTTGGAGACATTTGTTGCTGCATCACAGCTGACTAATATGTAAGGCAATAGATGTCCTTATGATTTGAATAACTCTAGGATTACCCTTTTATACCTTTTAACCAAATATAGGTTCTCTATTGTCTTTAGAAAAACAAGAAATAATTTAGAATTAAACATAAGGCCCTCCTAGATCTAATATCTGTCTACTTCTCCTCCTCATCTCTTAGCCACTCTCCTACACCCTATATTCTGGCAATTACTGGTAATTACCCTAAAATGCCAAGCTCTTTCATACTTCCATAGCTTTGCATGAGTTAGACCCTTTTTCTGGAATATGAAAAGGAAAACAAGGTAATCTTTTCCTTGTTTTCTTAGGTAATTCCTATTCTTACTTCAAAATTAACCTCCTGCATCACTTAGTTCATCTAGGATGCTAGAGAACTGAGAGAACTGAGAACTGTCCTGATGGAAACAGAGAGAGACGCACGTACAAGTAGAAGCCCTTCCTGCCTACCTCTGGCTTTGATTGTGTGAAGATGTAATGTTTACAGCTGCAGCAGCCATCTTGGGACATGAGTAAATAAGCCTGAGAACGAAAGCCGTGAAAGTAGAAAAGAGAAAGATGGGAAGAGGCTATCTACAATGATTCCACTGGACTATTCCACTTATAAATGCACTGATACTATCCTGAAAGGATAAGCCAGTCTGATTACCTCTAAATCTGTAAGCTCTGGGAGAGGAGTATACTTATCTATACCTCTTGTATAAGGCTTAGTTATCTCACTTGCATTGGCAAAGGGAATGTAAATGGAAGTAGAGCTTCTTTATCCCAGAATCCAGGCTAAAGGAGGATTTCTCTCCATTCTCATGACACACCTGCCACTCTTATGTCAGAGGGAAAAGGGAAATAATGGAACCATGCCTGAGTTCTTAAAGTTTCTACATGAATATTGCATCACTTCCATTCACATTCTATTGGCCAGTGCAAGTGACATTAACTTAGCCTTATACAAGAGGTATAGGTAGCTATAATCGTCTCTCAGAGTTTACAGATTTAGAGGTAGCCATTATTATAAGACTGGCCTGTTCTGTCAGGATGTTATCAATGCATTTATACATAGAATAGAAATATATTGTTTAAAAAAATCATAATGGTTGTAATATTCTATTATCCTGCAATCAAGTGCATGCATAGTCTCCAATTCACTTCCCATATGATCCATCCCTGAGATGCTTCCCTTGCATCTTTGGGATGTGGTTTGGGCACAGCTTGCATGGGAGAACAATGAGGAAGAGAGGTTTCTGTAGTGTTTCCATCTTCATAAGTAAGTCAATTTTGGTTCTTGGCCCCAAATGCCTTTCCCCTCTGTATTTTCTGACTTCTTGAGGCTGTAGAAGGTGCTAACTAATAAACCACAAGGAAATTGGATTCGGTGACAGCATCAGCAGGCTAAGGTTTTACAGCACCCAGGAAGTGGATGATCCCGAAAGGCTGCCTGACAGTTACCACAGAGGCTGGTGGAGCTGCCCCTCCTCGGCTGCTGTCTCTCCTCTCCATTGGGCCCCGAGGCCCAGAATCATCTCCTCATACCTGCTCTGTCTGACATGTTCACACAGCTCCAGGAGATCAATCTCACCCCCTTGCATCTGGCAGTTTCTTTTAAGATAAAAACAGATGGTCAGAAATAATTTTTTTCTATTTTATTTCATTATATTTAAAAAGCAACTACTTTGGACACTCAGATACTGCTATCTACATCTGTTCGCATCATTTAATTTCCTGCCAAAAATGTGTATGGTAAAATGATTTTAATGGGTAAAACCAAAGCTACAGTCCCCTTTCACACAAAGCTGTTTGATGACATTCATTTTCCACTGTCTCTTCTCCATGCCTCGGTCAGATGAACCCCATCTAAGAGTTCTCTGGAGGGAAAACTCTATTTTTAAAATTTTTAATAGAAGCCCAGGGCTTGAGGAAAACCAATTGGTCTAAGAGTTCTGGTTTGATTTTCTTCTTGAACTTGTTTGCTTACTTTGAAAATTTCTTAGAAACATGATTTTTCAGAAATATGCATGCTTATTAATATTTAAATAATTCTATTTAAATATGTTTTATAACTTCCTGAAGTTATGTAGATGATGGGGGGCTGGATGAAGCAGGCTTGCTGGGGATACTCCCATGCAAGCTATACCCAAACCACATCCCCACGGTGTAAGAGAAGCAACTCAGGGGTGGATTTTGTGGTCAGTGAATTGGAGACTACGTGCACACACTTGATTGAAGAATAATAGACAGAATATTACATCCGTTATGATTTTTAAAGCAATATTATTTACTACACTCATCGTTGCCAAATTACTAAGCTTTCATCTTATATGGCGGCATCTTTAGAAGCCAACAAGTGTAGAAGACCTCCATGGTTCATCTGTGTCTATGGTAAAATCGTACTTACTAATTTAAAGCTCAGCCACCCTAGCCAAATACTTCTTTAAAGACAAATCCTTAAACAATTGTTAACTTTCAGCCACACTTTTAGTGTTGTAGAATATCTGCCTCTTCCAGTGAGCTTTTCCTGAAGACCCTCAAGTTCAGTTAATTCTTTATGTCATGCTCCAGTGGATCTGATTCAAGGTATGTTAAGTTCTCAACCACTGGATTTGAAGAGCTTTCCAGAGGAAGCTGGAGTGAGGAAGGGACTTTGAGCTGGGGAAACTGACCTAGATAAAGAAGAGCTGATTTTAACAAGAAATAGAGAAAGTCCAAACTTGAACATACAACAGAGACAACAAGTACAGGAATAATTCAAGGCAATAGTCAATTGTGCGGTCAGGGGCAGGTTAGCACTATTGCTCTGTCGTGCACCAAAGGAGGCTGGAATGGTGAGGACTGAATCACTAGTCTTTCAGGTGGTTGGGCCCTAATGGTAGGAACTCAGTACATGACAACATGTATTTTGGAGTAGGTACAGGGAGCAGGATATAGCTTTTAGGTGCAGGCAATTGGGATGATGGTGGCAGGTGTGGTGGTGGGGTGGATCCAGTTGCTTCAGGAACTGGAAAACTGGATTCAGAGAAATTCTCTTTAGAGTGGTTGTCCAGGAGCAGAAATGAAGAAATGTTTATTAAAGTATTTGGTTTATTTGTGTAATATTTTTCCTAATAACAAAATTGAAATCAAAACCTAATCAGTGCATATAGCTTGGAAAAATCTTATAGAAAAGCACAAAAAGGAAAACTTCACAATCCAATTAACCAGAAATAAACATTGTTCACAATAGATACATGTCCTTCAAATTTTCTCTCTCTCTGTCATTTAAAGATTGATATTGTATATATAATTTTAAGGTCTTTATTCACTTAGCAATACTGTTTTTTATTTTCCCATGTTAACAAATATTCTTTTTCAAAATTATTCTAATGATTTCATAGTATTCTTTGCATCATATAGGTAGTCCATAATGTACTTAATGAATCCATTACTCTAAGACATTTTGTGGCTTTTCCATATAATTTATTGCTAAGCAAGTTTTTAACATACAACTTTATACACATCACTAATTATCAGATTCTATTTCTTTAAGTATAGAAAATTTTCTCTATCAGAGGGAATACTTGTGTCATCCAGAAAGGTTATATGATTCTACATCTTTAGAAACAGTGTCCCCTTTGTCTCTGATAGTGCTTTCCTGAGCATGAGTCCACTGGGGACCTGGGATAAGATCAGGATGCTTGGGACTCGGGCAGCTTGTTTTGCGAAAATTCTCCAGGCTGGGGAATGAAGACTCCCCGAGGCTTCTGGTCTTGGCTCTGGTCACCTGATATATGACCTTAGGTGAGGAAATATTATTTCCTGGGTGTTGTTTCCTCGTCTGAAAATAAGGTGGTTGGATTTGATAATTTCTAAGCTCTCTTTAAGCTGATATATTTTCTTATTCCCTGTGGCAGTGGTAACAATGAGTGAATCCCTCAGATTTGGAAGCCAAATATTCACAATGACTAGTTAGTGAACTTGGTTTGTATTCCAGAAGAATCCTTGCTGTACAGATCAAGAAGAAGGGCAAGCTTTGGATTCTGGAAAGTAAAGCCCACTGTCCCCACCAGACCTGAGATGCCAAGTAAGTGTGCTCAGTAGCTGTCAGACTTTCAAGACTGAATTACGGAATGACCATCATCCTTCTTTTGTCTTCCCACCTATGCGGATGAGACAATACATTCTTACTTCACGGATTTTTTTTTAATTCTAACTTTTATTTTAGACTCTGGGAGTACATGTGCAAGTTTGTTACTTGGGTATATTTGCATGATGTTGAGGTTTGGGGTATGATTGATCCCATCACCCAGGTAGTGAGCATAGTACCCAACAGTTTTTCAGTCCTTGTCCCCTCCGCCATCTAGTAGTCCCTAGCGTCTATTGTTGCCATCTTTATGTCGATAAGTACCCAATGTTTAGCTCCCACTTATAAATGAGAACGTGCAGTATTTAGTTCCCTATTCCTGCATTAATTTGCATAGGATAATGGCCTCCAGCTACATCTGTTGCTGCAAAGGACATGATTTCATTCTCTTTCTGCAAAGAACATGATTTTGTTCTTTTTCATAGCTGCATAGTATTCCATGGTGTATAAGTACCACATTTTCTTTATCCAATCTACCGTTGAGGGGCACCTAGGTTCTGTATCTTTGCTATTGTAAACAGTGCTGTGATGAACAAATGAGTGCGGGTGTCTTTCTGGTAGAATGGTTTATTTTCTTTTGGACGTATACCCAGTAATGGATTGCTGAGTTAAATGGTAGCTCTGTTTTAAGTTATTTGAGAGTTGTCCAAACTGCTTTTCACAGTGGCTGTACTAATTTACCTTCCCACCAGCAGTGTATAAGTGTTTCGTTAACTCTTTAACCTTAATGGCACTTGTTATTTTTTGACTTTTTTTTTTTTGAGAGAGTCTCACTCTGTCGCCCAGGCTGGAGTGCAGTGGTGTGATTTTGGCTCACTGCAACCTCCGCCTCCCAGGTTTAAGTGATTCTTTTGCCTCAGCCTCCTGAGTAGCTGGGACAACAGGTGCATGCCACCACGCCCAGCTATTTTTTGCACTTTTAGTAGGGACAGGGTTTCAGCATGTTGGCCAGGATGATCTCGAACTCTTGACCTTGTGATCTGCCCACCTTGGCCTCCCAAAGTGTTGGGATTACAGGTGTGAGCCACTGTGCCCTGCCTATTTTTTGACTTTTTAATAATAACCATCTGACTGGTGTGAGATGATATCTCAGTGTGGTTTTGATTTGCATTTCTCTGGTGATTAGTGATGCTGAGTATGTTTTCATATTTGTTGGCTGCTTGTATGTCTTCTTTTGAGAAGTGTCTGTTTATGTCTTTTGTCCATTTTTAAATGGGGTTATTTTGTTTTTGCTTGTTCAATTGTTTAAGTTCATGAAATTAATTTTTAAGGTCTTTTATTTTTCTCTCTTATGTGGCTGCCTCATATAAACAGATGGGAAAAGGGCAAAAGAGAAAACAGAGAGCAGATGCAAAATCATAAATGTGAAAATATGAATGTGGTATTTGATGAATGGATACAGGCAACCAGAGGGGTTGGGTTGCTGCATGAACTCAGGGAAGTGGCTAAACTGAAACTGACCACAAGGAATCATGGAGGCACCTTGCATTCTGGCTGTCTCTTTTGTTCAGTGCTAGTCTCTTTTGCTCTGACTCAAACACGAAGATAGTCTCTCAACTTCTCATGATGCCTTCTGCAGAAAACAAGGCGCATGGTACAATCTGGTAATTGAATCAGTTCTTGGTTGATTGGGCCAGCAGATGAACCATGAGTGGTTCTTTCCTCTTGGTGCAGATAAGTTGCTGTTAAAAGATGCTTCTAAGCACTTAGAATAATGCAGTATGTAGAATAAACCAGTGGGAGCCTGGTGGGAAGACAGCCATCCACATGGCTAATTTATTTCAAATCACACCCAGGAAATCCAGCTTATCTAAACAAATCCTAGGCCAGAAGGGAGGGCTGAAGGACAGCAACTGGGGAGCAGCCATAAAATGTTAAGTATTGCATAGCTGGATAAAGCAGGACCCAGAGAGCCAATGACTGTTTAAATTATTGTAGAATGTAAACTCATCAGATGACATCTAATCCAGCCATATTTCCCTCAATTATTTCACCCCAGTAGGGTTTGCTTTCCCATCAGTACTGGATCACAGAGCTGTCAGCTGGCGTTTTTGAAGGGTGATTTGTTGCTCTAATGATGATACTGAAATCTGTTTATGGTTGTTTATCTAAGGGTCATCTATCTTCTGAGGCATCTTCCTTCTCTCGGGATTCTATTTGGGTAGCTCTCTTCAATTCCCCAAACAGAACAACTGTTAGTATTTCACAAAGGTAAGTATCCTGTCCATGTTAATTTTATGACCTATGAGTGTAGCATAGTTATTGAGCCAACTATGTTAAAAATTATGCCTTATATATTTAAGAGACTTTAAAGAGTACCCAGCATGTGCATATGTACTATTTTCTAAGCTAGTTATATATAGCTCTGTAATTATAAAAGTACCAATCATATGAATGGTTAAAGAAATCATTTTATATATCACAATGTTTACAGTATGACAGACATTGTTCTATAATAAGTAACAATCCCAGGATGTGGGTACTATTATCATCTCTATTTTACCGGTGAGGAAATCAGGGTACAGAAAGCATGGGTAATTTGCCCAGAGTTAAACAGCTGGTAATTTTTGTGCTACCCACTAAAGGCAGGAGAATGACAGCAGCATAGTGTGGAGCAGTGCTTAACAGAGTTTTTGACTAAAGTCTCCATTAAATCAAAGGGGAATGAATGTGCACTTCCAGGGGAATCTGGCACTAAAATCAGCAGTGCCAGATATTATTGAGAAGGCTCAATATTTTCTCTAAATTGTGTGGGTTTTAAAAGATAATTTTTTTTTTTTGCAAAATCAGCCATCTAATCTATAATATACCTGAGTTTGTTTTATTCCAAATCTGTCAAACTTCTGAAGAAAATGAATGCTCCAGGATGTGCCTGGTTTATGTTGGGGTCTCTGGTTGCCCTTATATGCCACTCATTTGCTACTGTGGAAGTATGTGTCTTCCAGTTTGGGAAATCCAGGTATCATAGAGAGATCACTGGGCTGTCAGTCAGGCAAGAACTAGGGTCTGGTTCCAGTGTTGCTGCTGGGCACATCTGAGATCATGAACAAGTCACCTACACTTCAGGGCTTGGAATTCATCTTACGTAAAATGAGGGGTTGGGTCAGATCCACTGTTCTTCAACTAAACTCCTGAAACTCCCTGGGGCTCTAGACAGAAGAAGAAAAGAGCGGAAAGTGAGGCCCCTCATCACCTTGGTTACATACTTTCCATTTTGGACTTTCCAGTACAATTTTGTAGAACAATTGCATTCCACTTATTTCAAATACATAATTCAAAATGTTTGGGAAAAGCTAAACAACTGAATGAGATGATGTCTAAGGTCAGCCCAGTCTATAAGTCTAAGGAGAAGGGCCCAAATTCCAACCCTTCTTAGGAGCCTATGCCTACCTCTCTGCTTGATCTAGGTTCACTTGGGAAAGCTTCAATATATACAAGGTCACTTAGTCATTTTGTCTTGTCAAGTTTTAGGCAGTGTCCCCTGAGATTTTCTTGTTACAGCCAACCCTAGGCTATCTGGTTCTCCTTTTTGACTTAGGACTGGGAATCCATTGGAAGCATCAAGAAAGGTTACTCTCATTTTGATTCTCATACTTGTGTCTTTTGAAAATAGCGCATACGTTAGTGTGGAATGTGTATCTCTCTATTCACTCTCTTGATTTTTTTTTGTTTGAAGTAGCCTCATCTAATAAAAGTCTTACTGACACAAAGGTTATAAGGCTGGTGACTAAATTATGGGTCCTTCAGTGAGAGATAGACAGTGAGCTTTCAACAAGTGCCTGACATCGTGGAGACAAGAGAGAGTCTATTTGAGGAAGCTTGGGGGCCAGGATTAAGTTCCTTGCCTACTATAGGCGTGCAGACCTTTTTTAAGGAGAATGCTTAAATCTTAAGGGACTTTGAGGTTAATTGCCATCCACTGTCCTGGGATCAATAAAAAATAGGCAAAAAGGGCCCACATTTAAAGCTTGTTTCTCCCAACAGCCTTTGCAGAGAGGCTTATTTTATTTACATTTGCTGTACTCTTGTTCCTACTAAGTTGGGAATCCATATGGTCTCTAAGTGTGGGGCAGTCCTGGCTTATCCCTGTTATCTCAGAGTAATTATTGCTATTACCCTCTTTATTTTATAAATGTCCTGGAATGGACAGTGAGTTGCATGGTTACCTTACTGCTGAGAGAAGGGGCCCTAGGTAGGCTGTATGCATCGACAGTCATGTTCTATAACCAGTACCATGTCAGTTTGACTCGCTTTTAGCAAGGCTTCTCCAAGGGAGTGAAGAAAGACACAGCCACAGTGAGAAGAGATGGACTTTCTGCTTTTATCAGGGAAGACAAACACATGGGCAGGAAAGAGAGTAGCCAGTAGTGGAATTGGCCTCACTCATCATTTGGAGGAAATATTCCCCTTGATTTAAGAATTTGGATGGCCAAGAGGGTTTTCAGGAAAACAGGCAATGGGACAAGAAGCAGGAAAGAGTTAGGAGGTTTGCATAACTCGGTACCCAGTATTTGGTCTGATAGCACCAGGAGCAGAGTGGATTTGAGTGGGATCTGACCTATGCTTGGAGGATTCCATTCTCCATTGGCAGAGGAGCTTTGCTTCATGACCATGCACCTGAGTTTGTGTGGCTTTCAGGGCATTTATGAATCCATGAAAACTGTAAAACATTTTGTTTTGTATGTATGCATATGCTCCATATTTTTCTGGAGAGTGGATCTATAATTTACAGTAGATTATCAACGCATTCATGACTCTAAAAAGTTAATATTGAGACTGGTGACTAATTTACATTGCCAGTTAATAGCTGAAGGAAAGGGGTGGGGCTTGGGAATCTTTGACACCAATAGGTAATTCTGGTGTCCGTTGGTTATTTGCTCTTTGTATCCCAAAGATAATTTTAAGCAAAAATCACTAAGACTTTTATAGTATTGACAAAATGAAAAGCTCACATTTATAAAATTTTATTGCTTTTTTCTATAAAAGTGTTCTACTTTTTATATAAAAAAGAATCGACATTAAAAATTGTTTTAAAAAATTGCCCATTATATCTTCACTTTAATCCAACTGTTTATTATTTTAGTTTACTTTCTTCCAATTATTTTCATATGCTACTTATTGATACATAATTGTAATTATGATATCCATACAATTTCTATCCTGATTTTTATGTACTAGTACATCATAAATATTTTTCATGACTTTACATAGTCTGAAATAAATATAACTGTTAATTATTTCAGAGTAATTCACCAAGTTAATGTTCCACAACATCTTATTTTTAATGGGGGTTTTGAACTATAAATTACATTCAGCCAAGTGCACAAATTATGATTGTACAGCTTGATGAATTTTCACAAAATGAACACACTTATGTAACCATCTTTCAGATCAAGAAATAGAATATTACTAGCTCCTTCTTAGTTACTATCTTCCCTTTCTTCTCAAAAGGGACCACTGTCAAGACTTCTAACACCATGATTTCATCATGCTTGTTTCTGAAATTTATATACAGAGAATCATAGGGTGATTCCAAACTCTTTTCGTTTTGACTTTTTCATGCAACATAATATTTGTCAGATTCATCTGTGTTGTCACATGTAGCAGTAGTTTATTTTCATAGCTGGATAATATTCTATTTTAAGATTTTATCCAGTTTATCAAAATCTTATAGACATTTGTTGATAGACATTTGCGTTATTTTCAGTTTTAAGCTATTACAAATAATGCTGTTATGACCATTTTTGTACCTATCTTTGGTGCACATATGTAATCGTCTTCTGTTGGGAAATATATATGGGAGTGACATTGCTGAGTTATTTTGAATGTGCATATGTTCAGCTCTAATAGATACCACAGATACTTTTTCAAAGAGTTTACTGATTTATAGCCCCAGCAGTGTATGATAGTCCATCTGCTTCCCATCCTTGCCATCCCTGGGAATTATTAGTCTTTTTCATTGTAATCATTGTGATAGGTGTATGTTGACATCTCCTTGAGGTAGTAATCTTCATTAGGCTGGTGACTTTTGGTAAACAGAAGTCTTAATTTTAATATAGAACCCACTTTATTGGTCTTTTCCTTTATGATTCATGATTTTTGTGTCCTGTTTAAGTAATCTTTGCCTACTTGTAGATACTATGTTGTTTTCTTTTATTGATTCACCATTCACATTAAAGTCTATATTCCACATGAAATTGATTTTTGCCTATGGTGTGAAATACATGTCTAGATTCAGTTATTTTTAATATCTGCATCTTGAAAAAAACATTCTTTCCTTGCAGGTATTCAGTGCTTGCTTCCTTTTTCATAAACTAATGTCCACACATGCATGGGTCTGTCTCTAGACATTCTGTTTTGTTCCATGGGTTTATTTATTTATCCTTGCCAATCTTACACTTTTCACTCACTGCAGCTTTATAGAAAAATCATCATAGCTAGTACTTTAATTCTCGAACTATCAAGATTGTCTTGGTTATTTTTAGCCCTTCACCCTTCCACATATTTTAGAAATAAGTTGCCAATTTCCTTTAAAAAGTGTTAAGACTTTAGTTAGGATGTAATTGAATCTATAGATTAGTTTAGGGAGTATTAACATCTTTATAATGTTGATCTTCCAAATCCATAGACCTAGTATATCTCTTAATTTATTTAACTCTTTTTTAATTTCTAAAATGTTTGCAGCTTTATGTAGAAGTTTGTACATTTTCAGTAGATTTGTTTCTATGTGTTTGATTGTTGTTTTGCAAATAGTTTTATTTAAAAGAATTAATTTTATAATTGTTGCTGATATTAAGGAAAACAATTTGTTTTTATGTATCATTGCCCTTTTTATTCAGTGATTTTACTAAATTTGCTTATTAATACTCATAATTTATCTGCAGATCTACCGGGATTTAAAAAATATATATCTTTTATTTTCTTCCTTTATAACATTTTTAATTGTGCCTTATTACATTAGCTAGAACTTCCAGTATAATTAAATAGAAATGATGATAAGGGGAGTATTTACCTCATTCTTAATCTCAGAGGGGGAAACTTTAAATATTTCACCTTAACTATGGTATTTCCTATAAGCTTTTTGAAGATAATCTTTCTCAGAAGGATGTTCCTTTCTGTTTCTCATTCAAGAGTTTATTTATTTGTTAAAATCATAAATGGATATTGAATATTTTCACAAGCTTTTGCTGCATCTCTTGAGATAATCATTGATATTTTTCCTTTATTTCATCCATGTAGTGAATTACACTTTTTGCTTGTTGAATATTAAACCACATCTGCATTTCTTATAATGATATTGTGAATATGCTTTTAGGATATACATATTTATCTCTCAAATCCTTTGAGAGGTACATACTGAAATATTTATGGGCTAGATATTTATGGGATTGTCTACAAAATATTCTGGAAGTGGTAGAGGAAGTGTGAGGCTATAGCTAATGTAAGATTGTCCATGAGTTGATACATTTTAAAAACGGGGTGATGAGTACTTGGGGACTCATTATACTCCCTTCTTTACTTTTGCATATGTTTAAAAATTTTCATGATAAATATTAGCTTTAGAAAGTAAATTCTGTCTTGGAGAAGATAATACCACCCAAGACTCAAATTATCTCTATAAATTTTCACAGTATTTGATTTAAAAATGCCAGATAGATTAGATAATGAGAAAGGAGTGGGACATTTATCAGTTTATAGAAAGAGACGGGGAAATCTGGATTTGGAGGTATCATATACATTTTAAAAATTGTGATTAATATGTTCAAGTAAATAGAATTCATTAGTAAAACCATAGGAGTGAAATGTAATCCACAAAAAAAAGAGACACATTGAAATTTGAGAACTAAAATGAAAATGTCTGAAACTAAGAAAAGTAAACTGTTTTAATAGTAGGTTAAACACAGATGAAGACATGATTAAAAAACTAGAAGATTAATTTAGTGGAAAGAAAACTGACATAAGTATGGAATAGAGAAAGAGTAGAAAATATAGAAAACAATGTAATAAATATGTCAAGTTTTAGGAAAAAGTCCAATGTAATTTGAACCTCGGAAGGGGAAAAAAACATGAATGAGACAGAAAAAATGTTCAAAGTGAAAGTTTTGGGAACAGTGGCGACAATTGAATAAGAGTGTGAAAGTAATTAGTTCCATTAAATTATATACTTAAAAATGGTTAAAATACCTAAAAAAAATGTTCAAAGTGATAAAAGGTCTCCAAACTTCCCATACTGACCAAAGGCATCAAGCCACAGATTCAAGAAGCACTACATTCCCCAAAGTGGCTAAATACAAAGAAATCCATTCCTTATCATAGCATGGTAAAACTTAAGAAAACAAGGCCAGCCATGGTGGCTCACATCTGTAATCCCAGCACTTTGGGAGGCCAAGGTGGGCAGATCACTTGAGGTCAGGAGTTCAAGACCAGCCTGGCCAACATGGTGAAACTCCATCTCTACTAAAAATACAAAAATTAGCCAGTCATGGTGGTGTGCACCTATAATCCCAGCCACCTGGGAGGCTGAGTGAGGCAGGAGAATTGCTTGAACCTGGGAGATGGAGGTTGCAGTGAGCCAAGATCATGCCACATGCCACTGCACTTCAGCCTGGATGACAGAGCAAGACTCCTCTCAAAACAAACAAACAAACAAAAAAACACTTAAGAAAACAAAAGACAAAAAAACAAAAACAAAACAAAAAAACACTTGAAAGTAGCTAGAGAAATCTTGAAAGAAGTCTTTAAAGGAACATTAAGACTTGCAGCTGATTTCTCAAGAGAAACAATAGAAGCCAGAAGACAATGGTACATGTTAAATTTTAAAGGAAAATAACTGTCAACTTAGAATTTTATACTCAGAGAAAATATTATTTAAAATCTGTACAAAATAAAGGCATATTCAGACAAAAACACAAGTAATTTGTCATCAGCAGACCACAATAAAAGATTCTGTAACAAGTTCTTCAGGCAGAGTTAAATTATCCTGGATCTGAAAATAGCAGAAGGAAATACAAAACAATAGAACAAATAAATACATGGACAAATATAAACTACCACTGTTTATATAAAATAATATTAACAATGTCTTATGGGGTTTAAAATATATTTATTGTAAAATATATGACAATAAATTTCAAAAAGAGGGTGGTGGGTAAATGGAATTTAAAATGTTTTCAAGTATGCACTTCATTTTGGAAAGTAAAAGTTATAATTTATATTAGACTTTAGAAAGTCAGGGATGGATCTTATAATATGTAAGGTAACCACTAAAAAATGTAGTAAAGAATGTGTAACTAACAATAGGGGAGAAACTGGATCCCTAAAAAATCTTTATTGATATGTCCAAGAGAAATCAAGATAAGAAATTAAAAGGAAAATATAAAAAGTGAGATGAATATAAAACAAATAGTAGGATAGTAGTTTTAAGTACAAATATTTTGGTAGTTATGTTACATGTAAATGGAATAAATGCCATAATTAAAAGACTAATACAACAGACTGGATTGAAAATCAAACCAACTATATCATGCCTATAGGAAACAGACCTTAAATATAAAGACAGAAATTTTGAAAATAAAATGATGAAAAAAATGTATAATATGCAATTATAATTCAAAGTAAGCTGGAGTACATATAGTAACACCAAACAAATTAGACATAAAGGCAAACATTACTGTAGCAAGAGGAATATTTGATAATAATAAAATGTCAATCAGGAATATGAAGCAATACTGAAGTGGTATATACTTTATAACATAACCTCAAAATATATACAACAAAATTTGACTAAATTGAAGGGAAAGTAAAGAAATTCACAAACTTAGGATACTTGAAATTATCCAAATGTAGCTCTTGAGAATATTGAGAATCAACTATACTTTTTTTCTTGTGTATAATACTTAATGAGGTTTTTAAATGCACAGATAATGTTTTTCTCTTGAATAATTTCTTCTGAGTTAGAAGAAGTAAGAAGGTGTGTGTGCATGTGTGAGTGTGTGTATATATGGTGTGTATATATACACATACCTGTATAAAATACATAAAAAACAAGAAGATATATATATATCTTCTATATATATGTATACATAAACATATATCTTCTATATATATGCATATATACAGTATATCTTCTATATATGCATATATACATATGTATCTTCTATATATGCATATATATACATATGTATCTTCTATATATGCATATATCTGCATATATATCTTCTATATATCTGCATATATGTCTTCTATATATCTGCATATATATCTTCTATGTATATGCATATATATCTTCTACATATCTGCATATATATCTTCTATGTATATGCATATATATCTTCTATATATCTGCATATGTATCTTCTATATATCTGCATATATATCTTCTATATATCTGCATATATATCTTCTATATATCTGCATATCTATCTTCTATATATCTGCATATCTATCTTCTATATATATGCATATCTATCTTCTATATATAAGCATATCTATCTTCTATATATGCATATCTATCTTCTATATATATGCATATGTATCTTCTATATATATGCATATATATCTTCTATATATGCATATATATCTTCTATATATATCTTCTATGTATATGCATATATATCTTCTATATATCTTCTATATGTATGCATATATATCTTCTATATATATATCTTCTATATATATGCATATATATCTTCTATATATATCTTCTATATATATGCATATATATCTTCTATATATATCTTCTATATATATGCCTGTACCTGAATCTCAGGCACAGAGAATTGACTGATTTATATTCCTTAATTCACAGCACATTGTCATTATCTCTACAAGTCCTCATTCTTGTTTAAATGTATTTTACTGTTCTCCCTTTTCAAATTCTACTCCCATTGTAAACATTCCAGTACTTTTTTTTGCCCTCCCCTAGCATCCTGGAACTATGATTTTCAGAATCTCTTGACAGTAAGGTTACACTTCATATTTTGCCAATGAGAAGCATTAATAAAATATTTGGAAGGCAGAATAGATGCAGATGTCATTAATTTTCCTCCATCTATGGCTTGCAGACATGAGGGTTTTGACAGATGGGATTTTACAGCATTTTACTGCAGCAGCTGTGAATGTCAACAGTGATTTCCTGTAGTTTTGACCTGGTTGACAGAAATCTCCTAATTCTCTGAGAGGTAGAAACATCCTTCCTTGACCTTTGCTCCTCCGTGAAATCCATCAATTTTTAAGTACCTAATTCCCTGTATTAAATCCTTTCTTGCTTGAAATACATTGTATGTTGGTGTTTTCCTGGCTGAATTTCGAGTGATAAAATATTTGGTATCAGTAGTGGTTGCAGGAAATATGTCTTTATGATATAAATCTGGGATTTGTTATTTGACCTGCCTGTGTTTGAAAGCAGTGATGACATAATTGCTAGTGACATGGATATTAATAATCCATGGCATGCAATAGCAAAAGCATTACTTAAGTGATCACCTGTTGTCTACAACAAATTTTGTATTGAAGACAAGGTTTTGGGTGAAAAAGCGGCCATTGCAGTGAACTTTAATTGTGGGAATAATGACTACTGGGACTGTGGTGTGTGGCAATGGTTTATGACTACTATAGGAGTTTAAAGGATCTGTGATTAAAGAACTGTGATTAAAGCACAGTCAGGGAGCCAGAGAACTTGTATGACTGAGCTAAAAGAATCTCTTAGATATTGTAGTTGCAGGACCAATGTATAAAAAGGTCAGACCCACAATTTAATCCTGCAGATTATAGAATTATATTGCAGGTTGAATTTAAAGCTTTGTCCTGTCATATGTGAAAATTATAGCACTGCTTCACAAAGAGTAAGACCATAAAAATTTAACTAAGACATGTGAGAAGGGGTTGAATCTGAGTACCTTAAACCTCCACATCTAACTGGTACTCTCTTGCCAGCAGAAGAAGCTCCTCCTTCCCTGTCTAAGGAGGGTGGCCTTTTCTTGCCTGAAGAGTCTACGATAAGCTCACCTACAGCAGTTCTTTTATAAGTAGATTCTAATTTTTCCCAAGACCTGCTTCTCAAGACCATTCTTTATTACCTACAGACCTGTATCCAAAGTCAAAGACCAGCATATTCCAGGGGGACAAGTACAAACTCTGTTTAGGGAAGAGATAGCTCACACTCTCTAATTTCCCCATTATAAGAGAGATACAAACAACCTACTAATAGCAGAAGCCAAGTCTAAACCTGATAAAACATCATTTCTCAGACAGACACCTGTTGGCAGATAGATTGATTATATTGAACCACTTACATCAAGAACAATGCAGTATTTTGTTTTTACTGAAAGAGATAATTATTCTAGAAATGAATTTGCTTTTTCTGCTTACAGAGCTTTTGTCAGCTTCAGCATATGCGGACTTAGTGAATGCTTTGTTCACATGTGGCATTCCACACAATATTGTTTCTGACCACACAATATTGTTTCTGACCACAGAACTAATTTTACAATGAAAAAATGTGGTAATTCTTCCATACCTACATGATTCACTGGTCTTATTTTGTATTTCATCTCATAGAAGCATCTGGTTTTGTAGAATGGTAACATGGCTTAGTGAAGACTCGATTATTGTGATAGCAAGAAGGGCAAAGTTTGTGTGGGTGGAGAGATGTCCTACAAAATCCATTATATGCTTTGAACTGGTGACCAAATCTGTGATGCATTTTATTCCGCAGCTAGAATACACTTATCTAGGAGCTAAGAGGGAAAGAAGAGGTGATAGGGTTTTGCATCATTTTTTTTCTAATAACCATTATTCCTCATGAAGGACTTGCAAAAATTTGCATCACACGCCCACATCTTTAGGCCCTGTTGATTTAGCAATTTTAGTTTCTAAGTGTGAAAAGCTTGCTTTAGAGGACACTGCAAGGACATGGAAGTTCATTTTGTTCTTCTCCTGTCACTGAGGTAAAGAAGGGGTTTCGCTACACTGCCTAAGGTGATTGATCCTCTAGTAGGGTTGCTGGTTTAAAATGAGGTTGAGAAAACATATATGTGCTCATCATCAGCAGGATCCAGCCTGGACCCCTGATTCCTGACTGCCAGCTATGGCCCTTTTTGGTATACCTATGGCCTGTCTTTGGGAGTGGGGTGAGATTAGTTGGCAACTGGTCGAAGAATAGGAGGGGGACGAGAGTGTGGGTTGTGGGAGGTGAATAATATGTAGAGGCCTGGTGGGGAGACGGTGGACCTCTAAATAGAAACACTGCCTCTTTCACATATTTCAGCTGTAGTAATTCATTTTTGGCTTCACATTTTTTCTTTATGTGTCTGTTTTGTGGCAGCTGGGGCCCCTGCAGCCTTTGATGGCTAATAACACAGTCCAGAGGTATGCAGTAAGTAATAGCAGACCGAGAGAGAACCTCCAGTGGGGAGCAGACAAGTACAAGATCACCCTTGACTCCCACCTGCTGAGGGTCCACCTGAGAATTGTAGCAGGCAGTTTCTGTGTTCTTGGGAAGAAGGTCTGTCCTTTCCAGGGGCGTGAATTCCACAGGAAGTTCTGGAAAACAGAGAAAGACTGAAGGAAGGGCAGTTTTGTAGAAATGACTGTTCTATGGGAGGAAGACACTGGGCTGAAGAGAAAAGGGGAGGTAGATGGGAAGCCATGTTCTTAAGAGCCTTGTAGACTAGGCCATGGGGTGAGTGGTGTAACAGTGTTAGGAAGGGTGGCCTGACGGACCCTCCCTGGAATCTCTGGGAGGTTAGGGGTTGATGGTGACGATGTTAGCAATGATATCACCATCACCACTGCCATCTCCATTGCTTATTGAGAATTCATATAGACCAGCTACTGTGATCAATGTTTTTATGTTCATGATCACATTTAATGCTTACATGGTTAAATGAATTGCCTAAAGTCACTAAACAGTGACAAAATCGCAGGTAAGGAAACATCTGGAACTCGAAATCATTTCTGACTGAGTCCACAACCCACATTTTGAACCACTATCATATAGAATTAATGTTTATTCTTTTTCTCTTCTTGATTGACCCTGACTTCCAAACAACAAGGTCTTGCTTTCTATCTGTAAAGCTCAGACCAAGCCCATCTTTCTGTGACCACCACATGTTAGCCTGTGATGTGGGCATTCCTCCCTTCTGGGAGTCCTGTACCAATCATTGTCCGTTTCAGTTATTTGGGGCACTCAGATGCTACATAGTATTACCCTTTAAAAAAAAGATAATGGAAAGGCAGAGTCAGAGAAAAAAGAGAGCAAGGAACCTGGAGTCCCAAGGACTGAATTTGGTTTCCAATTTAGACCCCTACTATTTTTAAAAACTCTGGCCTCCATTTCCACATGTATAAATCAGACATAACAGAAAAACCTACCTCATAGGGTTGCTATGAAATGAATGAGGAGGTTGTAGGGACAACCTTTTAAAACTAAAGAATGAGATACAGACACTGTTTGGTTATATATTGATGTTGGTTAAGCTAAAATGATGTATACCCTAAACCAAGTTTCATCCTCAGTCTTGGTTAGCTCCCACCCCCACTTCATGCCCTTCCATGCTTTCTGGATAACTATATTATAGTATCCCATACTATATTGTAACATGAATTGTGTAAACACAACTCATGTGTCATGTTTTTGCATCTCTGCCACCTAATGGTAATTGTCATGTGAATGAATATTTGTACATAAGAGAAACGTTTTGACTTTCTGAATGGTACAATAGGGCTAGCATAGCAGGGAGGGGGGACTTTCTAAACTTAGAATAGAAGAAAAAAGGGTTTTTTTTTTTTTTTTCTATTCTGGATGCTCTTTTACCAACTTACAGGCCAGGAACTGGAATAAGTCACCTAAGTTCCATTCCTGCTCTAGAATTTTATGAGGCCATGAAGTGTGTTGAGTAGCAAAACAGCTTAAAATATAAGAAATTCAACCCAAGTTATAAAATAGTCCCATTTGTATTTTACCAAAAGCTGGAACTATTTGTCCCTAGTTACTCATGTTTTATGTATTTTAAAAGATAAAACAGGGACAAAAACAAGTAGCAGCATCTGCTCTGCACATTTTTCTCTCTCTGACGTCCTCAGGATATTTTCTTCTCTGTTTTTTTTTTTTTTTTTTTTCAGATTACATACATCTGAGAATTAAAGGATAAATGCTTCATTTACTGCTAAATAGCTTTCTGGCCTGCCTGTGAATAAAGAGAGGTGGAAAAAATGAGAGAACAGGACCCTCAGCTTGTAGCCCTTGTGTTTCTGGTGGGGAACATGCAGAGAGCCAGCAGGCATGGGGACTAAGCTTCTTCCAAGCTAGACTTGTTGCATTCCAGCAACTTAGACACAATCACACCCACAGAAAACCGCCACAGTCCATGACTTGCTGTGTGTGCGTGTGTGTGTTAAAATGGGAGACTCATTCTTGAGCAATCTGAGAAGATGACTCAGGACAATAAGACACTGAACTAAGTGGCAGGACCATTTGGCTCAAAGAAACTAGAAAAGGGATCACTGAACAGGCTTAGAGAAACCAAGAGATTTGAAATGGCAGCTCCTTTTGATGAAACGTCCCACTGGCATGTTCAGGGTGTCATTGATTGGGGTGCTATTCCAGGCCTTTGATTATGTTCAGACCTTATCTGTGGTTTTTTTTTTTTTTTTTTTTTTTTGGTGATAAAGTCAATGTAAAATTTCTTCTGCCCCTGCTAGGTAGGGGTTATCATTGAGGGTCTACCAGGGTGAGTAGGAAAGCAGACAAGACCCTGCTCAGGATTCTGACCTGTGAGACTGTCTTTGGAGTGTGTTTTTGTCTATTTCACTCTGGCACCTCCCAACATGCTTCATGCTTTCCACTCTTAAAGCCTTTGTTTTGCTATTCCCAACTGGAATAATCTTCACAGTATTTCTCTCTATTAAGGCATACTCATTTGTTGGTATGAAACTAAAATACTATTCTTTCTTTGTCAGTTCAGGCTGCTAAAACAAAGTACATAGACTGGGTGGCTGATAAACAACACACATATATTTCTCTTGGTTCTGGAGGCTGGAAAGTCTGAAATCAAGGTGCCAGCATGGTCGTGTGCTGACGAGGATCCTTTTCTAGTTGCAGATGGTAGACTTCTTAGTGTCCTCACTTGGTGGAAAGAGGGTGAGAGAGCTGCTGGGTTTACTTTCACAAGGGCACTGGTCTCATGCTTGAGGGCCCCACCTTCGTGACCTAATTATCTCCCAAAGGATCCACCTCCTAATCACATTTTATTGGGGGTTAAGATTTTGACATATAAATTTTATGGGGACATAAATATTCAGGCCATTGTACACTTCCTCTGGAAGCTTTGCTGGAGCTCTCAGGCTGGAAGCTTTCTCTCCTCTGACCTTGCCCAGTACCTACAATCTCTATGATCCACTTGGCCTCACACATCTATGGCCTGGTGCCATTGGCATTTGTTTGCCAGATTTTCCTCTCCTCTTTGGTTCTAAGCCTTGGAGGGTAGTGTCTTGGGGTACCCTAAGGGTAGTCCTGGAGGGTAGGCATCTTATTCTTAACTCTTGACTGAATCTCACCTCAGTTTTATTCTTTATCATCTATCAGGTAGACTAACAGTAGTTTCTGCTAAAGTTTGAATGTATCCCCAAAGTTCATGTGTTAGAAACTCAATCCTCAATCCAACGGTGGAACTGTTGACTGAGAGGTGGGACTTTTAACAGATCATTAGGTCATAAGTGTTCTGCCCTCGTGAATGCCACTGTCATAGGAATGGGTTCCTGATATTTGTATTCCTGAAATATTGTATTTCTGAAATAGGGCAGGATGAGTTCTGCCCTATTTCCTCTCTTTCTTATGCACTCTTGTGCCCTTCTGCCTTTTGCTGTGGGATGATGCAGCAAGAAGACCTTCATCAGACTCGACCTCTTGATCTTGGACTTTGCAGACTCCAGAATGGTGAGCCAAATAAATTTCTGTTCATTATAAACAACCCAGTCTGTGGCATTGTGTGACAGCAGCACAAAATGGACTAAGACAATTTCCTAACTGGCTGTGTCTACCTCCAGTCTCCATGCCTGATCAATCCATGCACTGCACTGCCCCAAATAATTTTTCTATGATGCAGGTCTGATAATGACTTTCCCTTGTAAAGTACGTCAGTGGATTTTTGTTTAATTTTGGTAAAATTGTGACATATAAATCTCTCCTCAATTTGGCTTCTTCTAGCCTGTCTGGTCCCACTTCAATCCCTTCCTATCATCTAACTTTGCTGAATGACTTACTTTTTTCTGGGACATTCCATAATTTTTCTAATACCTTCGATTCAATCTCCCTGCCTGGAATGTCTTTCCCAGACTTGATTACCAGGAGAACTCCTATGACATATTTGAAGATTTTATTCAAATATTACTTCCTTGGGGAAGTCTTTTTCCTCTTAGCAAAGTTAATAATTGGCTTTGTACAGTATCATTTTATAAAACACATAGTATATGAAGATTACATGACAGGATACACATAAAGAGCTTAATGTAGCATCGGCACAAAGGTTGTCTATAAATACTGGCTATTATTATTTTCTCTTCTTTTTTTTTTTTAAGAATTATACTAGCAGGCGAAGAGAGAAAAGGTACCACTTAAATAAGGGAAGCATACTTTTGAGTGTGGATGAATCCAGAAAAGAAACTTCTGTCTTATTAACACACATATGTCAATATCTAGCAACAGAGAAAATAATCCCATCACAGAATAAAAGGTGGTCAGTTTCCCTTTTGCTATTTTGTCCTCAACTTGAAAGCAGAGGCACTGAGTCCCAGATGTGTTATATAAGGGAGTTCTATGCTTAACCAGAAGCTCATTTTGAAAGTCCAGTCTTAATCAGTTCCACCTGCCTGAAATATCTTCATCTTCTTGGTCTATCTAGTGTCACCCTATCCAGGTGACACTATATGCGCTTTAATAAAATATCTCCCAATTATTCCAGCCTATTGGACTTTTTTTTTGGTAATACTCTTGCTATTTTTTAGGTGTGTGTTGTGGGCCAGGGCTAGGGCAAGGGGCAGGGAGAAAGGGAGAGAAGTTGTTTTCTGAAGAGGACTATTATGGTATATTCCAGGCTGGCAGCTTTTTCTGGACCAAATATCTACCTTCCTTGCTGAGGAAAGCAGATCTAGACTTCTCCTTAAGCAGGGGCACTGCATGCCAAGTGGCCCTCTGGTTCTGGTTGATTGGAATATCAGTAGCCAGGATGGACAGTTCAAAAGCAGAGACCTCAGAGAGAGCCAGTGAGAGGAACTCTGCCCACAAATGGGTCCTGGCAATGACGAAGACCAGTCTAATTTTCCTTCTTGGGAGTTTATTGTGAGGAGCAGAGCCAGCCAGATGATCATATGATGAGAGACAAGACTGAGCACAGGTGTCAGACTGATCGCCCCTCACTAAGTAACAAAGCCACCAAGCTCCAGAGCTAAAGAACATCTGACAATCCTGTCTGTCCGGAGAGTCCCTTGCATAAGACAGACTTTCCAGTTTACTTTTGGTAAGACCAGGTTCCTCAGTTCCAGTGGGATTTCTCCCTCCTCTTATTACTAGCTCTATAATACCCAACCTCTGCCCCATTTTTTAAGGTAGGGAAGCCATTAAATGATTCAGATGTCAAATTGCTACTGAGCAGGAATGTCTGCCTTTCTGCACCTTGGCAGAGCTGAGCATGTAGTATATTCCAGTAAGGGGTGGTTGATTAATTGATTGAGTTTAACAAGATATCAGAGTCTTGATTCTTCTTCCTGTGTCTCCCATGGAAAATGTAACCTAGACCTGGGCATATAATAGGTGCAGCACATGTACAGAATGCTTGTCGCCTAAAGGACTGGCTCTGATTATCCACTTTCATTTCTTAGCACATGCTACTCTAGATTGGTTGAAGGAATATAGGAAATTCAATGAGCTCTTCTGGTCCCAATTTATGTCTTTAAAATAATATTGATAACACCAAGGCCTTGTCAACCTTGACAGGTGAGATTAGAATCAAGCTTTTAAAGGCTCCCCTCTCCCCTGCAAGTAGGGTCAGTTTAGCAGTAAAAAAGAAGTTTCATGTTATTTTACTAATTTGAGCCTCATAGGAACCCTGAAAAATACTCTTTGTAATTATTCTCATTTTTGAGATGAGGAAACTGAGGCTCAGAAAAATTAAGGAATGTGGTCAAAGTATCAAGCACACACACACACACACACACACACACACACACACACACACACACATATACACACAGAGTAAATAAATGGCAAAGGTGAGATTTGGAATCTAATCTTAATACCAGAGCTACTCTTTTAGGTTTCTGGAAAACTGAAAAGTCAGAAAGAGCAAAAATGTGGTTCTCCTCAGAGGGAAGGAAAGATAAATTTGAGGCTTCCATTCTTCTGTGGATTGAATGCCTCCTGGGCTGAGGAGATAGCAGTAGAATAGTTTGGTACCCCATTGTGGCAATAGTCTGAATTGACGTTCACAAATTACTTGAAGGCCAGATACTGGACTTCATCATAAAATGCAAAGCATTATAACTTGAGCCTCTTTACTTCTCAGCACATCAATTAAGGGTAAGAAATAGGGTAAGTCAGCACCCTATTAGAAACTTCTCAGAAGTTCCAATAAATAGCAAATGAAAAAACCAACCAACCATCCAAATTACTCCCCAAATTGTCCAACTAGAATTGAAGTTCTAAAAGAGTTCTAGGGGCATCACTTTCTTGGAACATTACAGGTTTTCCAGCATTGCAAGGTAATTCAAAGTAGATCATAGAGGAAAATTAACAAGACCCATTTCAATTTTAGAGAGACCAGACCATGAGGCAGGAAAGTATTAGCATCAGGGGCCCTTGAAACCAGGTTCTTTGTTGAAGGGGTTGGGGGGAAGGTCACCAAAACATGGCTGCACTTTTCTCCACCTTGACTATGTTACTAGGGGAGCTAGAAAATAATGAGATGGCTTGGGAATATCCAAAGAACGGTAGCAGAACTTGTGGGTTCTAGAAGTGAATGGGCCTGTCTGCCTGAGGTTTGCTTGGCTCTTGCTGTAGCTGCAGCAGCAGCTCATTCACCGGAACAGAAGGTTGCTGACTGTTTCTCCTTTTGTCCAGAATTGGGTGAACTTTGACTCAATCAACAGTGGTTGGCAAGTATGAGCAATGCTTTCATGAAGATGTCTGACTTAACTAAAATTAGTGCAATGTAATCATGACTTCATGTTGCCCAATATAATCTGTCTTGTGAAGAGAGGGGGTGATGTTTTTCAAATAGTTTTTAGCAGCATCATCAAAAAGAACTTGTAATCATCTCTCAATCATCCCTCCTGAGAGAGAACAGCAGAGTCTGGATGACACACAAGCCCCAAATCCCTTACATTTGTTTTTGATTAATGTTTGCATTTCATTGGAATGCAGGTGTTCCTAATGTTCTGGGAATTCAGATCATTTCAAACTCAACTGGAGTTTGAAGGCACAAACAAGACTGGAATCATCTCTAGTGGCCAGGGAAGGTTGAATAGTTCCCTCCAGAGTGAGTGGGTGTGGAATCCTTCCCAGCTGTTCTGACTGAGGCAAAGACAGCACATTACCTGACATGGCCATATGAAGCACCACCCATACACAGAATGGTTTGCACCTCTTCTTTTGAAAAGAATGGCTAAATGTCTGCTTTAATGACCCTGTACCAGACTATAGGGAGACTAAAGCATAAAGATGTGGCGAATTTTTTTATGGTAATGTCGAGGAAGCCTAACAAATTTTTAGTTAGATAACTTTGGTTTTGAATGACATCTCAGACACTTCTTAGCTACGTAATCTCGGAGAGATTTTGGAAGGTCTTTGAGTCAGTTTCCACATGCGTAAAAAATGTATAATGGTGCTTCCTTTGGTTATTATGCACAATAAAGGAGATATTGTAGTAGGTACTCTATATGTGGTTATCATGCTATTACTAAGAAGTGCTTGAACCTGGCTTACTTTATTTTGTTAATAGGAAGTTGGAACTAAGATAGGATATAAACTAGCCTATGAATATTTGAGCACAAACGTGAAAACTTACATCATTATCCTGGAGAAACAGATTATCCTCTACTAAGGAGGTCTAGAAAAAACAGTATACAACTCTTAACGTTTGAGTTAAGCTGACATTCATATCTGAAATTGTCATCCACCAAAGTGCAAAGCAGCAAGTGGGAGCTGAAAATATTTTACTCAATTATATGTTTTAACGTATTCTTTGAAGGGGTAATGGAGGATGGTGGACCCACATGTAGTGAGCAATCATTCTTAAGGTACAGTGTATTCAGTGGATGAGTCCCTTTGGATAGGAAGTTCAGTTGATAAGCTCCGTTGGTCCTTGATAGTCCTCAGCTTTTAAGTCTAATGAGTCTCTACATAACCAAGTGGATGTATCATATTTTTCTATCACCTGGTAGTCATTTGGTGAAGACTTTGGAGGGATGTAAATAGAACAGCTTGATCTTGGAAACCCAGGAAGAGCCCAGCATCCTGGGGATTTGTCCCAGCATGCTTCATGGGAGATATTACACATGAAGCCCAAACCACCTTCCATCACAGGCTAAAATAGAGATCTGCTTAGTTTTATGTCTGAGACCTAGATTCAATGTTATAGTCCATCTATGTGGTCCACCTTCTCCCTGCCAAAAGGGTAGTTTTTGCCTCTTTGTATGCTCTGGTGTCTTTCCAATCAAATCAGCAGTCTTATTATTCATACTCTACTTCCTTCCATTTCTTTCTCATTGCACTTCCAGGACCAGGAGACAAGCATAGAGATAGATATTGGAGACAAAGATATAAATGTCCTTGTTTTTGTCCTCAAGGAGTTCTTGGTCCTGAGTAGGGTCAGCATGTGCTAATAGTGTGAAAAATAAAACTACAGATATCTGGACATGATACAGAGACAGGAGCACACAGAAAGGGTGTTAATTTCTGATAAGCCAAGGTCAAGAATAATGGAAATGAGCAAAGCCTTTAGAGCAGAAGGAGCACCTGAATTGAATTTATTCATTCAATATTCAACAGATGTTTACTGAGCAGTTATTATATATCAGGTCTGTTCTAGGTACTAGGGATACAGCAGTGAATAAACAAATAACACATAGGTAAAGATTTAGTATGCTATATGGTATTAAGGACAATGGAGAAAAATAAAGGATAAAAGAGAGGTAGAAAGTCCAGCAGTGGGATAAATGAAATATTAGAGGATGAATATTGATCTTTATTGTTAGTCCACTCAGGCTGCTACAACACAGTACTGGACATTTATTTCTTACAATCCTGGAGGCTGGAAAGTTTAAGATCAAGATGCCAGCTGATTTGGTTCTTGGTGAGAGCTCTCCTCTTGGCTTGCAGACTGCTGCATTTTTCGAGTGCTCTGAGAGAGAGAGAGAGAGAGAGAGAAAGAGAGAGAGAGAGAAATAGAGTGAGATAGGGCACGAGAGAGCTCCCTGGTTTTTCTTTTTATAAGGGCACTAATTCCATTATGAAGGCCCCACCCTTATAACCTTATCTAAAGCTAATTACCTCCCAAAGACCCCATCTGTTAATACCATAAAATTCTGAGTTAGGACTTCAACATAGGAATTTTGGAGTGGGGACACAACTCAGTTCATAGCATTTATAAAGTAGTTGCTTTTTGAGAGAGCTGTTTGGATGGTGGCACCACAATGTCTTCTAAAAATGCAAAATCTTTGTTTTCACTGCTAAATTATATGAGTAACAGACACTCCTTATTCTCACTCCAAACCTAATTCCCAAACTATTTGCTGCTAATTTTCATTTTCTACTTAATTCATTTTTGACTTGTTTAAATTTCTTGAAAGTGCACATTATTATTATATTCAGAGAAAGAAAAAATTTAAACTCTGAAAGGCACTGGGCTCATCATTTGGGTATACCATTTGCCACCTCCTAAACTATTATTGTAAAAGAGATTAGTTATATTAAATAGAATATTTCAGATGAGAGGAGTACTTAGAGAGCAGTACCCAATTGAGAATTTCTTGTGTTGTCTAGATCTAAGAATAAGGGATTATATTTTGGTTCGAATATCCTCCACACCCATGTCTAATATTTTATTTTATCAAATCAGGACACTCATAAAAAAGAGGTGTCTATCAATTGGAAGCATAAATACTATATTAAGAAAATGTATTTAATAATTGAAAGTAACTGCAATCATTGTAAATTTGAGATGGAAATTAAAGAAAATAAATGAGTTCTCAAGGATTAAGAGATACTTTGCATAGAAAAGTTTCTGAGTTGAGTATCTGAAAACATATTGGTTTTTTATTCCATTTAGTTTGTTAGAATACCCAGCTTATTTCTCATAAAAATCCCTGATTCCGGCTGGGCACGGTGGCTCATGCCTGTAATCCCAGTACTTTGGAAGGCCGAGGTGGGTGGATCACGACGTTAGGAATTTGAGACCAGCCTGGCCAACATGGTGAAATCCCATCTCTACTAAAAATACAAAAAATTAGACGGGCATGGTGGCGCATGCCTGTAGTCCCAGCTACTCAGGAGGCTGAGGCAGAAGAATCGCTTGAACCAGGGAGGCGGAGATTGCAGTCAGCCGAGATTGTGCCACTGTACTCTAGCCTGGGTGACAGAGTAAGACTCTGTCTCAAAAAATAAATAAATAAATAAATAAATAAATAAATAAATTAATTAATTCCTAATTCCTGTCCCTCCCCCAGTCTCATTCACAATCCCTAACCCAAGGGAGTGTGATTGGTGGTGATAAGGTGAGGTGTGTGTTGAATGGGGCTCAGGGATCTGGGAATGATAATTTCCCAAGGAGAATACGGGCGCTGGTACAGAAGAAGGGAGAATGGTTCGGTTGTTGGGTGGTCAAAACACAGCTGATCATCAGAGTGTCTTTTTCTCCTATACTTGTATGTTGAGATTTTTTTCCACTTTAAGGCCTAATAAATGCTGCCTTTTCAATGCAATCTTCCCTGATACTTTCTATTCACTCCTCAAAACAGAATTCATCTGTCTCCTTTATTTATTTATTTATTTTTGCTTCTAAAGCAGTTTATTGATATGTTTGTCACAGAATATTGTTTTCTCCCTTGGATTAGTGTTCTTATTCAAAAACATTCTTATCTCTGGTATTAAGAGCAGCTGGAAAACCACGGCACTGTGTTATTTCTCACTCCTCCCCCAGTAAGGCCTAAAAACGATTACATTAAAATGCATCTGACCCCCTTTTCCCCACAAGCAGCATATGGAGCTGCTCTCAGGCTTAGACCAGGCGGAGGTCTGAATCTTCCTGAGTATTTACAGTTGTAAGACTGGTGGAGAGAAATATACATTTCTTCCCTCTGCATCTCCAAACTAGTTTGGCTTAGTAGTGAAGCTTCTACCCCTTAAATTTATACCAAAAAAAAGAAGATGGCTCTTGAAAACGCTTTCTATAAAGCATATTTCTTTATCAGAATTACTTGGGGATTTAGTCAAAAGTGGAGACTTCAGGGTCTCACCTCATGCCCTCAATCAGAATCTTTGTTGATGCTTTCTTTTAATGGCTATACATATTGATGTCTAGCTTATCAGTTCTAAGATCTACAGTGTCAGATACCAAGAGGAGTTATTCAATGACACATTCATTGATTTTTGTGTTATGTGACTATCTCTGAGTAAGGGAGGAAAAGTGCCACTAAATAGAAGAGACTTTTGTACAGGAATTCCAAGGGATTGTCTAAAAGCTGAATAATACCTGTAATTAGACTCTTAGCAAAGATGCCCATTTCTATCCACATTGCCAGATCTCTAGAAGTTTTGTATGGCACTTCAGGAGAGGGCTCCAACACCCAGACACTTCATGTGTCTGGTAAGTTTTTGGTTCTTGTCAGTTGCTCATTTCTCTCCCAGTCACCTCTGGGAGTGTCAATGGCTTATCTCACTCTGCAGTGGCGGCCCCAAATGCAGGCTGCAGGTCACCCCGGCTTATCACCACTTTACATGGCTTCTCCAAGCAAATGGTGAGCCCTACTTGACTTGGGCCAAGAGCTGTATTGATTATTAACTACAGAAAAACATCTGGTTTTCATTATTCGTGGTAGCAGACCAGAGCGGGGTGCTGTGCTGGCTGGTGTGGTCACTTAACAACCATCAAGACTAGCTATAAAGAAAATTTAACATATCCTGTAATTACAGTCTGCCAAGCACAGAGGGGAGGAGGAATCTGCAGATCTGATTTCAGGACAAGAGAAAATGTTTATTGTATCTGTTCCACACATTTATTTACTCAGAGGTCAGGAGGCTTGTTGAAATATGGCCGCTGGGTACTGACGCTCCTGCAGCAGCAGAGCGCCTTCTTGTTTAGGTCAGGAAGCTTCAGTGTGGCTCCAGGCGGATGGTCCCTTAATGCTTTTACAGGCTTTGGAATTTGGGCTGATGGAAAAGGATGGGTGGATCTTGTCTGGAATAAACAATCCTTCTCCCACACAGTGCTGGGTGCCCTCCCCTGGGGCTCTTCTCAACCTTCTGGAGGCTGCCTTCAGGGGCTTTTCCAACTGCTCCCTTCCCACTCCCTGGCAAAGGGTGACTGGGACAGTGAATTAGCACTTATTGCTCATCAAATATGTGCCACGCAAGTGCTGGGTGATTTGAACACATTTTCGTTTCTACTCCTCACAGTTCCCTGTGAGTTAGACATTATTATTCTCATCTATAAAATGAAACTGAGGTGGGGCATTGTGGCTCATACCTGTTATCCCAGAACTTTGGGAGGCAGAGGTGGACAGATCACTTGAGGCCAGGGGTTCAAGACCAGCCTGGCCAACATGCTGAAACCCCGTCTCTACTAAAAATACAAAAATTAGCTGGGCTTGGTGGTGTGGGCCTGTAATCCCAGCTACTCGGGAGGCTAAGGTAGGAGAATTGCTTGAGCCCAGGAGGTCCAGGCTGCAGTGAGCCCAGATCACACCCCACCTTCACTCCAGCCTAAGTGAGAGAGCGAGACTGTCTAAAAAAAAAAAAAAAAAAAAGAAGAAGAAACTGAAGCTAAGAGCTAAGAGTTGTTAAATTGGAGGAAGCAGTGGTTCCTTCCAGGACATAAAGGAAGAGTGCAACCACCCTACTGTCTTTCCAGAGCAGAAAAATGGAGATGCAGCAGTTTTTTTTTTCCAGACTTATGTTTAGAAGTTTTTTTTCTCACAGAATTTTTGACAGAGTGACCTCTGAACCAGTGGGTTAGAGAATTGGATTGACAATTCCCAGATGTATTCAGGAATAGGAACTGTAAAAAGCAAGTAAACCGAGCACCCCAACTTTCAAGGGTATTAAACTCTAAAATTGAGCTATCTATGTAGAAATAGGAGTAAACTACAAGCTAAGAGATTATCAAATACAAAATGGCAACCCCAGAAAACAGGTGAAGCCAGTGTTGGATCCATACATCAAAGGATGGCAGTGTGTGAAGGAGGAGGGGTGGGCAGGGCTGGTCTTAAAACTCTGAATTGAAGAAGGGGGAGTCTTTTAACTTCTCTTTTCCATTCTTTTGACCCCTAAGTCCCTTTAACTGTCTCTTCTTTCCCTTATCAAATGCTACCCATAGGAAAAGATGAGATGAATTTATTCAAACAGAAGCTTAAGCAGTTGAACTAATTTACACTCTCACTAACAGTGTAAAAGCGTTCCTATTTCTCCACATCCTCTCCAGCATCTATTGTTTCCTGACTTTTTAATGATTGCCATTCTAACTGGTGTGAGATGGTATCTCATTGTGGTTTTGATTTGCATTTCTCTAATGGTCAGTGATGATGAGGATTTTTTTTATGTTTGTTGGCTGCATAAATGTCTTCTTTTGAGAAGTGTCTGTTCATATCCCTCACCCACTTTTTGATGTTTTTTTTTTTTTTCTTGTAAATTTGTTTAAGTTCTTTGTAGATTCTCGATATTAGTCCTTGGTCAGATGGATAGATTGCAAAAATTTTCTCCCATTCTGTAGGTTGCCTGTTCACTCTAATGATAGTTTCTTTTGCTGTGCAGCTCTTTAGTTTAATTAGATCCCATTTGCCTATTTAGGCTTTTGTTGCCATTGCTTTTGGTGTTATAGTCATGAAGTCTTTTCCCATGCCTATGTCCTGAATGGTAGGTTTTCTTCTAGGATTTTTATGATTTTAGGTCTTACAATTAAGTCTCTAATGCATCTTGAGTTAATTTTTGTATAAGGTGTAAGACAGTGTGGCAATTCCTCAAAGATCTAGAACTAGAAATACCATTTGACCCAGCCATCCCATTACTGGGTATATACCCAAAGGATTATAAATCATTCTACTATAAAGACTCATGCACACGTATGTTTATTGCGGCACTGTTCACAATAGCAAAGACTTGGAACCAACCCAAATGCCTATCAATGATAGACTGGGTAAAGAAATTGTGGCACATATACACCATGGAATACTATGCAGCCATAAAAAAGGATGAGTTCATGTCCTTTGCAAGGACATGGATGAAACCATCATTCTCAGCAAACTAACACAGGAACAGAAAACCAAACACTGCATGTTCTCACTCATAAGTGGGAGTTGAACAATGATAACACATGGACACAGGGAGGGGAACATCACTACTGCCTGCAGAAATTTTCCTACTCTCCCTCTGACCATTTCAAAGAAGGTAAAGCTAGGGAATGGGAACGCTGGCATGAATATGCTGTGGACCTGCCACATGGTGTATGTACATGGGAGAAGAGGGGTTACCATTTTAGTTTGGGAAGTAAAGGGTTCTTTCAACTTTGTCTTTTTCATATTAGTAGTTATGAAAAGTTCAGAATCCCTGAAATTTTTATACCAGTAAACAGAAAAAAAAATCGAAGGAGTAATAATGACGTTTTTTATGCTTTCAAATTCTTCAGATTTTTGGAGGCTGCTGTAACAATAAATAGAAGAAAATTTATAGCCTATAAATATCTAGGATATTCTGGTTAAGCATGATGATTTTTTTCTGAAATTTTACTAAATTTATAATAAAGGAATAAAAAAGGATAAACCAAGAAGAGAAAAGAAGAGATAAAAGCAAAATTTCGAAGCTGGAAAGTGAATAAACCAGTGTGGCAAATTACTTTGCACTTTGGAGTTGAAAACTCAATGCCTGTAGGCAGGAAGGACCACTAAGAAGTGAGCTGCACAACCTTGGAAGGAACCCCAAATCAAAGGCAGCAGTATAGACGCAAAGACCTGGATCCTCTTCATCAACCTTGGCAGCCTGGCCCCTCTCCTAGCTTCTGGACCACGGAAAGTTCATTCTCAGAAGAGACTGAAAGAAAAAGGTCCTGGATTCAAGAACACTAGGAATGGTAGAGGAAGGAATATCAGAAAACAAGAGGGTTAAGTGAAATTTACATACCGACCATTGATACTCCAGCTCCCTTCCTGAAGCAGTTCTTGGAATGTGAACAGCCAGAGTTATACCCTCCTGGCAGGAGATTGGATGCTTTGTTCCTGGGGAAACTTGCCAAAAAAGATCTAAAAATACATTAAAGTTTCCCAAGGAAACAATCAGGTCTCCACCTACAAGGAAGCTCACTCACTAGTTGAGAAGACTTTTTTTCTTTTCTTTTCTTTTCTGTTTTTTTTGTTTGTTTTGTTTTGAGACGGAGTTTAGCTCTTTCGCCCAGGCTGGAGTGCAGTGGCGCAATCTTGGCTCACTGCAACCTCTGCCTTCCGGGTTCAAGTGATTCTCCTGCCTCAGCCTCCCAAGTAGCTGGGATTACAGGTGCCCGCCACCATGGCTGGCTTATTTTTGTATTTTTAGTAGAGATGGGGTTTTGCCATGTTGGCCAGGCTGGTCTCGAACCCCTGACCCCAGGTGATCCGCCTGCCTCGGCCTCCCAAAGTGCTGGGATTACAGGCGTGAGCCACTGCGCCTGGCCTAGTTGAGAAGGCTTTCATGCAAAAAATGCTTCTGAATAATATTTTAATAATTCACTTTTACATAGGAATTTATAGTCAAGGATCACCAGCATGTGAGGAATGCCTCCATGGTGAAAATAGAAACCTTAATTAATGTAACAACAACAAAAAACCCAGAAACTCAGAGAAGGAAAGACAATACAGGGAACAGAAACAAACTGAAAACAAAACAAAACAAAACTCTCCCAAATAATTAATATTTTCAGAAATATAAAAAGATAGTATGAGGGAAAAACACAATTACACTTAAAAGAAGAAACATTCAGAGAACAGAAATAACTTTCGCAAGTTAAAAAGCAGAATAAAGTAACCAATATAATAGGTGGAAAATAAAGTTAAAGAAATTAAGCAGATGGTTGAAAAATGCGAGAGAAAAGATAAGAGAATGAAATGCTCAGGCGAGAAACTGATAGGACTTCTAAAAAGAAAGAACAGAAAAAACAGAAGGGAGGAAATTATCTAAGAAATAACACCACCCATGGATACGAATTTCTGAATTAAAAAGGCTCACTGAGTGCAGATTAAAAGGACACATACTAAGAAGATCATTTGTGAAATTTCAGCACTGGGAACTTAGAGAAGATCCTAAAAACTCTGACAGAGAAGAAATAAAAGGAGGAAGAAGACGAAAAGAAAATCAGGTCTGTATTAGTCAGGACTCTCTAGAGGGACAGAACTAATGGAATATATATATATATTTATATATATAGGGAATATATATATATTTATATATAGGGAATATATATATTTATATATAGGGAATATATATATATAGGGAATATATATATTTATATATAGGGAATATATATATTTATAGGTATAAGGAATATATATATGCATATATATGGGAGTTTATTAAGTATTAACTCACACGATTAACTCACATGATTAAGTATTAACTCACACGGTCACAAGGTCCCACAATTGGTCGTCTGCAAACTGAGGAACAAGGAATCCAGCGTGAGTTCCAAAACTGAAGAACTTGGATTCAGATGTTCGAGGGCAGGAAACATCCAGCATGGGAGAAAGATGTAGGCTGGGAGGCTAGGCCAGTCACTCTTTTCACATTTTCTGCCTGCTTATATTCTAGCTGTGCTGGCAGCTGATTAGATTGTGCCCACCCAGATTAAGGGTGGGTCTGCCTTTTCCAGCCCGCTAACTCTAATGTTAATCTCCTTTGGCAACACCCTCACAGGTACAGTCAGGATCAATACTTTACATTCTTCAATTCAATCAATTTGACACTTAGTATTAACCATCACATGTCATACCCAAAGAACTGGCAATCACTGTGGCATCAGGCTTCTCAAAAACAAAGGAAAGCAAAGCAGAGTGAAGGAACACCTCCATGACATTCTATGCCTATCCAAACTATCAGCCAAGCAGGAATGTAGAATGAAGACACGAAAAATCTCAAAAAATTTACCTCCACGTTTTATCTGTTATCCATCAATGGGCATTTAGGTTGTTTCCACATCTTGGCTATTGTGAATAATGCTACAATGAACAACAAATGTGGGAGTGCAAATATCTCTGCAACATACTTATTTCAGTTCTTTTAAATATATACCCAGAAGTGCTGCATCATAAGACACTTATATTTTTAATTTTTTGAGGACCTTCCATATTGTTTTCCATAGTGGGTACACCATTTTATATTTCCACCAACAATGTACAACGTTTCCAATTTCTCAACATTCTTGTCAAAACTTATTTTTTAAGAAATAATAACCACCTTCTGTGGGCTAGATATTTGTGTCTCCTGACCCCTAAAATTTATATGTTGAAGCCTAAATCCTTAAATACCATGTGATAGTGTTAGAAGGTGGGGCCTTTGGGAGGTAATTAACCCATAAGGATAGAGTCCTCCTTAATGGGATTAGTGCCCTTTTAAAAGGAGGAGGAGACACAGGGTTTCTCTGCTCTCTGCCATGTGAGGATATAATAAGAAGACGACCATCTCTGAACCAGGATGTCCTTACCAGAAATTGAATATGCTGGCATCTTGATCTTGCATTTACTAACCTCTAGTACTGTGAGAAACAAATTCCTGTTGTTTATAAGTCACCCAGTCTATAGTACTTTGTTATAGCAGCCTGAACTGACTAAGGCACCATCGTAAACAGGTGTGAGATATCTCACTGTGATTTCATTTGCATTTTCCTGTGGTACATACATGCAATGGAATATTATTCAGCCTTAAAAAAGAAAATCCTGCTATGTGGAACAACATGAATAATCCTTGAGGACATAATGTATGCCAAGTGAAATAAGTTAGTCACAGTAGAATAAATACTGCATTATTCCATTTATATGAAGTATCTAATATAGTCAAACACATAGAAGCAGAAGAGTAGAATAGTGGTTACCAGGGGCTGGAAGTGGGGGAAGTGAGAGTTACTATTCAATGAGTATAATGGTTCAGTTAAACCAGATGATTAAGTTCTAGAGATCTGCTGTACGACATTTGCTCATGGTGGACAACACTATATTGTATGCATACTTAAAAATTTGTTAAGAGGCAATGAGAACACATGAACACAGGGAGGGCAACATCACACTCCAGGGCCTGTCAGGGGGTAGGGGGAAAGGGGAGGGAGAACATGAGGACTAATACCTAATGCACTTGGGGCTTAAAACCTAGACGATGGGTTGACAGGTGCAGCAAACCACCATGGCACATATATACCTATGTAACAAACCTGCATGTTCTCCACATGTATCCCAGAACTTAAAGTAAAAAAAAAATTGTTAAGAGGGTAGATCCTATGTTAAATATTCTTACCAGAATTAAAGTACAAAAGAAAAACAAAAAAATTATTACAATGATCTCTTTCACAGGAAGCCATTGGTAGTGGTGTTTCTCTAAAACAAAAGGGTAACCCCCCAAAATTAAATAAGAAATACAAGAACTGTGAGGGAGAGAGAATTCCAAAAAATTGTGAAGGAAATTGTGAAGGAAGATTGAACATTAAGTCACTTCTGCTGAGAGATGGAAAGCAACCAACACAGATTGAGCAGAAGGCTGGGAGGATGCAGAAGGCTGGGAGGATCCAGAAGGGAGATCATTGAGGAAAACATGAAAGTAATAGATGACGCAGTATGTTTGTCTGAAAAATTGAGACTATGAAAGAAAATTAGTGATAAACACACAGAATAATAAGGAAGGAAAAAATGAGACAATTATTGACTCTAGGGAAACAAATCTGTACAAAAATAGAAATACAATTGCAATGTACAAAATGGCTCTCCTGTGAATAATATCCATATATTCATAATATAAAAATTGAATATTGATAAAAATATAACTACTATATTAGCTTCCTATTGTTATGTAACAAATCACTCCAGATTTAGTAGTCTAAAACAATACTCATTTATTAGCTCATAGTTCCGTAGGTGAGACGTTCAGGCACAGAGACTCACTGGACTTTCTCCTCAGAGTCTCGCAAGGCTCAAATCAGAGAATCAGCTGGGTTGTCTTCCTTTTTGGAGGCTCTGGGGAAGAATCCAATTCCAACTTCATTCGAATGGTTGGTAGAATTCATTTTCCAATGTTTGTAGAAATGAAGTCTTTATTTCCCTGCTAGCTGTTGGCTGAGGACTGCTCTCAGCTCCAAGAGACTGCCCCCCTCCATCAGGTGTTCACAACATGAGTGTCTGCTTTCTTCCAGGCTAGCAGGAGTGCATTCTTGTCTCATTCTTTTGTTCCTAGCCAGAGACAACTTTCCTTCTAAGTGCTCATGTGATTAGGTCAGACCCAGTTGAATATTCTCTCTACCACTGAAAGTGGGAAAAAAAAGACATGTAAGTATATGTTTCAAAATATAAAGATATTAATAATTATCTGAAGAAATATTTTAAAAATGGTTGCCTATGGGGAGTAAGCTTCAGGAATGGGGTAGTATGGAACAGTAGATGCCATTTTCTGTGATATGCCTTGAATATTGCTATATTTTACTGAATCTAAGGTTTACTGATTGTATGGTCCATTCTGATTTTGGGGATATTAAAACCTGAGAAATGTGATTTGCCTTATATAGACTATATATGTATTTTATATATATGTAAACACACACACACAAACACACACACACACGCTCTCTCTCTTTCTGAATAAAATAAAAATTAGGAGCAAACCAAAATCAGATCAAAGGAATGATCTCTTTCATTCCCTTGAGTGAGGAAAGTGTGTCCTGGTTTTGAGTGAGTTAGTGTGTCCTGGCCTGGTGCAGAATGTGAAGAACATTCAAAATAATCAAAATAATCTAAGGCCTTCCATGGGTGTCAAAAAAGTCCTTTAGAACATAAATATACATAAGGAAGGTTTAAGAAAAATAGTAACCAGAAGTATGAATGCATAACCCATCATTAACATATAATAAAGTAATAAATATAACATATTTTATATAAACTAATACATCTAATACATATAATATATGCAAATCTAACATATGCAAAAATAAAAATAATAAATACATTTGCATTTGCAAGCTATGGGTCAGTTCCTGTGTTAAGGTAAGTTGGTGGCAGATTCTTTGCCACCAAGTACCTCATAGTCCAGCAGATTATAAAAACTGGGTAGGAACTACAATAAGCCAACTGCCAGACTGGAGGAAATGGCTTGATATAGTTGGAACAATGGGTGAGTGAAGGATAGCTGCGGTAAAAAGTGTTGGAAGGCAGTATCTTTTCAATAATATTTTCTATAATAATTGATGTCTGTATATTTTCTTAGATTAGTCAAGTTTTAATTACCTGATTCAGTCCTTAAAATGCTCATTGCTAAGATATCCAAATATTTCTGATCTATGGATGTTGTCAGTGTTCAGTTTAGGGCTGTGTTTTTGATAGTTACTTCCATCATTTCCTACCATCTTAGTAGGAATCAATTCCTACCATCAATTCCTACCATCTTAGTATAGATTTGATATTCTCAATACTCCTTAAAGTCTTCCAGAGAGATATTCATTATAATTTTATGATGGTGAATAAGAAGAAAAATAATAAGAATACAAATCTTTTATATTTGTCAATGTAAGTATTATTTTTGGTGCACTTCATTCCTTTGTGTAGATTCAGATTTCCATCTGGTATCATTTTCTTTCTGCATGAAAATGCAGAAGGAAAATTGCAGTGTCAGAAATTCTTCAGCTTTGGTATGCCTAAAACATTTTAATTTCATTTTTGTTTTTTAAAAAATATTTTTGCTGAATATAGGATTCTTGATTGACAATTTCCATTTCTTTTAGTAGTTTAAAAACTGTAATGCATTGCTTAATGACAGGGGTATGTTCTGAGAAATGTGTGATTAGACAATTTTGTAGTTGTGCAAATGTCACAGTGTGTACTTACATAAACCTACGTGGTATGGCCTGCTACACACCTAGGCTATTTCGTATAACCTATTGCTGCTAGGCTACAAGTCTGTATGGCATCTTACTGTGCTAAATACTGCAGGCAACAGTAACACAGTGTCAACTATGTTTGTATGTAAACAGAAAAAGTGCAGTAAAATATAAACTGTATAAAAGATAAAGATGGTACACCTATACAGGGTACTTACTATGAATGAAGCTTGCAGGACTAGAAGCTGCTCTGGATGAGTCAGTGATTAGGTGGTAAATGAATGTGAAGGCCTAAAACATTACTGTACAATACTTCAGACTGCAAACATTGTATGCTTCGGCTACACTAAATTTATTAAAACGTTTTCTTTCTTCAATAATAAATTAACCCAAGCTTGCTGTACCTTTTTAAATTTATAAACTTTTTAATTTTTTAAAACTTTTCGACTCTCTTGTGATAATACTTAGCTTAAAAATAAATACATTGCACAGCTGGACCAAAATATTTGCTTTCTTTACGCCCTTTTTCTATAAGCTTTTTTCTATTTTTAAAAGTTTTTAATTTTTATTTTCACCTCCATATGTGGTAGCCTGGAAACTCTCTCCAGGAATTAAGTGGAACCACTGTAGAGCTTACTTTGTTTGTTCCTCATACCTTCAGGATCACTTTCCTTCATTGCCTGGTGACCGATATTTTGAAAACTGTTGTTTCATATTTGTTCTGTTTATAAGTTTTTTCATGTAAGAAGATAAATGCAGTCCCTGTTACTCCATCTTGGCTGGAAGTAAAAGTCAATTTATTGTATTTAAGTCACAGTTTGCTACATTTTGGTAAAAGAAAGCTGTTGCCATGTCTTGTAACATCAAATATCACTTCTGGGTGGTTCAGTTCTTCCTTAAAGCGTTTGAATTGATTAGTTCCATGAGCTCAAACATTTAAAAAAATTGTTAGAATTGGCTGGGCACGGTGGCTCATGCCTGTAATCCCAGCACTTTGGGAGGCCGAGGCAGGCAGATCACGAGGTCAGGAGATAGAGACAATCCTGGCTAACACGGTGAAACCCCGTCTCTACTAAAAATACAAAAAATTAGCCAGGCATGGTGGCGGGCGCCTGCAGTGCCAGCTACTCGGGAGGCTGAGGCAGGAGAATCACTTGAACCGGGGAGAAGGAGCTTGCAGTGAGCCGAGATCATGCCACTGCACTCCAGCCTGGACGACAGAGTGAGACTCCATCTCAATAAATAAATAAATAAATAAATAAATAAATAAATAAATAAATAAATAAATTGTTAGCATTCATTGGCAGAAGCTTTGGCTTACTTACCATTTTATTGACTTGTTCTTCCCCTGTGCCCTGTCCCCTGTGCTGATTGGTGAGAATTAAGATATTTGGCAGTGAGGACATGGGATTGTTGAATTCACTATTTTAAATAGTTTGAGGTCAGTAAAATAAAAATTAAATAAATTGATCTTAAACACTGTGCTTTCTTTAACACAAAATGCTCTTTTTGATGGTATTTTTTATAAGCCATCGGGTCAATTTATTAAGAAACTCAACATTTTAAAAAAATTGCTCAAATAAAGGAGCCAACCTATTCTATGTATATAAGAGAGAAAAGGATAAAGCTGTATATTAGAGCTGCTAATATAGCAGTAGAGAAGAAAACTCACACAGCCCTGAAAGAAAGATTCATTCTGTAAGTGACAGTGTTTAATATTTCATGAATCTGTTGCAAATATATTGCTACCACCACTGCTATAGGCCTGCCTCGAGAGGTCAGATCTCCTGGGTGTGACTTTATTTTGGTGCCCCCCATGATCCCTTGGTCCTTATACCTTGTCCTTTCTTTCTGTTTTCTACATGATTATCACGAAGTCTAAATATTCATTTCCAAGTTTTGCTGATAGAACAAAGGAGGGCTACCAATTAGCTCTTGCTTCTAAGTCTTACAAGACTTAGTGTGTTGAGGTGCTCAACTCTGATCACTTTCTAACTAGTCAAGTTGTAAGTGTTGGGCCTGCCTGAGAATGGACTTGATTTCCTCTAGGCAGAACATTTTCATGGAAGAATAAGGTTTTCAGCCATTGATATCTGGAGCCTGCCATAGCTGATAGGAAAGTCATCTCTCTCTCCAAATCTAAGAGATGGCAGCTGTATCTATAATGTAGACAAAGAACTCAAGGGCCTGCCTCAGAACAAGTGAACTCCAAACAGTTTCTACCTCAATTTTCATATTCCTGGCTCTTTGCTTGTAGTTTAACTAAATAGTAGGACATATGCCTTTGTATGGAATTGTGATATACATATCATTCCAATGGAGTTTTCCTTTTAGAAACTGTTTGAAATAATATAGCAAAGATTTGGGGAAGTGACCTGGAAGAGCAGTCAATCTGGCTAAATAACAAATCAAGAAGCTTTATATGTAGATTTCAAAATATGAGATTAAGATGTTAAAACTTTTGCCCTTTGTAATAATAATCTCATCCAAAGCATTTGGTCTCAGCATCTGCTTGTGTGAAGCACTCTGGGTGATCCCTTACAAGGGAGGTAAATACAACCTGTGTTATCAATGCATATTAGATTAATCCTTGCTGCTATAAATTATCTTTCTCCTTTAGGTACTATGTAGGGATGAATAAAGGAATGAATACTTTGGTAATATTTTAAAAGATAAATGCCAGCCATGTCAAGAAAGTCATCTAACATAATCTCACTACTAAACTTAAACTATTTTTATTGAGGTCATAAAAAATCTTCCAGTTATATCCAGAGATTTTCTGCAGATCTCATTTTTCTTGTCTTATCTGCCTGCCTTTGCCATTGTTGATCATTGTCTCCATTTTACAACTTGGGTTTATGATGCCACTGTTTCCTAGTTCATTTTTAATTATTTTGGCATTCCTTTTCAGTCTCCCTTGACAGTTTATTGTTACCTTCCAGTCCTAAGGTTCCTATCATCAGGTTACTTCTCTTGCTACATTCTTCTTTCTTCCTGGGCAATCTAGCTAGGGCTGTTGGTCCAATTATTCCTTGTGCATGAGTGACTCCCTTCAGCTCAAAGTTCTCTCTTGAGTTTCAACTCACATATACATTCACCTGATAGAAATACATTTACTCAGAGTCCCACAGACTTTCCTAACCCAACAACACCGAATCTGAACACTTCATATTCTTCTCCAAACTCATTTCCCTTTTTGGGTTCCAACCCTTAGCGAATGAGGCCACCATTTGCTAAATGTTCATGATGGAAACCTATGAGTCATAATAAATTTCTCTTTTTTTCTTTTTGTTGCCCCATCTACTCGTCAAGTCTATTAAATTCTATGTCCTGAAATATCTCTTCTATCATTACTTCCCTAGTTATATAGAAGCAGGGATATTGCAATAGCCTCCTTCTTACTGGCCACATGACTTTTATTCACTTTCCCTGAAATTATCTTCCAAAGCCTAGGGTTCTTCTAATCCCAACAAACCCAACAAACAGATCTTATATTACTTCTCTGCCCCAATTCTTCCATGATTCCTTTACTAACAAAACGAAATCTAATCTTTTCTTCATGATCTGATCTTTTCCTATCTGTCCCACTTTTTCTGTCATTATCCGCCCTTGAATTTACTTTTTAAGCATGGTGACTTGCAGATGATTTATCAAGAAAGAATAAATGGATTAAAGCAGTCCTCCAAATAAATATGCCATGCTTGCTCACTTGTTTCCATACGCATACTGTCCCTGCTGCCTGAATGCTTTGGTGCACTCTCCTCTTTCATGACATCTTCCCTAATGTCCCCCCATGCCCCAGGCAGATGGCAGCATGCTTCCTTTGCTTCTACAGCACTTAGCAGCCCCTCCAGGAGAGTAGTGACCATCCTGCAGTATAATTGTTGGTTTGCTTCCCTGTCTTTCCAATAGACTGTAAACATTTGCAGGCTGGGGACACTGAGTTTCCTTCTTTGTAACCTCCAGGGCTTAATACAGTGCCTGTGCATAACAGGTGTTCAGTAACTATTTTCTGGGTGACAGCATGCTTTATCAATAATTAGAGGGTAGAAATCTTTCATCCTTTTTTGGTGGATTAAATCCTAACCAAAATTTTTTAAAATAAGTGACTCCTGGTGAGGAGTAGAGAAGAGTGGCAGCCACTTCCCTGTTGTTTGATGCTAAGATGGGAGTGGGGCAAACCTGGAACCACTTCCTCTCACCATTCCTAAGAATTGCCACCAACCCTGACCATCCTTTTCCTCCTCTGTATTTTGGCTGTCTTTGGTTTTTGAGGACAAGATAGGAGAAGATGAACAAGAGATGAGAGAGAAGTTATGAGGTGTCTTGAGGATGTTTCTAACTAGTCAAAGTGGAAAATGAGATCCACAGCTTCCAGAGGGAGGGTGACACGAGTGTCCTGACTCCTGGGCTTGTCTGCCCGTGTGTCTAACTTAAAACAGAAATATGCTTTTCTTGACTAAATGCTCCCTAGCACCAGCTGTGTGATTTGCAGGGCCCATTGGTCATTGAAAATGTGAGCCCCTTGTTAGAAATTTACAAAGAATTTTAAGATGGTGACAACAGAGCATTAATCCAAGTGTGGAATCCTCCTGAGTGTGGGGCTCTGTGGGACTGCACACTGAGAAGGTGGCCTTGATACTCCCGGATGGATGTTCCAAGTAGCTGGCTTTGGTGATGAGCTTCTTTTAATTATTTGTTTATTTAGAAGTTCTTACAAAATCTTCTGGACATTCATAAAAGGATAAAGAAAAATAGAGATAGTGATATACCCATCATCAGCTCAAGAAATAAATGATGACAAATACACTGGAATTACTTTGTGTATCACTTTCTCCCCAGAAGTAACTAATATTCTGATGAACTACAGGAGTTTATCACTTTCGTACATGTCTATACTTTTTTTTTTTTTTTGAAACAGTCTCTCTCTTTTGCCCAGGCTGGAGTGCAGTGGCGTGATCTCGGCTCACTGCAACCTCTGCCTCCCATGTTCAAGCGGTTCTCGTGACTCAGCCTCCTGAGCAGCTGGGATTATAGGTGCCCACCACCATGCCTGGTTACTTTTTTTTTTTTTTTTTTTTTTGAGATGGAGTCTCGCTCTTGTCGCCCAGGCTGGAGTGCGCGATCTCGGCTCACTGCAACCTCCGCCTCTGGGGTTCAAGCCATTCTCCTGCCTCAGCCTCCTGAGTAGCTGGGATTACAGGCACCTGTCACCATGCCCAGCTAATTTTTTGTATTTTTAGTAGACATGGGGTTTCACCATTTTGGCCAGACTGGTGTCGAACTCCTGAGCTCAGGTGATTTGCCTGTCTCGGTCTCCCAGAGTGCTGGGATTACAGGCATGAGCCACTGCGCCTGGGCTACATGTCTATACTTTGATTGTCTATCCCTAATAAAGATGAATTTTAAAGCAATGCATGAGGAATTTTTCTTTAGGCAACTGAATGAGGGACTGAATCCTGGGAGGCCAGGATTAAGCAGCTCCAAATCGCTGCAATAAGAGAATCCTGGTTTATTAGTTCTTTGCATTTTTACCCATTGTTTATATTTTTCAGCTCACATCTACCTTTCTTCTTGCCCTTTGTAAACTCTGTAAACAATTCCCCTCCTGCAGATGTGTCTTCTTCCAATTTATTTACCACTTGCTTCTTTTGCAATGAGAAGCACTGGAGTCCCGGCTCCAGGTCCAGCTTCCCTTCTCCCCTGCGCTATGCTGGGGTGCAGTGCTGGGATTTAACTGGTCAATTGAGTTGTCTTTTTTTTTTTTGATGTTTTAAGTTCAGCAGAATCCAGGGACCTAGGAAAGCAGGAAACAGGGCTCCTGGGAGATAGAATACCTGTCAGAATTAAAAAGATATATATTTAACAACTAGAATGAAGAGGACTCAGAGATGAATATGCAGCAAAAGCGACATTTGAGAGCTATGAAGAAGGACTTTGGGGGAACAGAAAGTTGTGTTCAAGCCATACAACTCCATGGAGGGATTAACACAGCAGGAAATATGATGAACATTTTGCCAAAAATGAGGGTGTGGCCTGTCAGAGTGGGCACTTGGCATCTGGAGTTGTCCCACATGATTATAATAATTAAAAAAATTAATAGTTTGTATATTCTCCCTGCCTTCAAAAAATTAAAATCCTTTCAAACCTTGCACATCCTCCAGATGACTATTGGAAACTGTGTAGAGCTTAGTGATAATAAAGAAAGACCATTCATATTGTGAATGGCTGGGTTTTCTATCTTTAAGGATTTATCTGCATAGCAGCAGACACAGTGGGGCTCAGACAAGGACTTCAGGGACCGACTTTGGCAGGTCTTTGATCTGAACTGACTGAAACAAAAGAAACCGACACTTCCCTAATTACCTGACCAGATACCTTAAGCAGCAACACTCCAAACCCGTGTGAATCATAGGGCCGCGAAACGCCAATAATAACCACCAGGATTTTTAGTGCAGGGAGCGATTGCAAATTTGACTTATGTGCTGCCGCCAAAATCACTATGGCCTAATTACTGCTAAAAACAGATGATGATAAAAGTTAACATGGCCCCAGTGAGTCATTTTGTCAGGACTCGCATTTCAGAAACAGCCATTCTAGGGGGAGAGTTGAGGATAAACTCTTTCATAGTGGCCACAAACGATTGCAGCGGACAAGCTGGAAAAGCCTGTGTCTGGTTCCCAGGAATTTAGCGCAAGATAACTATTCCATGGTCACATGGAAGACTTTTATTAATAAAGAAGACCTTTCCTTAGTCTTTTTTATTAATAAACACATGCAACTGCCATATGGAAATAAGATCTGCCGTCCCAGTTCCTCCTAAAATAGAGCATTCCTAATTGGGGTTATTTAACTTCCTTCAGAAATACTCTTCTTAATTATTTGGGTTAGTCCAGCCCAGGGAAGAAAAAGGAATAGAACCAGCAACAGGGAGGCCTTCTCTGAAACATGCCACATAGTCTTCCCTAGGTAAGTAGTAATGGCCTCCTCATAGATTTTTTTTTAAAAAAAAGGGAATTAGAGATATCCTATTAATCAAGTGTGCTTTTGCGCCTAGTGCTGCGTGATCGATCATGATATTCCATATGGCAAGATCACATTGCTAAAGTGCAGGAGGCTTGAGTTTGAGCCTTCACTCTGCTATTCTTAGCTGTGTGACATTGGGTGAGTTATTTAACTACTCTGGGCCTCAGTTTTCTCATTGATAACTTGGGGGTGATAACATCAGCCCCCAAGCAATATTATCAGTTACTTTCTGAGGGAAGCAAGGTCTCAGGAAATAATTCCATTCTATAGAAAAGGGTTGAGGATGTGCTGTGGCTCCAGATGGCCTGAAGTTTGATCCTGGGAGCATGTGATCAGGGAACAGGGGCAGGGAAGTGCTGGGTAGAGAATGGCGGGTTCCCGGCCAGGGGTCCGCCCCCCATCCCTCAGCCGAGCCTGTGCACAGGGACCTAGGTGAGGATAGCCGTTTCTGTTTTGGTGCCCAAATGTTGCATTTTCCAAGACCACCCTGGCCCGCCACGCCCCCATTCTGTGCCTATGAAAACCCTGAGACCCTAGCAGGCACAGACACAAGCGCTGGACATTGAGAGGAACACACCAGCAGAAGGGCACACAAGTGGCTGGACGTCGAGAAGAACCCACTGGCAGACACCAGCAGATGCGGGCAGGCCGTCTATAGCTGGGTGACCTGGAGTTCGGCCCAGGGCCGTCAGAGGAGAGCCCCGCCACTGACTGGCCTGACGCCAGGGAAAGATCACCTCCTCTTCTGGCTCCCATCCCTCCACTGAGAACTACTTCCACCACTCAATAAAACCTTGGACTCATTCTCCAAGCCCAGGTGTGATCCAATTTTTCCAGTACACCAAGGCAAGAACACCGGGATACCAAAAGCCCTCTGTCCTTGCTATTAGGCAGAGGGTCTAATTGAGCTGATTAACACAAACCACCTACCCATGGCAAAACTAAAAGAGCACGCTGTAACATGCCCACTGGGGCTTCAGGAGGTGTAAATATTCACCCCTAGACACTGCTGTGGGGTCGGAGCCACACAACCTGCCCATCTGCATGCTCCCCCTAGAGGTGTGAGCTGCCGAGCATTGAAGAAGCGAGCCACACCCCCATCTCACGCCCTGCGAGGGTGATGAGGGAACTTTGCCCGTTTCACATGGATCATTTTCTGACCGGCATCAGTTGTGTCTGCGGTTTATGTTCTCCTTACAGATATTCTCTGGGAAGGGGACAATTTGTGAGAGGCCAGTTTTGATAAGCCTTATGCTGAAATCATTGCTGTTTTCAAACTTAGAATTTTACTTCTTTTAGAGATTGATTTGGCTTCCCTCAATTCTCCTTCCTTTCTTGAGAGAGGAGGAGAGTTGTGCTCTCAGAATCACAGAGGTTTAGAAGCAAAAATATCTTAAATGCCACGCTAAAAACAAAACAAAACCCAAAAACCCACTCAATTGCTAAAGACATAAATGTAAGAAATAAAGATATAATGTAAGAAATATAACATGAAATTTTAAAATAATGTAAAACTGGAGTATATCATGATTTATTTGTAATAGCAAGCAATAATAACTCACAACCCAATAATAGGGGATCATTTAAACAATGGAAACTATGCGGCCATTAAAATGTGGTTGGTTGTAGAAGAATATTTAATGCCATGAGAAAATGTTAACAACATTTGACTCAATGAGAAATGTGGATTTTAACTGCAACATCAAAATATTAACAGATTTATACATGAAGGATGAATTATGGATGCTTTTTTCCTTTTAATTGTGGTAAAAAACACATAATGAAATTTATCATCTTAACAAATGTAAGTATATAGTTCAGTAGCGTTAAGTGCATTCACACTGCTGTGCAACAGATCTCCAGAACTTTTTCATCTTGCAAAACTGAAACTCTATTAACTGTTGAATAGCAATTCCCTATTCCCCCTCCTCCCAGCCCTTGGCAACCACTGTTTTACTTTCTGTTCCTATGAATTTCACTACTTTAGATACCTTGTACAAGGGAAATCACACAATATTTACCTTTTTGTGAGAGGCTTATTTCACTTAGCATAATGTCCTCAAGTTTCATTCATGTTGTAGCAAGTGAGAAGGTTTCCTTCCTTTTTAGGGCTGAATAATATTCCCTTGTATTTCGTCTGTTGATAGACACTTGGGCTTCTTTTATTTCTTGGCCATCCACTTTTTGGCTGCTATGGGCATGAGTATGAAAATATTTCTTCAAGATTTTGCTTTTAATTCTTCCCATATATTCCTAGAAGTGGGATTGCTAGATCACATGGTATTCTATTTTTTATTTTTGTAGGATCCACTTTTCTATTTTTCATGGCAGTTACTCCATTTTACATTCTCACCAACAGTGCACAAGACTTCCAGTTTCTCTTCATCCTCACCAACACTTGTTTTTTTCTAATAGTAGTTATTTTCTTTTTTGTACTTTGATATATTCCCCATTTATTTTTCATTCTGACTAAGCACTGCTTTTGTAATTAGAAAAACCACAATAAATTTAGTGTAAAAGACATGGTGGAGGAATAAATACTGACTGTGTCTTATTTGCAAGGACTAAATCATTGAGCGTTTCTGGGATGTCATTCACACAAAGGCCTTACCTATTCTCTACCTAGCTGATATTAGGTATTATGTCTAACCGGGTGGCCTGAGAGAAATATTACTGAATGGTATTGACATACTTGTTTGCATGTTAGAAAGCAAAAGAGATAATTTAGATGCTTTCTGTACTTCCACAAAGGAACTAGTTCAACTCAGAAAGTCAAAAATATCAGTTGTTCTAATGAAAAACATCAATTAAACAAAGTATCTTAGAATTTTATAAAACAATGGGCTGATTTATTGAAATTCGAAGAAAATTTATTGAAGTTTGAAGTATTCTCTGTGGCTTCATATAGTGCAATCTCTATTCTTCCAACAATAGTTTGTCAGAATTAGTTCCAGAAATTGCAACCTCATCACGTATTAGTAATAAATCTTCTAATACCACACAGTACCACCAAAACGCTGCCATTTATGAAAAGCCCTATTAAGAGATATGTGCTTTGTATATATCAGCTTGTTTAATCCTGTTTATAAAACAGTTCATTTTTTTTCATAGATGAGACACTGAGGCTCAGAGACACTAAGCAATTTAGCTTTGTGCAGAAATATTAAGGGTTTACTGAACCCATGTCTTTCTATGTAGAAGTGAACTCGGATGTTGGAAAGGACTTCTAATTTATTTTTTTAAATGTGTTATTTTAATGATAGCCTTAAGGGAGAAACTACCCTTGATTTCACCTCTGTGTAAGATCTTGATTTTAAGTCTTCGGCATTTTTAAAGTAAATTGATTTTTCAGTTTGAATATACTGCTTTTAAAAGGAGCAGCTGGGGGATCATTGATGTAGGGTTGATACATTCCAAGAACTTTGAGAAGGCTATTTTAAGATATGTAGATTTTTTCCTTTTCCCAATATTTCAACACCAGAGAATAAAATCTAACCCACAACACTCTATGTATGCAATGCCATTGGATAAATCATTTCAGGTTGCTTAAAGGAGAAATCAGGATGGGGAGAATTCTTTTACTATACTGTTTCCCTTCTTTCCCTGCTTTATTCTGAAGGGATGAGTATCCTCTAAATATGAGATTAAGAGATGAAAATCTTGAGTGTTTTTTGCTGCTCTTTTAATAGCAGCTCTTTCAGTCTATATGTTAGTCAAAAAACCAATCTGTGTTGGGTCCTAGTGAGTGTCTATATTGGTGAGGATTAGTCGAGAAGAATGTGCAGAAGAACAGATACATTTTATTTTATTTACAATTATTATTATTTTTAATTGACACAGAATTGTACACATTTATGGGGTATAATGTGATATTTCAATTCATGTGTATAATGTGCAATGACCAAATAAAGGTAATTAGCAAATCCATCATCTCAAATATTTCTCATTTTTTTGTGTTGAGGACATTCAAAATCCTATGTTCTAGCTAATTAAAAATATACAATAAATTGATGTTAGCTATAGTCAACCCTGCAGTTCTCTAGAATGCTAGAAATTATTCCTCCTATCTGGCTGTAATTGTAATAGGATGGCTGTAACCAACCTCTCCCTATCCCCTCTACCCTCTACCTTTCTCAGACTCTAATAACTAGTACTCTACTTTCCACTTCTAAAAGATTAAACTTTTTAGCTTCCACATATGAGTAAGAATATTTGGTATATATTTTTCTGTGTCTGGCTTATTTCACCTAACATAATATCCTCCAGGCTCATTCATGTTACTGTGAATGAAAGGATTCCAGTCTCTTTTAATGGCTGAATAGTATTCCATTGTGTATATATACACCACATTTTCTTTATCCATTCTTCTGTTGATGGACTTTAGTTTGATTCCATATCTACCCTATAGTGAGTAATGCTACAATAAACATGGAGTACAGATATCTTTTTGACATATAGATTTCTTTCCTTTGGATGTATCCTCAGTAGTGGTATTGCTGGATTGTATAGTGGTTTTATTTTTAGTTTTTTAAGGAACCTCCCTACTGTTTTCTATAATGGCTGTATGAACTTGCATTTCTACCAACAGAGTTTCTCTTTTTCTACATTATTCTAACTGGGGTGAAATGGTGTCTCATTGTGGTTTTGATTTGCATTTACCTAAGGACTAGTGATGTTAAGCATTTTTTCATGTACTTGTTGACCAGTTGTGTGTTTTCTTTTGAGAGCTGTCTATTCAGATCATCTGCCCCTTTTAAAATTGGATGATGATGATGATTATTTGTTGTTGAGTTGTTTGAGTTCCTTGTATATTCTGGATCTTAATCCCTTGTCAGGTAAATAGTTTGCGAATTTTTTCCCATTCTACAGGTTGTCTCTTCACTCTGTTCATTGTTCCCTTTGCTGTGCAGAAGATTTTTAGTTTGATACCATCTTATTTATCTATTTTTGCTTTTGTTGACTGTGCTTTTGAGGTCTTATCTATAAAATCTTTTCCCAGACCAATGGCCTGAAGTATTTTCCCTGTTTCCTTCTAGTAGTTTCACAGTTTCCAATCTTACACTTAATTCTTTAATCCATTTGAGTTGATTTTTGTAATGGTGAGAGATAGGGGTCTAGTTTCATTCTTCTGCATATGAATATCAAATTTTTCCAGCTCCATTTATTGAAGACTGTCCTTTCTCCAGTGAGTGTTTTTGAAATCTTTGTTGAAAATCAGTTGGCTGTAAATATGAGGATTTATATCTGGGTTCTCTATAATGTTCCATTAGTCTATGTGTCTGTTTTTAAACCAGTACCATGCTATTTTGTTTACCATACTGTTTTGTAAATATTCTGCTTTGTAGTATATTTTAAAATCAGGCAGTGTGCTGTCTCTAGTACTGTTTTGTTGTTCAGAATTGCTTTGAATAGTTGGGGTCATCTGTGGTTCTATACAAATTTTAGGATTGTTTTTTTCTGTGAAGAATGCCATTGATATTTTGATAAAGATCATGTTGAATCTATAGATTGCTCTGGGTAGTATGATAATGTTAACAATATCAGTTCTTCCAGTTTATGAGCATTAGATGTCTCTCTATTTTTTTGTGCTCTCTTCAATTTTTTCATCAGTATTTAATAGTTTTCCTTGTAGAGATCTTTCACTTCTCTGGCTAAATTTATTTCTAGATATTTTATTTTATTTTTTTGTAGCTCTTATAAATGGGATTGCTTCTTGATTTATTTGTCAGTTTGTTTGTTCTTGATGTATAGAAACATTACTGACATTTGTATGTTGATTTTATATCCTGTACTTTTACTGAATTTGTTTACCATTTCTAAGAGTTTTTTGGTGTAGCCTTTAGGTTTTTCTCTATATAAGATCATGTTGTCTGCAAACGGACAATTTCACTTCCTCCTTTCCAATTTTGATGCGCTTTATTTTTTTATCTTGCCTGATTGCTCTAGCTAGGACTTTCTGATAGATCCCACTTGATCCTGAAGTATAATCTTTTTGATGTGCTACTGGATTTTGTTTGTTAGTATTTTGTGGAGCATTTTTGTATCTATGTTCATCAGGGATATTGGCTTATAGTTTTCTTTTTTTGTTGTTGTGTCCTTATCTGGTTTTTGTATCATGGTAATGCTGGCCTCATAGAATGAATTTGAAAGAATTCCCTCCCTTCAATGTTTTGGAACAGTTTGAGAAAAATTGGTATTAGTTTTGCTTTAAAATTTGGTAGAATTCAGCAGTGAGGCCACCTGGTCCTGTAGCTTACTTTGCTGAAAATTTTTATTATTGATTTAATCTCATTACTTGTTATTGGTCTGTTCAAGTTTTATATTTCTTCTTGGTTCAAGCTTGGTAGGTTGTAAGTGTCCAGGAATCGATCCATTTCCAATTTGTTAGAACCAATAGGTTTTCCAATTTGTTGGCATATAGTTGTTCATGATAGACTTTCACGATCCCTTGAGTTTCTGTGTTATCAGTTGTAATGTCCTCTTTCTTCATTTCTGATTGTATTTGGGTATTTTCTCTTTTTTTCTCAGTCTAGTTAATGACTTGTCAATTTTGTTTATCTTTTCAAAAAACCAATTTTTAATTTTGCTAATCTTTTGTATTTTTTGGTCTCAATTTCATTTATTTTTGCTCTGATCTTTATTATTTGTTTCCTTCTAATTTTAGATTTGGTTTATTCTTGCTTTTCTAGTTCCTTGAAGTGCATTGTTAGGTTGTTTACTTGCAATCTTCCTACTTTTCTGATGTAGGAAAACGTTTTTCTGATGTTTTATTGCTATAAACCTCTTGTAGGCAGCATATAGTTGGGTCTTTTTCATTATCCATTCAGCCGGTCTAAGTCTTTTAATTGTAGAATTTAATCTTCTTACATTCAAGGCTATTATTGACAGGTGAGGACTTACTCTTGTGATTTTGTTAATTGCTTTCTGGTTGCTTTGTATATTCTTTGTTCCTTCTTTTCTCCATTATTGTTTATCTCTGTGGTTTGGTGGTTTTTCATAGTGATAAGGTTGGATATCTTTAGATATACTTTTAATCAAATTGAAATAACAGGACATAGGCAGGAATATTATTTTTACTATTGAAAAGATACAAGCAAGAACAGATCATTACAACAGGGCAACATCTGTTCAGGGATGCATTGCTTATGCTGTAATCAGGGAACTGAAATATTGTTTCTTTATCTCATTTTATTCTCACTCTCCCCCTCTGCTGGGTATTACTATTATCTCCATTTAACTGCTGAGGAAACTCAGGCTGAGAGGTTAAGTGACTCATTCAAGGTCACCCAGCTGAGATGTGCCAGAATTGATGAGCCTATGACTGTAAAAATCCTGAACCTGTGTTTTTAACTAGGACATTTTTCTGTCTTAGATGTGACAGTCTCCTATGAGATGAGCTTATGCAGTTCTAAGATGCTGGTGGGATGAGAAGAGACCTTGAATGTGAGGGTTAAGCTCCAATTAGATATTTGTGCTGAAGTTTGTGGACCAGAGACCTTGTGATCCTGCACTTACCTCAGAGATAAGCTCTCTGTTCTCTCTGTCCCCAGTGGGAAGAGAAAAGGGGGTGACAAAGGGGATGGGGATGACTTTAGATTGTTAGGTGAATGAGCCAGTGCAGCCCCAGGGCAGAGAAAGCAGAGTGTAAGAGGAAGGCTAGTTAAGGCAGTGATACTTTATGGCTTACTAATGAATTCCATTTTATAGCCCAACTCCCTTAAGTTGTCTCTTCCTGTGATTAATTCTTGTTCTCTTTGTCCCCTTTAAGCAGACGGTTGTTGATAGGGAGTGTTCAGTGTTGAATGAGTAAAATGTACTAATGCATGTTTTCTTCAACCAGAGATAACCTTGCTTTAAACATGATGAATGTAACTTTTACAAGGGAAGATATCATCAGGAAAAGAGGGCTTGCGGCTTATGCATTGGACACTCAGGTATAAGCTCATTGCCTAGCAGCATTTCAATCTCAATCTCCCTCTCTTTCTCTCCTGACCATTTTGAATCACTTAATCTTTCTGTCAGTGTCCCTAAAATGAAGTGATTCACTGATGTAAATAAGCCAACTGACTGCTTTGTCCTGGATTTAATCAACAAGTTTTTTTTTCTCAAAAATATTTCACGCCTTTTTCTTCCCAAGTTAACGTTGAGACAAAGAAGCAGGGTTTTCCGGGAAAACTGTAGAGCTTAAAAGTCATTAAGAGTCATTAAATTACACAGGATTAGAAGTGACCTGTGTAATTTTTGAGGATCAGAGGACTTTGGTTCTCCTTATGTGTGCTTGTGCACAGACTCGCACAGACTTGGAGAGAGAATAGAGAGGTTGTTCTGGTTAGGATTATACACTTAGTAATTCAACCCAAACTGTCTCAATACCAGACTTCTTAGTTTTGGCGCAAGCCATCAAAATATACAAAGTAAAACCACCAGTCACTATCATTTATAGTCATATATTTATAGGGGTGTGTTCAGTATTGAGAAAGTTCTAGATAAGGTGAGAAGGCTGACCCCTTTGCTGGGACTCAGAAGAGAGGCACACACAATGTCGATGTCCATTTGAAAATAGAGGAAAAAAAAAAGAAAAGCTATTTTTGCATGAACAAATTATTTGCACATCTAGGTTCTTCCAGCTCTTGCAAAGGATCTCTTCCACGCTGGCAGGAAAAGACTTTAGCTTAAAGAGGGGGGAAAAAAATCTCTCTCCCAGAACTGATAACCAAATAAAATACTGTTATATTTTCTGTCTAATAAGCACAAGAAGTTCCATAACTCCCTTGATTAAGCATATTATCCTTCTTCAGAAAGTCAGCATGATTTATGCAAAAAGTGATTTGGACATACTTTCTCCGGCCATGGAGATTTCATAATTCCTGGTGTATGTCTGGAAAATCTCCCCTCGTCGTGAGTCCAAACCAAATTAATGTCTTCCAGAATGACCTGAGGAATTAATGAGGTTTTTGCTGTCAGTTTTACCCATCCAGGGTCAAGTAAATCATTTGCTGGCTCTCGGGGCGCTGTTTGTCTGCTGCCTCTCTGACTCCACGTTCAATGATAACAACGTTGCAGATGCCTTTGAAATACGGCATCACCGACACTCTCCGTCCATCTGCTGGGACATATTTTAGGCTCTGCTTCTCTTTCTGCTGTAAACTCGGCCTTTAATGGAGTCAGTAATTGCTGATAAATGGGGTATCAATGAAGTCAGTGCACTGGAGGTTTCCCCATTCTTTTCTGCTGATGTTTGCTATTTAAATCTCCTCTGACGTTACTGAAAATTATTGTGTGCCCAGCTCTTTAATTCCCCTACTGGTGTTCTTGGCTGAAGACTTGAGTTATTTTTTCCCTTCTTCTTTTTGGACAAACTAAAGCTGGTTGGGAAGAGGCTTTCCTGGGGAGCCTTTTGTTCTTCCTACCAGAAGCAGCTCTCAAACCTGCTGTCAGATCACGTGCAGAGAACTGGTTGGAGTCTTTTGGCTTTTTCTGCCCCTCTTCCACCATCCACATGCCGGGACCAGCTCCTTGGTAAACCTAAACTACGAGATCATTTGAAGGTTTCAGAAGTTTGACTTACCTTGTTTTTCTTTACTAAAGGTCTAGAGCTTTAGTGTTTGTAGATAAACTCATCACTGTTTTTTGCCTTTGTTTCTTTAGCTGTTTACAAATGAAGATTTAAAGTAAAAGCAAAGATTGTCTCCCTCCATCCTGTTCTCCTCATTTCTTTAATTTTGCATTTTGCATGAATACGTGATCGAGCTGCAGGTGCTGATGAGGCAACCCTGAGAGGGCAAGTGGTGTCTCATGTGGATCCTTAGCTACGTGTCCTGAGGAACCAGAGCTTGCTGCTTCCCACTTACCCTTTCAAAAATAGGAAAACCTGCGAACACTACCCACCAACCCCTGAGTTTCTGCTACCAGCCTGCCATAGGGATGTAAACATGCTCTAGTGAGTCATAAAAGGCTGAAGTTTAGTCTGAGTCTCCTTGACCTCCCACAGCCTCGGTTTTCTGAGCTATAAAATGGGGATGACCAGAGGTGCCTTACTTACCACATGGGATTTGGAAATGCTGCTTCTGTTGCTTGCTGACATTTTTGGGCACTTATGTAAGTATGAAGCTAAGCACCTTTGCTGTTTTATTTCATTTAGCCTTTACAATAATTCTATAAGGTGAGTACTATTTAATATCATTTTACTGGCAAGAAAATAGAGACAGCCATAAAATAATAAGTTTTTTACATTTTATAGTTTTACTGTTTTTGAAAACACTTTCACATATGTTATTTCACCTTTCTCTTTCAAAAACATTGTTAGATCTTCATTATTTCCTTCCTTCTCCCTTCCCTTCCCTTCCCTTCCCTCCCCTCCCCTCCCCTCCTCTTCTTCCCTTCCCTCCCCTCCCCTCCCCTCCTCTTCTTCCTTTCCCCTTCCTTGACAAGGTCTCACTCTGTTGCACCCCAGGCTGGAGTGCAAGTGGCACCGCAGGCTCCTGAGCAACTGGGGACCACAGGCATGTGCCACCACACCCAGCTAATTAAAACTTTTTTTTGGAGTGCAGTAGCTTGAGCTAGGCTCACTGTAATCTCTGCCTCTTGGGTTCAAGTGAGTCTCCTGCCTTAGCCTCTCGAGCAGCTGGGATTACAGGCACATGCCATCATGCCCAGCTAATTTTTGTATTTTTAGTAGAGATGGGGTTTCACCATGTTGGCCAGGCTGGTGTCGAACTCCTGGCCTCAAGTGATCCACCTGCCTCAGCCTCTCAAAGAGCTGAGACTACAGGCATGAGCCATGATGCTCAGCCTTATGTTTCTTTAACTGGGGTTTAGAGAGAGGCTGAGAAGCTTTCTCAAAATCACAAAAACCAGGAAGGGCAGTGTTGCTACTTGAAAGAGAATAGTAACTGCAAATATGCTTTTAAAAAATAGCCAGGTTAATAATATACTTAGATGTCTGCTTGTCTTTGGTCTGATATGATTTGTTAACAGACTACTGGAAAACAGCCTTATCATCTCATATATGAAATTAGACCCTTAAACAGATAGAAAACTATAAATTTTAATGTTATTAGTGAGCAAGTGATACATAAGTTAGGAAGGAGAAGATGTGGAAGAAAATAGTGACTTCAGTGAGGAACTTTAGGAAAGCTGGTAAAACTTGGGTCAGAAGTTGTGAGGACGCCCTGATGAACAATTTTGATAAAACTGAAAATGTCAGGTGAGCTAAATCTCTGCAATGTTTCTCATCTATTTTTGATTTTGTTCAGCTGGGAAATAACCTCAGAAGTTTTTCTTCAGTGGTTTGTTTTTCATTTGCTGGAAGTGGGTGTATGGTATACATAGCTATTTCAACTTAAAACAAAAAGTACAAGGAAGATGAGAATTAACTCCAGGACACAAAATTGGAAGAGGTTCCCTTTGAACGGTAAAGATTTGCTTCTTCATTTTTCTAGGTCCCCCGTCTTTACCACCCGCAATGCACACTTAAGTCCTGGGTGCTTCCCCATTGCAAAGGGCCAACTGGAAAATGTGTGTGGGCCTGTGGATGTGGTGGGGAGAAGGCAGGTGGAGAAAGAGAGAATGAGATTATTTGGCTAGGAACAAGTATAGTAAGAGTATAGTTTAAATAGGAGCCTCAGAAATAATCCCCCCAACCCCTGGCTATTTTCTTTTGTCTCCATAGTTTTGCCTTTGAACCAGTATGCAGCCTTTTCAGATTAACTTATTTCACTTAGCAATGTGGATTTAAGTTTCTTCTATGTCTTTTCATGGCTTGCTAGCTCTTTTGTTTAGCACTGAATAGTATGCTATTGCTTCACCTACTAAAGGACATCTTAGTTGCTTCCAAGTTTTGTTGATTATGAATAAAGCTGCTATACACACCTGTGTGCAGGTTTTTGTGTGAACATGACTGTGATATTTTAAGGTCATACCTATTGAGGTATAATTTATATACAGTAATATTCACTCTTTTTAGTGTGGAATTCTAAAAGTTTTTTTTTTTTTTTTTATTTGAGAAATCTCTATTAATTCTCCTTTTCATATTTTTTCTTTTTTTTTAATTTTTTTTTTTATTATACTTTAAGTTTTAGGGTACATGTGCACATTGTGCAGGTTAGTTACATATGTATACATGTGCCATGCTGGTGCGCTGCACCCACTAACGTGTCATCTAGCATTAGGTATATCTCCCAATGCTATCCCTCCCCCATCCCCCGACCCCACCACAGTCCCCAGAGTGTGATATTCCCCTTCCTGTGTCCATGTGATCTCATTGTTCAATTCCCACCTATGCGTGAGAATATGCGTTGTTTGGTTTTTTGTTCTTGTGATAGTTTACTTTAAAGATAGTCTACTTTAAAGTTCATATGGAACCAAAAAAGAGCCCGCATCACCAAGTCAATCCTAAGCCAAAAGAACAAAGCTGGAGGCATCACACTACCTGACTTCAAACTATACTACAAGGCTACAGTAACCAAAACAGCATGGTACTGGTACCAAAACAGAGATATAGATCAATGGAACAGAACAGAGCCCTCAGAAATAATGCCGCATATCTACAACTATCTGATCTTTGACAAACCTGAGAAAAACAAGCAATGGGGAAAGGATTCCCTATTTAATAAATGGTGCTGGGAAAACTGGCTAGCCATATGTAGAAAGCTGAAACTGGATCCCTTCCTTACACCTTATACAAAAATCAATTCAAGATGGATTAAAGATTTAAACGTTAGACCTAAAACCATAAAAACCCTAGAAGAAAACCTAGGCATTACCATTCAGGACATAGGCGTGGGCAAGGACTTCATGTCCAAAACACCAAAAGCAATGGCAACAAAAGCCAAAATTGACAAATGGGATCTAATTAAACTAAAGAGCTTCTGCACAGCAAAAGAAACTACCATCAGAGTGAACAGGCAACCTACAACATGGGAGAAAATTTTCGCAACCTACTCATCTGACAAAGGGCTAATATCCAGAATCTACAATGAACTCAAACAAATTTACAAGAAAAAAACAAACAACCCCATCAAAAAGTGGGCGAAGGACATGAACAGACACTTCTCAAAAGAAGACATTTATGCAGCCAAAAAACACATGAAAAAATGCTCATCATCACTGGCCATCAGAGAAATGCAAATCAAAACCACTATGAGATATCATCTCACACCAGTTAGAATGGCAATCATTAAAAAGTCAGGAAACAACAGGTGCTGGAGAGGATGTGGAGAAATAGGAACACTTTTACACTGTTGGTGGGACTGTCAACTAGTTCAACCATTGTGGAAGTCAGTGTGGCGATTCCTCAGGGATCTAGAACTAGAAATACCATTTGACCCAGCCATCCCATTACTGGGTATATACCCAAAGGACTATAAATCATGCTGCTATAAAGACACATGCACACGTATGTTTATTGCGGCATTATTCACAATAGCAAAGACTTGGAACCAACCCAAATGTCCAACAATGATAGACTGGATTAAGAAAATGTGGCACATATACACCATGGAATACTATGCAGCCATAAAAAATGATGAGTTCATGTCCTTTGTAGGGACATGGATGAAATTGGAAACCATCATTCTCAGTAAACTATCGTAAGAATTCTAAAAGTTTTGACGATTACGTCTAATCATGCAGTCAACACCACAATGAAGACAGAGAACAGTTCCCTCACTTCCCTACATTTTCTTCTATTACATTTTAGTTCATCCCTCTCCCCACCCCAGCCTTTGACAATCACAAGCTTATTTTCTGTCTGTATACTTTTGCCTTTTCCACATGTTGTATAAATGGAGACATACTCTGTGTGTCTGTGTATGTATGTGTATGTGTCTTGAGAAACAAAAACAAAAACAAAAGAAAGAAGGCCTACAGGATCACCACACTTGGTGAGACTGGCATAGCTGCTCAGCCAGAATTCTCCATGGCGAAGTCCTGAGTTTGAAACTCTCTTAACTGTTACCTGCTAGTGGAAAACACTTGGCAAGTCAATGGATATTTGAGCCTAAGTTTTTTCACCTGGAAAATTGGGGGTGGGAGAGGGTTAATACCTAGCTCACAGGACTATGGTGAGTATGAGATGGGATTAAATATGTGAAAAGGTTTAAAGCACTAGCAACTGCCCGCATCAATCATTAGAGATCCCCTGTCCAACATTGTTATATGTGAAATCTAAGGGAAAATTAGAATCAAGGGCCCCCTTGAAACCACAAGGAGGCAAGCAAAAGTGTGGAAGACATGGGAAGGACAGATCCACTCTTTATCTTGATGGTGGTGGTGGTGGTGGTGACAGCAGGGGTCGGGTGGGTTCTGGCCTGATCCAATGTGTATTTGGAGTTTGGCAAAGTTTCTTTTCTCACTGGCATCTCTGTCTTTTCTTTCTACTGGCTGCTTTCCTTCACAAGTACCCCCGCCCCCCGCCCCCCACCCCCCACCAAACCAAGCATACAGGCCCTGAAAATGTAGGGTAAGGTGTAATTTGTTTCCCCAGAATTCAGAGCCAAAATGTTTTACCTTTCAGATCTTAGTGCTTGTCAGCTAAAAGTAAACCATAGTTTAGCTTCACCTAATTTCCCAATAAGCGTTGCAGTATATCATGAAACAGAAATGAAATTAAGTGCTCAGGAATTTCTCATGCACCAACCGCAGGCTGCAGCAGGTGCTCCTCCCCTCCCAGCCTGCCTCTGGAGAGTTCCCTTGTGGAGGTTGTTATGACTTTCCTGTTTAGCAAGGGTCTGTGTTTTCAAACCATCCAGGTTTTGATGTGTCTGGCAGGTTGGTAACCTTGTCCCACCTTCCACAATAATCAGTTTTGCCTCCCGAGGTTGTGACAAAGTGACTAGGAGCTCCAAGGAATGGGATCTCCCAGCTCATCTTCTCACATCGATTAGGGTTTAGTTTGTGAGGCTGGTGGGCAAGAAGACGTTCTTGCACAGCATGGAAAGGAAGGGGCCATACATTATGAGAGTGAACTTTTTAGGCTGGCTGAGAGGGGATAGACACACGCGCCATGCCTGGAGAGCTCATCTTTGGGGGCTATGAGGTATCTAAACAGTCCTCTTTTGCTGTGTCACTGCCTTTATTACTAGACAGAGGCAGTGGCTATTGTATTGTGATGTGGCTGTACTGTTACGGTTTAAAGAGCAAAATCCACATCCCTGAATGTGAGCATATGACAGTGGCCAGCTCATAAAACAGGGCCCAGATCAGGCTTTAGTGGTGCCTACACATTGAATGAGTGAATAAATAATAAATGAATGTGTGAAGTCATCTATGGTCAGTAACCAGGGAGGAAATAGTTTCCGGATTGTAAACAGAACCACTGGAAGGGCCCCAGTGGTGGGAAGGGAACCATTATCACCTTGGTTCTAGCTGAGAAGGATGTTCCTGATGGGAGAATGGAGACTACATGGGCTTAACACAGGGATCTGGTGTAGGAGCCATGGCAGAGGGCCATGGGTGCCAGGCTAAGCAGTGTGGGCTCTATCCCGAAGGCAAGGAGAGAAGACAGTAAACATTTTTTTTTTCGTTTTGTTTTGAGATGGAGTCTAGCTCTGTCACCAGGCTGGAGTGCAGTGGTGCAATCTCGGCTCACTGCAACCTCTGCCTCCAGGGTTCAAGCGATTCTCCTGCCTCAGCCTCCCGAGTAGCTGGGACTACAGGCACGCGCCACCACACCCAGCTAATTTTTGTATTTTTAGTAGAGACGGGGTTTTACCATATTGGCCAGGATGGTCTCGATCTCTTGACTTTGTGATTTGCCTGCCTTGGCCTCCCAAAGTGCTGGGATTACAGGCATGAGCCACCATGCCCAGCCGACAGTAAACATTTTTAAGCCTAAATGTGATATGAATGCAGATCTCTCATCTATCTATCTATCTATCTATCTATCTATCTATCTATCTATCTATCTATCTATCTATTATCGATCTATCTATATATATAGTCTTTCTATGGACTGAAGTGTGTCCTCAAAAATTAATATATTGAAATTCTAACCCTGCAAAGTGACTGCATTTGGAGGTAGGGCTTATGGGAGAGAAATAAGATTAAATGAGGTCATAAAGGTAGAGTCCTAATCAGGTAGGATTGGAGTCCTGATCAGATAGATCTGCCATACAACAAGAGGAAGAGAGAGGGAGAGAGCTCTCTCTTTCTTGGAATGCACACACTGAGGTAAGGCCATGGGAGGACATGGTGAGAAGGCAGCTGCAGTGCCCTCATCAGATGCCAACCCTGCTGGTATCTTGATCTTAGACAGCTTGTAGAACTGTGAGAAGTAAATTTCTGTTTTTTAAGAGACCCAGCCTATGGCCTTTTGTTATGGTAGCCCAAGTTGACTAAGATACAGAAACAAAATGAGACTAGCCAATTCTCCAGGCCCAATCAGGATCTGGCAAGGATGGTCACCTGAAATTGTGCAGGGAAATTTAACAAGGGTTGGGGGCCGTGGATTATCTCTCAGAGATGAGGCAGAGAGAGACCACCTCCCCAGAGAAAGTACAGATGGCATCAGGTTTGAAGCCTTGGCCTCAACATGCTCCTGAGGCTCACTAAATCCTTAAGAGGATGCATAAAGAAGAGACTCACATTGTGGGTTGACATTTGCAGGTTGATCCCAGGATTGAGACTCTCCAGATTTGAGTGCCAAGTCCCAGATCAGCACAGGCATGGCTGCAGCCCCAAGTGTGATGAGCAGAGGTGTGGTCAGCCAGCATGGGGCCTGGTACAGAGGCTGGGCGGGGACTCACCCTGTGTAGGGAAGCCCAATATACAGAGGCCAAGAACTTGTATTTTCTTTGTATCCTGTCAGCAACCTGTGCAGTAGCAAATACCTAAGAGGTTTACAAGCTATGTAGGAAATATTTGGCAAGAACAGTGATCTGTTGTGACATGGCTTATGCATGTGTAAATTTTTTCCTAATCACGATGTAATCTGATTTTGTGGCTATGTAGCCAGTCAGGGATTAGAAAGGTAGGATTTAAGTGTTACCAGACAGCTCATGAAATAATTGGTTAAGTAGTCTTCAATTAAGTGTAAGTGTAGACTGTTAAAAGCACAATAAATCTCTTATAGGTGTTGGAAGTACACCCCAACCCTGCCCCATCTGTCCTCATTCAAAGCCCCTTCCTCCCTCTTCCTTCCCCTGTCCCGAAGAATGACATAATTTCCTCACTGGTTGTCAGTCCTACATGATCCTTATGTGACTGGGCAAATAAACAGCATCTGCCTCATCATAATGGCTAATAATACCAGGTCCCTTCCAGGAAAGTTTCAAAATAAGAGAACTAGATGAGAAAAGCAATTGCCACATATTTATGGCCTTGAATGTGCTTGTCACCGTGCCATGTCCTCTTACGCATTTCCCCTTTTCTCCCAATCATCATTGTGTTTTTACTCCATTTATTGAGAGAGTCATTTTGAGGAACAAATGGTTTCGTTAAGACACAGGCAGACCTGGCCTGATTAACTCTAGCAGGATAGGTCTGACCAGAAGAGGCCAGGGCATGAACCAATCTTTGCCCGCTGGACTGGGAGGGAGATGATTTGAGGAAATTAAATCCAATAGGTAGATTTAAGGTGGTAAACTGGCAGGTACCAGGCATAGGAAGAGCCAACAGAAGGTGACAAAGAGTCTAGCCAGGCCAGTGGGGCAAGGCTATGGGGATTAACAGACAGGGATCACAATAATAACCAGCATTTATTGAGGCCCCCACTATGTGCTGGGCACTGTTAGATGGTTTCTTTGCAGTATCTGTGACTCTGACATAAAACTGATGCTCTAGCAAATTTAACACCCTTTAATGCTCATATCAATCATTCAAAGTAAAGATTATTATTAATGTGATTGTACAGAATGGAACAAAGCATTGAGAGGTTAAGTCCCAGACCACACGGCTACTAAGTGGTAAGGCTGTAAGTGAAGTCCAGAGTTGACTCCAAAGGCCGTGATCTTCCTCACCACAGGCACACACAGGCACACACATGCACACACAGACACACACATGCACACACAGACACACACATACACACACATGCACACACATACACACACATACACATACACAAATATACACATTATGCCTGGATAGACTGCGGCCGGAGAGAAGTTCACTCATCCAAGTAGCAGCCCAGCTTCCCTGACTCTGTCACTTCACCTCTGGAGGCCTGGAGGGTGATGGTTAGGCTTTGGGACTATTGCAAGCTCAGGCCACTCCTTAGTGATGTGGAGCAGGAAAGATCTGGTTCTCCAAATATCTTTTACACAAAAGCTGAGGAATAAATTGTGGGCCAAGAAAGGAGGAGAGGACTGTGTGGGGCTCAGAAATATGAAGATAATAATTTAGGGGAACAGAGGAGAAAGGAAGTAAATAAGGAAAAGAGAAGGGGAGTGGGTCAGGGCAACAGGGCCACAAAACTAATGAACAGAAGGAAGGAGTCTTGGAAGTTATGGAGACAATGGGCTAATTAAGTCAGCCTGCAACTTGGTCACAGGTGGGACCAACAGCTTCTTGGACTTATGCACAATCAGAAGGCCCTAGGGTCATGTGAGTTTTGGGTATGTATGTATGTATGTATGTATCTATCTATCTATCTATCTATATCTATCTGCCTATCTACCTATTATCTATCTACCTACCTACCTATCCATTTATCTATCTATCCATCCATTTATATCTATCTATCTGCCTACCTATACATTTATCTATCCATCCACTTATCTTCTATCTATCTATCTATCTATCTACCTATCTAGCCATCTACCTATCTATTATCTATCTACCTACCTACCTATCCATTTATCTATCCATCCATTTATATCTATCTATCTATCTATCTATCTATCTATCTATCTATCTGCCTACCTATACATTTATCTATCCATCCATTTATCTTCTATCTATCTATCTATCTATCTATCTATCTATCTATCTATCTATGTATCTGCCTACCTATACATTTATCTATCCATCCACTTATCTTCTATCTATCTACCTACCTATCTACCCATCTACCTATCTATTATCTACCTACCTACCTACCATTTATTTATCTATCCATCCATTTATATCTATCTATCTATCTACCTACCTATACATTTATCTATCCATCCATTTATTATCTATCTATCTATCTATCTATCTATCTATCTATCTATCTATCTATCTTCATCATCATCATCATCATCTCTATGAACTGAAATGTGTCCACCTAAAATTGATAGGTGAAAACCTTAACCCTCAATGTATTATCAGTGTTTGGAGATAAGACTTTTAGGAGAACATTAAGATTAAAGGAAGTCACTCATGTTCTGAATGTGTTATAAATTCAATTTTCCTGTCTGAAAGGTATGCAGTGGTGTAGGCGGTATGTGTTTAACCAAAAGAAGAAACTGAATTTTCCACTATTAATGGGAAGTACATAATAGTTTCTATTTGTGTGTTCATTACCTATGTGGTGTTTCAAATTAGTATTCCTGTTGTAAAAAGCTACCACTCTCTTAGGCTTCATCTTGCTTGAGGGCCACTTCCTTCATCTTGAAACTTCTCTGGTCTCTGTGATTCGCATTGCTTGCTGGTTCTCTTGCAGCTCTCTGCCTTTCTTTTGCGGTTCTTCTAGTTCATTTTCATCAGCTCATCCCTTAAAAATTGAGCTCCAGGCCAGGTGCAGTGGCTTACACCTGTAATCCCAGCACTTTTGGAGGCCAACGCAGGAGGATCTCTTAAGTCCAGGAGTTGGAGACAAGCCTGGGCAATATAATAAAACCCCGTATCTGCAAAAAATACAAACATTAGCTGGGCATGGTGGTGCACACCTGTGGTTCCAGCTACGTGGGAGGCTGAGGTAGGAGGATCACCTGAGCCTGGGGAGGTGAAGCTTGCAGTGAGCCGGGATCACACCACTATACTCCAGCCTAGGCAACAGAATAAGACCCTGACTCAAAACAAACAAACAAACAAACAAAAAACAGAGGAATTGAGCTCCACCAGTTTTACCAGGTGGCTATTGCTGCATAACAAGCAACCCCTAAACTTAGTGGCTTTAAATGATGGCCACTTATTTAGCTAATAGTCAGTACATCAGCTGATCTCAGCTGGGCTCCTCCTCTATCTGTGGCCTGCTACCAAATCAGCTGGAGCCTGGCTGGTTTAGGATAGTTTTAGCTGGCACGGCTTGTCTTGACCCCATATGGTGTCTAACCTCCAGGAGGCTAGCCTGACCTTATTCACACAGTGAGAGCATTCTAAGGGAAAGAAGAGGAATGAGCAATGCCCTTGTGACTTGCCCCCCAAAAATTCCAAGGGGAATTTCGTCCAGGCCTGTATTTTCTGATTTCTGATTTAGAACAGAGGATGAGCACGTGATCCCGCTGAGAAGTAGGTGTGTTTCTTACAAAATAATTAGAGACTTTTCCCACTTGATCATCTATTCTTCCTTGTGCTTTTCTAACCCCCAGCCTTGACCCTGGCAGGACCCTCCCTTTAGGGTGCCCTCTTTTGCAACTTTTCCCCCTCTTTCTGTCTCTGATTCTCTTCCCACCCCTCAGGACTTTTGTCATTCCCTTAAACAGACAGAAAATTCCCCTCATGACGAGGCCCCCTTCTTCGGGCCTAGGCTTGGACCTTGTACAAAGTCACTTCTGCATTGTATGGAAACAAAGCAAGTCACAATGGCAGTCCAGGTTCAAAGGGTAGAGAAAGAGACTCTCTTGGTGGGAAGAAAGGCAAAGTCCCATTGCACAGAGGTAAAGGTATGGAAAGGCATGAAGAATTGTGGCCATTTTCCCAAAAAATCTGCCTCACTAAGATTCTACCTTTGGTTGTTCTAATGTTCTCTTTAGATAAATTTGACTAATGTCATAGTGTTCCCCTTATCCCATGCCCCATGATATCACATATTGTCTTCTATAAAATTTAATTTTATTCTGTCAAATTGAAGACTGCCTGTACTTTTGTCGTCACCTTAAATAGAAAATTCTGCAGCAGTGCATGGTCCAATTTGTTGAAAGGATTCTGCGTTAGAACTAGTGGCACAGACTGCTCTTTTTCTACCAGAACCAGATTCTTCTCTTCTTTAACAGGAGAACTGATGAGCATTAGCTGGTTATTAGAGTTTCTATGACTTTTACTCTCAACAGGTCTACTTTTGCCCAGTTATTAGAGACTATATTCCCAGCCTCCCTTGCAACATTAATCAGGCCATGTACCTTATTTCTGGCCAATGGGATGTGAACAGAATAAAAGCAAACCAAGGAAGGAGTCTTAGCTGCCCTGCCTCTTCTTCTTTTCCCAGGGCTTGTCCCCAGCGACAGAAACTACATAGAGAATGGCAGAATCATCCTATAAGATCTGGAGTATCTACTTCTGAATTGTGAAATAAGAGAAAAATAAACTATAATCTTATTTAATCTTTGAATGAGGGGTCTTCAAAAAGTTCATGGAAAATGCATAGTATGAAAAATTACACATGAGTTTCATCTTTTTTTGCACCAAAATAAACTTGTACTAACTTGTTTGTCTGAACCCGATCTAGTTTGAGGCACAAAAGATAAGACATCTGTTTGAAAAGAGCCCCAATCAGGGCAACATAAATTCTGCTAAAATCGAAGCAAGAACAAACAACAAATTTATGATGAAGCTTGGGTGGACAAATGGCAAAACCATTGGTGTTTTACAAAAAATTTATGGGGAAAGAGTCCCCAAAGAAACCGGGATTTTATAAATGGACAACTCATTTTAAGAAGGGATGAGATGATGTTGAAGATAAAACCCACAGTGGCAGACCATCCACATCAGTTTGTGAGGAAAAATTTAATCTTATTCGTGCCCTAATTGAAGAGGACTGAGGATTAACAGCAGAAACAATAGCCAACACCATAGACATCTCAATTGGTTCAGATTACACAATTCTGACTAAAAAATTAAAGTTGAGCAAACTTTCCACTCAATGGCTATCAAAACTCTTGTGCCCAGATCAACTGCAGACCAGAGAAGAGATTTGACAGAAATTTTAAACAAGTGGGATCAAGATCCTGAAGCGTTTCTTTGAGGAATTGTAACAGAAGATGAAACGCAGCTTTATCAGTATGGTCCTGAAGACAAAGCACAATCAAAGCAATGGTTACCAAGAGGTGAAAGTGGTCCAGTCACAGCAGAAGTGGACCAGTTGAGAGTAAAGTCATGGCAAAGGTTTTTTGGGATGTCAAGGAATTTTGTTTGTTGACTTTCTGGAGGGCCAAAGAACATAATATCTGCTTGTTATGAGAGTGTTTTGAGAAAGTTAGCTACCACTTTAGCAGAAAAACTTCTGGGAAAGCTTCGCTAGAAACCAATTGTCCATGATGACAATGCTCCTGCTCATTACTCTCATCAAAAAGGGCAATTCTATAAGAGTTTCAGTGGCAAATCATTAGGTATCCACCTCACAGTTCTGATTTGGCTCCTTCTGACTTCTTTTTGTTCCTAATCTTCAAAAATCTTTAAAGGGCACCTATTTTTCCTCAGTTAACAACATGCAAAAGATGCAATGACATGGTTAAATTCCTAGGACCCTCAGCGTTTTGTTTGTTTGTTTGAGACAGGGCCTCACTCTGTTGCTCAGGCTGAAGTACAGCCTTGAACTCCTGGGCTCAAGTGATCCTCCTGCCTCAGCCTCCCAAGTAGCTGGGACTACAGGCTTGTACCACCATGGCTGGCGAATTCTTTTTTTATTTTTGCAGAGATGGGGTCTCACTGTGTTGCCCAGGCTGTTCTTGAACTCTTGGCCTCAAGCTGTCTTCCCATCTTCGCCTTCCAAATTGTGGGATTACAGGCATGAGCCATTGTGCCTGATCCTCTCAGTTCTTTAGGGATAGACTGTATGGCTGGTATCACTTACAAAAGTGTATTGAACTTGATGGAGCTTATGTTGAGGAATTGATTTTATTTTTTATTTTTATCTTTAAATTCCATTTTTCCATGAGCTTTTTGAAGTTCTCTTCTATTTGTGAGGGCTTATATTACAGAGTTTAGCTTGTGCCCTAACTAATATGGTGATGAGAGAGGAGTGTGAATGATGGCAAGTGACTATTGAAATGCCAGACTGGGGTCCCAGTGGCCTGTTGGGATTCAAGGTGGGAGGTGGTACCACTCCTTCCATTTTTTTCTTTTGTTTTCCACATTATTTAACATTTCTTTGGTTTTCTATCTCCTCTTTCTCCAAGGCATTTCCCTTCTGTTCTCTTTTTTGTTCCACATCATTTCCATAGTGGTGCTGTGGGAAATCTCTTATAACCTTGATCTTAAGAGAGAAAATTAGCAACCACAATGGAGGTTAATCATATTATATTAGACATCAAGAAGTGTGTTTTATTTTGAAAAAAACATAAGAGTTAAATATAATATTGTGGGTGTTTGTATGCCCTTCATCAAGCTTCTCCCGATGTTAACATCTTTCATAACCTTCGTACATTTATTAAAACTAAAAGATTAACACTGATATAGTACTATTTGCTAAACTATGCACTTTATTAAGTTTCTCCAATAATGTTCTATTTCTACTCCAGGGTCCAGTCCAGTCTACTATGCTACATTGAGTTGTCATGTGCCCTTAGTCTCTTCCAATCTGTGATAGCCTCTTGGTTTTTCCTTGTCTTTAATGACCTTGATACTTTTGATACTATTTGGTCAAGTGTTTTGTTGATTGTCCTTAAATTTACATTTGTCTGATGCTCTCTCATGGCTAGACTGAGGTTAAGGATGTTGGAAAAGAATACACCAGAAGCGAAATACCCTTGCCATTATACCATGCCCAGGGATACATTATGTAACATATACATATACATATACATACACAAATGTCTGTGTGTGTGTGTGTGTGTGTGTGTGTATGTATTTAGTGGTGATGTTAGCATTAATCACTTGATGCCAGGGCTCTTCACTGTACAGTTAATACTTTCCCATTTTCATACTAGAAGTAAGTCCCATGGTTTGATTAGAATCAGTAGAAGTGAGTCAGTAACTTCAGCCCCCATTCAAGGGGAGGAGAATTAAACTCTTTGGAAGGAAGAGTATCAAAGAATTTGTGGATGTAAGTTAAGACCATTTCAGTAATAAATAAATATTTTTTGGAGATATTTTGAGGCTCTATACTATCCTGTTTCTGCTTAAATCTTCTCTCACTAATTTTAGCTGCAGCAATTATTAGTATGTTCTAGTAGTGATTTTCTATTTTTCTCATTCCTTCTATATTTATCATTGACAGTTAGTCTGTCAAGATTTATTCTTTTTTCCATTTACTTATTTACTTAATCACTTATTTATACCAGTATGGACTTGCAGATACTTATTTTAATATTGAAGTTATAATCCAGTACTATTGTTTATTTTGTTGCTCAGATTGTTCCAGCTATGTTTATCAGCAGCTCTTTAAGCTTGGCACCTGTGTCCTTTTAAAATGTTGATCATTTACTTATTTTTATTTATTATTATTATGGGTACATAATAGGTGCATATATTTTTGGGATACATGTGATGTTTTGATACAGGCATACAATGTGTAATGATCAAATAGGGTAGTTGGGGTATCTGGTACCTTAAGCATTTATCTTTTTTTTTTTTTAGGAACATTCCAATTTCACTCTTTTAGTTGTTTTAAAATATACAATAAATTACTGTTAGATATAGTCACCCTATTGTGGTACCAAATACTAGATCTTATTCATTCTACCTAACTGTATTTTTGTACCCATTATCCATCCCCATTTTTCCCCTCCTCCCTGCTACCCTTCCCAACCTCTGATAACCATCATTCTATGCTTTATCTCCATGAGATCAATGTTTTTTTTAGCTCCCACATACGAGTGAGAACATGCGATATTTTTCATTCTGTGCCTGGCTTATTTCACTTAACCTAATGTCCTCCAGTTCCATCCATGTTGTTGCAAATGACAAGGTTTTATTCTTTTTATGGCTAAATAATGGAATAATACATAATTCCATTGTGTATATATACCACATTTTCTTTATTCATTCATCCACTGATGGACACTAAGGTTGATTCCATAGCCTGGTTATTGTGAATAGTGCTGCAATAAACATGGGAATGCAGATATCTCTTCGATATACTAATCCAAGTATATTCTTTTTGATATATACTTGTGTCCTTTTGATAAAGCCCCATTATTTAATTTTATTTTTTATTTTTAGCACATCTTTTCTTTTTGGCACTATTAGAAGGATCATCCTGTTTTCTATGCTTCTGCTCTAGAATCAACCATTTCTCTAAGGATTACTGGTTTCCCTTACTGGAGAATGATATTTAGAAAATAAGATCTGGACACTAGGTGTGCTCATTGCTACTGGGGTGTCACTGCTTCTGGCACCTCTGAGCAGACACAGCTATGAAATATATGTATATATACTAACTCATGAATATACAGATATCTATATTTATTTATGTATCAATCTATCTCTGAACATATTAAATATGAGTTCATTCTGGTATCTCTGATTCTAATCAAACCACAGGACTTATTGTAGATTTCCCTTTGTTGTTTATTTGTAACTTCTTTCTCTTACAGTAGAACACCCAGATCTCATTAGATTTCCTTATTTGTTCCATCCTAGTATACATGTAAAGTCATTTCAAAATTGTTTACCTGTACCCCTGTGAGAAACAACCAGAGTAGAGTGTTCATGTACAGTTATTCTTGCTTGTAGCTTTACCATATGCAAACAGTTTTCCAGTGTTTCACAGATAAATTTCCTTTTCCCTTACCTTTTTCAATAAAGCTTTGTCATACATTTATAAATAGTTAAATTTATTTGTCACAATTTACAGTATGTCTGGGTTCTGCTGAATATCCTGGTTGATTTAAAAAATGTATATAGTGAAGTTCACTCTTTGTGTTGTACAGTTTTATGGGTTTTGGCAAGTTCATAGAGCCATTTATCCACCACCCCAGGACTATAAAGTACAGTTCCAATATCCTAAAAATTCCTTGTATGGTTTCTTTGTAGTCAACATCCCCTCTCTACCCCTGGTAATCACTGATCTGTTTCCCACCCTTTTGCCATTTCCAGAATGTCATAAATGGAATAATACAATGTGTAGCATTTTGGGACTGGCTTCCTTCAATTAAAAATGCACTTGAGATTCATTTATGTTGTTGTGTCACTCAATAGTTTGTTCCTTTTAACTGTTGAGTAGTATCCCATTGTATGGATATACCACTGTTTATTTTATTCATTCACCTGTTGTAGGACACCTGGTCTGTTTCCAGTTTTTGAAAATTGTGAATAAAGTTGAAGTAAGCATTCACATTCAGGTTTTCATGTGAACAAATGTTTTCAGTTCACTTGAATAAATACCTAGGATTGGGATTACTATGGGTTGTATGGTAAGTGTGTATTTAACTATATAAGAAATTGCCAAACTGCTTTCCAAAGTTGCTTTACCATTTTGTATCCCCAGTTAGCAATAAATGACAGTTCCTGTTTCTCATTGTCTCCAGCATTTGGAATCCTCATTTTAAAATTTTTATTTTTGGCCATTCTGACAGATGTATAGTGGTATCTCATTTGGTTTGAACTTGCATTTCCCTAATGATAATTGGGTTGTTTATTTTCTTGTTAGGTTTTAAAAGCTTTTATTTTTTTAAAAAAACATTAAGGATACAAGTCTTTTATCAGATATGTGATCTGCAAATATTTTTTCCAGTCTGTGATTTGTCTTTTCATTTTTTTTTTTTATTTTTTTCAGATCGAGCCTCACTGTGTTGCCCAGGCTGGTCTCAAACTCCTGAACTCAATGAATCCTCCCATCTCAGCCCCCCAAGTAGCTAGGACAATGGGCACATGCCACCACACCTGGCAGTCTTTTTATTTTCTTATCAGTGTCTTTCTAGAACAAAAGTTTCTTATTTTGGTAAAGTCCAATATATCAGTATTTCTCTTTAGGAACTGTGCTTTTAGTATGTTATTTTGAACTTTTAAAGTGCCACAAAACACCATTTAAGTCATAGTATATTTTATCTATTTAATAATGTGCCATGTCATTATGGACTCCACTGTTTTAATATTTATAATATTCATATTTCTGTTCCTACCCTAATTCTTCTTGATGTTTAGTCAAGAAGAATTAGTCTAATATAATCTAAGAAGAATCTAGTCTAATATAAACTAGATGTTGCTATCCATTTATGTCTCTTTAGAAGGTTTTCCATTAATTCAGCGATTGCTTTAAGGGATAGCAAGTTTGAGTGGATTTGGGGGCAGAAGGCTAACTAGACCAGGTGGGAGTCAGCTCTGCCTCAGCCAACTGTGGCAACAGGAGCAGAGGCTCCTCTCTGAGCCTTACCTTTCTCATCTATCCTACTTGTACTTCTCATAGTTGTTGTGAAGAGAAAATGAAATGAAGTAGATGCTCACATGAAGGTATTTTTTACATGTTTCTGATTTTCTGTTTATTTCTGCCCCCAGACTCTGCAATGATACATGAGAGAGCAGAGACCATGGAGGAAAGAGAGAAGGACAGGAAATTCTGGGCTGTGTGGGAATTAAGAGTGCCAGTATGGAAGCTTAACCTGGTGTCCATAGCATCCAAGCATTTGTGGATCCTGTGGCCTCTGCCTACACTTTGGAAGAGGCCTGCCCCTTTCCTCCTGGGGGCTCAGGTTGTCCCTGATTGGAAGGGCATGTGGTAGACAATTTACCGGGGCCCAGGGTGGCCATCCTGGCTACTGCCACCAATTTCACTTTTGCTCATAAAACAGCAGAGAATAGAGACTGTTAAGTTCAAGGTTTTCCTTGAGTTGGTTTCTTGGTTTGGTCACTCAGAATTATAAAAGTCATGGAATGTTATTTCTGGAAGGGACTCTGGAGATACAGGCCTATATTTTCTGATTCCCAATTTAGAACAGAGGATGGGCACATGATCTCCCTGAGGGGTATGTGTGTTTCCTACAAAATAATTAGAGGCTTTTCCCACTTGGTCACCCATTCTTCCTTGTGCTTTTCTAACCCCCAGCCTTGACCCTGGCAGGGCCGTCTCTCTAGGGTGCCTGCTTTCAATTTTTTTTCTCTTTCTGGATTTGTCTTTCAAGAGCCAGCTCAAATGTCTCCTTGCTGTGTAATTTGCTATCTCTGATTCTCTTCCCACCCTTCCCTGGCAAAATGAATCACTCTCTTATCTGCTTTGATATAGCACTTTAATGTAGCTATTTTGACATTCTGTTAAAAGTACACTTCTGTGTATGTCTCCCCTGCTAATGTGTCAGTGCCTAGAAGGCAAGAAGGGTGCTTATCCCCATCCCATAGTGGGAGCACAGAGGCTTGCAGGAATGCTTGTTGCCTTGAACCTGACTCCACTCCTTATTGTAAAGGCAAAGAAACTGAGGATAAGTAACCTGCATCATCCCTTCCCCAGAAATTCCCTTTTCCTAACAATTGATTGACCTGTATTCAATATATCTGGGAGCCAAGGGTCGGTGCTAAATTCTTTCTTTAAATTATTTTTAGCATGGAGAACCCGCGATTACTCTCTATATAATTGGCATGAGCAAGTGCTTAGGACTTAAGTAAGCAGACTTGATAATAAACATTTTGCAGTCTTAAATGCACAAACGCTTCTGCTTCTGGTAAGATTAGTTGACAAAACTATAGGAGGCCGCTAGAGAGACTGTCTGGGATTTTCCTGTGTGGAGTGGACACAATTAGATCTGCAGAATATCTGATCCTGGGAAAGAAAGGCTGACAGTACGATAAATAGGCTGCTACTGCATTTTGATCAGTGTTCCTACAAGCAGACAGACACATTCCCTCATTCACCATGTCCAGAAATCCAAAATTTATAGATCTCTTCACTTGCAAAATGCTCCTAAACCAATTTTATTTCCACAGACTTGACCTTTGGCGTTTAGACTTTCTCCCCATTGGCAAACCCAGGCTCCATTTTATCCTGCAGACGGCCATTTTGGCAGTTTCCTTAACAGCTTAAGGAAAGAACGAGAAGTCTACATATGGAGACCTCATCCCGGTTGCCTAATGGATTCAAAAGACATCCTGAATATTCATCATTTCTCCTTTTATGAGCACCTTGGCAATTCTCTCTAAAGGCGAAGGCTGCAGTAAATTCAGAAGTGCCATTTAGTGAATACCAATCTATCTTCAATTCAAGTCTAACTTTTTTCCTGCTCCTCGGCACACTATGGTAGCTCCTGAGAACTCAGTGAATGCAGGGCATTGTCTCAGCTTGGGGGAGGCAGGATTGTTTGTGAAAATCCAAAGCCTGAAGCGGTGGTCTGCTCCTCAGCCTGCTTGCCTGAGCTGTATGCACTTACCTTGCATTCTCTGCAACTCCTTTCCTGGAAGCTGGAAACCTTTGGGGAAAATGGTAAAATCATGCTGGAGTGCTTGGCTTGGTGACAGGGCTTTTAATCAGTAGTTGTAAATTGGCAAATATTGTTTAGCTCTGTGCCTGTGATAGTTCCCTTAGGTGTGCTTGAGATCCATCACAACATTCCCCAAATGTGTATCCCCCAGGATACTGATGTGGGTACTTGTTCAACGGTGGTAGCTACAGACAGAGACAGAAGCCCTCTGATTATTTTTGTTCATTCGAACAGTTCAGGCTGCTTGACCCTGAGTGTGACTACAGAAGGTGCAGCGGGAGGTGGCTGTGATAGTCTCTGCTGTGGAGCCACTCTGTCTCCCCACAGGCTCTATGCTGGTAATTGAGCCTTTTCTCCCACCCAACTTCAATGTCATCCACATTAACTGCACATTGTTCATCGATTTCTCATAGTTTTTCTCTCCTTCCTGAAAAAATTGGGGCCTGAAATCTCAATCTCCATTAGCTTTTGTACCTTTTTACTCTAGAACAGAAACACATGTACTTATTATTTATCTGTTTATATTAGTATGTTCTTGAAATTTAGACTTTCAATTTCATCTCTCTCTCTCTCTCTGTCTTTTTTTTTTTTCTGAGATGGAGTCTCGCTCTGTCACCCAGGCTGGAGTGCAGTGTTACAATCTCAGCTCACTGCAACCTCTGTCTCCCAGGTTCAAGCGATTCTCCTGCTTCAGCCTCCCAAGGAGCTGGGATTACAGGAGAACGTCACCACATCCGGTTAATTTTTGTATTTTTAGTTAAGACAGGGTTTCACCATGTTGGTCAGGCTGGTTTTGAACTCCTGACCTCAAATGATCCGCCACCTCGGCCTCTCAAAGTGCTGGGATTACAGGCGTTAACCACTGTGCCTGGCCTTCATCTCTTATTCTAGAGACATTATTTCTTGGACAAAGTCAAATAATTGTCAACCCATAGGTTTGGGCCAACCCATGCTTGGGTGTTGGCCCAAAGTGTTTCTTTCCCTAGTGACCTGCCTTTCCTCCACATAGATTGTTAAACTTTCCTCTGAAGCCAAGAGGCTATGCCATTTCTCTTTCTTCCTTTATGCACCCCAACTGTCTTAGTGAATTTAAACAGCTTTTGAGCCCATCACAGAGTTTGCACACCATGGCTCACAGGCCACATCTGGCCTGTGGACCTGTTTTCCTTGGCCTTTGTATTGTTTTGAAATGTTTTCAATTAGTTGCCAACATTTACAAATTGGGAAATTTTACATTAAAGTGTCCAGACTTTGGGAGCCTCATGAAAAATCAAAAAATCTGAAAACCTTGAACCTGCATTTCTATTCAACAGTTGGCTGGGACTGAACAGATGGGGAAGTGTTAGGAGCTGTGCATGTACTCACTAGTTTGCCACAGTCCACACTACTGCTAGTATTTTATGACTCCTCTGTTCACTCTCTCACTGACCTGCCTGGCTGCTGTAGGCATTTGTGTTTGTGAGGACTGGTCTAATAGAAGACAGAAAATCTGCCTAGGAAGATTATATTTTCTGTTTTGTTGCCCACCTCCTCCAATTATTCTTCTTATAGGAAAGAAGGAATCAAAGGGATCTAAGGAAGATTTGTGACTTTTACCAATTTAGGAGACCTTATTGGAAGTTCACTAGTTTAGGAAGGAAAGATGGAAGTCTCACATTTTGGTTTATGATTATTATTTTTCTCATACTCAGAGACAGCTCTTGAACTTAGAATTATGCAATCTTGCAGCAGGAATTGAAGCAGGGTGCATAAATCAGGAACAGACTCTAAAGCAATATTGGAAGAATACAGTTCAGAAGCAATCAGCCTACAGAATAGGAAATGGCGTAGGTCTCATCTGAGGCTAGGTGTGAGTGAATTCCGTCTGGCCAAAACGTAGTACCCACCAAGGGGAGAGAAAATAGATAAAAGTGGCTAATTATCCCACAGATAAGATTAAGGATATTAAATTGCCTTCTAAATTCAGGGTGTTTTGTGAAATTAAGGGGCCATTCATCTTGTTCTTTTTATTGATTAAGAAGCAAGAGAAAAGCTTTTTAAATAGTTTGCTTCCTTGTGTTGAATAGTGAGTGGTAGAGAAAGTTGGAACCTCTTATACATCCTACAAATGACAGGCTGGTGCAATGACATGGCATGACTTTGAGAATGGTGCATAAGGAGAAGAATCATATCAGTGCTTACAAGCAACCTCTTCAAAATTTTGACTTACTCTTAGATTGTTCTTCTGCTGAAGTGACAATGCATTTGGGTACTCTGTATATATACCAATAGGGAGGTGGTAAGTGGGGTAGCTTTGCAAACTTTCCTCTGGACCTGAAATTCCAGCATCCAGTAAAGTAGGAACTTTGCATCTCCTGCTACCTGAACTCTATGTGGTCTATTTGTGGATTGGAAGGGTTGGAAGGAATACTTTGGACCTCTGTTGGTGTCAGATACGATGACAATTGAGCAGTCCTCCCAAAATTTGCTGTCTTGTTTTTATTTCATGTTATGCTAAGTCAAAATCCATATGTTGCACTCATATTTTAAACACAGGTCTACTTCTTGCTTTTTGAATTTGGGAACATTCTGATTATCAGACCCACATCCTCTCCAGGGCACTTAGCCTTGTGACACTATAACTCCCAATTTTTGGAAGTGACTCATAACGTCTGCTTATACTTCTCATTCAGTGTCATGGTTGGGTCCCTGTTGGCTTTTGATTTTAAGTGCCCGACTTGTAATCCGCTCAGCCTGAGAGAGAACTTAGAAATCGGAAGTATTTTATGTTCCAGGCTGTAGACCTTATGAGGTGATGACAGTGTTCTATAGGGATATCTGTTCTGCTTTTCCTATTGAAATCAGTGAAGGAACTGGAGCAGAGTGCTTAACAAGGGCAGAGAGCAAATGAAACTGCCTTGTGATAAAGCTGAGAATGTGATGATGGCGTGTATCAGCACAGCTCAAGGAGGGGACTGGCTAAAAAGCAGGTTGGAGAAAGAGGGAGGAAGTGAAGGTTTCTACACATATCCAAGCAAGAGAGAAAGCCAAAGGTGCCAAGAAAACCATATATATATTACATTATCAATTATATATATATGCATATATATAATTAATTTGAATAGCCCAAAGGTGTATGTTTTTAATAGGAGTGAGTGGGGGCCATTTAAAATGGGTCAAGTGCAAAGCAGGTCAAGTGCAAAACGGGTCAAGTGCAAAACGGCTGGGGCTGGGGGTCACAGGCTGGGACATCACTGGACTGAGGGGTCAGGGGTGAATTCCTGACTCAGGCTATTCTCAGCGTGTCTGCTTTCTGTTTAAAAGCTTTCTATTTGAAAAAAAAAAAAAAGACAAAAACCTGCTTTATTTTTTCCTTTGAAAAAGCAATAGCAAAAAGTATCACGGAATATCTTTAAAAATCAGTCCTTCTTTTAAACTTTTTTTTCTTTTTTTGAAGAGCCACTTCAATTTCTCCTATAGAAAACTTTCGCTAATAGATCTCATGAACATATTTGGTTCCCTTATTCCTCTCTTTTTGTAACTCTCTTGTTTATGTTGCCAGTCATACAGATGACATGTCGTTCTGTTGTGAATTCCCCATTATGTCGTTAGAATGAACATCCATTCTGCCCATTAACATGTAGTCTTTATATCTAAAGCTCTGGTCTCTAGAAATGTAACCCAATGAAAATAAACGCGTTGCGTTTTGGCTGAAAATCAACATGCCTTCATGATCAGTAAGCATTAATTGTTTTTGGCTTTGACAACAAATAAAGCTATTTCAAGGTTTCTTTAAACAGGCCTTAAATTTGTTGGAGGGTGGTGTAATACTTAGAGCATCACAATAAATATTTGTCTGTTAGAACACTCATTCATAAATGAGTAAATATGCCTTATGCCAGGAACTGAGGATGGGCCCTGGAGATACAGGAGGGAATTCCTTGTCTTCTAGGAGCTAACACTTATAATTTTGAGACTATAATTTTATCTTTATTTGGGATAAGAAATAATTACGCATTACATGTTAGAACTCAGCGCAGTGCAAGTACATTAGAGACATTTCTTAGCCTGTGTGCAGTGATTGGTTAACCCACCACAACTCAGGCAGGTCTACAAAAGCTGGATTGGTTTCTATTTAGTCTCCATGATCATTAACTAGAAATTGCCACTGAGCAATTGCTTTTGTTATATTTCCTCATGGGAGTTCTAAATTAAGGTCACTCTATACTAGCTTTACAGTCTTGGGGTTAATATAAGGAACTGGAAGTTTCTGCTTCATGCTTTATGTTTCTCCATTTTGAGACTCATTTAGAAACTTAAATTTGGAAATATATAGTCCTGTGTATTTAGCAAAGGATGCAATTTATGTCAATGGATATTTCACAGAAAAATAAACAACCTTGTGTCAAGTAGGTTTGGTAAATATTGAGTAAAACTATCTTACCTTTTAGATTGGTGCAAAAGTAATTGAGGTTTTTGCAATTAAAAATAATTGTAAAAGTAAAAATACAATTAAAAGTAAAAGTAAATCGATTTTTTTTAGGGTAAGACTTCTCAAAGACTTTAAGTGCTAATGTGCATTGTGAATCTTTAGGATTGGGTTAAGCAAAATTTTTCAAATATTTTTGGCTGCACAATATTTATAAGGAGGTTTCTCAAAGCACTTTCTGTGGGTCTAGTGTTTTATGAAATCTATGTTGGAAAGAAGTGCAATGACCACACGCTCCAATCCAGAAGACTTAGACTATAAAGAGGCTCAATGACTTGCTGAAGGTCCTGAAGACAGCCAATAGCTGCTGGGACAAGAACTCACCATTTTGTTAGCAGGCTAATGTTCTTTCCACCATGGCATGGCATTCCTTTTTATTCCTTTCCTTTTTTAGTACCTTTTCCCCACCTTGATGGCTTAGGCCTACTGGTAGCTTGTTATGTTTTCCATGTCATTTAGGTCCCTTTGAAATAGTAAGAGTGGCTCTCTCAGTTCCTTGTGTTCTGATCGGATTTTTTCCCTCGAACAGCTAAAAGTTGAGCACATCAGCTAGTTCTAGGCAACACCTCCACTCCCTCACCCTTAACCTGTCCTGGAGGAGGCTTTCACTTCAGTTCCTGCTGCTGCTTTATTATAAGCATGGATCCCTTGTTAATCCATCCCATCCATGTCCTGTCTTCCCACTAAGCTCAAGGTCAAGATATACTAATTTGAACTCATCATTAGATTTGTTTGTGCTCTTGGGTCAATTATGTTTGTGATCACTCTGAGTTCTATTCTCCTAAGCAGATTTTGTTGTGTTTTGTTTTGTTTCATGTTTTTGGAGACAGAGTCTCACTCTGTGGCCCAGGCTGGAGTGCAGTAGCATGATCTTGGCTTACTGCAACCTCCGCTTCCTGGGTGCAAGTGATTCTCGTGCCTCAGCCTTCTGAGTAGCTGACAGGCACGTGCCACCTTGCTTGACTAATTTTGTGTGTGTGTGTGTGTGTGTTTTCAGTAGAGATGGAGTTTCACCAAATTGTCCAGGCTGGTCTCAAACTCCTGACCTCAGGTGATCCACTGCCGCCTTGGCCTCCCAAAGTGCTGGGATTACAGGCATGAGCCACCATGCCCGGCTTCTCCCAAGCAGATTTTAACCTTGCTACACATAGGATCTTCCTCTGATCTTATCACTGTCTTCCATCCCAATTCCATTAGGATCCGCTTCAGTATTTTGAACTCTTCTGGCTGCTGCAATATGTTATTAACTTATGTGATATCCATCTGTAATACATACCAGTCTGTGACCATTAATGAGAAAAGAAAGTTGGTGATAAAAATTTTGTCACTGCCAAAAAGAAGATTTGCATCACTTATTTACCCAGAGGCTGTCAATGTAATTAAAAATATGATGAGGTGCTGACTGAGACACCAAATAGCTGACTGGGCAATAATTTTAGTGATTTCACTTTACTTTGGTTATTTACTTAGCTGATTGATTGTTTTGTGACATTTTATAAAAGAAAATACCTATTAAATTTCTATTCATTTGTACGTGTTTGCTGGCCTTTTCTTTCTTCAGTAGTTGTATCCTACTGTTCTCAATTCCAAGTTTTAATAAGGTTAGGGTAGAAAAACTATTATATAAGTAGAACCATGAACTATTTTAATGCAACCATTTGCTTAACAAATAAAACTAAACTTACCTTCAGAGCGAGATGAAATTTCTTTTTCAGTGCTTCTGCTGGAGATATTGCCTGATGAAGAAAAATGGTCCTGTCTTTATCAGGAGGTGTTGTCCTCCTATACCCAAGCAAGATTAAAAACTAGGCCTTCAATCCCCACAAATGGATAAAGAAATTAAAAAAAAAAAAAAGATTCCCATACAGCCTGGCTTTTTATGTAATCCTTTACTTCCCTTTGGAGGAAGGTCCTGTTCATTGGCTAGGACCAACAAGAGACATATTTAATTGTTAATTATTTGTCTTTGCCTTTTTTTAGTGCTATATTTATGATTAGAAAAGCTTGTTTAAAGCATTATGGCTAAAAAAAATGTAGTCAAATGTACTGGAGCTCTTAAGGAACTTTAATAGGCTATCAAAAACAGTGAAGATTTATTTAATGTCTCCCTTCCAGGAGGATATATTGTTGGTTCAGCTGCAACTTCTTAACTTCATCATATTTTATATACTTTGGCCATCATGAATTGCCACAAGGCCTGTTGCATGGTGTGATTTAAAATGTGTTCTGATTAAGTATACAGAAGTGGTCCTGTTCCCCAATGGAGGAAGGAGAGGAACATCATAAATATACATTGTTTAAGTGTAAATTCTACTTCTCACTCATAGGTTATATTGTACTTGCATGTTTTATGCTCTGTTGGTACTTAAAAAAATCATTTCATTCAGGGACATTTCCAGAGATCTAACCAAGAGCCAGGCAACAGGGACCTACTTAGAATTCTTTCCTTAGAATTTGTAATGGGGGCAAAATAAGGCAACGAGAGGAAGTAAGTATATAGTATAAAGCTCTTCTGTTGAATTACATATAATGGGCATACATCTGAGTCTATGAGCTCATATGGGCAAGATATTTACTTTTTTATTTCCTCACATCAAGGCACCCAACTTACCTGACTGGTAGAAATTTTATCTTGGTCACTTGTTGGGCCAATTTGTTTTTTCTTGGAGGGTACCAGAATCTGAGAGGCTATGTGAGGCCAAGGAGATGGATAAAAGGCCTCCCATCTCCAGGATTCCATGTTCACATTGACATTGACATTCTTATGGTCAAACCAGTGAGTATTCTTGATATATGGCTGCTCTCTGCTTTTATGCTGGGTGTGAGGCTCAAGTATTTCTGTAAGCCTGGGATCCTGAGAGTCCAGGTGTCCTTCTCCAAGAAGTTCTACTAAATATCCTGGCAAGGCCTTGCTACTTCCCCACGCACCACTGCAGAGAGCAAAGTGATCCACACTGGTCCCAGACCCTGCAGACCTTTTTTCTTCCCAGAAGAAAAGATGACTTCCCAGAAGTCATCCTGGCAGGATGACTCTAGGACTCAAAAGATTTTCCATCCCTGGACCCCTCTGGACATGTAGAATGACCTCAGCCTTCTGGGCATTTCTGCTCTTGGTTTTGCTGTTCAGTCTACTAAAGTCACTGAATGAAGGCAGCCCAAAGGTATATCCACCTGTTGAAATGGGGGCAAGTGATTGTGACAAGAGCAGAAATACAGGGAGAACAATAACACATTCACAAAAACTTTGCTCTGGATGGGTAGAGATGTTAAGACCAAGAGAACATGGCAACAAAAGTGGCTTGAATTGGGAAATTCAGGTAAGTCCTATTTCCCCCTGTTGACTCAAGAACTCTGTTGACTGGAGAACTCTGTGTACCCAGTAGAACAGTTCATGTAACATAAGCATCAAAATAATCAAGGGCTGAAGAATAAATAAAAGACGGGCCCCCAAACTCTCCAGTGAAGAAAAAAAGATATAAAAAGCAGTAAAATGAAGATCTGTTTTCTTTTTTTGTGGGCCATATCATCTTAATAAGTCCCATTGTCTGATTTATTGGTCCCATCACTAGAGAATCCAAAGCTTCTTTGACCTCCTAGGTGATTTTCAAGTTATAGCCACAGCCCTGATTCTAAAATCTTAGGTAAAAGGTACATATAGACTTGTCCCAGTTATTACAAATGAATATGGTGCATATACCTTACATTATAAAATACCCACTTTGTATTTCTTAAGCAAAATTCATGAAGACTTTCATGAAATGAAATAAATACTATAAGAAATGTCACGTCTTTTCAGGTCAGTTTTTGCTTTCATATATATTGAAATCAGGTGAGATTTTATGGCCAAACAGCTACAAAAAACTTTCACTATTCAGGTCTTTTGCATTTTGGAATTACAGATAAGAGATTGTAGATCTTAAGTGAGAGTCAAAAGTTGTTCATACCTAAGCAAGAAGAGAGAGAATGAGATATTCTCTGTGTATAAGCTGCCCACACCTCTTTGGCTGTGTGGGAGCATAAATATTATTCTCCTTTTTATGCTGTAGTATTAGCTGTATTGGGAAATAAGTAAGTTTTGGCATAATGTCAGTTAAGTGATATTAGGAAGCTTTACAACAAACTGGAAAGCTTCAGTGTTTCTCAGTCCATTCATTCAACAATGATTGAGCACCCACTGCATATCACGAACCAACCTAAGTGTTAGGGAAGACAGCTTGTGCCTTCATGGTGTTCCCCATATTGTGGGGGAGTAAGTGCACAATGATACTGTGGCAAGTGTTAAAATAGGGGAAGGCATAAGACGCTTTGGGACAATAAAAAGAGCAGCCAACTTAGACAGAGGGGAATGATGGTGGGCTTCTTTGAAAGAAGGAGGAGATGGCCCTGAGCAGAGTCTTGAGTAATCCCTAGGCATTACACATGAACAGAAACAAAAAGAAGGGGTGATGGGTGAAGGGATGTTCCAGACAGCTGGAGACATATGTGAAAATGTGAAAAGACAGCATTAGAGAATGCACGTTTGGGAGAGAGGGGGACCAGGGATGATGGAAGAGAGGGGCCAGATGCCAAACCATGAAGGATGACTTTGATAATCAGGACTATCTACATCAGTGGATCATCAATGAAAAGCTTTCCAGCCCAAACAGGGTGATGAGAGCATCTGTCCATGAACTACTGCCCAGAGCTCATCTGGTAGCTCTAAAGATCTACTATTCATGTCAGAAACAAGAGATTAGGCACTGCTCTCTTGTAAGCACTGAGGAGGATAAAGAACCATGGAACACTGTGGGAAGAAATAGTTTGAGGCCCACGCTTGGAGAATCTTTTATGTTGCGTGTGGGGCTCAAGTATTTCTGTAAGTCCTCGGGGCATCTGCAACAGCCCAACCACTGCCACCAGTCCTTTCCTAGGGAAAAGAGAAGACTTTACACTGCTTCCGACAGAGAGATCTAGTTGGGTAACAGGGTTTCCTCGTGGTTGTGGGGGCTTCCTCAGGACTAGAAAGGAGGATATACTGGAAAAGGATTGTCAGTCAAAGCCATGGCAAGCTTGAGGGCACAGACGTGTGGCAGGCTTGTACAAAAGGAACAGGGAACTGGAGGCAGAGCAAGCTCTGGGCAATTTCAAACTTTGCTCTCCTCTCCCCGATTCTCTCCCCTTTTCTTTGGGTTGTTGCTGTGTTACTTCCAGCCCTCAGAGATGATGAATTATGGCTGGTGGTTGTTTCTAAGCACAGTGCATTCTTTTTTAATTAGAATAGTTCTTAATATTACAGTGCAGACCTGCTGGTAAGACATTTGGCACCGGGGCAGGTATGAATCCCTCAGCAAACTCCTCACACACCATTCCTAGGATGTAACACATACTTTGTCTCCACCCAGAGATTGTCCTCTGGCTCTAAGTACCACCTCCCTCCCCTCTTCACACAGATGCCCTGAGGACTCAGACTTCTGTGGTGCAATCTTTGCCAGTCTCGGTGACAGTTTTAGAGTCTGGAAGCAAAGTGAAAAATAATTTTGCCTGTTTTACCCTAGGATGCCAGGTTTTGAGAAGAAATGTCCTGTCTTTGTATGCATTCAAATATGTATTCAGAGGTTTTCTAAGACAACTAAGGACCTAGTTAACACTCTAACTGCAATTGTAGTCAGGAAAACAGAAAAAACCACATGTAGCTTGGGGAAATGAAGGCTGTGGTAGGGGCAGTTCTTTCTTGTAGCTATTCAGGAATCTCTTGCAGGCAGTGTGGTCTTGGGATAAGGGTATTGATTGAAATAGTTTCTCTCCAACCTCTTTTAGGTTGCTCCTTTCACTTCAGAAGTCCTGCCTTTTGATATCCACGGTGGTTGTGCTGTAGGATGGTTTTTCAGGGCTTTTCATGATCTTTGTTCCTATTCTAGTTCTTCACCTTCCTTTTCTATCAAAACAGGCCTATGGTGGAAAAAAATCCTACAGAGGGCTTTCTAACAAAAAACAGTTTTAATATTATAATTCAAAGCAGTAAATATTAACAAATGGTAGGCAGGGGCCATGGCAGGTGATTAATCAGAAGCCAGCATCCACCAATTCCCACTGCAGAGCTTCCATCTGCACCCACCTGCTTTGCCTTCCTGTCCCTCACTGTAGGTGAGCTGTGCTCAACGTGTCTGCGTCTGCACTGGATCTTGTCTCCTCATGTGCCCACAATTCTCCCTCTCTACTATGTCGTATTTTCTTCTCTCTCTGGGCCATCTTCGTCAACTTATTAACATGTCATTATTTCTCTTCTTGAACATGTCCTCCTTTTGACCATCTACTCTACCCTCCAGCTAGCATCCCACTTCTTTACTATCCTCAGCAGAAAATTTCCTACAAACTCTTCTATCTCCTTCTGTCTCCAGCTCCTTTCTCTCATGCGCTCTAAAATCCACCCCAATTAAACCTTTGCCTCTCCACTGCACCATACCTGCTTTTGTCAATGTCCTTAGCGATGTGCATTTTGCTAAATTCAATGATTACTCAGCACTATTTGACACTAGAGTCATATCCTTCTCTCTAGATACGCTCTCTCGGTGTTGTTTCAGACTCATTGGCTGCTCCTTCTCAGACTCCTTTGTTTCTATTCTTCTTTCTGACTTCTGAATACTGCAGTGCCCAGGCCGCTGTTCTTGAATTCCTTCTCTTTTCTATGTACAGCCATTCACTTGGTGAGCTCATTCAGGTTCATGGCTTTCAATACTTCCTGTGCTTATGACTACCAATTTTATATGGCTAGCTCAGTCCCTTCTCCTGAATCTTCAGACTCCTAAATTCAAACTCCCTCTCTTGCATCTCCACTTACATATCAATCATGTGTTTTAAACTTACATATCCAAAGTTGAACTCCTGATTTTCCCATCAAACCCACAAATCGTCTTCCCAATCTTGGTTGGTCGCATCTTCATTCTTTCAGTGGTTCAGGCCAAAAACATTGGCACCAAATCTATACCTTTCTATCTCATGCCTCCTATCCAACCCATCAGGAAATCCAGAAGACTCTATCTTCAAAAAAATATCCAGGATCCAACCACTCTTCACCACTTACGCTGCTGGTCTTTTGGTCCAAGTGCTGACATCTATCATGTCCAGTAGATTCCTAACTGGTCTCTCAGCTTCCCCCTTTGTTTTCTTATAATTTTTTGTCAACACAGCAAAGAGGTTGTTGTAAAATACAAAGTTAGCTCATATCAGTGCTCCCTGGAAAAGCCTCCTGATCATACTCAGATGTTTGCCAAAGTCTTTATGATGGCAAAGGGTCCCTCATGATCTATGTCCTTGCCCCTCAATACTTCTGTTCTTCCCCACTGCTCCCCGCCACCCATGCTGCCCCAGCCTCACTGGCCCTCTTGCTGGTTCTCTCCTATGTCATACATGTTTCCTTCCACTCCGGGCCTTTGTCCTGGCTCTCTTTTCTGTGTCTGGAAACCCTGTCCTTGAACTATCCACCTGATTAACTTCCTCAGTTTTCTCATATCTTTGCTCAAATGCCACCTTTTTGGTGAGGCCTGCCTTGACCTCCCTGTTTCATGTTGTAAACCATCCCATGGCACTCCCAATTCCTCTTTTCTATAGCACTCATCACCTTGTAACCCAACACACAATTTACTTATTCATTGTCTTTATTATAATAGTCTGTCCAACCCTCCCCCAAACAATATGAGCTCCATGAAGGCAGTTATTATTATTAATTTTTTTTGTTTACTAGTATATTCCAAGCATTTAAGTCAGCACCTAGAACTGAGTAGGCTTTTAATAAATATTAGTTGAATGAATAAATGAAAAATAGGACATTGACATTATATTTTATAAGGTATGTTCATGTTATTGCCTTAAAAAATTTTTTTTAGAGAGTATTGCTCTGTCACAAAGGCTGGAGTGCAGTGATGCAAACATGGCTCACTGAAGCCTAAACTTGCTGGGATCAACTGGTCCTCCTGCCTCAGCCGCCTGAGTAACTGTGACTACAGGCATGTGCCACCATGCTCAGCTAATTTTTTGATCTTTTTGTAGACACAGGGTCTCACTTTGTTGCCCACGCTGGTCTCAAGCAATCCACCCACCTTGGCCTCCCAAAGTGCTGGAATTACAAATGTTAGCTACTGCACCTGGTGACATGTGACTACCTTTAATCCTCACAACAGTACTGTGAAGTTGGCATTATCATTATTAGTTCTCTGAGAAGTTAAACAAGTTGTCAAAGATCAAGCAGCCAGTAGGGAGCAGATGTATTGCAGAGCTGGCCTCTGAGAACAAATCTGCCCCCACTTGTTGGCAGATGTGCTGTGGATAACCTTCCTATGAAATCAATATACTTGCCCTCTTACGGTCTTATGAATGTCTGCAGACACTCAGACATGTTGCCTTGGAAGCTTCCGCATTGGTGACAGGCTTTGAGGTACGGAGCCTCATTAAGGGTTGGCCTGGATGGTCAAACGCACAATTGGGAAATGACCACGGTTTCATTCATTTAGAACGGAAAATGTTTCTTGAAATCATTAGTAAACTTCCCCGTGATGAAATTCCCAAGCATGCTCTTACAACTTTTCATTTCCTTGAGCACTACACATACTTCCCTGAGAATAAGGATGTGGGGAGGTTGAGTTTCCCTGGAGGATTTAGCAAGACTGACTTTCTCTATATATTGGTTCTTGGTACTCTGTAGACGAGTCTCTCAGGAATGCCTAGGCTTCCTTTTGAAGCAGGAAATGCTTATTTCTTGGGGTAATAAATCTGCATTTGGTATTAAAATTAGCTCCTTTTGGGACTTGGTGGAGGTGCTGAGCCGGGTACACATTTTAGCTGAGTCCTTGGGTTGCTCTGAGCAGTCTCTGGGACAAGGTGGCTGCAATAGCATCAAAAAACCCTTTGTTGATGGAAAAACAGAGTCCCAGGGGAGCTCACTGAGTTGTGAGTCACTGTTTGGGACTAGGCCAGGGGGAAGCTCATCACCTCATCTCCTGGACCTTGGTTTCAGGTACCTACTGGACCAAGGCAGCCAGAGCTTGTGGAACTGTCGTCAGAACCCACAGAGCCCAACTGGAGCTCAGCCAGTTGGAACTGTCTCACCCAGAAGCGGGTGAGACAGCTGTCACGTAGTTACTCCTGAGTAGGTAGTAGTTTCCTGCTACTTTCCAATTTTTATGGCCAGCAGAGAGTGAGTGAGGAAATGGCCTGACATGAGATACAAAGTCTAGGTGGGTTTGTATCAGGGGAAGTAAGTGGGAGGAGATAGACCTGGGACCCTTAAAAGCAGGAAGTATGGCAGAATAAAGACTTGAAGGAAGAAATCAGGTCATAGCCCTCCTGATGAATACTTTCCAAATGCTCTGTACTGTCCTTAGAACCAACTCCAGACATTCTGTCCTGGCTTATTACACGCTATGGGATTTGCACCCTTCCTGATTTCCCTTGCCCACACCTCCATTGGGTCAAAGCTCATTGTCTTCTCAGGGGCTTTCTACAGCCTTTCCCATGAATTCGAATGTTGCCCATTGAATCCCACACAGCTGCCTCCTTCCTGCAAGTCTCATCTGAGCGTCACGGTTAGTTCCTTCCCTGATTCTCCTATCCTAATGTGAAATAGCCACCCAGTCTCTCACACCTTGTTTAACTTCTCCACGTAGCTGTTATCACCATTCGATATTTCTCTTCTTGATCAAGAAGATCAAGATCTGAAGATTGTTTTCTGCCTCGCCCAACAGAATGTGGAATAGGGCCCCATTTTATCCCGAGCGCCTAATAGTGCCTGGCAAATAGTATGTGCCCCAAAATTATTTTCTGGATGGATGAATGAAAGGTGTAGTGGAACAGTAACGGGTTTGGGTTCATTCATCCATTTATTCACCTAAAAATCCATCCAAGTGTTTGATCCTATCTCAGCTCCAGGTTAGCTTTGATACTTTGGGTAGGTTATCTAGCCAACATAGACCCTGGCTTTCTCCTATGTTAAAGGAGCGTAAGAAGTCCTACTTTGCATAGTTACTAATTGCTATAAGAACAGAATGAGATGGCACATCTAAGTTTTTGATGAGAGAATGGTGCATAGCACTATTGGAGCGTGTGACACAAAATAGATTGTCTTATTACTGTACACCCAACTCCTACTTTTAATAGGTGAATGAACTAATGTTCCTTTTTTAATTTACCTCGACCAATACCAATTAAAATAGAGTAGTTCATTCGCTCTTCCCTGTCTGGTTGCTTTATTGAGTTCAGAGAGAGAACACAAAATTTCCCATGGGAAAAGGGAACATGACAGACAGAAATAGTGATCTAGTGTTGGGGGAAATGAAGGCCTGGGAGTGTGGGGAGATTCTGCATTGTTGCATGTCAGTGAAGAGATGCTAGGGTGTATTAAAGTGTTTTAGAGGAGAGAATTGTTGAAGCCCCAGTTTTGCTTGCTTGGTGATATGGTTTGGATATTTGTTCCTTCCAAACCTCATATTGAAATTTGATCCCCCAATGTTGGGGATGGGACTTTGTGGGAGGTGTTTGGATTGTGGGGGCTGATCTCTCATGAAGGGCTTGGTGTCATTCTTGAGGAAGTGAGTGAGCTCTCACTCTTAGTTCCCGGAAAAACTGGTTGTTGAAAAGAGCCTGGCACCTCCTCCTCTCTATCTCGCCTCCTGCTTCTTACCACATGACGCCTGCTCCCCTTTGCCTTCCACCATGAGTGGAAGCTTCCTGGGGCCCTCACTGTGCTTTTTGTACAGCCTGCAGAACGATGATCCCAAATAAACCTCTATTCTTTATAAATTACTCAGCCTTGGGTATTCGTTTACAGCAACACAAACAGACTGAGACACCTGGGGAATATATCCTTGGCACTTTATGCTGTGGTGGCAGTATTCTGTTGCCAGAAAGCTCCTGGCCTTGTTGCTGGGAGGTGGAGTAGAATGGCTCTACAGAGCGTGGCTCTTGTGCTAGACTGCCTGGTTTTGAACTGGGCTCTGTTATTAATACTTACTAGCTGTGTGACCTTGGACAACATATTTAACATCTTTGTGCCCCATTTTTCTTACCTATAAAATGAAAAAAATAAAAATAGTCTTGACCTTCATAGGGTTATTATGAAGATTGTACATGTGTCAGATGGAAGGGGCTTAGGACAGTGCCCAGGGCACATGAAATGTTATATTAGTTGGAATGTGTACTAGCTATTACACTAGCAGTGTTCTTTTATCCTTGTTTTTTGGTATATAAAATAATGCCAATAATATATGCTGTATAGGATTGTTGTAGAGAGTAGATAACAACTGTAATATTGGTGAAAAAGTGACTGGTCCATAGTAGGCACTATTATGTCCCCATGTGTTAGTATTCATTCTGGTTTTGCTTTCCCTTCTCTCTTCCTGTAATTTTTAGAATTAGTGTAAGATGTGTTAAAAGGTAGTTAGTGCTTAGGGATGGAAACCACAGTCCTGTCTCAGGCTCAAAACTAAATAGGCTGAGCCCTTACTATTTGTAGAGAGAGACTCTTCAAAGAAACACCCATTTGTCTTAGCTCAGTTAAGGAAGTCAATCTCTTCTCTCCACTGTAAGTGGCCCATTAACCTACCTGGAGAGTCAAACAACCTGGACTCCAGTCTGGAGTTTTCCACTGAGATATTCCAACCTCTCCATGTCTCGATATTCTCATCTGCCAAGGAGGGGTGAAAACACAGGTGCTACATACCTCATGAGGTTATCAATAAAGTCAGATATGCCTATCTTGGACTCAGTTAAAGGACTCTAAAATAGGATGGTGATATCAGACTATGCAGTAAGGTGGGACTATATAGCTGATGTCCCAGTAAGAGCAATATGTTCATTGTTTCCCCTCTGCTAGGAATATCATGAATTTTCTCTTAAGACTCCCCCGAACATGTACATGCACACACACTTTCCCAGATTATTGTCATTACCACTAGTCATTGCAAATGGGTGAACAAGTCTATATTTGGTGGAAGAAGACATGTGCTTATTGCAGACTCCCCCTACCTAATTGTGTCCAGTTACTCACCCATCCACTGTGGGTGGAGTAGAGGCAGGGGCCTCCCTTCACATGTGTGGAGTGTAACGCTGTGGTGGAACAAGCCAGGTAGCCATCCACTGTGTATCAGTACTGTTTCATCACCTTGAAATAAAACACTCTTACTTCTGGGATGCATGGAAAAGCTTTACTTTTCCTTATTTTGTTTTGTTGAACTTAGAAGGAAGGAGTGTCTAACAAATTTTGGTCTGCTCTTTATGTTCTCTCTGGAAACTTCAGAAGCAACTGGAATTTTCTCGGCAACTTCACAGGACAAAACTGGTCACCATTTGAATAGTGGATTTCATAATGAACAAGAACTGAAAAGTAATCTTAAGGAGGTTATTTTATTTTTGCTGAAGTTAGTTAGAAGGGAATAAAGATGACAGATTTAAGGAACATGAAAAAAAAGTATTGAGTAAGGGCAACTATTCTGTGCCATAAAGCCAGAAGGAAAAGCATGCTCTTGGCTTAGATGTCCAACATCTATCCTCAATGAAATATGAAACCCTTCAAACCCCTAAACCCAGGAGTGGTCGGTTCTTAAAGGACTGTGACTGGGTGTATGGGTGTAGGCCTTCCTGGACCCTCTCTGCTCTCTCTTCCTTCTACACACTGTTTATGTGTTTGTTGGCCTGAGATCAGTTCTCCCACTTAACCTTTCCTTGCCCCACAGCCATGGTAGTTTTTACATGGGAACACGCACCCTCTGTTTCTCTGCAGAATCTTGTATCCTCTCAGGGAAAGTCGTGTGGTGGGCTAGTGGTGAAGTGAGAGGGAGCTATGTACACACAGGGCCCAGCTGAAAATGACTTTAGCACAGAGTTTACTTAATACATCCTCCAAATTGTATTTTGAAGCCTCTGTTAACAAGAAAGCACTCTCTTTTTGAGCAGCAGGAGTGTTTTATAAATGGAATTTGCAGACCGGCAATGCTCCCATTAATTTTCCCTGTCTACAATTACTATCATTACATTCTTAAAGCACTTTTAAAATAAACTACACCATGATGTAATGTGCACACTGAGCTCCACTGAGCAGGACAACGGGGCAGCAGCATCTGGACTCTGGGCTGCTATCTTCTAGGGAACATCTTGATGGCTATAATTACTGTCATGTTATGGGAACTTAAAAAAAAAAGGCGCCAGAGTTCCAAATAAAACATAAAATGGCTTTGATATAATAAATGTTACTATCATTGTTTAAAAATGTTGTGACCCGTCTGCTACAGTTTCTGAGAAAGATATTTTCCAGCACTCGATATTTTCTCCTCTCTCCCTCTTTCATATTCTATTAATGCAGATAAGGATGAAGAAAATCCTTAGGAGAGACTTGTTTTAAATCAATGTAATACAATGCCAGCATTGTCTCTCTTCAAGTTGAACTTTCAAATTAAATTTGGCATGAGTTTTACCAGAACTCCAAACAGCTTTGCTCCAGAGACACTGTATCTGCCCTATTAGGGAGAATTAATAATTCAAATGTTATGGTTGTGGTTAATTGCACTCATTAGGATAAGACAAGGACTGGAACATTTTTCTGTAGGACATACCCACATCCATTGCACCCCTGGCCAAGGCATTCAGAACAGTTTGGGCATTTTCAAAGGAATCATAATGACACAAAATGCACACATGGTGTAAATGTTGTCATCCTATGGGATCCAGTTTTGGAAGGGCCTGTAATGAATTTGGACCCAGGTATTGGATCAATTTCTGTATAAAGTTATGAAGAATCACTTATATATGGAAAAAGTCATCTGTTGTGGGTACTGACCCTGATTGTATTCACTCAGTTTCCTAAGAACGTTTTATTATATGGAATTCATTCAACCTTGTGAAATCTAAGTTATTGTTTCATAATGGGTAGTGGCAACTTTAAGGAAGACAGCACATCTTATTTAGGCAATTGGTTAGCTTTGACAACAGCGGGTGCATAGACCACAAATGGAGTAAACTGTTCTGTTGATCTTTTTTTCTGCTAGTTTGCTGATAACATATTTCAGTTTGAAATATGATTGGACCTTTTGATGTAAGAGTTGGGACTTAACCAGGGAAAAATTTATATAACCTGATCTGGATTTCATCATATTCAGTGAGTTTGTGAAAGGACATTTTTTTTTTTTACATGTGTCACATCGATTGACTATCTCTCCAAGCTCTCCTGGGTAGTGACTTATTTTTATTTCATTTGGTGTCATGTTTTCCTTTCTCTGTATGTCCTCTCTATGGCTGATGAGCAGTAAGTTAGGCCACGGAGTTTAGGGGAACAATGGTTCAATCTCCAGGTAAGTTTCTTCAGTCTCACTCTATACAGTCAGCACTGGCCAGCTCCCTAGACAAAGTGTATGAGATCATCCCAAGTCAAACCATGGGGGTACTGTGGTTGACCCCGGTAAGCCATCCCACTTCTGCAAAAACCAATCCAAGCAGAGGCTGTACTGATAACAAATATGTTACACCTTCTTTGGGTGTAGACCAGAGTGCATTTTTAATGTCTGTGTTTCTAAGCCTGCTGTCCAGAAGATCTTCTATTCATGACACTTTCCAAGATCTGTTCTTTCTCAGAAACTGGATTTAGTTATTGCACTCTACAATAATGTTAGGCTGGAGAAAAATTGTAGATTTGTTTGCAAGGAATGTGGTGTCAATCGATTGAGGGCAATTTGCATGCAATCCTAAAGTTTAAGTCAGGTTTTAATTTTGATTTGGTGATACATCTTTGAAAATGCTCAATTTTTACTTTGTCTGATAAGTATGCTTCTGTCCTTTGAAAAGTAACTCCATCTTTGTATGAGTCATTCTACCCTTTTATTGTTTTCAGTGTGACTCCTAAGTACTGGACACTCAGTAAGGACTTATTGATGGTTATAATGTTTCATAGAATATTTGCATAAATGATCTTTGTAGAAAACAAATTGAACTTTTCCATTGAAACAATATTATGTCATATTAGCATTAAGAGGCACTTCATAAAAAAATTTTAGTTAACACTAACTGAGCATCCAATCTACTTTCTGTTTGTTGAAGCATTTATGGTTCCTACTCAAGACAAGAAAAATAACAAGGAAAGAAATAACTCTGAATACAGAACATTTTATTACAAAAATAAAAAAATGAGAGCATATCTGTTAGCTCTTGCCAACTTTTGAAGTATGGATTCTATTTGTCTTTATTACAGTGTATTCCCATAGTGACTTTTCCCTATTTATTAATTTTTGAATGTTACTATAAAACAGAGATATGTGCCTACTGGAAATAGTCAAAGCTATTTCAAGAAACTTTACAAATGAGAAAAATATACCAACACATCTTTGAACTATTCTGTCAATAAATTAGGAGCTATGCAATTATTTTATATCTCCTTATAGTTCTTTTTGAAAAAAAGTCATATGCATTATCACAATAAAATGTCCTGTTAAAACTATAATAATTGTGATGACTCATAGATACGTGATTCTTCTTATTAAGAAAAAAAGGACAGGAAATCCAATATAAATGAGCTGTTTTCCTCAGTAGTGTAATAAAACTTGGATACTGGTATATGAATTTTTGATTATATCATCCACTGATAATCTCTGGCTCATTTCCTCCCAGTGAAGAATCAGTCTCCTTCCTCCCTGCACCAGCCCCCTTTGGCCACTAACATTTTAGCAACCCTACTCCCTCAGATGGGGAGGAGGCCTCCCAGTCACAGCCACCACAGTACAATATATTTTAAGGGCTGTAAATTTTCACCGTCAGATTTGAGCCAAGGGTGTTAAGCTCCAGAAGATACACATCTGCTTCCTACTCAGATGGTCTTTGTTGTGCTTCTTGGTAGAGGGAGAGTTGTAATGCCACAAGAATAAATCCCAAATGGGGTGTGTGTTTGCAGGGGGGTGGTAAATTATGGTGTTTTCAAAAGAAGTGCTCATGACTGCAAATATATCTAGCCTCAATTCTGCTCTTAAATTCTCTGTTTCTTTTCAGAGTTACATGATAATATTTTATTGCTCTTTAATGAACAGAGTGAGTCACTATTAAATTTCAAAAGTGAAAAATTATTTTGTAACCTGAGTCACAACCCCTGAATGTATCTCGTTTCTAAGTTTGGATTTCCAAATGTCAGGTTTTTCTAAATAGGATCACATGAATACAGGACCAGAATATAAAAGAAATGTCTAAGCAACTACTTGGGAAGGGTGGCTATAGTCCATGCCAATATATCCAGCTCATGAGTGTTTATTAAACACCCACAAGTTTGATCAAAGAATACTTAGTGTTAGATGTATCTTAATGTTCTCACTACTCTCATACCTTGTTAACCAAGAGGGAAAGATGATAGACCAATTTCAAACCTAGCAGAAATGTGAACAGATAAATATAGTAAATCCTCAATTTACAAATGAGCTTTGTTCCAAATTGTTTGTAACTGGTTCATCTGGAACTGTCCTTGCATTTTCCCATAGAGACAAAATTATAAATGGTAGTTAGGTTTCCTAGCCAGCCCAGAGAATATACTTAAGCCCTATGCAGCTGAACACTAGCATTAGAGAACTTGATCGCCAAGTTTCTGTGGAAATATGCATTTATTTATTTACTCAAATATGACTTGAGTGTTCACCTGATTGGAATACAGAGACACCCTTAGCCTCTGATGATGGGGCATCATGGTCTAATCAGGCAGTGATTGCCCATTCCTTAGTGTCTGGGTGGAAGATAACATAGTGTGTTACTTGGATACATAGGACAGTAAGCTGGAGGTGGAGGGGGTCAGGCAGGACTCTCAGAGGATGCCTGAGATGATTTTGTTTTGCTGGGAGAGAAGGATGGAATCAAGAATGGAAGTTGCTTTGGGTATGGGGAGGGGCAGGAGCATGAAAGCTTAAAATAGCTTAGCCCATTAAGGGCAAGTGGGGAGGTTGATTATCAGATAAGTGAGGGCTAGACTAATATGGATTGCCACATATGGGTTTGTATGTTCCATTTGAAGATGGGATTTCAAGTAGAAGACTGATACGATCATATTTACACTTCAAAACTTCATTTGGTCTCTGTATTAATACTGGATAGAAGAAGCCACCAGCACTGGATAAAAGAAAGCCTCAGAGCCTGCTGGAATTATCTGAGGGAAAATTGATGAGGCACTAGGGCAGGGTAGATGGGGAAGGAGAAGAAGAGATGGTTTACTGGTAGTAGGGTGTTCAATTTGACAGCACCTGAAACAGACTGGATTTTGGTGAAGGAGAACACTGGATGAATAGAAATAGCAATGCTGTACACACATGCACACACGAGGAAATGATGGGAGACAGATTTGGGAGGAGGAGGAGCTCAGTTACAGATGTGTATTTGGGTCATGACTCCACTCAGAGGGTTGGGGATGAGAGCTGGCACTCAGGAGCATCTAGAAAGGAGATCCAGAAGGTGAAAAGAAAGACAATTAGAGTGAATAAGGAGAGTCTAGAGGGGCAGCCAGGGATGCTGGACCATAGCCAGAAGACAGCAGTAGTACCCAGAAGTCAAGATGGTAAGAAATTTCAGAGAAGACAAGAGAGTGGATGGTGCAGAGACCAAGACTGAGAAATTAACATTGGAGTTAGCAGTTGGAAAGACACTGGTGTCCCAGATTCCAGTTTGGTGGAGAGGTGCTGCAGCCCTGAGGGGAGGTGAGCTTGAAGATGGTATATGGTGTGTGTGTGCATGTGTGTGTGTGTGCATGTGTGTGTGTGCGTGTGTGTGTGTGTGCATGTGTGTGAGAGCACTATTCCAGTGGAGGAGAAACCCAGTGGATGTGTCCTTGTGGTGATTAGCTGTGGAAGATGGGCAGGGCTACAGACACAAGTTATCAATAAGCTGCTAAACAACTTATCAGTCATGGTGTTACTATTACCAAAAGGACCACATTTTAACAAATTTTAAATGTGCTTCATCTCTTATCACCTTCCCACCATGTCCCTCCGCATTAGAATGCTGTCTCCACCCTTCAAAAGACCCTCTACCTTGTGCTCTTTCACTCCTCCATGCCCTGCACACGTGGTTTCATCTGTCATGAATGTCCTATGCCTCTATGCCTAGCTAGCTGTCTTTCTAAACCACCCAGCCCAAAGGCTGCCTCCTCAGGAAAGCCTCTGGTAATGCCCATGACAAAGTAGTTTCTCCTGTCTCTACTCCCTCAGTGCTCTGCTCACACTTTTGGTAAATAATAGAATGCAGCTTAAAATTACATCTCTCTCCCTTTCTGGATGGTGAATTTCAAAAACATGTTGATTCAGCTGTTCTGCGTGCCTAGTCCAGTGCTCAGCCCATGATGAGAGCTCAGGGTTTGTTTAGTGACAAGCCTTTGGCAAACTCAAAAGTTAGTTGTAAAAACTATTGGTCAGGAATGATGGACCCAAGCCTAACTGACCTGAAGCTATTGTGAAAATGGTAAAAACCAAATCCTCAGCTTTTTGGGCAGGTATATTAAGGGAGGGTGCCAAAATGCTGTCAAAGCTTTTATGTTAAGAAGTTGCATAGGTTCCTAGAGCTATGTCTTCAGTGACACTGGGCAGCCAGGATGACTCATGACCCTCGATTTAAGCATCTGGAAGAGTCAGTTTTATTTTCGGAGAAACTCTGTGTCACCTTTAGTAAAAAAAGAAAGGTACACGAGGCCTTGGCAAGAAGATCTATTTCATAAATCTGTAAAATAAATGAAGCTCTTTGGGGACATTAACTCTTCTATAACCTCTCTCGATGAGTTTGGAAAGTATTTATTATGAGATGGAGCCAATTTCAAAGTGAAGCTGAGAGAATTTTCTTTCCTGAGCTCCTCCTGGAACAGTTACGTTTAGTGATGCTAATCTATGATGATGACTCAGTGACAGGAAGTGACATTGGTCATGCGTTGGCCCCAAACAGTACTTGAGGGGAGGGAGGAGGCCAGAGGACTAAAATCCTGTGTGGTTTTCCCAGTGTTTTTACCTACATGATTGTCATCTTTCCTTTTGAATCTGTCCAGAAATTGTCAGTGAAATGAAAGATCAGTGTTACATATCATTTGGGTTTTTGGCACCAGGGATGTTTGCTTTATTTTGGGTTATATTAAATACAATTAAAATGCACTAATGGTATTATAAAAGTTTTGATTTTAAACAGTGAACTAGGAAATCATTGCAAAAAAGAGTATTACGCATGACATTAGAATATGGGGCTCCAGTTTCAGATTTTTTACTTATATCTGTATGACTTTCAGTGAGTGCATTTAACTTCTTCAAGTCTTATGACCTTACTAATGAAATATGGTAGTAACACCACATCTCAGCAGCATTCATGGAGTGCTTACTATGTGCTTGGCACTGCTTTACACGGGTTAGTTTTCCTCAATCCCTTTGATGTAGGTGTGATTGTTATCCATTGTACAGATGAGGAAATTTAAGTTTGCGGAGTACGTATACCATACTGGGATTCAAATCCAAGACTTTGTGATTCTATTACCAAGTTCCCAACTGCTCTTTTATTTTTATTTTAAAAAAACTTTTATTTTAGGTTTAGGGGTACATGTGCAGGTTTATTATATAGGTAAACTTGTGTCATGGGGGTTTGATATACAGATTATTTCATCACCCAAGTGCTAAGCCTACTACCCATTAGTTACCTTTTCCTGCTCCTCTCCCTCCCCGTACCCTCCACCCTCTGGTAGGCCTCAGTGTCTGTTGTTCCCTTCTTTGTGTCCATGTGTTCTTATCATTTAGCTCCCACTTATAAGTAAGGATATGTGGTATTTGATTTTCTGTTCCTGCAGTAGTATGACAAGGATAATGGTCTCTAGCTCTATCATTCCTGCAAAGAACATGATCTCCTTTTTTATAACTGCATAGTATTCCATGGTGTATATGTACCACATTTTTTTATCCAGTCTTCCATTGATGGACATTTAGGTTGATTCCACGTCTTTGCTATTGTGATAATGATGCAATGAATATACACATGCATATGTCTTTATGATAGACCAATTTATATCCTTTCGGTAAATACCCAGTAATGGGATATTGGGTTGAACATTATTTCTGTTGTTAGGTCTTTAAGGAATTGCCACACTGTCTTCAGCAATGGCTGAATTAATTTAGACTCCCACCAACAGTGTGTAAGCATTTCTTTTTCTCTACAACATCGCCAGCATCTGTTATTTTTTGACTTCTTAATAATAGCCATTCTGACTGATGTGAGATAGTATCTTATTGTGGTTTTGATTTGCATTTCTCTAATGATCAGTGATGTTGAGCTTTTTTTCATATGTTTGTTGGCTGCATGTAGGTCTTCTTTTGAGAATTATCTGTTCATGTCCTTTGCCCACTTTTAATGCGGTTGTTTTATTTTCTTGTAAATTTGTTTAAGTGCCTTATAGATGCTGGATATTAGACCTTTGTCAGATGCATGGCTTGCCAAACTTTTCTCCCATTCTGTCAGCTGTCAGTTTGCTCTTTTAATGGTTTCTTTTGCTGTGCAGAAGCTCTTTAGTTCAACTAGATTCAATTTTCCAATTTTTGTTTTTGTTGCAATTGCTTTTGTTGTCTTTGTCATGAAATCTTTGCCCTTTCCTATGCCCAGAATTGTGTTGTGTAGGTTGTCTTCGAGAGTTTTTATGGTTTTGGGTTTTACAAGTCTTTAATCCATCTTGAGTTAATTTTTGTATATGGTATAAGGAAAAGGTCCAGTTTCAATCTTCTGCATATGGCTAGCCAGTTATGCCAGCACCATTTATTGAATGAGTCTTTTCCTCATTGCTTGCTTTTGTCAGCTGTGTTGAAGATCAGATGGTTGCAGGTGTTCTCTATTTCTGGGTTCTCTATTTTGTTCCGTTGTTGTATGTGTCTGTTTTTGTACCAGTACCATGCTGCTTTGGTTACTGTAGTCCTGTGGTATATTTTGAAGTTGGGTAGTATGATGCTTCCTGCTTTGTTCTTTTTGCTTAGCACTGCCTTTGCTATTTGGGCTCTTTTTTGGTTCCATATGAATTTTAAAATATAATAGTTTTTTTCTAATTCTGTGAAAAATGTCATTGGTAGTTTGATAGGAATAGCATTGAATCTATAAATCGCTTTGGGCAGTATGGCCATTTAAATGATATTGATTCTTCTTCCCCATGAGTATGGAATGTTTTATCATTTGTTTGTGTCATCTCTAATTTCTTTGAACAGTGTTTTGTAGTTCTCACTGTAGAGATCTTTCACCTTTCTTGTTAGCTGTATTCCTGGATTTTTTTTTTCTTTTTTTGTGGCAATTGTGTGTGGGATTTTGTTCCTGATTTGGCTCTTGGCTTGGCTGTTAGTGGTGTACAGAATTGCTAGTAATTTTTGTACATTGATTTTGTATCCTGAAACTTTGCTGAAGTTACAGTTTGAGGAGCTTTTGGGCTGATACTTTTGGGTTTTCTAGATATAGAATCATGTCAGCTGCAAACAGGGATAGTTTGATTTCCTCTCTTCCGATTTGGATGGGCTTTATTTCTTTCTCTTTCTTGATTGGCCTGGCCAGGACTTCCAATACTACTTTGAATATCAGGAGTGGTGAGAGAGGGCATCCTTGTCTTGTGCCAATTTTCAAGGGAAATGCTCCCCACTATCGCCCATTCAGTATGATGTTGGCTGTGGGTTTGTCATAGACGGCTCTCTTTATTTTGAGGTATGCTCCATCAATATCTAGTTTCTAACTACTGTTTTTAATTTTGCACATAATAAACTAAAAATCTTGATGTAAACACGAAGTATTATCAAGCACTAAGTTGTTTTTGATTGAAAGTCATTCTTGAATGTCACTTATCTCAGCCTCCTCCCTTCTTCCACTAAGTCTGGGACATTTCTCCCACACAAATTGGGTAGAAATTGCATGGGCTGCTGCTTCTCCCTCTGCTTTTCCAAATACCAAAGGGCTGCTGAGACTGACCAGTATATGAAACATGACATCCCCAGGTGGACCTAGAGGAAGGAGACCCAAGGAGAGGGTCTTCTTTATATATACATAAATGAAACAATAACATGTCAACGTAGAAATGGAAAATTTAGAAAACGGAACAAGCAAAAAATCAAAATCATTTATATTACCACAACTTAAAAGAATCCAGTTAACGTTTTGCTAAATATCAATATTTCTTAAACAAAATGGGATCATGCATATAGGTTGGCTGGCATAATTATTCACATTTGAGGCAGGCATGGTGTGTCATGAAAGAACAGAGGAGGGGAGGGACAACACAATAGGCATGGTTAAACACATTTTATTTTATACTAAATTTCAACTTTTTCATTTTTTTCTCCTCTACATATCATCTTTCCCACTTATCCATTTTTCTCCTTCCATCAATCCATGATTTCTTTAATTTTCTTTTTTAAATAAAAGGAACATAGTCTATTAATAGACAACAACCAAACAACAAGATCCACTAGCCAAAAGAAAGTAGACATTAGCTAATTAGTCAATTCATGTGGCCTAAGTGGCAGCCAGTTAACTCCAATGGTTAAATCTCAGAAGCCGACCTTTCTCATGAATATTTGTAACATTCACACAAAGACAATTGCTTTAGCTCCAGCTTGCAGTCCCACAGTTGTGTGTTGTTGGTCACAGGGAGACCTAGCAAGAGAATGGGGATGACTCATTGTAATGCACCAACACTCTCAGCAGATGCTCTCCAAAATGAGCTGGGAGCATGATCATACCATGAAAGATAATGAAGCACATTTCAGTTGAATTCTGGCCAGTGCAGGTCTTACACATCTCTTTGATAACTGAATGATCTAATTAAACTCTTTATAGACATTAAATAAACCCAATAATTGCCAATTACCTCTTCCTAGCAATGTTCCCTAGAACTAGAGTTTTATTTTTTGATATAATACCATATCTAAATAAATGCTTGCCAATGTTTTGATAAGAAATGATGTATAAATTAGCTGGCTTTCTTGTCATCATGTAATATAAGCAAGGCAAACTTCTTGTTTCCTTGATGGAACATTGCTCAGGATGGAAACTGTTATCATTGTCAGATGCAGTGTCAGTAGCAATTGGTGAATTTAGACTGCGTTTCCCTATCACTATCTCAGTGAAATAAGACATGTTTCTGAGAGATAAGGGATAATGGAGCTGTTGCTAATGCTTGAGTGGACCTAAGGCATTTGTGAATGAATAATTTTAATATGGAGAATAAAGGTATCCTGAGAATAGGAAAAAGAGGATAATCAGTTCCCTTCTGGATCAGATTGCCAGATTTAGCAAACAAAAATACAGAACTCCTGCAATATTTGAGACATGTTTATACTAAAATAATCACTTACCATTTATCTGAAATATAAATTTAACTGGGTGTCCTATATTGTATCTGATAACTTTACTTCTAGGGGATTAATTGGATCAGCACACTGGTAGGGACATGAAATAATTTGCAATTCTCTGGGGCCTTCCAGTTCAAGTAAGCAAAACTGTTTCCCAGCTTCCTCAGCTGTTCTTTATAAATCAGCATTTTTTTCCCTCAAGTGTGTACTTCATCTTTCTTTCTGGATTTTTCTGACTTCAGGGCAGAAGGGATGTTGGGGAGCTACATGCTGGAGAAAGTTTTTTCTGAGGAAAAATGAAATCACCACCTAAATCCCCTGAGTGGAGTGATTCTGGAAAGAGGGAGTGAAAGGAATGAGGTGGAGGTTGAGACAGTTCAGGGATGGCCAGAGGCAGTTTTGGATGGGAATTCTGGCGCAACTCACATCTTCTGGACTTGAAAGGTCATATCCGGAAGTCACAGTGCTCCTAGGAGAGGTTTTTCAACAAGGTTGGAGTACACTGGAGGCTACACACACAATCTGAGCCAAGAAACAAAGTTCACCCAAGAATGCCAGTGGTGATGTTTCCTCTACACTCTTGGCTAGGTGTGGACCTTGCTCAAATTCCAGGGGAGTGTTGGGTGAATGTGATCATCAGGATGTGGACTCTCATGCTGTGACAGCTAGAGTCTTGTGCCTCTTATTTGTCAGGGTGAATGGGACTGGTTAAATCTTAGCCAATGGGAATTTTTCTTCCTGACAAACAGGTCCATAATAGGGCTGACTTTTCCCAATAGAGGGAAACTACAGCATGGAACTAGGTTAAAAGATTTTGCTGTGAATGAGAAAACCTATTTGTTTTCTTTGCAACTAATTTTGCTATCTTTCCCTATACTAATTTTTAAAATTAATAAATGTTTTTTACTTATTTAATGGGTTAAATAACTCAAAGAGGTAAAAAGTTTTAATATTTTCCTCAGCTACTTCCTACTTAGAACCTGTTTTTCTAAAGTCCTAATATTACCAGCTTCTTTTTTTTTTTTTTTTTTTTTTTTTTTTGTGAGACGGAGTCTTGCTCTGTGGCCCAGGCTGGAGTGCAGTGGCTCAATCTCAGCTCACTGCAAGCTCGGCCTCCCGGGTTCACGCCATTCTCCTGCCTCAGCCTCCCAAGTAGCTGGGACTATAGGTGCCCGCCACCATGCCCAGCTAATTTTTTGTATTTTTAGTAGAGACGGGGTTTCACTGTGTTAGCCAAGATGGTCTCGATCTCTTGACCTCGTGATCTGCCCGCCTCAGCCTCCCAAAGTGCTGGGATTATAGGCATGAGCCACAGCACCTGGCCTTTACCAGCTTCTTAAACAGATGTTTGTTGACTTACAACACGGCTACCTCTTGATAAACTCACTGTAAACTCAAAATACCCAAAGTCAAAAATGTGCTTAATACTCCTAACCTATTGAACATCATGGTTAGCCTAGCCTACCTTAAATGTGCTCAGAACACCTGTACTAGCCTCTAGTTGGGCAAAATCATTTAGTACAAAGACTATAATAAAGCATCAAATATCTCATGTAATTTATCAAATACTGCACAGAAAGTGAAAAACAGAAAGATTTTGCACCACCATAAAGTAAAAAAATTATTGTGGAACCACTGTAAGTTTGAAACTGTCTATATATCCTTTTCCAGTTTTCTCCACATTCATGCAAACATAAAAACATGTATGCACGTGTATAGATGTAAATGTGTGTGTATGTTTATATAAGTGTGTGCATATATTAATATATACACATGTACATACACATACACATATATAATAGGTATATGTAAGGTTTTTGGAGAAAATAGTGTACGTTTTACAAAAACTGAAATTATTAATTACATATTACCCTATAACGTCCTTTCTCACATAGTATCATAGACAGTCCTCTAGTCACTACAGACTGAACTCACAGTTTTTAATATATTTAAAATGTTTCATTATGTGGATATATATATTCAAATGATTATTAATGGGACTTTGGGTTTTTCCCACTTTTCTGCTGTTAAAAACTGGGTTGTATTAACATTTTTAAAAATTCTATGCATATGTTCTTTTTATTTCTATAGGAAGGAGTTCAAACAATATTGCTGGGTCAAAGGACGTGTGCATTTTAATGTTTTTTTTTTTTTTGTTTTTTTGTTTTTTTTTTTAAGTAGAGACAGGGTCTCACCATTTTGCCCAGGCTGGTCTTAAACTCCTGGCCTCAAATGATCCTCTCACCTTGGCCTTTCAAAGTGCTGGGATTACAGGCATGAGCCACCATGCCCAGCCTTAAATTTTAATAGGAATCACACAATTGCTTTTCAAAAAGTTTGTAGCAATTCACACTTCTCTTCTCCATTCCCACCCTTAGCAATACATGGGGAAGTCATTTCCTTGCATCCTTATCAGTATTGTTTATTTTATTTATTTATTTTGAGGCGGAGTCTCACTCTTGTCCCCCAGGCTGGAGTGCAATGGCGCGATCTCGGCTCACTGCAACCTCTGCCTCCCGGGTTCAAGCGATTCTCTGCCTCAGCCTCCTGAGTTGCTGGGATTACAGGCACCTACTACCACGCCCAGCTAATTTTTGTATTTTTAGTAGAGACGGGGTTTCACCATGTTGGCCAGGGTGGTGTCAAACTCCTGACCTCGTGATCCACCCACCTCGGCCTCCCAAAGTGCTGGGATTACAGGCATGAACCACCGCACCCCGCCAGTAGTATTGTTTATTTTTAACTTTGTCAATCTGATGGATAAAAAAATGGTATTTTATCTTAATTTGCATTTCTTGAATCATCCTTGAAATCAGTATGTTTTTGCTGATTTATTGGCCTTCTTAAAATTTATCTTTCTGAATTGCCTGTTCATATTCTTTACCTATTTTTCTGTTGACTCATCTGTTCTCAATCAATTTTTAGGTGCCCCTTGTGGTTGCTGTGTTGAAATTATTCTTTCTTCTAATCTATTGTCTTTTGACTTTATTATATTTTTTGCCATGTGAAATTTTAAATTTTTATATAGTCAAACATTTATTTCTATTTTTAATGTCTTTCTTATAAAATAAATACATCTCCATGGTAAAAAGTCATGTAATTCACAAAGGTATAGAATTAAAAATAAAAGCTCTCCTTCCAGTTTTTGGACTTCTTAGGTCAATACCCCAGAAGTAACCACTGGCAATAGTTTCTTGCTTACTAGTTTAGAATTTTCTATATGTATGTAAACATTCCCCATGCCCCCTCCCAATTTGCTAATATTTACTGAGCATCTACTCTATGCTAAGAACTGTTTTGGGCCCTAGAAAGTCATAAACTCAACGAAGTTTCTACTTTTAAAGTTCATACCCCAATAGTGGAAAAAAGTAATAAATTAGCCAATGGACAAACAAAATAATTTTAGACAATGTTAAGTTCTGTAAAGAAAATAAAGTAGTGTTAGAGTACAGAAAGTGACAGAGAGAGAAAGTAACAGTAATGAACCTAAAGTAACATTATTTTAGGTAGAGTGGTTTGGGAAGGAGTCTCTAAGGAGATAGCATTTATTGGGTTTGGGCCATAATCTTGAAAGACACAATTCTGAAGGCCATAATCTCAAATATTGAAGCCCTGATCATCAAAATCCTGAAAATATAATACTGAACAAAACTTAAAAATTCTTTAAAAGACGTTTATTTACACTTTAGAAGAAAATTTATTTGGGAAACATGACAGAACACTTTATAGGCCACTTTACACAATAAAATAGGCATATAAATAATAGCATACATATTTGTGCAAGCATCAGCACTCAGGTATACTAATTGACATTTATAAGCAGATAAACTGTATTCATAAATAAATAGTTTATATAACAGTGGTCATCTGAAATGTTGTGATAGACAATTAGATCTTTTGACAAGATCAACCAAAAATTGCTATGGGTCACCTCCATATATACAGTCACCCAAAGGACTAAAATCTTGAGAAATTTTATCTTTCACAAATGCAGATGTGCAAAAAGGACATCTTTTCATTTATTGGGGAAGTTTCAACATTTTTATATACACTCACAATGCTTATACACAAAGTCAATGTGGTGATAGTGCACTTCCATGGAGTCAAATTTGCAAGAAATGTATAAAATGAATTAGAACTCTGTGAAGGTCTTTACACAATTTATCCCTTCAGTATTGGAAAGGATGTGAAGATGAAATGCATAGTATAGTGAATTTTAAAAAATAATGCTGACAACTTAAAATAGTGGGAAAAACCTATACAAACAAAACAAAAAAATCCATACCCACTTCCCCCACACCCCCAAAAAAATCCAAAAAAAAAATCCTGATATATGAAAAAGTGTATTACAGGAATAGATGATAGACAATTGCATGGAGGTAGTCCCTAAGAGCTGGGCAACTTTCATGATCATTAACTGTATTTTGAAGTCTTGCATCATGATGGATAGCTGCTTTTCTCGGTTTCTTTTAGGGCATGGCTCTCCTCAAGAATACGTTCACATTCATCTTCTATGTGGCACTGCTCTTTTTGAAATTCTCCTATGATTTTATAGATGCTAACATGAGCATTCCCTATTAAATGTTCCCATCTTCTGTGTCAGGCTTCTAGATTGTTTTAGATACAAAATGATATGGAAATGCATTCTGCATTCACTCATTTACAGACCACATATTTGGTGAAAACGATACTGCTGATTGAACAGAAACACTAATATGTCTTCTTATCCTACTGTACGTATAATTATTTTCAAACCAGTCAGTAACTTTGCTGGCTTCTTCAGGCAAATGAAGCCTTAATTTATGAAAAACACCTGGAATAATTACATCAGCTGCGAGGAATGCCAATACAGACAAATAACATATTTTTAGACTAAAGCTGTTGTCATCAACATATTGCATGGCCAATTCACTCATCTGAATTTTCCAACAAATGCATTGGGCTGAATGGAAAAAACAAACTTTATTGATAACACCTTGAAATTCACTTTTAGAAGCCTTGATTGCACCTAATTCCAAATCTGTTGTTAAGCTTTGGGTATTCAGTTAGACATTAGGGATTTTAAACTTTAGAAATTTAAACTTTAGGAATTTTGATCTTTCAGAATTTCAACATTCAGTTATGGCATTCAGGATTGTGTCTTTGAGGATTACGGTCAGCACCACAATTATTAGAGATCTGATATATGTGAATACTGCACAATGCTTTTTAAAAAATTGCTGTTTATCATTTTCACTTAATAATAAAATAGAATGTGTTTACTGATCAGTGCATGTACATTCACTTGTATGAAAAACTTTTGCTTTGCTAACATAAAATGATTAACCCCAATTTCGTGTAGACAGACAATGTGAATGCATGTCTATCTTCCTGTCTGTCTCTTGAAATCACAAACATATAAAGTCCATTCACTTGATCAATCAGAGGGGGGTAATACACATTATCTATTCTCTTCATTGACCAAATAGGAAGTGGTGAGGTTGTCTGGATAAGGGGCCTTACCAAGGAAGGACGGAAGTGGATCTCCTGTAAGTCACGTTAGTCATGGGGGCACATGTTGAAGGTACTGGCTAATGTGCGGTTGGGGCTGCTATGGTGATTCTTCCAGATTATTTCTAGCTCTTATAAACATGTGGATCTAACAGGTAATATATTCAGGCTGAAAACAAGCAGTCTAAAATGTCCTCTTTTCCCTCAGGTGTGGTATAGTATAGCTATTTTGAAAATATCATTTTGAAAATACAGAAACTCCTGTGGTGATAAAGGGGGTCAGTTTGCTAAAGGGGCATCTCTTTGTTGTGGCTTAAGAGATCTGAGCCTAGTTTCTGGGAAACTGGGCAATGTGGAAGTGAAAGAGATTCTGTGCCCAACATGCTTAGCCACTGCTGAGCTGTCAAACATAAACAAAGCACATTGCCTATTTAAAAGAGAAAGGAGAAGTCTGAGACAGAAGTCAGTTGGGCAGTTATCTGTGGATTCCTGTTGTTGCTTCTCTCCTCATCCACGCTTTAGTGGGTTGTTGAGAGCTAGTTTGCTGGCACAAACAAACAAACAAAAACAAATGATTTATGGAAACTACTGAGTCATGCCTTGTCCCATAGCTGCCTTTCTCCTGCTCTGGGAAGGCTCAGTTACACAGCAAATTTCTGAAGGGAGAAGTAGCCATGCTGTGGAATGTGTTATTATAAGAAAACTTTGCTGCTGCTCTGGTGAACCCAGTGATGCTTGAGTAGCCAAGGTTCTCATGTACTTTCTTACTTACTGTACTGAGGTAAGCAAAGTGACAGATCGTTTAGGGCTCTTGGAGAAATGCTTTGCAAACCTACAAAATGACTTTTTGTTTTATTTCATTTTGTTTTTTGAGACAGAGTCTTGCTCTGTTGCCCAGGCTGGAGTGCAGTGGTATGGTCTTGGCTCACTGCAGCCTCTGCCTCCCAGGTTCAAGTGATTCTCCTGCCTCAGCCCCCAGCTAGTTGGGATTACAGGCACATGCCACCACACCTGACTAATTTTTGTATTTTTAGTAAAGACGGGGTTTCACCATGTTGGTCAGGCTGGTCTCAAACTCATGATCTCAGTTGATCCGCCCACCTCGGCCTCCCACATTCAGACTGTACAAAATCCTGAGGTGAATGGCAAGATGGCTGAATAAGAACAGCTCCAGTCTGCAGCTCCCAGTGAGATCAATGCAGAAGGTGAGTGATTTCTGCATTTCCAACTGAGGTACCCAGCTCATCTCACTGGGACTGGTTAGACAGTGGGTGTAGCCCATGGAGGGTGAACAGAAGTAGGGTGGGGTGTCACCTCACCTAGGAAGCACAAGGGATTGGGAAACTCCCTCCCCTAGCCATGGGAGGCCATGAGGGACTGTGCCATGAGGTACTGTGCATTCCGGCCCAGATACTATGCTTTTCCCATGGTCTTCATGACCCACAGACCAGGAGATTCTCTTGGGTGCCTACAGCACCAGGGCCCTGGGTTTCAAGCACAAAAACTGGGCGGCTGTTTGGGCAGACACTGAGGTAGCTGCAGGAGTTTTTTTTCATGCCCTACTGGTGCCTGGAACGCCAGCAAGACAGAACCATTCACTCCCCTGAAAAGGGGGCTGAAGCCAGGGAGCCAAGTGGACTTGCTCAGCAGATCCCACCCCCATGGAGCCCAACAGGCTAAGATCCACTGGCTTGAAATTCTTGCTGCCAGCACAGCAGTCTGAAGTCGACCTGGGATGCTCGAGCCTGGTGGGGAGCGGGGTGTCTGCCATTACTGCAGCTTGAGTAGGCAGTTTTCCCCTCACAGTGTAAACAAAACTGTCAGGAAGTTTGAACTGGGTGGAGCCCACTTCAGCTCAGCAAAGCTGCTGTAGCCAGACTGCCTCTCTAGATTCCTCCTCTCTGGGCAGGGCATCTCTGAAAGAAAGGCAGCAGCCCCATTCAGGTGCTTATAGATAAAACTCCCATCTCCCTGGGACAGAGCATGTCGGAGAAGGGGTGGCTGTGGGCACAGCTTCAGCAGACTTAAACATTCCTGCTGGCTGGCTCTGAAGAGAGCAGCCGATCTCCCAGCACAGCGCTCGAGCTCTGCTAAGGGACAGACTGCCTCCTCAAGTAGGTCCCTGCACCCCATGCCTCCTGACTGGGAGACACCTCCCAGCAGGATCGACAGACACCTCATACAGGAGAGCTCCAGCTGGAATCTAGCGAGTGCCCCTCTGGGACGAAGCTTCCAGAGGAAGGAACGGGCAGCAATCTTTGCTGTTCTACAGCCTCTGCTGCTGATACACATGCAAACAGGGTCTGGAGTGGACCTCCAGCAAACTCCAGCAGGCTTGCAGCAGAGGGGTCTGACTTTAGAAGGAAAACTAACAAACAGAAAGGAAGAGCATCAACATCAACAAAAAGGATGTCCACTCAAAAACCCCATCTGAAGGTCACCAATATCAAAGACCAAAGGTAGATAAATCCACGAAGATGAGGAAAAGCCAGTGCAAAAAGGCTGAAAATTCCAAACACCAGAATGCCTCTTTTCCTCTAAAGGATCACAACTCCTCACCAGCAAGGGAACAAAACTGGACAGAGAATGAGTTTGATGAATCAACAGAAGTAGGCTTTGGAAGGTGGGTAATAACAAACACCTTCGAGCTAAAGGAGCGTGTTCTAACCCAAGACAAGGAAGCTAAGAACCTTGAAAAAAGGTTAGAGGAATTGCTAACTAGAGTAACCAATTTAGAGAAAAACATAATGACCTAATGGAGCTGAAAAACACAGCATGAGAACTTCATGAAGCATACACAAGTATCAATAGCTGAGTTGATCAAGCAGAAGAAAGGATATCAGAGAATGAAGATCAACTTAATGAAATAAAGTGTGAAGACAAGATTAGGGAAAAAAAATGAAAAAAGCCTCCAAGAAATATGGAACTATGTGAAAAGACCAAAACTACGTTTGATTGGTGTACCTGAAAGTGATGTGGAGAATGGAACCAAGTTAGAAAACACTCTTCAGGATATTATCCAGGAGAACTTCCCCAATCTAGCAAGACAGGCTAACATTCAAATTCAGGAAATACAGAGAACACCGCAAAGATACTCCCTGAGAAGAGCAACTCCATGACACATAATAGTCAGGTTCACCAATTTTGAAATGAAGGAAAAAATGTTAAGGGCAGCCAGAGAGAAAAGTCGGGTTACCCACAAAGGGAAGCCCATCAGACTGACAGCAGATCTCTCTGCAGAAACCCTACAAGCCAGAAGAGAGTAGGGGCCAATATTCAACATTCTTAAAGAAAGAATTTTCAACCCAGAATTTCATATCCAGTCAGACTAAGCTTCATAAGGAAAAGAGAATTAAAATCTTTTACAGAAAAGCAAATGCTGAGGGATTTTGTCAGCACCAGGCCTGCCTTACAAGAGCTCCTGAAGGAAGCACTAAATATGGAAAGGAAAAACCAGTAACAGCCACTGCAAAAATATACCAAATTGTAAAGACCATCAACACTATGAAGAAACTACATCAACTAACGGGCAAAATAACCAGCTAACATCATAATGACAGGATGAAATTCACACATAACAATATTAACCTTAAATGTAAATGGGCTTAATGCCCCAGTTATAAGACACAGACTGGCAAATTGGATAAAGAGTCAAGACCCATCAGTGTGCTGTATTCAGGAGACCCATCTCATATTCAAAGACACACATAGGCTCAAAATAAAGGAATGGAGGGATAAGTACCAAGCAAATAGAGAGAAAAAAAGGCAGAGTTTGCAATCCTAGTCTCTGATAAAACAAACTTTAAACCAACAAAGATCAAAAAATACAAAGAAGGGCATTACATAATGGTAAAGGGATCAATGCAACAAGAAGAGCTAACCATCGAGATAGATATCCACCCAATACAGGAGCACCCTGATCCATGAAGCAAGTTCTTAGAGACCTACAAAGAGACTTAGATTCCCACACAATAATAGTGGGAGATTTTAACACCCCACTGTCAATATTAGACAAATCAATGAGACAGAATACTAACAAGGATATTCAGGACTTGAACTCAGCTCTGGACCAAGTGGACCTAATAGACATCTACAGGACTCTTCACCCCAAACAGACTATACATTCTTCTCAGCACCACATCACGCTTATTCTAAAATTGACCACATAATTGGAAGTAAAACACTCCTCAGCAAATGCAAAAGAACGGAAATCATAACAAATAGTCCCTCAGACCACAACACAATCAAATTAGAACTCAAGATTAAGAAACTCACCCAAAACCACACAACTACATGGAAACTGAGCAACCTGCTCCTGAATGACTTCTGGGTAAATACCGAAATTAAAGCACAAATAAATAAGTTATTTGAAACCAATAAGACCAAAGATACCATGTACCAGAATTTCTAGGACACAGCTAAGGCAGTGTTTAGAGGAAAATTTATAGCACTAAATGTCCACAAGAGAAAGTGAGAAAGATCTAAAATTGACACTCTAACATCACAATTAAAAGAACTAGAGAAGCAAGAGCAAACAAATTCAAAAGCTAGCAGAAGACAAGAAATAACTAAGATCAGAGCAGAACTGAAAGAGATAGAAATGCCAAAAAACCCTTCAAAAAATCAATGAATCCAGAAGCTGGTTTTTTAAAAAGATGAACAAAATTGATAGACTGCTAGCCAGACTAATAAAGAAGAAACAAGAGAAGAATCAAATAGACACAACAAAAAATGATAAAGGGGATATCACCACTGATCCCACAGAAATACAAACTACCATCAGAGAATACTATAAACAACTCGACACAAATAAACTAGAAAATCTAGAAGAAATGGATAAACTCCTGGACACACACACCCTCTGGAGACTAAACTGGTAAGAAGTTGAATCCCTGAATAGACCAATAACAAGTTCTGAAATTGAGGCAGTAATTAATAGCCTACCAACCAAAAAAAAGACCAGGACCAGACAGATTCATGGCTGAATTCTACCAGAGGTACAAAGAGGAGCTGGTACTATTCTCTCTGAAATTATTCCAACCCTAACTCATTTTATGAGGCCAGCATCATCCTGATACCAAAACCTGGCAGAGACACAACAAAAAAAGAAAATTTCAGGCCAATATTACTGATGAACATTGATATGAAAATCCTCAATAAAATACTGGCAAACTGAATCTAGCAGCACATCAAAAAGCTTATCCACCACGATCAAGTCAGCTTCATCCCTGGGATGCAAGGCAGGTTCAACATATGCAAATCAATAAATGTAATCCATCACATAAACAGAACCAAATTACAAAAACCACATGATTATCTCAATTGATGCAGAAAAGGCCTTTGATAGAATTCAACACCATTTCATGCTTAAAGACTTTCAATAAAGTATGTATTGATGGTACGTATCTCAAAATAATAAGAGCTATTTATGACAAACCCACAGCCAATATCATACTGAATGGGCAAAAGCTGGAAGCATTCCGTTTGAAAACTGGCACAAGACAAGGATGCTCTCTCTCACCACTGCTATTCAACATAGTATTGGAAGTCCTGGCGAGGGCAATCAGGCAAGAGAAAGAAATAAAGCCTATTCAATTAGGAAAAGAGGAAGTCAAATTGTCTCTGTTTGCAGATGTCATGATTGTATATTTAGAAAACCCCATCGTCTCAGCCCAAAGTCTCCTTAAGCTGATAAGCAACTTCAGCAAAGTCTCAGGATACAAAACCAATGTGCAAAAATCACAAGCATTCCTATACACCAATAGTAGACAAACAGAGAGCCAAATCATAAGTGAACTCCCATTCTCAATTGCTACAAAGATAATAAAATACCTAGGAATACAATTTACAAGAGATGTGAAGGACTTCTTCAGGGAGAACTACAAACCACTGCTCAAGGAAATAAGAGAGGACAGAAACAAATGGAAAAACATTCCATGCTCATGGATAGGAAGAATCAATATCTTGAAAATGGCCACACTGCCCAAAGCAATTTATAGATTCAATGCTATCCCCATCAAGCTACCATTGACTTTCTTTACAGAATTAGAAAAAACTACTTTAAATTTCTTTTGGAACCAAAAAAGAGCACATATATGCAAGAAAATCCTAAGCAAAAAGAATAAAGCTGGAGGCATCATGCTACCTGACTTCAAACTATACTACAAGGATACAGTAACCAAAACAGCATGGTACTGGTACCAAAATAAATATATAAACCAATGGAACAGAACAGAGGCCTCAGAAATAATGCCACACATCTACAGCCCTCTCATCTTTGACAAACCTGACAAAAACCAGCAATGGGGAAACGATTCCCTATTTAATAAGTGGTGTTGGGAAAACTGGCTAGCCATATGCAGAAAACTGAAACTGGACACCTTCCTTACATCTTATACAAAAATTAACTCAAGATGGATTAAAGACTTAAATGTAAAACCTAAAACCATAAAAACTTTAGAAGAAAACCTAGGCAATACCCTTCAGGACATAGGCATGAGCAAAGACATCACGACTAAAACACCAAAAGCAATGACAACAAAAGCCAAAATTGATAGATAGGGTCTAATTAAAGAGCTTCTGCACAGCAGAAGAGACTATCATCAGAGTGAACAGGCAACCTACAGAATCGGAGACAATTTTGGCAATCTATCCATCTGACAAAGGGCTAATATCCAGAATTTATAAGGAACTTAAACAAACTTACAAAAAAAAATCAAAAAGTAGGCAAAAGATATGAACAGACAGTTCTCAAAAGAAGACATTTATGTGGCCAACAAACATATGAAAAAAATCTCATCATCACTGGTCATTAGATAAATGCAAATCAAAACCACAATGAGATACCATCTCATGCCAGTTAAAATGATGATCATTAAAAAACCAGGAAACAACAGATGCTGGAGAGGATGTGGAGAAATAGGAACACTTTTACACTGTTGGTGGGAGTGTAAATTAGTTCAACCATTGTGGAAGACAGTGTGGCAATTCCTCAAGGTTCTAGAAGTAGAAATACCATTTGACCCAGCAATCCCATTACTGGGTATATACCCTAAGGATTATAAATCATTCACTATAAAGACACATGCACACGTATGTTTATTGCGGCACTGTTCACAATAGCAAAGACTTGGAATCAACCCAAATGCCCATCAATGATAGACTGGATAAAGAAAATGTGGCACATATACATCATGGAATACTATGCAGCCATAAAAAGGATGAGTTCATGTCCTTTGCAGGGACATGGATGAAGCTGGGAACCATTATTCTCAGCAAACTAACACAGGAACAGAAAACCAAACACATCATGTTCTCACTCATAAGTGGGAGTTAAACAATGAGAACACATGGACACAGGAAGGGGAATATTACACACCAGTGCCTGTCGAGGGGTGGGGGGCTAGGGGAGGGACAGCATTAGGAGAAATACTTAATGTAGGTGACGGGTTGATGGGTGCAGCAAACCACTATGGCACGTGTATGTATGCCTATGTAACAAACCTGCACGTTCTGCACACGTATCTCAGAACCTAAAGTATAATTTAAAAAAAAAAAAAAGAAATCCTGTTGTAGGTGAAAGAAGCCTTGCAATCACCTTGATGATTAATCACTGCTAACATTACAGGAAGGGAATCCCGATCCAAACCCCAAGAGAGAGTTCTTGGATTTTGCACAAGAAAGAATCCAGGGTGAGTCCATAGAGTAAAGTGAAGTAAGTTTATTAGGAAAGTAAAGGGATAAAAGAATGACTACTCCATAGACAGAGCAGCCTTGAGGGCTGCTGGTTGCCCATTTTTATGGTCATTTCTTGATTATATACTAAACAAGGGGTGGATTATTCATGCCTCCCCTTTTTAGACCATACAGGGTAACTTCTCGATGTTGCCATGGCATTTGTAAACTGTCACGGTGCTGGTGGGAATGTAGATGTGAGGACGACCAGAGCTCACTCTCATTGCCATCTTAGTTTTGGTGGGAATTAGCTGGCTTCTTTACTGCAACCTGTTTTATCAGCAAACATGTATGCTGTATGACCTGTATCTTGTGCTGACTTCCTATCTCACCCTGAAACTTAGAACGCCTAACCATCTGGGAATGCAGCCCAGTAGGTTTCAGCCTCATTTTATCTGGCTCCTATTCAAGATGAAATTGATCTAGCTCAAACACCTCTGACAGTAAGTCCTCCTTAGTTTCACCTTGTTTTGTGGATCTTGGCACATGTTAAACCAGTTGGGAGACAGCATTAATGGAGTATCTGCTAAATGCCAGTCTCTGCCACAGAACGGGTGGGTTAAGGATTCATGTGAAATGATGGTGAGGGGATGTTGAGGGATCTATGGAAATGGCAAAGCATCAGAGAAACAAAGCACATGATTCCTGTCTTTAAATGAAAATCAGGCAATTACAAAATAGAGATTTTTATTTTGAGGAAAGCTATGTGGAAATGCATACAGTCCATACAGAAGATATGCATTTGAAAGAGTGGTTTGCTGTATGATATGGGATAATCTGCATGAGTCGACATTGGTCAGGGAAGACATCCCGAGAAGGTGAAGAAGTGGGGGAAGGGCATGTCCATCATGAGGGTGAGTTGTGTGGGCAGGCCAGAAGTGAGCATAAGGTGGTAACTGGTTATCAGTGAGGAGATGGGGATGGGGAAGTCTGGAGAATTTTCTCTTGAGAATGATTCTGAGTGGTGCTGAGTTATACTTCTGTTGCTGTTGTTCAACGTTAGCTGTAAGACAACACCTTTGATCTGCTTCTAATCATCTGTTTGGCTTGCTGGAGGTGTCTTCTAGAAGGAATGATAACCAACAGTTATCCAGCATTTACTACATGCCGCATGCTGCTTGAGTGCTGTGTGAGAGTCATCTATTTGATCTTCAGGGCAACACTGGGTGTTTTTAGGTGTTATTATCATCACTCCATTTTATAGATAAATAATGTGTCAGTCAGGATGAATTGGGCTATGTTACAAAACAAATAACTCTCAAATCTCAGTCATTTAAATTGTAAGTTCTACCACATGGGGTGGAAGAGGGGCCTCTCCTCACTGAAGTCATACAGGGATCAAGGCTGACAAAGAGCCCATCTTGAACTACGTTTCCTTGATCTCTGAGGAAGAAAAATGGAATCTCGTGCACTGGTTCTGAGAGTTTTCACTTGAAAGTGATGTGTGGCATTTCTGCTCACATTTTGTCAGACAAAACAAGTCATATGGCTATGCCTAACTTTAGAGGGAGCAAGGACAGAAAATTCTAGCATGTAACTAGGAGAGAAGAAGAGGACTATTTATGAATGGCTTTAATAACTAACTATAAGGAACTGTGGTGCAAAGAAGGCAGGGGACTTGACTTAAGTTTTCACAGCTATTGTGGTTCTATGGCCCTTTTCCCTACCAAACCTACATTTTGCTTTATATACAAACTATGTGTGGGGGAGTCAGAGGGGATGGCTGGGAGTAAGACTGTGATTAGGGATGAGATTCACTCCTTAACCTCTTGCTCTCTGTGTCTAGATTATGGTGACTGGAATAAAATCTTCGAGAAAATCATTTCATAGTATCTCTTTGGCCACATGGGTAAGGAGAGGAGAAAGAAATGGAAAGTGTAGAAGAACGCTGAAACTGTATTCCAACAGACTCAGTGTAGTTGTCAGAAATGCTGAGGATTTGTTGTCCTTTTAGGGGAGAGTTATCAGTGTTGGAAAACAGTCATTTAAAAATAACAGTGAATTTAGACACAGTTGACCTCCGTCCATCCTTAAGATGTTAAGATGATTCTGCTTGTTTACTGTTGTCATCTTGATGCCATGAAGTGATTTGGGCAATTGCTGGGTGTAGGATGGATAGAACCATTTATGGGAGTGAAGAGAGTCATCAAGGAAGGCTCTGAGGGGAACAGAGGGGGAGCAGGACCTCCAGAGAGAAGCAAACGCTTGGAGAAAAAGACTTGAGCCTATGACACAAGGGTGCATGTGTGTGTGTGTGTGTGTGTGTGAGAGAGAGAGAGAGGGAGAGAGAGAGAGAGAGAGAAAGAGAGAGAGAGAGGGAATATGAAATAAGTAGGCCCACCCACATTCAAATTTTCTATTCCAAGAAAATCAAATTTCTGGGTTATAGGATCAAAAATAAAAACATCATCTATAAAGAGACTGTTAAATCAGCTGGCTCAGCCAAGAATTCGAGGACTTTTGTGATCTTCCTCACCTTGTTGGGGTTGGCAGGCCCTTTCTCTGGAGCACATGGTGTCAGTCAGGCTTCAGCGGTGTGACTGGAGTTCAGGGGCCAGGGGAAGTCAATGTGGGGAATTTAATCCCCACCTCTACTTGCTGAGTGAGGCTCGGTTGGTTTTCTATGGGCTGAAACCCCTGGGTCCCCTGGCATCCAACATAACATCAAAAATAGCCCTTGCTTTTTAATTACCAAGGGTGAAGATCTATTATCTGCTCCAAGAATTGATAATCTGTTGTAATTGGGAACATAGAGTTGGTCTCTTTCAAATATGATATTAAAATATTTGGTGAGCAAAATGAAAAAAATTAAAATACAAAAGAACTGTTTGTTATACTACAGTCAGATTTTATCCACTTAATTTTTTATTTCTTGATATTATATACATATGGTCAGAATGATCACATTTCCACATACGTTTAAATAATATAATTTTTAGTTAATTTAAATTTAAGTTAAAGCTGTTAGTTTAATTAAGTTTAAAGTAATTATGTTTAACACAACAAATAATACAAGTATATATAATGAAAAGTAAAAATCCTCTTTCCATTCAATCCTAGTTCTCAGAGGTAATCACTGTTACTACCTTTCTGTGTTATTCTGAACTTTTCTTTCTATAAAATAAGTATATTTAAAAAAATTGATTTATCCATTTTGTTATTAATAGAATGGGTTGCTTTGAGACCAGACTCTAGTATTCTGGAAGCCTTGATGACCAGAAGCAAGGGACTCTATGCTTTCAAAGATTCAACAGTTTGCCATTTATCCAGAGGGAGCAGTGTTAGACTGCATTTTTGTTTTTTTGTTTTTAAAATATTCATTTTTTCTTTCTTTTTCAAATTTATTGTATCTTAAATTTAAAAAATAGATCTAGCAGGCACAAGTGCAGATTTCTTACATTCATAAATTGCCTAGTGGTGAAATCTGGGCTTTTAGTGAACCCATCACTCGAATAGTGAAAATTGTACCCAAAAGGTAATTTTTCAACCTTCACCCTCATCCCACTCGCCCACCCTTTGTAGTTTCCAATGTCTATTATTCCACTCTGTATGTGAATGTGTATTCATTGTTTAGCTAGAGAGAACATGCAGTATTTGACTTTCTGTTTTTGAGTTATTTCAATTAGAATAATGATCTCTAGTTCTATCCAGGTTGGGGCAAAAAAGCATGATTTTTATTCTTTTTTATGTCTGAGTAATATTACATGATATATAAATATCACATTTTCTTTGTCCAATCATCTAAATGTGTAAGTGCAGGTATCTTTTTGATCTGATTATTTTTTTCCCTTTGGATATTTACCCAGTAATGGGATTGGTAGATCAAATGGTTTTTCTATTTTTTAGTTTTTTGAGAAATCTCCATGCTATTTTCCAGAAAGGTTGTACTAAGTTACATTCTGACCAACAGTGTATAAGTGTGCCCTTTTCTCTGCATCCTTGCCAACATCTCTTGTTTTTTGACTTTTTAATTAATAACAGCCATTCTGACTGGTCTAAGATTTTATTTCGTGGTTTTAATTTGCATTTCTCTGATGATTAGTGATGTTGAGCATTTCTTCATATGTTTGTTGACTGCTTTCATGTTTTCTTTTGAAAAATGTTTATTTATGTCATTTGCCCACTTTTTAATGGAGTTATTTGTTTCTTTCCTGTGGAGTTGTTTGAGCTCCTTGTAGATTCTGGATATTAGCCCTTTGTTGGATGCATAGTTTGCAAATAGTTTATCTCATTTCGTAGGTTGTTTGTTTACTCTGTTGATTGTGTCTTTTGCTGTGGAGAGCTTTTTTTTTTTTTTTTTTTTGAGACGGAGTCTCGCTCTGTTGCCCAGGCTGGAGTGCAATGGCACAATCTCTGCTCACTGCAAGCTTCGCCTCCCGGGTTCATGCCAGTCTCCTGCCTCAGCCTCCCGAGTAGCTGGGACTGCAGACGCCCACCACCACACCCCACTAATTTTTTTTGTATTTTTAGTAGAGACGGGGTTTCACCGTGTTAGCCAGGATGGTCTCGATCTCCTGACCTCGTGATCTGCCCGCCTCGGCCTCCCGAAATGCTGGGATTACAGACGTGAGCCACCGTGCCCGGCCAGAGCTTTTTAGTTTAATTAAGTTTCATTTGTCTATTTTCGTCTTTGTTGCATTTGCTTTTGAAGACATGGTCATAAATTCTTTGCCTAGGCCAATGTCCAGAAGAGATTTTCCTAGGTTTTCTTCTAGAAGTTTTATAGTTTTGTGTCTTATATTTAAGTCTTTAATCCATCTAGGGTTTTTTTTTTTAATAGTGAAAGATATGGATCCAGTTTCATTCTTTTGCATATGGATATCCTATTTTCCTGGCATCATTTATTAAATATGGTGTCCTTTGTCCAGTGTAAATTTTTTTTTATATTACTGAAAATCAGTTGGGTATAGGCATATGGCTTTATTAGACTGCATTTTGGATTAGGAAGACATTTTCAGTAGCCCCTTTGGCTATATTCTGTCACGGAATGGGGAATTACCTTCAAAATCAGGTAAAGGGCTGTCACATCTTTCCAGAGAAGATGATCATGTTGACTGGGAGATGGAATGATTTCTTTCTATCTCTCAGGAATGTGAGGAGCCTTGTAGGGCAGAGGTGGGTTTGGGGATGGGAAAGAGACAGCGTGCTAGTGATTTTCTGGGGCCAGAAGACTATAAGGAGAGATGGCTGGGCAGGGAGCTGCTGGTGAGGGACACAGAATGGTATTCATTGAGTCTGGGGACAGTCTGCAGCCTGTGTAACCATGGGCAAGAAAGTATTCTCTCCATGCCTCAGTTTCCAAGTCTATTATATGAGGCTAATAGTAGTATTCACCCCCTAGGGCTATTGTGAGGAGTAATCTGTCTATGTGTCTATGTATGTATGTATGTATGTATGTATGTATGTATGTATGTATGCATGTATCTTTTATACTTAGAACAGTATGTTATACAAGTGTTTATTATTTATTATTACTCTTTTCTACTTTATAATTATGTTCTTTTATTCTCAGGCCTTCAGTACATCTTTATTAATCTGACTGCCTGGTTGCAGTTACATTTGAGAATAAGACTGAGATCAAATTCCACGTTTAGAGTGAGAAATGACTGCAGTTGAAGACTTGGTTGCAAGAGTCTAAGAAGACACCTCAGGGAGAGAGACAGGATCCAAAACAAGATTGCTGGCTGAGGTAAGAAGCTATAAACCAGGAAGGACTCATGGAACCTAGAGGTATTCTCCAGAGATTCCTCAGAAATACCTAGGGAGAGGAATCTGATGGAAGACTGAACTTCTTCAAACAGGAAGGAAATGGTTATTTAGCCATTAAAGGAAATGTGAGCCAGAATAAGTTTGGAGAATTTGGGAGCATGTGAATTATACACAATAATTGTATTTTTCTGCAACTTCCTGTTTTCCACTTAATTGTATATCGTGAAGTTATTTCCAGGTCAGTATATAAAGAACTATCTTATTTTTCAAGCAGCTGCATACTGTTTTTAAAGGTAACTTTGTTTATTTAACTGTCTCCTAATTGTAGATGGATGTTGGTTGCTAGCAATTTGTTGTTGTTATACATAAACAGTGCTGCAGTGAACTAACTCACATATAAATCTTTGTAAACATACTCTCATATTTCTGTAGGGTGAGTTTTTTCAAGTGGGATTGCTGAGTTCCAGATGTATGCATTTGAAACTTTAATAAATTCTATAAGAATATCCTCTAAAAAGTAAAATTTAAATTACTACATTTAAACTCCTAGCAACAGTATATGAAAATGTTCATTTCAAGGTGTCCTTAACAATGAATTCTATAAAATTTTTGCCAATATGATAGATGAAAATAACACTTCATTCTTTTCAACATACTTTTCTTTGATATTAGTGACACTAATAATCTTTTCACTGCATAATTAGCCATGTATATTTCTTTTTCTATGATATCTGTGCCTTGTTTGTTTATCTATTGGATTGTTTACTTACTTTCTAATGGTAGGGATTTTTCATATTTTATGAATGTTAAATTATTAAATTTAGTTTGTTATATGTGTTAAAATACTTTCTCCTAGTTTTTTTTGTCATTTGGCTTTGCTTATGGAGTCTTTCAACACAAACACATTTTAAATATTTATGAAGTTGAACATCAACCATTGACTTTATAACTAGTGAGTTTGGGTAATTATTTAAAAGCCTTTCTTACTTCAAGAATGTAAAATCGTCTCATATATTTTCTTGTAAAATATAACATTTAAAAGTGTTTAAATCTTAACTGGAGCCCTCTTACAAATTTGATTTGAAGCAGAGTATAATATTCTATTTTTCTGAAATTATTAGCCAACTTTCCCAATATTAAACAATCTACAGTTTCCCTCTAACTTGAAATGCCACTTTTATGAAATACTACATTCCTATATTTTTGTCTAATGATGCATCTATTTTGTTCACTAAATTGTTTATTCTAATGCAGCTATTTATATTAGTTTTGTGGTACCTTTATAGTATCTTTTGATTTGTGGTAAACTAAGCACTCTCTCATTCTTCTTTGTAAGAAAAAAAGTGTATTGCCAGTATTTATTAATTTTTTCAGAAGAACTGTAGAAGAAACATAATAGCTACCTTCTCATAAAAATGTTTTATATTTTTTGTTGGAATTGTACATAGAATTCATCTATTAATATGGAAAAAATTGGCATATTAATCCTTCATCAATAGCAACATACTATGTCTCTCCATTAACTTAGGTCTTTTATATTTACTTCACTAATGTTTTATGGTTTTCTTTATATTTCTAGGTCTTACACATAACTCTTTTTATTTTTGTTCTTAGAATTTCACAGCTTTTGTTGATACTATGAATCAGATTTTTCATTAATTCTTTTAATTGCTTATTATTGAACATGAAAAAGTAATCTTTGTATTGAAATCTTGAGTCTGATCATGTTTCTATTTTAAATTCATAAAGAATTCTAGTAGAAGAGGAATTCAAAGAATGTTATAAATGGATGTTTCTCTAGGGATGAAGGAACTATTTTATTCACAGGCTGATAATTCAACCTAAGCTAGTTTGGCATCATGCAGATAAATAGTTGAATTATGGGTTTAAAATACATATTCTTTTCTAACTACAAAGGTAATGCTTATTAATTTAGATGGTTTTGAAAATACAGAAAGGCAAAAACTTTTTTTAAAAAACTGTTATTCTCTACCGCTACTCAATCTATCATCTATCTCTCCATTCATTCATCCCTTTGTTTATATCTGTTAATCTTTGTATGTGTTCATGTATAACTTTTACATGATTGGAATCATAATACATATTCCATTTTAAAATCTCCTTTTTTACACAAAAATACATTGTGAATATTTTTCTATATTATTAAATATCATTAGCTGAACTTTTAGAATTGACTGCATGTTTTGGTACCATTTAGACATAGTTTAAGATACTCAGAAGTTATGTGGCTTTGCCACTATGGATGAATCTTCTTTACTCAATATTAATTACTTTAAAATAACCTCACCTAAGTACTTCTCAGCCATAAAAAGGAATGAATTAATGACATTCATAGCAACTTGGAGACTATTATTCTAAGGGAAGTAACTCAGGAATGGAAAACCAAACATTGTATGTTCTCACTCATAAGTGGGAGATAAGCTATGAAGATGCAAAGGCATAAGAAGGATACAATGGACTTTGGGGACTCAGGCGAAAGGGTGGGAGGGGTGAGGGATAAAAGAATACAAACTGGATTCAGTGTATACTGCTCAGGTGCACCAAAATCTCACAAATCACCACTAAAGTTCTTACTCATGTAATAAAATACCACTTGTTCCCCAAAAACCTATGGAAATAAAAAATTAAAAAAAAATAACCTCACCTAAAATGGACTTCTGTTTTCGGGAATATGAAATAGATATACTCTTCCCAGATCGCACCACTGCACTCCAGCCTGGGTGACAGAGCGAGACTCCATCTCCAAAAGCAAAACAAAACAAAACAAAACAAAAACCCTGAACAAAATATGTAACACAAACAAAAGAAGACTCTAAAGGTCAAGAGAAGAAGGCAGAACTAGGGAACTTGGAACCCAAGAAACAACACTGTGGAAAGTTCCCTGGGTTTTCTTTTGGCCTCACGTATCTGAGACTTGAAACTAACAAAGCCAGCAACCTGGAAATGCCAATAGGAGCAGACAAAAATGTCCCTTCCAAAAGCCTACTTTCTCTAGCCAAAGGCCAGCCAATAGGCAGCCTAGCAAGATAGAAAACTTTGACAATAACTGCTGTACTCCAGCCAATGCTACAGAAAAATACAGCGGCTCCAACCTCACTCCCACCAGCAAAGGCCAAGTGGGGAGCATAGATTTGCTCCCTTCAGAGGGATAGTGAAGTGTTGTATGCCACCTCCACTGGGGTGATGTCAGAAAAATCTGAGCAGGGAGCTGGGAGTTTCATCCACACTGAGTATTCCCTCTGCCTCCTTTTTCCTCTACTTTTGATGTCAGTGGAGACTACATGGGGATTCTAGACTTCCACCCACAGCCACTGGTGCAGTAGTGTCAGAAAAAGCTTAGTGGAGAGTCAGGACTTTTACCACCACTTGTGGCCACCCTGCTCCCTTGGTATTAGAGGAGCTCAGGTGGGGAGAAGCAGCTCCTACCTCTGTCCAGCGGTAACAAGTGGCATCCCCCACCCCAATGTGGCAATGGAAGCTAAGTGACAACCTGGACTTTTACCTTCATTGGCTAGGAATGAGGTGGCACCCTACTTTCCCTGCCAGGACTGTGTCAGAAGAAAACAGCTAAAACAGAAGGTTTAAATAACATCTTGAGTCTTTTAATACCCAAACTGTCCATGTTTCAAATGAAAATCACTTCTTAAACCAAGAACCAGGAAGATCTGAAACTGAATGAAGATAGACAATCAATAGTTGCCAACACTAAGCTGATAGAGATATTAGAATGATCAAGAATTTTATAGCAGCTGTCCTAAGATGCCTCAACAAGCAATTAAAAACATTACAGAATATACTAAAATTACAAATTGTAAAAACAGAAAACTTTAATAAATAGAAAGTCTCAAGAAAGAAAGAGAAAATATAAAGAATAATTCAATGAGAAATTTTGGAACTGAAAAATATAACAATCAATATAAGAAACACAATGGACAGGCTAAAGAGCAGTATGGAGGGAACAGAGAAAAGAATCAGGTAACTGGAAGACAGAACAACAGATATTACTCAATTAGAACAATGTAGAGAAAATAATAACTGAAAAAAAAGGACAGAGCCTTAGGGACCTGGGAGAATATAATAGAAGATATAATGTGTAATCAGAGACCTAGAAAGAGAGAAGAAAGAGATAGGACTAAAGAAGCACTTTAAGAAATAATGACTGAAAATGTTCCCAATTTGGCAGAAGATGTAAACCTACAAATTTGAGAAGCTGGGTAAACTCCAAGGAAGATAAATCCAAAGACATCCATATGAAGACACAATAGAGTCAAACTTGAAATCTAAAGACAATTTTAAAAAGCTTCAAAGTGCTTAGTGACAGAAAAATAACACCTTACTTGCAGGGCAAAAAATAATTTGAATGACAACATATTTCTCACCAGGAACTATAGATCCCAGAAGGAAGTGGTGCAACATTTTTCAAGTGCTGAAAGAAAATAACTGTTAACCTAGAATTCCTATACTTAGTCAAAGTATCCTTCAGGAATCAATGGGAAATCAAAGCCTTCTCAGATGAAGAAAAACTAAGAATCTGTCACCAGCAGATCTGCTTTAAAAGAACAGCTGAAGGAAGCTCTCTACATGGAAAAGAAATGCCGAAAGAAGAACCCTTAGAACATCAGGAAGAAAGAACATGGTCAGTAAAAATACGGATACAATATAACTGACTTCCCTTCTCTTAAGTTTAATTAAAAAAAAAAAACACATGAAATAAACAAACCAAAGACACTTAACATGAAACAATATTTTGAAGCAACTATCATATACAGATAAATGTGGACAGCATTTTTTCTCCATTAAAAATACATAGTTAATGGAATGTGTACTTACCATGTAACTCAAAATGAGAATTTGGCCTTCAAAATAACTATTAGAGAGGAAATTAATCCTAAAAAGATATGGTTAGAAACCATTCTGAAATTTTGTCAAAAGTTTCTTCCTTTCCTGTCTGCTTACTTGCATAATGTATGATGAAGGGATTGGACTTGATTGTCTCAAAGGTCTGTTCAGTTGAGCTCATGGCACTCTTGAATTTTTTTGGCTAAATTTCTGAAAGATCCACAAAATTGCAAAACCTTTAAAAATACTTTATTGTACATAAAATCACATCTTTGATGAATGAGGTGGTTTACTTTATGAAAGAATTTTAAAGAGGTTAAGGAATGATGTTTTCCTGTACTTTCTGTGCTGGGTTCTCTTCCTCCTTCCTTTTTAAGAGTGAGAATGAAGAAATTTAATTTAGATTAAGCATTGAAACAAACAAAAAGCATTGAAGCAAATAAGAAATTAGTCAATATTATAGGAACACTTATTACCTTTTTTTTTTCTGTTCTTCTCTTTTACCCCTTCTTCCTCTTCCTTCCCCTCTTTATTCCCTTTCCTTTTGGAAGCATTTGAGAGTAAGTTGCAATAACTATTACCCTTCTCCATAATTACTTCATTATGCATATCCAAAGAACAAGGGTAGTCTCCTAAATAACAACAATATAGTGACCAGATTCAGAAAGATTAACATTGATGCAATACTATATAAAAAAAATCCAAATTCAAAGTTATTTTCTTTAAACAAATAAAATGTCTATTTTAACAGAATAGGTTAAAAGGAAGGGAGGTCCCATTGCATTTTTATAACCCTTATTCCTTTGCCTCTTTCTTTCAAGTATCCTTCTCAGGGACTGGCATCTGAATGATTTCCCACCCCTACTGGCCCATCCTCTTTCCTGTCAACACTTGTGAGTCTTTCCCGTGTTCCTTCAGGACTCAGCTATGTACTGACAGCCAGTCTTCCTAGCCCGATGTCCATGGATGATGACGATGGCTCCCTATGATCTCACTTTCCCAGGGGCATCGGCAGTTTTTTCAACTACTTTCAGAAATGTGGGCAGTTTATACAGAGCTTCAGAAGCCAGAGGAAGTATTTTGAAGAAAGGGGACAATTGGTATCTCCTTACCTTACTGTAGCAAGTTTCTACCTATCCATAAGCAAATATGAACAATTTAAAGTTCATAAGCAAATGAAAACAATTAAAGTTTAGGGGTAGGAAATGATTCAGGTGCCAGTCTCTGAGAAAGATATTTAAAAGAAAGAGGGAAAGAAATGAGTGTTAAACATTCTATGGGACCTCCCTTCCTTTAAACTTATTTTGCTAAAATAGACAGTTTATTTCTTTAAAGAAAATAACTTTGAATCTGGGTATTTTAGTTAGTATTACAATTGGTATTTTCTTACCTTATTGTAGCAGGTTTCTACCTATCCATAAGCAAATATGAGTAATTTAAAGTTTTCTGGAATTCAGTGTTTTTTGCCATATTTGAGAAGCCAGTGTTTTCAATAGGTCTATAATATTCTGCTGTGGAAAAAAAGCAAAGAAAAGCAAGATACTGAATAATGTTTATAGAATGAGCTCATTACCAAACATAAAGACAGTTTTTCTCTACATCAACATATGCTTGTATGAGTATGAGGGAAAGAACAGAAGGATACACACCAAATTACTAACATGGGTTACCTTAGGAAGGTGGGCTTAGCTTTCTCTTCATGTATTGCTATATTTTTTTACTTACACAAAACATGTATCCTTTTTGTAATTAAAATAAAAATAATACAGTTTTTGAGAAGCAAAATACTCAGAAAGCATATAAAACTTCTGATTTAACACAAAACTCCCAACTACCAAGAAGAGAAAGAAGGCCATTGATAGTATCATGGAACATATTATATGGTACATAGGGGTTAATTGCTTAGTGATGAATGAATGACACAGGATTATCCATGATGAAATATAAGATCATCTTTTATATAAATCTGTTTCTCCTGGGTAAATTTTCTGGGTAGTCTTCATGCTAAGACAAATTTTGCTGAACTCAGGAGAGAAGCAAATTGGGAAGGAAGTAAGATTTCATTTTGGAGAAATAAAACTTGAAAAGGTTATATTCAAGAAGGGAAATGAGGTTTTCTAGTTGGATCCTAGGAAAGGCATTAGCACGTGCATTCTGACTTTTAAAATTCCTTGCCTCAAGTGTCTTCTGGGTCTTATGATTTCTGGACTTAGTACATTCACCTTCTAGGAACATTCTTTTTTCTCTTAAGACACTCTGAATGCCAGACTGTGTCCAGTGACGTATCATCTTAAGTGGTTGAAAGACAAAATATTTAAATTGCCATACATTTTGTCTGCCTCTTCATAGAAATGATGCAAATCAGTTTCATATTTCCAGTGAATTCTTTGACTCTTGTGGTCTCACATAGGGCCTATGAAAAACACAGCTTTTCCCCAAAGAAGACCTTCATCACTTGAATTTTATTAGCCTCCCCAAAGGCCTAGTTTCTGTCTAGTGTCCAGTCTTGGAAGCATCTGCTTTAAATTTCCTTTAAACAACTGTTATATGGAAATGACTTCCTTTCTTCTCTCTCCACTCCTCATCCTAAACTGAGCTGCCCGTCTACTTCTCACTGTAACAATCTTTGATGTCAGCTTATTTGTGGACCTCGCACACAGGAATGGGACAAGTCACCAGCTCAGAAGTCTCAGGACCAGCGACATCAAGAGCAGGAAGTGGCCAGTGCCTCAACTTCACTCCCCTCTCCCTCCTGGAACAGGCCCTCCATCACCGTAGATAATTCATGTCACTGAATGGAACATGTAAGCCATCTCACTTCTTTTTGTCTTCACAAATGCTTTAAACACAGGCTTGGAAAATCTGTGGGCTTCTCACACGTTCTCAGATATATTCCTTTGCACCTAACTGGAGTGAAATGATATGGTGCTCAGTGGAAGGAATCTGGTTGTGCCAGCAGAGGTTGGGGCTATGGAACCATGTAACTGGAAGCAAGCAGTGAAAGAAACCTGGAAACTCCTGTCACCCTGTGCCTCAGTGCAGGCTGGCTCAGCAGCATCAACTTAATGTTCTGTGTGGGATGCTAGCACATTTGTGTTTGGAGCCTGGTAATTAGATTGTGAGCAGGAGGCAAAATCCCAGCAATCTGGTGGCATGGACAAATCTTGGTGTCAGAAGGCATGGTGTGTTGAGGCTTAACAATCTCAGCTCTATTTTTGTCTATCACCCCTTTGATACATGTCAAAAAAAATCCCACCCACTAGTTCTCTTTCTCCTCTCCCCATCAAGATCAAGCACCATAGACAAATTAAATAATAACAATAATAGAACAGGAAAATAATACACCGATGATCAGACATCAAAATGAAATGCAGACCCTTAGAACAACTTTGCTTCGTGTACTTTTAATACATTTTATATGCCACACGGCAATTTACTGAGAGGTGGATTTTAACATACCACATATGCTATTGGCAAGATAAGAATTACTGAGTTGAATGTTGGTTCACTAAATATGCTGAAACCCTTTTACAGTGTAGACTCTGAGGAACAGCTAACACTCTCTTTATGGGCACATTGAAATGAATTGTGCTTTTACTGTATGTCATTGTTATGTTTCAGGGGACATGATTTCACCAGTAGCTTTGCCAAATTTTTGCAATAACATGATTCCACTGTATTTCTATTTTAGTACCACGATCTCATGCCTTGAAGTTTATTTGAAAAAAGAAAACAACATAAAAAAGAGTGAAGTTCAGCCAAATCCAGGTTATTCAGGATTTAAGTTATAATCCAGCATGAAGATTATCCTAAACTTTTGCTTCTCTTCCTCACCTTTAGTATTTTTCATCTTAAGTGGATGTTCCTGCTCAGTAGCATATTTCCCAGAAAGAATCAATGGGATTTAATTAATTTCTTGTGTGAAATGCTGCAGAGATACTTTTTGAGGGAGGGAGAGAGAGAGAGAATGAGAATGTATGTAGAGAGAGAGAGAAGAGAGAAATGGTTGGAAGCTTTTGGTAATATTTTCTGATATGTATAAACTTAAATTACCTAGAATTCATGAGCACTTCTGCTTGCTATCCATGTAGAAGAGATCATTAAGAGATTGCTGTATTTTATCCATAATGTACTTTTCTAACCTAAATTATTAGGAATAGGAATACCCCATCTGCATGCTATGAATAACACCATGTGTGGAGAATCTGCACAGATCCTGAGATAATTGTAGGGATGAAGCTGTCTAAGGAGAAATCCCAGGCCTTAGGAGAGTGTGAACCTTGTGGAAAGATGAACAAAAGGGGAAGAGCCCTATTTTGAATCAAGGAAATCTTAACTCATGAGAATAAAATTAGTGTGAGGAGCCAAATCCTGAACAATCTTTAGTTTCCTTATTTTCTCTCTGATGACACTGTAACTGTCTAACTAAAAAGGAGAGAATCAAGTTAAGGAGCAAAGTATTTGGTCAACCCTTTAAACTATTTGTCGACATCATTTTATAGGTCAGCATACTTGTTTGAATTTTCCATTTGTCTTTAGAATATCTACCTGGAGAGAAGTCGATATTTAACTAGAAGAGATGGACGCTGTTGGGCTAATACAAAAAGTTAAAAATTCAACCCATGAAACATTGGTTTTTATTTCATTAGCAATTTTGGTTTCATTTTTTTTACCCAAATTAGGCTGAAAAATGAAATCAAAATTGCTGGTGAAATGAAGCCATTTTATACAAATAGCACTTTGCATCCTCAAAAAGAGAGATTCCACAGAATGTTCTTGTACAAACACCTGTAGTTTGGGTCCATGTGGAATCTCTCTTTTTCAGGACACAAAGTGGTATTTGTATAAGAACATTCTGATTCTGGATCCACTAGCTGCAAGAAGACCTGATTGAACCAGTGCCTCCCGCTGTGGGTGAAAATCAGCCTGGCCTCTCCTGGGACACAGAGGGGACCAAACTGTCAGTCACTAGAATGATTTGTTCTCACTTTCCAGCTGGCTGGTTTGGTGCTGTTGTTGATGCTGCCACAGTCATTGTAGTGTAGGGTAGGTAACAGACTAGCCTTCCAAGCACCTAGCTTTCCACCTCCTTGCTGAGACTTTGGCTTGGTCTCCTAGAAATGGCTCCTTTTAACCCAATAAACAGGGAAGTGGGTGGGGGGATAGCTGTTTAAAAAGAGCACATTTTAATGGAAAAATGAGGTATTTTCCATTGTGGTAATGTGTCTTTTTTTTTCAATCATAAAATTGCTCAAAAGAGGAAGCAAAAAGAGGAACATGTATTCATTTGTTTCAACTTGAATTTGTGAAATGAGTTCTTAAGAAAGCTAGCAGGCATCTATTTCGAAGAATTATGACTCCTTTTCGACATGTAAATATCGTATCATTTCCACAGTATAATTATCTCCCATGATGATCTAAATTTATATGACTGTAGATTCCAAACGCAGTTATTGTGGAGTTTCAACAAGACCACATATGAGAAAGAAAGAGAGAAAATATCTGCATGTGTCAGTGTTCAAATGACACCATCAGAGACTGTTGAGAGTAAGACAAGACCTCTCCTTTGTGACCAGTTAACTGATACTAGACAAGTATTGTTCTAGCAGGTAAAATGACTCGAAGATATCTTCAAACTTTATATTTTTTAATAACCCCCATAATACAGAATTACCTATGGATGTACATGTTGGAGTACATTCACGTGAAAGTATAGAATCAGACATTATTCAGGCAGACTTTCCCTGTTCCAAATACTCCTTAATTGAGGAACTACCTTGACTACTAATTTTAAATCACAATAGTTCCATGCAGAAGGGAGAGCTAAGTTTTGGGTTACAAAATTTTGAAAACCACCATATAGAACCCACCTAAAATATCCAACCACCAACTTGCCACTGGCGATGGCTGAGAAAGCAGAAGGGAGGCAGATGTGGTTGTTGCCCAGTTGGAAATGATGATACTAATAAGACTTTAAGTGAAGTAAGCAGAAGGAGTTTGGGGCATTTGTTATGCTCTCCTTGAAGCTCTGTTCTGAGTCCTCCCAGACCTGGCTGGAGATTGATTTTCCTTCTGTGCTAGATATCCTACGTGAAAATAACCATGGCAGTATTAATAATAGCACTGTAGCAGCTGTTTGGAAAGTGAGCACCTTCCATACCTTAACTTTCTATTTTGCCTGGTAGATTGCACTCTTTTCCTTTTCACTAGCAGATAGTTCTCTGAGTACGAATCTAAAGAGAGGAGAGCCAAGGCTATCTATATTGCCTATGGTAAGACAGCATAGTGAGACATTTCCTTAAAAATCTGGGAATGACTGCAAATGGCATTGGGAATACAATCATGAGTTGGTTGCCCCTGATGGTAGTTCTTCAGGTTCATGCATAGGAAGCTCCAAGGGAAGGTTGACTCATTAGATGCACCAAAGGTTGGCTTACTCTAAAAATGAACATGTCATGAGCATGCACACAGGGTTAATAACATATATTGAGCTTTTCCTATATGCTAGATTCTTTTTTACCTTCTTATTAAATCCAAACAACAACGTCCCAGTGAAGATGTTGTTATCAACAAGAATATAAGCAGAATGAGTAGCAATTTGGGTTCACTTGTATACAATAAACACTTGGCACATTTGCTTTTCAAATGATTTAATAAATGTTAACCTTATGGATGAAGAAACAGAGTTTTGCAGAGATTGAATACTCTGCCAAATTCCCCCAGCCAGATAACGCCAGAACAGGGAAACAGGCCTGACGCTATGGGGAGATTTTGTTCCCTGCCAGAGGTTCAGCATACCCAAATCCCCTCCCTTGTGTGGGCCCTGGTTGGAGTTGGACACAAGAAAAATTTGCATGAGATATGGAAGGTAGAAGTGAAGCAGCAGCTGTTATGCTCAGAGGATGGACATATGGATGCCAGGCACCATGACAGTGTCAACTTACACGTCATCACTTATCTGCTGGTTCACCTCGTTGGTGTGGGGCAATGGCTGGGTCCACAGCTTCTCTAGTTTTCAGCAGATCTCTTCCTTTCAGTTCTTTGAGTCCTGAGCCATGGCAGGAACCTTGTGCAGCTTCACGGCAAAGGACACCAGTCTCTTCTGCAAGTTATCTATATTGTTGAGGTTGGAGGCCATGAGATACAGATGTGGGTTTTAGTTTGTCTTGTCTCTCTGTTCATGTCCAGCTTGTCTTCCTGATTGCCAGCCTTCTTGACCTCTAGTGACTTCAAGGCTACTGCCAGATGCAAAGGCAACAGCCTCCCATAGGCTTCTTTATAAGTTCCCACAATGCTGTCGAGTCTAACCTCTTCAGTAAACCATTTATTTCATATCACTTGTGGTGGCTGTGCTTCCATGATCAAACTTTAGCTGTTATGGTTTGTCAGACTCCAAATTTCCAGGATACTGCACTCACTGGGAGACTATGAGGGTGAAGGCACGAGCAGGTTTCAGTGGGACTGGAATCCTCTGGCTTTAGGAAACTGAGTACTTCCTTAATCAGATGCTCAGAGAACAAAGCAAGGGGATATACATGAGCAAAACAGAAAATTGAGAAGTCATATCAATGTTTCATTTAGCTTATGAGATTACAGAGCTAGTAATTTCATGGCCAATTATATGTTTAAGATAGGCCAAAAATAAGTTGAAAAAATATTTCAGTGGCCGTTTGTGGACAATATAAAAATGACATTTTTCTGATTTCTCAATCAGTGCTTTTCAGTATCTTAGTCACAGCCTACATTTACATGCCAAACATCTGCATGGAAAGTGAAAATATGCTGTTATAACCTAGATGAAACATCTGGAAGATGATATTTTTCTACTTTTTATTCATTTGGTGTCACATAGATCTAGGCATCAACACATATCTCTTTTCCCTTAACTTTAAAAAAACATGATTTTATTTTTCAGTGCACTTTTTCTGGAAAACAATTTTGCAAGGTGCAAGGTATTCAGATGAAGTGCTGAAATCTTGGCTGTAGGAAAAGTTAAGCATAACCAACCAACACTTACTTCAACCCCAACTGCAACACTTCTGAGACTTACCCTTTGCCATTTAGCACGTTCCTTTTGCTGTCTGCTTGCACACTATGTACCCTGGGACTTTCCTGGTTTTCTCTGCCTTCTGCTTTTGGGGTAATATTGGTTTAACCAATATTAAACCAAGAAGTACAACATTAGAAAGACCCAATTTTCTTACATGAAAGCAAGAAGTTTATTCAACTCATTGCTTCACTTTATTTCTAGGGGCCTTTTCTAGGTCCAGAAAGAAGTTGTCCTTAGCCCTAGACTTTCTGTACCTCTACCCACCCTCCCTTCAGTATGTATGTACGTTGTCTGTCTTGAGTGAGATAATATGCCCATGCAGATACGCTCTTCTTTGTTTTCTAAGCATTAGGGTTGCTGATACACAACAATATTTTTTCTTGGTAGAAGTATGTTCCATGCAATATTTGGGATATATTTTATGCACAATTACTTGCTGTTTAGCTAAAATTCAAATTTAACTGGGCATCCTGTATTTTATTTGCTAAATCTGTCAACCATAGTGTAGATACTTCTCGCATCCCCAATCTCCCAAAGCTCCCATTTTCTAAATCCTGCACACTGACAAGACTTTCAACAGTAAGTTAACTTCTGGACAGCTTGCCAGACTCTCCTTGAGGAATGTGTTTGCCTTCTAGCATTTGGATGAATAATTTAGTTCTGCCACTAAAACAAAACATGAATGGGCATTTGATGTAAACATTATTTTCCTCACTGCTTTGGCTGAAGAGCTGAAGAGTTAGAAAGGTCCTACCGGCAACATCCACCTTTCTGAAATGCACTGCTTGCTCACAGACTTAAGGTGTAGCTTGAGCTGTTTCTGGGTTACACAGCTTTTCTTCTATTTCCGTTTTTTTCTTCTTCAAAGTTTCTAGTCTTCTTTTCTTACAGAAGTATGACCTCTCTTCAAGTCTCAACCAGGACCAACATTTGTGCCATCCAGATTTTGCGACCCAGAAATGGCCATCTGACCAGTCCATGGAAGGCCTTCCTAGACTGGAGTGTGTATTCTTATGACCCAGATCACATAATACTGACAGAGAGGTATTTGGCAGTAACATGGGTAATAATGGTAAGGAAGGGTATATGGACTACGATTTATAAAGGCTTTTTGAAATTAGCTTGAAAATAACACTTACTGGGATTTCCCACATTTTAAAACTAACATGCTTATTGTAGAAAAACATGCAAAACATACAAAAGCTAAAAGCAAACATAACAAAACAATCACTCACAAATTCACATCTTGAGATATTCACTGTTGTTATTTTTGGTGTATATTTATAATATTTTTCTATAAATTTATTTGTTGTTTCAAAAAAGTACCATATAACACAGAAATACACAGCAACTTTTTTTTGTGATTTAGCAATGGATTTTGAACATTTTTTTCTGTGCAGAGTACATGTGTATGTCAATAATTCTCAATATTTTTTGGGTTGCAGATCTTATTTAAGAAAGTAAAGCTGCTTCTTTCACGAAAACAACTATACAGGTACCTAGAGGATTTGGGTACAATTTCAGATCATTAAAATACATCTGTAGATCCTAAAGATAAAGAAGTCCTGTTCTAAAGTATCACAACTAATTTGAATGACTGACATGGGATATTTTGAGGCTTCCAGTAAGAATTTATTTTATATAAGCTAAATAGGCAATTAGACATTTGCTACATTGGGACCTCATATTATAAGATTTTGCTTTTTTTTTTTCTTGGAATTCAGGTTTTTAGGGTAGTGGTCCCCAACTTTTTTGGCAGCAGGGACTGGTTCATGGAAGACAATTTTTCTGCTGAGCAGGGGTGGGAGGTGGGCAGGGTTGGGTGATGGTTTCGGGATGAAACTGTTTCACCTCAGATCATCAGGCATTAGATTCTCATAAGGAGCACACAACCTAGATCCTTTGCATATGCAGTTCACAGTGGCATTTCTGCTTCTTTGAGAATTTAATGCTGCTGCTGATCTGACAGGAGGTGGAGCTCAGGTGGTAATGCTCACTTCCCCGCCATTCACCTGCTGCTGTGCAACCCTGTTCCTAATAGGCCACAGACCAGTACATGTCCACAGCCCAGGGGCATGGCAAGAGGAGACATTAGCAAATATGCAGATTGTCCTGTTTACATGTCAGCTCTGAAGACTGTTGAGTTGATGGGTCTTCCCTTGGTTGCAAGCCAACAGCAGTCAGAAGCAAGAAACCTTGTCTAGATTTCACAATAACCTTGTCACAAGTCTCACGTTTCCTGTAGGAAAGCTGAATTTACCAGCACACTCACTGTGAGTAAAACTGTAACTCTGCTCTGAGCAGAAGGCTTGTGCTGAGGATAAAAACAAATTCTCAGTGGAAATACAAAATTGATCTATTAATTCCTGGATGCTAAAGACAATGATTTTTTCCTGTCTGGTGGCTGTTTTTCTTTTGTATGTAACTTTCAGTTTATTTCCGTAGTTAGGAAAGAGATAAAGCAACTTGAGAAAGCATAGGAAGGTGTAGTCCCCTGAAATCTAAATGAAGCCTGTTTGGTCTTGCAGTTTCCTGTGCAGGTCTGGCCTGGGGCAGGACTATATGGGCATCTGCAGCCCACACAATGTAGGAAAAAGACTGGTAGAATATTATCATTAACTAAAGTAACTATAGATGTTCATTACTGAGCACTTATTGTACAATGGCCATTGGGCTAGGTGCTCTACCTAAATTACATTAAATTCTCACCACTCTAAAAAGTAGGTATCATTTTTCTTTTATGTGGAAGGGGCTGTGCCACTGAATGGGTAAGAGCACAGACTCTGGCTTTCCACAATCTCGATTCATACATATTGGCCTTGTGACCTTGAGAAAGTTACTTAGTCTCCTTGTGCGGCATTTCTTTCATCTGTAAAATGGGGCTAAAACACAAATTTGAATCCAGGTCAGAGTTTCTTTTTTAAATTTATTTTTTAATAAAAAATTTTAATGAGATGTAATTCACATATATTAAAATTTGCCCATTTAAAGTGTACAATACCATGTTTTTATTTTTCATTTTTAAATTTTAATTTTTATTCTTCCAACCTTTTTTTTTTTTTTTTTTTTCTGAGACAAGGTCTCACTCTGTTACCCAGGCTGGAGTGCACTGGGGCGATCTCGGCTTACTGCAACCTCGGCTCACTGCAACCTCTGCCTCCCGGGCTCAAGTGATTCTCTTGCTTCAGCCTTCTAAGTAGCTGGAATTAACAGGCATGTGCCACCACGCCTGGCTAATTTTTTGTATTTTTAGTAGAGACAGAGTTTCACGATGTTGGCCAGGCTGGTCTTGAGCTCCTGGCCTCAAGTGATCTGGCCACCTTTGCCTCCCAAAGTGCTGGAATTATGGGCGTGAGACACTGCGCCTGGCCTTTCCCACCTTCCACCCTCAAGTGGGCCCCAGTGTCTATTGCTCCCCTCTATGTGTCCATCTGTACTCAATGTTTAGCTCCCACTTATGTGGTCAGTGTTTAGCTCCCACTTTAGAACATGCGGTATTTGGTTGTCTGTTCCTGAATCAATTTGTTTAGGATAATGTCAGCCAGGGTTTCTACCCAGGAAAGCCTACTGCCTGATTCAGTCCTTAGCTAAATTGTAAAGATCCCTTTGATTCCTCCCTCCAGCCCTCCTTTCTCACTACAGCACCCTCTCTCCCTATCTCCACTAACAAGATCTTTCCTTCCCTCTCCTTCTTCTCTTCATAACTTCGCTTGCAACTTCCGGTTTCCAGGCTACAGAATGCCAGCTTTCACAAGTGTGAGGACTGCTATGAAAGAGAGGCACATGCATAGCAAGGGCATTTTTAGACCTCCAAAGCCTCAGGAACACAGGAAGTAATTCTCTAATAAATAGATATCTGGAATTGTAACTGGTTGAAGGAAATACTTGGTGCCAAATTCCTATTTAGTGCTCCTCAAAACACACGATGATGGAAAGTGGCCTCCTCCTTTTTCTAAATTAATTGGGCTTTGATATGGGTCTGGAAGAAACTCATGAGCTGCAGTCTTTCATTCAGGAACTTAATAACTTTTGGCCATAGTTGGAATGACTTGTCATGTTTGGGTCCAGCCAATAGGGAACACAGGTCACATCTTTCCCTGCATAAGCCCACAGCCACCCATGCTGTGGGTAGCTGTCCCTTTCCTTTCCCTTCATAAAGTGGATAGGAGGCGAATAAGGCTGAATAGTAATTATAAACATCTGGTGGTTACTTTATGATTAGGTCATGTTAAAGATTTTGGGAAGCCTTCCATCAGTCTCAGTTAATATCTTTCCAATTATGTTTACATTGACATTTACCCTGGGCCCTGTAACTTCTCATTATGCCTTCTGGAGTTATCCCATACGCTCTGGGCGTGGTGAGAAGTTCACCAGGGAGGCAAGGATTACTGCTGCTACTGCTTGATCAAGGGGAAAGGCAGCCAGCAGTTCCAAGGAGCCAGGAAGGGACTGCCCAGACATGAAGAAAGATAATGTGGTTACTATTTTGTCATATACTTTGGCTTTATTTTACCTGAAAGTTCAATGACCAAGATACTAGAAAAAGTCTTCATAGCACTGAGGGGCTGTTTCTGAATTAGAGACACAACTGATAGTTGGAAGCCTGTTGTTTGTGAGAAAGAATTGTTTGACTAGCAACACACCTAGCCTCTCTGCATTAATCTCCCAAATGAAATTCAGAACAGGTATTGGAAGCCTAGACATGAAATGAAAGAAAAATGTATGAACTAAGTACACTGATTGCATTCATTCAGCAGGTGTTTTCTTGTTGTCTGAGCAACTTCTATATATTTAGCTCACTGCATAACAAGGTGCAGATACAGTGGTATATAAGACATTGTCAGCTGGGCACGGTGGCTCAGGCCTGTAATCCCAGCACTTTGGGAGGCCGAGGTGGGCAGATCACTTGAGGTCAGGAGTTCAAGACCAGCCTGACCGACACGGTAAAACCCCATCTCTACTAAAAAAAAAAAATACATAAACAAAGCCGGGCGTGGTGGCATATGCCAGTAATCCCACCTACTTGGGAGGCTGAGGCAGGAGAATCAGTTAAACCCGGGAGGCAGAGGTTTCAGTGAGCCGAGATGGTGCCACTGCACTCCAGCCTGGGCAACAGAGTGAGACTCCGTCTCAAAAAAAAAAAAAAAAGACATTGTCTCCTTTCTCTAAAGCCATATGGTTTAGTTGGGTGGTAAGGTAGATGATAAAATATTTACATAAAATTATAAGTATAGAAAATGAAGCATATACTCTAAGTAATACACAAAAATGTCTCCTGATAAGCCTTTTATTTTGTGTTTGGTGTAATTTTTTAAAGTGACATGTTCATGTTTTTGAATAAATTTTACTTACGTCTTTGTGTTTTTATGTACTTTCCAGTGGAAAATTATTAAAAATGTTTTCCCAGCAAATCAACACAATTTAATAGTAAATAGCAATATTAGCAGCATTCCATCTAGTGCAAAATAGGTCTTTCAAGCACAGTGGCCAATGACCGTGGAGAAGTCTCCCAGGAAGGTTCTGGAACAGGTTCTTACAGGAAGGGCAGCCGAGAACATCAATGATTAAAAGGGGGCTGAGAAGAGGAAACTGATGGACAAAGGTAGGTTTGAGATCTAAGTGCTGCTCTCAAATGACCACCAGCAACACCCATGGCTCTTCTGTTTGTTTCTTTTTCTTTACTCCTCTTTCTTTTTTTTCAATGATTGTACTCAAAACTATTGTTTTTTAGAGGTGAGAAGTGGGAGAAAGAACGAAAATCTGGAGGTTGGAGGATAAACAAACCCACATCCTTGTGGATGAAGAAGGATACCAAAAACTCATTTTCCTGGAAGGAGCAATTTTTGAAATCAGCTACACTGAGGTAAATCTTGTGAAACTAGAACCACCCTGGTAGAAAAGCTGGCCTCTGAGGAGTAAGGGTCACCATCGTGTTCAGGTTTGTCAGGGCTCTGCCTCTTTGCTTCTTTCTAAATTTGGTGTTCTTGAGATTTGATGATAAACATCAAACCTTTGGAGTTTGAATAATAATTTTTCCTTCCAGGATTGGGTACATAGGACTCTACTGATGGCAAGAAGTCAGATGTCTCTTCCAGAAGTTGATGTTAGCATAATGCCAGGTGCATTAGTCAGAGTTTTCCAGAGAAACAAAACCAATATTTTATACACACACACACACACACACACATATGTATATGTGTGTATATATTGATATACATATGAGAGAGATAATTTATGTTTATTTACATGCACATACATTTATATAAGTCACATGTATGCAAATCATATAAATATATGCAAACATATATTTGCATGTTTACATAGAGAGGAGAGAGAGAGACATTGATTTATTATAAAATTTTAAGGATTTAGGTCATACCAACAACTGTTAGGATTGTCAGGTCTTAAATCTGTAGGGCAGGCCAGTAGGCTGGAGAGCTAGGAAAGGTTGATGTTGCAATCTCAAGTCTGGAGGCAGTCTGGAGTGAGAATTCTTTTCTTTTCAGAGGACCTCAATCTTTTCCTTTAAAACCTTCAACTGATTGCATGAGGCTGACCCTCACTGTAGAAGACAATCTGCTTTACTCAATGTCTACTTGTTTAAATGTTAATCACCTTTAAAAAAATACCTTCACAACGACATCTAGACAAATGTTTGACTGAACACAACCTGGCTCAGTAGCCTAGTCAAGTGGCATAAAAAATTAACCATCTTACCAGGCGAGGATAGATCGGTGTCCCATCCTGAAGGGGCTGTCCTTTTCACACAGGCATTTATTTATTTATTTATTTATTTATTTATTTATTTATTTACTGAGACGGAGTCTTGCTCAGTCACCCAGGCTGGAGTGCAATGGCACGATCTCAGCTCATTGCAAGCTCCGCCTTCTGGGTTCACGCCATTCTCCTGCCTCAGCCTCCCGAGTAGCTGGGACTACAGGTGCCCGGCTAATTGTTTGTATTTTTAGTAGAGACGGGGTTTCACCCTGGTCTCTATCTCCTGACCTCGTGATCTGCCTGCCTCAGCCTCCCAAAGTGCTGGGATTAGAGGCGTGAGCCACCGAGCCCCGCCTTCACACAGGCTTTTAGAATACAAGCATCACTCTTCCTGATCAGCCTTCAGATAATATGGGGTGTAGGGACGGTGGAAGTTTCCTAGCTTCATATTCACAGTCTCATCTGTGGTAGAGATGGAGGTGCTGCCCCACTCTCCTGCTTTTTGTCTCCTTCTCACATGTCTGGCAGAGAAGTCAGGTAGTTCTCTTTCCTTGAGAGAGGCTGGGTGGGGCCATGTCTGTCCATATGTGCCACAGATCATGGGAAAGAGTCCAAAGGCTAATGACATGGATGCATTGGATTCTATCCCCTGTGGCCCAATTAGCTTAGTTCTGTCCCAAGGCCATCAGTGTTGGCAGGGTGCAGAGAAACTTTGGCAAAATTCGCTCCTCTCATCCTTCTTTTTTTCTCCTTTGGCTATTTAGGGCACTTTCGTGGCTGCCAGACTAAAGATTAATGGAGCACAACTCCAAAGGGTGCCAACAGGAAGCAACTATACCCCCAAACATGTCATCACCCCCTGCCTATTTCAACCTGTCCTGGAGCTAGTTTAATGTGCCAGCTCCCATGGTTTTTCCAGTCATTCTGCGGTAGAAGGAGACCGCAGTAGGTATTTTCCCAATTTCTTCGTTTGGCACATCTTCTCCTTATCTTTGCCTGTTGTTGTGTTTGACTCCTTCTAGGTTTGTAGCTTCAGGTGGGTAAGAGACAGGAAAGGGCTTACTTATGGGAACTGTATGGATTTGGCTTTGGTGGTCTCTGGGCTTGGCAGATAAGCCAAGCTAAGTCAATTTTAGACATTAATTATTTACTTGCTACTAATGCAGTTGAGGATTTAATGCTCATGTATTACTACCAACTCTCCATCCCCCATTTCTCACAGTTAAATTAGATCTTTGATTAAATCAATAGCCATGTTTATCTAATATTGTTTATGCTGGGTCAAGTAGTTTACTATAATTTTTCATTGCTTTTTCTTTCTTCTTTTTTAAAAATCATCCTCCACTCCCAGCCACACCTTGAGTTAAAAATTACCTATTCTAAAATTTTCTATTATTATCAATCACATTTTTCTTCTTAAATGTTCCAACAGACCTATCAAACTTCTATCAATAATTTTTACAGACACTCAAATTCATTTATAAATCAATGTTTCAGTTTTTAATTTTTCCCCTAGGGACCTTCCTGTCATAGCCCTCCTTCTCCTATTCCACTTGCAATTAGCTTCCCTCTGTGCCTGCTGCACAGTTGACGTTATGGGACTCCTTTCACCATCATCCCAACAATTTCTCTCATTTCCTGCTTCTTAGCATGTAAGATATCTCCCTCCTGATTTCCTCCCTTGTTTTACTGGAAAACATCCTCCAACAGAGTCCCTCTGACTTACCTTATACAGTATAAACATCAGTTCTACTTCAATCTTTTTTTTTTTAATTATTTGCCTGGACATAGCATTTTAGGTTGAAATTACCTCAAATTCTGAAAGTATTTCACACTGTTTTGTCTTATGGCATTCAGAGTTGCTAATAAGAAGTCAGATGCCAATCTAATTTCCAATCCAATAGTTCCCAAGAATTATTGTCTGGAAACTTTTAGGATCTCCTTTATTTGCCTGATGTTCTTAAATTTTACAGTGATGTTCTTGGGTGGTGATGTTTTCATTCATTTATTGGGCTGTTTGTGTGCTTTTTAATCTGGATACTCAATACTACAGTCTTAGGATATTTTCCTCATATTATTTCTTTGGCAATTTGGTCCATTATATTTTCTCTGTTCTCTCTGAAACTCCTATTATTTGTACCTTTAATGTTCTGAATTAATCTTCTAGTTGTCTTATCTTTTTATCCCCTGTTTTCTCTTTATCTCTTGATTTTACTTCTGGAAGTTTCTTTATTGGATAATAAGTATTCACTTTTCTAGTGAATATTATGTTTTGGCTGTGATTTTTTTTATTTTCAAGAGCTCTTGTTCTCTGAATATTCCTTTTCAAATACAATATCCTGCTTTTTAAATGAGCACAATATTTTTCTTATTTCTCTGAAATATAAATATATTTTTCTTTGAGTTGGAGTCTCCCTCTGTCATCCAGGCTGGAGTGCAGTGGTGCAATCTCGGCTCATTTCAGCCTCCGCCTCCCAGGTTCTAGCAATTCTCCTGCCTCATCCTCCTGAGTGTCTGGGATTACAGGCACCCGCCACCATGCCCAGCTAATTTTTTTGTGTTTTTGGTAGAGATGGGGTTTCACCATGTTGCCCAGTCTGGTCTTGAACTCCTGACCTCAAGCGATCCAACCACCGTGGCCTCCCAAAGTGCTGGGATTACAGGAATGAGCCACTACACCTGGCTTCTCTGAGATATTAATAATAGTTTGAGGTATTTTTCTGCTCCTTGCTTCACGTATATATTTTTTACTTCAGGCTGCAGATTGAGTGAAGGTCTTTTCCATGTGAATTTGTCCTGCATCTGGGATAAAGGTATAATGATTACCTAAAGCATGTTCTGTTCATGGAAGATCACTGGAACACAAAAGACCAAGCTCACAGCATATTCAAGACATCTGCTCGTATTCCACTGGCCAAAGAAAGTGATGTGGCCCAGCCTAAAGTCAGGTAGGCAAAGAATTAGTATCTCCCCTGAGGCAGCTGAACAAATGATAACACACACACATGCATGTGCAGACACACACATATGTACAATTCATAAAGCATATATATATATCTATGAGCTTCAGCTTTAAGGATTGAATGTGTTTTGTTTGGCAGATTTGGGCCATAAGTATTGCTCATATGGTTTGTAAAAGGACCAGAGAGAGTAACACTTTCTGCATTTTAATTTTCATGGTGACAACAGTAAAGGTTATTCTTTATCAAAGTTTGAGATATGATGCGATTAGACCCCCACCTTCTTATTGTTTATCAAGAATCCCATGACTCCATTTACCTTCAGAAAACAATTTCTTTTAAGTTGGATTCTGATCTACTGTTACATCGTTGTGTTCATTGAATTTATGAAAAGAATCATTTCCATTACTTGAGCAGTATGATTTTCCTTCAACAAACATAAATTGAAGCCAATGAACACACTCGTTTATGGGAAGAAACCCTACAAGTGCTATTGTAGGTGGGATTGGTGGGTGAATACCAAGCCAGATGCCTGCCTCTGGAGGTCTCATTGGAACGCCTGGCTCTTCTTACTAGTGGAAATATGTCTAGTGGTCTCATCCTTTTCTCAGATGTCTGTTAACTTCACTAAACCACTGCATGTTTTGGCATAGTGTGTTAGCTTCTAGGGAGAGGCCTCCAGAATGGTATAGGATATATTCTGTAGGATGGGAATGAGGTGTGTGTGGTAGCATTCATAGTATCTATCTACATCAATTTTTTAGAAAACAGAATAGGTGATCTCACACCCTTTAATTTTATAAACTCTTGATTAAAACAGGGCATCCTGTCTCACCTTGGAATAAAGATCCAAAATTAGATGATATTCATTTTGAACTCTACCTAAGAGGCATGAAACTTACAAAAAGATGTCCTCAACACTTCTCAGTTGACAGAGACTGTTTTGTATTCATGTGGTTTATGTCTGTTTGTACAGTAATTAGGCTTTGATCTTTTGGGGTGAAGCTGCAGGCACACAAACACACATAGATACATGCACACACAGTCCCACACTGTGGGATAAAGGAACATACCAGAGTTTATGAGCATCGGGATTTAATTCTGGGAAATCTTGTCTTTTGGCATCTGCCAATATATCCTCTGGAATTTATTATGTGCCCGCAATATCTCTCCAACCAACCATTCTTCCCTATATCCACAGTCACTAGCTTAATATCAGCCCTTGTCATCTCACACCTGTATTATAAAAATAGCTTAGTCCCTTGTCTCTCTGGCTCCAATTGTCCCTAATTTCAACCCACACCTTTGGATGATGGAATTAGACTCTAAGACATTATTCTTATCATGTCACCTCCTTCTCCACCTCTGCTAAAGAACTCAATCATATATCCATGGAAAATAAATTGTTGTCCATGTATCATATTTCCAGATCCTTGGGGCAGGGGAAGGCGATCCAAGCATATCTGATCTCTCTCTCTCTCTGTCACACACACACACACACACACACACCCCTATGTAAAGAACTTGAAAATAACTTTAAGATTGTAAGGTATTCTTTGCTAACTTTCCTAAAACAGTTGCTTCAAAACCTAACTAATAAGCTAGGAAACTTTAAAAAATATGTAGACTCCTGTTAGAATCCAGGATAGTGGCTATCCTTTCTGCTGTTAATGTTCTATGGCGCTATTTTTGGATCTGGGTGCTGGATGCACGGGAATATTCCTCTTTCATTTATTTTACATTAATTTCTTTACTTTTCCTGAAACACTTCAAAATGTTCTTGTTTCTGTTGACTTATTCAAGATGTACTTACTGTGATCGTTGTAGATTGCTTCCGAATACACCCTTTGTAGCTCTATTCTTATGCACAGTGGACCCTAGATTCATTTTTAACAAATGGAATTATTTTGTCTTTTTTCTCCACCTCTTAGTGAATGGATGAGGAAAGGAAGGCATGGAAAGTGGACTGGCATGGCTATGAGTTAGAAGCAGTCAGAGTTCAGTTCAGAAACCTCTGAATTCAAGGCCAAGGCTCTGGGGACGAGGTTTTCCCCCAACATCAGTAAGCTTTGGAAACTTTTTAAAAAGTGGAAGAAAAAGTGATACCTAATACAGTGCTGTCCACATGATATGCAACCAATACATATTCAATAAATGAGTAAATATGAAAGAACAAATTTAAATGATGTCAACATATTATCTCCAACAGTTAAGAATCTTACACTTAGTTCCCTGCATAAAGCTTCCTGCATAGTCTTCAGTTTTGTTAACTAAAAGGTGTGACCTGATAATATTATTGGTTCAAGTGATAACTGCTTTGTACCAACTAACTGGTTTTTCAACAGATTTGTTATTACTGTGCATAAGTGTTGGAAACAGTTTGTTCATAGGAGTCTGTTTTTTTTTTCTGGAGTCTTAGGAAAGTGGCTGGTTTTACTCTGAAACATCATAACTTTGCAATCAGGAACCAGGTACAAAATGAGTAACTGTTAGCGAAAACAACCAGAAGCCACATTTTTAGCTATCTCTGTCATGTAGCTACAAATAAGAAATACCATTCCACCAACTTTGTGTCAGGTGCCTTTTTATATAATATGAAGAGTACTGTTTAAGTTCAGGGGAGAGCTAAATACTGGGGTCCCTGTTATGAAGGAACTCAAGAAGCCTTGATGAATGTATAGTGAATGATGAGTAACATGTTGGTCTAAGGTAGCCAGAGACAAGAAAGACCATCTCTGCCTGGAAAGGGCAGGCCAGCTTCATGGGGAAGATGATACTTGAAATGGATCTTGAAGGATGGTGATGCATTTAATGGGGTGCTTGGAACAAAAACAAAGGCAAGGATGTGAAAACATGCAGGGTGATTTTGGTGGAGAGTTTTGCTGGAGAAAAGCACTCAAATGGGGTCGTCAAGGTAGATAAACCTGATAAGGGAGTTAGTTTGCAGATTGTTGCGGGCGTGAAGTGCTAGGCCAAAAGTTAGGAAGTTCTTGAAGTGTCTAGGTGTGAAACAATGACGGTCTGAATGAAGATGTAGCCATGAAAATCAAAAAACATTTATTCATTTTAGAGGCATTGATTTCTACAAATTTCACTGAATTGGTAATTCCAACGTAGGAGGCAAGGGAGATAAAGTATCAAAGATGACTAGATGCTGAGGCTGGGTAACCAGTGCAATCAAGATGCCATTAACAAAAAACCCTTGTTTTTTTTGTTTGTTTTCTTGTTTTTTTTTTGTTTGTTTGTTTGTTTTTTTTACGGTCACAGTTCTAGGAATAGTAATCTATATTTGCTGTCATCTCTTTCATCTCAAATCACTTTTGATCCATTGGCATCTGTCTTGTGTCTATCTCATTGACACTTATCCAAGTCACCAATGACTTCCAACATGCCAAGTTTAATGGGGTGTTTCCATTTTTAAGTATTGATCTCTTTGCTGTATGAGCACTATTCACCATTCCCTTCAGGAAGCCCTCTGTCCCACTGGTTTTTATAACTCATTTTTCAGCATGAAAAACATTTTTTAAAGAGCAGAAAATTTGCACAGGAATCAGAGGTCTTCTTCAGCACAATAACAGAATGAAGCATAGAGCGCAATACCCATGATGTGAATTGTTTTTTGCCTAAGGCATTACTGCAAAGAAGTCTTTGCTCTTTTGTTTCTTTACATGAAAAATGAGGATGGCAAGTATAATCCTGATTTCACAGATATGACAATGTCTAATTAATGAATTGCCCTAAACAGGGAACAGAATGTATGAGGTGCTAAATAATATTGTGCAAGTAGAGATTAAATTTGACCAAGTGATTTATTAGACAAGTCTAACAAGTGATATCATCGGCTCAAGGGAGCAGAATTGGATTGCTTTATAAGATCACTGGAACTTTGAGTGATTGAGTTGTGGATATTTGTTGTTGTTTTAACTGCAGGGATCCAGAGTAACTTTTAGGCTTTCAAACTTTGGAATGTGACATTTATTAGGCCTGTAACTCCATCAAAAGTATTTAAAGCTCTTAAATTATTGTGGTTAAAAGAGTGAAAGTAAATAGATGTTCCCCTCTGTTGGTTTCATTATGCTGCAATTTTGTACACAGATTTGATGCTTAGGCACCACCCATGTTTATTACTGTATCATATTTTCTCATTTTGCAAGTTAAAACACAACTTTTTCATCTGCAGCCACATTAAACTCCACTTGGGACTTCAGGCCCAGCTGCAGTCTTTCTGTTTTCCGTTACCATCAAAAGCAATAAAATTCTGCAGTCAAGGCAGGTTTGGGGATGCTTGTGTTGCACCCAAACTGGCAGAAAGTCCAGCTCCTGCACTTGTACTCTCTCTCTATCTCTGCAGCAACATGGATGGAACCGAAGGTCATTGTCCTAGGTGAAATAACTGAGAAACAGAAAGTCAAAACCTACATGTCCTCATTTATAAGTGGGAGCTAAACAATGGGTGCATATGGACAGAGAGATTGGGATGATAGACACTGGAGACTCCAAGAGGAGAATGGAAGGGGGAAGAGAAATAAAATACTACCTATTGGGTACAACGTACACAACTCGGGTGATGGATACACTAAAAGCCCAGATTGCACCACTATGCGATATATCCTGTAACACAATTGCATTTGTACTCCTATATTTAAAAAAAAAAGTAAAGAGAGACATACTAGTCAGAAGAGATATACTTATGTTTGGTCACTCTAATAAATAAACAACCCCAGGAGCCACTTAGCAGTGGGAAGGCCAAACAGGGAGTCAATTTTAAGAACTATTTGCGAAATATCCTTCCTCTAACAAATAAACGGACTTCAATCTTCAGGATTGGATATAAGGGTTTCCAATTATTTTAAGGTAGGCATTATAACCTCAGGACAAAATGTATCTGCAAATTTCCCAATTTTTCAAATAAATGTAAGCCTCTTGGAAAGTTTTTGTTGTTCTTTATTTTTTTTTCTGGTAAATGTGAAAAAAAGTCAGATAAAATGCACCCGAAATCAGCACACAGGGCAGAGGTTGAGGAATGCTGCTGGAGAAAACCTCTGCAATCAACTGAGAACTGAGGGATGGCAGTGCGATATAGAACGGTGCCTTATTGAAATTTATTCTGTGGGTCACAGTACTTTTCAGCTTTTTCTTTCATTTTAGCTGATTAGACACAAGTTTAGTACACCTGTGGCCCCTATTCTTGTGATACTGGAGTGCTTCAATACCAGCGCCTGTCAGTACTTATCATTTAATTATGCTGATCTTTCAGGGTTGTTAGGATAGGTCAAAACATATGTTAAAGACTGGGCACGGTGGCTCATGCCTGTAATCCTAGTACTTTGGGAGGCTGAGACAGCTGGATCACCAGGAGTCAGGAGTTTGAGACCAGCCTGGCCAACATGGTGAGACTCCCATCTCTACTAAAAATACAAAAAAATTTTAGCTGGGTCATAGTGGTGTGTGCCTGTAGTCCTTGTTACTTGGGAGGCTGAAGTGGGAGAATTGCTTGAACCTAGGAGGTGGAGGTTGCAGTGAGCTGAGACTGGGCAAGAGAGCGAGACTCTAACTCATTAAAAAAAAAAAGTTAAATTCGTAATACAGTGAATGGTACTCAGAAGGTGCTTAATTAATGGTAGCTTTTGTTCTACCATCTTCAAGATTTATCAGAATAAAACATTTAATATAAAACTTCCAGGGAAAGTTGCAATACTTTTCTTAAATAAAATAGTTGTAGTACTACCTTTAGAATTTTTAGAAAGTCACAGTTTTTAAAAAACAACCCATTAGAATGTATGCATCTACTGGGGAGCATGAGCCACATGAACTCAAATTATTAATCCTGCTTGTGAGTCCATTTGACTAGAGCTGAGTCTTCTAATGGAAAAGCAATTCAGTAATCACTCTTTGGGATTCAGTAAATACCTCATAAATACTTATAAAACATGTAACAGACCCTACTGGGCATTGGGATTGGCATTAAGGTTTATTATTTGATTGTGTTTGAAATCAGAAAAAGCTAAGATTGTGCTACTTATTTTTTATTCAGAGAAGAAATTAACTGGTGACTGGAGCTGATTGACTAGAATGGAGCAACCCACTGGATGTTTATATTAGTCACATAGCAAATATTTTTTCTGAGTAATTAACAAGGATTACTTTATAGTTGAAAACAATTACGGAGCAATTTGTAATTTTCCAAGAGCTTTTCCAATCCTGGTCTTATTGATTCTTTATAACGATTCTATAAATTGTAGGTTATACTGTCTTGTGTATAAATTGTAGGTTATTCTGTCTTCTGAAGATAACCTAGGCTTTAGAGTCAGACAGTACTAGGGAAGAACCAGAGCTTCAACCCCTGTTGGTTATGTGACCTGGAACAGATTACTAAACTGTCCTAAGCTTTAGCTATTTCCATACATAAATTAAGATAATAATATTTACCCTGTATAACCATTATAGAAATTAGTTTATGATAAACTTAGCATTATGTTGGACACACTGCACGTGTTTAAATTGTCATCCATAGGGCTTACCTTTGACTTTTTTTTAATAGTGAGGATAGATTATACTAATCATTCAATTCCCTATTATCAAATTCTCTTGTGACACTACAAGATTACTGGCATGCCTGTAGATGTACTCTAGCCATGCAACAGAACATAGAATATTAAACCTCAAACCTTAAAATTTAGTAGACTACTCTGACCAGTTGACATAAAGAATGTGCTTATATTAATGAAATGACACTAATTTCACCACCATACAATCCTAAATGAACTAAAATCATAGGTGTACACTGGTCAATGGTTTATATCCAAGGAATGAAAATGTAAATTTTATTTCAATATTATTTACAAGTATTCAATTAAATGATTGAAATTATGAACTAATTACATTTCTACTGATGCAGTTTCAGCCACAGAGTTATCTGTGTCAATCACAGAAATAAAACCTGTGTATAGAACTAATAAAGCATCCAGAATTTTTTCACTACTCTCTTCAATTTGAACTCCAGTTTATTACCTGAATAAGAAATGAATCAAAGTATCTTAACTTTTTTTGATGATTTAGATAAATTTTTCTATTTTCATATGGTACAGATATCACAAATATATATTACATATATCAAACACATATATGTAACACATATATATCACATATATATCAGACACATATATAGCATATGTATAACACACATATATATGCCATGTATATATACATACACACACACACAACATATATATATATAAAACACATAGCATCAGGGGTGGGCTGGCGCTGCCTCATACGAGCTTGGCAGAGCCAATTCTGCTCATCTCCTTCCTAGTCTGTGTTCAGCGACATTGCACTGGGAGCTTGAAATCAGCCACAGGGGAGTGTATACACCCAGGAGTCACCAAATGTTACAAATCAGGCCTTTTTAAAATCCAGAGTCACCTTACAAGTACAACACAGCATAGCAGACATTTTTAAAATATTTGTTATATGAACAAGTGAATTAATAAATTCAACATATTTGTATTGTCATTAAGCATAGCAAACATTAGAGGAAGATGACCTCACTTACTAAAACTTCCAAGGCATGTGTCTGTAAAGCAAAAATGTGAGTTCTCTGAGGCAAATTTCAGAAATTATCAGAGTCTAATTTCTTCATGTTTTTGTCTAAATAAGTGGATGAAACCACGCTCCCTTCAAACTTAGGTATCCAGGAAAGCAAACCTAAAATGTTTATGGATCCAAACCAACGGCTTACATGATATTCTCTACATATATATCTGTGATTGTATAAAGTTTCTCCCCATAGGGAACAAGAAAAGAACTGCAGATATTTATCACCTTTTCTAGATTCTTAAGAGTCCTAAAATGTTATCTCAGAGAATGCTAGAGTAACATAAACTTTTTTTTTGTGAAAAATAAGTAAATCACTGCCATATGATGATGGTTACTCAATTTCCAGATGATTTAATGGCTAATCCCAGGGCAATATCTTACTAGTTTCGACCCCTGCTGTGTGATGAGGTTTTGACAGTCATAATTGTACAGCAGGCCATAGTTTAATATAAGTAATTATAAACCAGGAATTATTAATCATTATCTAATAATCTGATACTAAACTATTGGATGTTGCTTGTGAAATAACAAGAAAATTCAAAGTGATTATATCAAGTGATTCTATGATACTTCTAGACAGCAAAATAAAAATAAAAGAAGAGGTTCAAGCCTTGTTAAGGTTTTAGCATCACAATCAGACAGCACCTATAAAATAAGTCAACTATGCCATGGTCCCAGTAGCCAGTAAAGTTCGTTGGGACCAACTTCCTTCCTCTTCAGCTCATGCCTCTTGGAACACATGGGGCAGCTGTGTGCACCTCAGATGGAGCAGCCAAAAAGAGCTCAGAGCTTTGGTCCTGACTTTGCAGCCCAAGTGAGATCATGGGTAAGTCACTTAAACTCTTTGGCCTTATTTTAACAACTCAGGATCATTGACCCTCTCCAATTTATGTCAAGGACAATAACAATAATAATCATCGTTCCCACTAATTTAAGGATGTGAAAAAATGCAGGATGATTTTGGTGGAGAGTTTTGCTGGAGAAAAGCACTCAAATGGGGTCGTCAAGGTAGGTAAACCTGACAAGGGAGTTAGTTTGCAGATTGTTGCAGGCGTGAAGTGCTAGGCCAAAAGTTAGGAAGTTCTCGAAGTGTCTAGGTGTGAAACAATGATGGTCTGAATGAAGATGTAGCCATGAAAATCAAAAAAACATTTATTCATTTTAGAGGCATTGATTTCTACAAATTTCATTGAATTGGTAATTCCAACATAGGAGGCAAGGGAGATAAAGTATCAAAGATGACTAGATGCTGAGGCTGGGTAACCAGTGCAATCAAGATGCCATTAACAAAAAACCCTTGTTTTTTTTTTGTTTGTTTGTTTTTTTGTTGTCGTTTTTTGTTTTTTGTTTTTTTTTTTTACAGTCACAGTTCTAGGAATAGTAATCTATATTTGCTGTCATCTCTTTCATCTCAAATCACTTTTGATCCATTGGCATCTGTCCTGTGTCTATCTCATTGACACTTATCCAAGTCACCAATGACTTCCAACATGCCAAGTTTAATGGGGTGTTTCCATTTTTAAGTATTGATCTCTTTGCTGTATGAGCACTATTCACCATCCCCTTCAGGAAGCCCTCTGTCCCACTGGTTTTTATAATTCATTTTTCAGTATGAAAAACATTTTTAAAAGAGCAGAAAATTTGCATAGGAATCAGAGGTCTTCAGCACAATAACAGAATGAAGCACAGAGCGCAATACCCATGATGTGAATTGTTTATTTTAGAAAATATGTTTAGAATGGAAAAATTTAAAGAAGCAGAATAAAAGAATCAATTATAATCTCACCATGCAGAAGTAGTTCTGCTTTTTTTTTTTTTGAGACGGAGTCTCGCTCTGTCGCCCAGGCTGTAGTGCAGTGGCGCAATCTCGGCTCACTGCAAGCTGCGCACCCCGGGTTCACGCCATTCTCCTGCCTCAGCCTCCCGAGTAGTTGGGACTGCAGGGGCCCGCCACCACGCCCGGCCAAGTTTTTGTATTCTTAGTAGAGACAGGGTTTCACCCTGTTAGCCAGGATGGTCTCCAGCTCCTGACCTCGTGATCCGTCTGCCTCGGCCTCCCAAAGTGCTGGGATTACAGGGGTGAGCCACCGCGCCCAGCCAGTTCTACATTTTTGGCTTGTTCCTTTTTGTATTCTTTTAGGCATTTAAACAAATTGTTAAACTCATATTGTTATGGATTTTGCTGCTTGAATTTTTTTCAGTGAACATCATGTCAAAAGTATTTCTTCATGTAATACAAATTCTTTGTTTCTCCTTCAATTAGGTACATAACATTCATCTTCTTTTCAAGCCATCATTTTTCTAAACATCCTACAATTTTAGACCTCTAAGTGCTTTTTCATATTTTCATTTTATTATACATAATACTGCGGGAGATAATCTTTGTCTACAAATCTTTGGTTATATGTTTGATTATTTCCTTAGGAGAAATTCCTGACGTCAGAGGTGTGAACGGTTGAAGGACTTTAGAAACATAGTCGAATTGTTTTGTAGTGAGGTGCTCCAGTCTCGCCCTTTAGCAGTGAGGGTGTAACTTCATGTCAACTTTTCAACCCTCAAGGATGATAATTTTTTAGACTCTACTCATTTGATAGGCAAAAGGTGCTGTATAATACTAATTTGCCTTTAGAGTACTAGCGAGGTTAAACATTTTGTACACTTATTAGTCATTTGCATCTCTGAATTATCTGCTACATCCTTTGCCTAGTTTTCTACTTAATTCTTAGAGTTTTAAAATTGGTTTGATTGAATTCTGTATATAGTGAGAGTATATAACTTTGTCTCCCGTATGTGATACAATTATTTTTCCCATCTTACTATGTTTATATTGGTTGGCATGTCTTGTGATATACGGAAATTAAAATATTAAAAATCATCTTGGCCGGGAGCGGTGGCTCACGCCTGTAATCCCAGCACTTTGGGAGGCTAAGGCAGGTGGATCACGAGGTCAGGAGATCGAGACCATCCTGGCTAACACGGTGAAACCCCGTCTCTACTAAAAATACAAAAAATTAGCTGGGCGTGGTGGTGGGCACCTGTAGTCCTAGCTACTCTGGAGGCTGAGGCAGGAGAATAGTGTGAACCTGGGAGGCGGAAATTGCAGCGAGCTGAGATCGCGCCACTGCCCTCCAGCCTGGGAGACAGAGTGAGACTCTGTCTCAAAAAAAAAAAACAAAAAAAAAAAACAAAAAAAAACCTACTTTATTTATATTTTTCCTTTGTAATTTCTTCCACTGAATTTGAGCTTAGTAAGTTCTTCTACATTCAGACAGATCAGATAAATATTGACCTATATTTTCTTTTGAGTTTTTGACTTTAATTTTTTAAAATATTTTAACTCTTTATTCTATCTGATCTTTAAGTGTATAAGTATAATTGAAAGCTATAAATTATTTTCATTAATATCTAAAAATATTATCCTAAGACAAATTGTAGAAAAATGCTTCTATCTTCCATTAATTTGTGATGCTCCAATTTATAAATATTTAATATTCATCTATACCAAGGACTGTTACTGAAACTTTGATTTTGTTCCATCTTTTCGTGTAGCCTTGTGTCAGTACCATCCTTATTTAACTGTTATAGACTTATTTTAATAGCTTCTATTGCTATTTGCCCCATTATTACCCCCATTTAAAAATTAGGTGGCCTACCTTTTTCCAGGTGACTTTAAAATCACTTAAAAAAATAAATTAGCAAAAGCTTTCTATTGGGATTTTATCACTTTTTAATTTTGGTTATAAGCTTATATATTAATTTAGGAAGAATCATCACAGTAAATAACTTTAAAATAAATGACAGCAAAGTGGTTTACCTTACAAATCAATACAAAATGCAAATGAAAAGTTGAGGTGTTGCAGGAGCACAGAGTATTGTAGAAAGGCATCAGCAAACTGAACTTGGGTCAAGTTCACTTATATAGACATATTTATTAGCTGCAAAGTCTTGGGGAAGTATCTTAAGGTTTGTGGATGTATTCCCTCATCTGTAAAATAAGAATAATTCCTTCCCTGCTTACCTTATAAACTTGTTGTAAGGATCAAAGAAAAGTGGATTATCAATGCTTTTTAAAACATTAAAACATGTATTTTTAAAAGTTAGATTATTTTGATTCCTGTAAAGATAAAAATTTCCCATATGTGGACACACCAGTATCTGAAAACTACAACTGATTTTCATTTCCTTCATCTGGGAAACTTATAAACTGTGCTCACTATCCATCTAGTTCTTTAAAAAATCAAATTGCTCAATTTTTTCCTTTCCCATTGCAGATATAGTTCATTTATAAAGACCAAAACTTTTTAATACCAAAAAGAATGCCTTAGTATTTTATAAGCAGGAGGCTTGTCAAGCAAATTGCTCTTGGCAGGGAAACAGATCATGTATCTTGAGCTTATCTACCTCCTTTAGATTACATCCAGCCCTGATCACCCCCGGGTACACACAGAGCTATGGCAGACCACGCTGCACTGCCTGGGTTGGGGCTGCCTTGCCCAAGGCATTTGAAGAGAGCTCACACTCCCCAGTCTGTGGTTTAGGAAGCTCAGCTTCTTCCCCTGGAGCAATGACTTTCTGCTGTCATTTTCAAACTGCCTACTACTGTTTATTTGGAATCTAAACATCTGAGAAGCTTAAAAGACCCAATTTGTTGAGGGTACAGGCTGCACTCCCATTTTATGTGCACTAGACACATGACAAGTAAACATGTTGATAGCAAGATTTATTAAAATGTGACTTTTGCAATGTAATCTAGGGCCAGGAAAACTTAGTTCAATCTCCAATGGCATTGTTTATGATGGAATTTTAGATCTGAGCGAGACTGAACTATCACTAGTTAAACCCTTTGTTTTGCAAATGAGCAGCCAGATTCAGAGAGATGGTGACCTCTCCATGCCATGTGGCAGTCAGTGGCATAGCTGGGAGCAGAAGAGAGTCTAGCTTTTTAAGTTCTCTCCCCACTGCTCAGACACTGGACCCTCCTGAATATAATACCAATGCAGTGCGAAGTTTTAATGACCTGGCCCCCCAGGAAAAGTTATAGCCATGACTGAATAGCCTGAAAATACCTGGCTCACGAGGTCATCAAACTCAGTTCTCTAGATATCTAAAAGAAGTGGAAACAAAAAAATCATATTTGCACCTTGAAGAGTCTCTTTTGGGGTATTGGATATCTGTTTAACTTATAGGAAAATATTTCATAGGAATAAATGTTTTTACTCAGGCTTATGATGGAAAATACCAGATCTGATTATAATGTAGGTTTCAAAAATACGAATGCCCAGATTTGATCATCTCTGCAAACTGTCTGATCAGTTATACAGATTGGCTATTATCAAAATTGGAAACAGAAGATTTTCCTGCCAAAATCTCTTTGTCTGACTTTCTGGAATCTTCTCAATCTGCCCCTACTTGATTTAGCAGCTTCAAATTTCCATGCACCCCTAACAGGAGCTCTGCTTTTAGTGGACTTAATTGAAATTTTTTTTTTTTTTGAGAATAAAATACCTAGGAATCCAACTTACAAGGGATGTGAAGGACCTCTTCAAAGAGAACTACAAACCGCTGCTCAACAAAATAAAAGAAGATACAAACAAATGGAAGAACATTCCATGCTCATGGATAGGAAGAATCAATATTGTGAAAATGGCCATACTGCCCAAGGTAATTTATAGATTCGATGCCATCCCCATCAAGCTACCAATGACTTTCTTCACAGAATTGGAAAAAAACTACTTTAAAGTTCATATGGAACCAAAAAAGAGCGTGCATTGCCAAGACAATCCTAAGCCAAAAGAACAAAGCTGGAGGCATCACGCTACCTGACTTCAAACTATACTACAAGGCTGCAGTAACCAAAACAGCATGGTACTGGTACCAAAACAGAGATATAGATCAATGGAACAGAACGGAGCCCTCAGAAATACTACCACACATCTACAACCATCTGATCTTTGACAAACCTGACAGAAACAAGCAATGGGGAAAGGATTCCCTATTTAATAAATGGTGCTGGGAAAACTGGCTAGCCATATGTAGAAAGCTGAAACTGGATCCCTTCCTTACACCTTATACAAAAATTAATTCAAGGTGGATTAAAGACTTACATGTTAGACCTAAAACCATAAAAACTCTAGAAGAAAACCTAGGCAATACCATTCAGGACATAGGCACAGGCAGGGACTTTATGACTAAAACACCAAAAGCAATGGCAACAGAAGCCAAAATTGACAAATGTGATCTAATTAAACTAAAGAGCTTCTGCACAGCAAAAGAAACTACTATCAGAGTGAACAGGCATCCTACAGAATGGGAGAAAATTTTTACAATCTACCCATCTCACAAAGGGCTAATATCCAGAATCTACAAAGAACTTAAAAATTTTTTTTTTTTTTTCAAACAGAGTTTCACTCTGTCACCAGGCTGGAGTGCAGTGGCACGATTTTGGCTCACTGCAACTTCCACTTCCCAGATTCAAGCAATTCTCCTGCCTCAGCCTCCCGAGTAGCTGGGACTACAGGTGCCCACCACCACGCCCAGGTAAATTTTTTGTATTTTTAGTAGAGACAGGGTTTCACCATATTAGCCAGGATGGTCTCAATCTCCTGACCTTGTGATCCACCTGCCTTGACCGCCCAAAGTGCTGGGATTACAGGCATGAGCCACCACGCCTGGCCTAATTCAAACTTTTAAAAGTCTTCTAAACTTTGTTAATTTTGATCTCCACATCTTTTTGTTCATCTTGTTCCTGCCTTTGGAATATTCACTGCCTTCTCACAGATGTCTTAACTTGCTGTGATCTTTCCTGTTTTTTTGTTTTTTTTTTTTTTTTGAGATGGAGTCTTGCTCTTGTCACCCAGGCTGGAGTGCAATGGCATAATCTTGGCTCACTGTGCAACCTCCACCTCCTGGATTCAGGCGATTCTCCTGCCTCAGCCTCCTGAGTAGCTGGGACTACAGGCACCCACCACTGCGCCCGGGTAGTTTTTTGTATTTTTAGTAGAGACAGGGTTTCACCATGTTAGCCAGGATGGTCTCAATCTTCTGACCTCATGATCTACCTGCCTTGGCCGCCCAAAATGCTGGGATTACAGGCGTGAGCCACCGTCCCCGGCCCTTCCTGGTTCTTAACTCCCAAGGCCCTCATGCCCACGTCCATGTCACCTTGATTCTTGTATCATCTGGCCTTGTCTCCCCAACTAAGCCTGGAAGGGTAGGGAATGCAAGACTTTGCCCATAAGTGTCCTCAGGACCACTAGATTATAGTAAAGGACATGAATACATTGAGAAGAAAAAATTCACTTGAGCGTGGGGGAGAGAATCAAATTGAGAAGCTGCTTCTATTTCTTATTCCAGACCTTGTCTAGTTGACGTGACTCTCACTGTATTGACTCTTGAATTCTCATTACCACCAGTGAAATGACAGCCCCTGGGGTGTTCTCCTTTCCCCAGTTTCTCTGGCTTTATTTCATGGCCTCTTTCCTCTGAATAACTTTGTTTCTCTTTGAGTTATAGCAATAATTATTTTGCTTCTCATATATGTATTTTCCCCTTAAATTGTCTTAGGTATTTATTTTCAAGATCTGTAAAGACTATTGTAAGAATAAAAAATTAGGCAGACAGGCTGACTTGAGTAAAAAAGTTTGCCAGAGGCAAACTAAAAATGCCTCTTCTCTGAGCTTATAATTCCCAATGACATATCTCTATCATAATCAGTCATCTTGTATTATTATGGTGATCTGTGCCTCTGTTTCTTTCTTCTATTAGTCTGTGAACTTGGCTTTATCTATTTTTATGTTCTGAGTACCTAATATAGTCTCTGGTGCGTAGTAAAGCCACAATGAATGTGTGTAGAACATTAAAAAAAATTAAGATTTCTTTAAATAACTGTTTGGTAATAAGTGAGAAGACTTTTTTTCCTGTAATTTTTCTTCGATTTTTTTTTCTTTAGTAACAGAAAAAATGTTGATCTAGGCAACTCAGGCAACAAAGTGATGTCCTCTTCCCCACCCCACAACCTCCAAGTGTCCCTTCAATATTACCTCAACTTGTTGTTTGCTTTGTCTGTGGGATTGTGAGCATTTGTCCTTTCTATTTAAGGTTATGTGTGATGATTTTCTTCTATGAAAAAAAAAAAGCTTCTCGCAAGAAATGGTTTGCTGAAGCTGGTGAAATGGACTGGTTTTGTTGACAAATAGTCTTGGTCTGAATTGCTGACATTTCTCAGCCTTTTGCTGGGTTGCACAACATTGTGCAACTTTATGTGGAAATAAATGAGTTTATTAGCAATGAGTTGTGTGTTTGTGGCTGTGTCTGTGTGCAATAATAAACATCTTTTGTGGGTACTTACAGCAATAATGACACCGCTCTTTTTTCAGTTCACCATTTACCATAAACTATGCCATTATTCATTTCAGTGGGGGCATGTAACCTCAAAGAATGTTATGAGGGTAGCTCGTTGAAACAGAGGAATAGACAGTAGGCTCTGAGTAATCCTCTACTGGCAGGGCGGTGTGATAGCTGAGCAGATGGCTTTTTCTATGTTGGTGGTCTGTCATACCTCTACTTTAAACCATTCACTTTGAGCACAGCTCTACCACAGTGGGCCTGGGAGTTTTCAGTGACTAAAACCAGCGGAATGTTTTCTGGAGTTGGCCCTAGTCTCTTGCAAGGTCAGCCTATGCCTCGGGGATGTGCTTCTTGAGAGATTTGAGCTGCCCTCACAGAGCACACAATCTAAGATAACCAAACAAGCTACCAGAGACGCTCAACTCCACAAATAGGAGGAACCCAGAAACAAGCTTGTAACCAAATAGTGTTGGGCTCAAGGATGGCCCGAATGATTGGGCCATGTGGGATTAGGGTTAGCATGGAAATCCTTGAGGGAGATAGTCCTGAGCTAGTGAATGAAAGGACTAGAAGTTATGGTCAACAGAAAAGAGTACACAGAGTGTTCTCCTTGGCCTGGGGAGGGTCATAGAGGAAGTTAAGGAGGAAGGAGGAATGAGTTGTGGGAAATGGAAGGGAAATGAAACCATGAGATAAGCAGCCCAGCTAAAATTCCCTCAGGGAAAAAAGTATTACAAGCTCTCTGAATCATCAAACAGTTTTAAGTAAGATGGTAAAAACGAAGCAGAATCCATGCTCAGTGCAGCAGACATTGATTGAGCATCTGCCATAGGCAAGGCACTGGGTTACATGTTGGCTAACGAGGGTGAGTAAGAAGTGGTCCTTCTGGGAAGGGCCTCGGTCTAGTCAGAGACAACTGTGAATGGATCATTTCAATGCACTGTGATAAGCACTGGGCTAGAGGCACGCACAGGGCAATATGGAAGCACAGAGCTCAGGGCCCAACATGGCCTTGAGGAGCGCGACAGGTCTAGGGGACTATAGGGAGTTCAGGTGAGACATAAAGGAGGTCTTAAAATAAAAACTTCAGCAGCATTAAATTTAAAGCAGTTTAATTGAGCAATGAACAATTCGCAAATCTGGCAACCCCCAGAATCACAGCAGATTCAGAGAGACTCCAGCACAGCCACGTGGTGGAAGAAGATTTATAGACAGAAAAAGGGAAGTGACATGCAGAAATCAGAAGTGAGGTACAGAAACAACTGGATTGGTTACAGCTCAGCGTTTGGCTTATTTGAACACAGTTTGAACACTCTACAGTGTTTGAGTGGTTGACATGGCTGCTGGGATTGGCCAAGACCCAACCACTGTTACAGGCACACACTCCCAAGTTACGTTCTCAATCTTGTCTACCTATTAAGTTGGTTGCAGTTTGTCCCCAAGGACTCAAATATAGAAATACAGAGTCCTTCTCTGGCCACATTTAGTTTGCTTTAACAGAAACAACATGATGTTTGCTGAAACTGTTAGTGTGTCTGAACTGGTGGTTCATCGGGTTTGAGTTGAGGTGAGTGAACGGCAGGAAATGTGACTGAGAAGACAGTCAGGGGCTGTGTTTTCACCATGGGAGCTTATCCTGTGTGGAATGGGAGCCTGTGAAAAGTCCAAGAAGGGGATCAGCATGATGGAATTTTGGAAGAATCCATCTGGTAATAGTGTGAGAAAAGGTAGAGTGAGAGCTGTGGCTGTTATCGGTTGAGTAACTGTTCAAGTTCGAGGTGCTGAGGATTTGCCTGAGGCAGAGGAGGGGTGGGTCCTGAAAGCATTTTTTGTTTAGATGAGAGAGGAAGGAGGCTAGGTTAACCATAAAACCCTCGGCTTTGATGGCTGAGCGAATGGCACTGCTTCCAACTCACCTGGGGTTTGACAGGATGGGTTTGAGGGGCCTCTGTGCCATCTCTTCTACAGAGGACTGGATGGGAGTCTACTTCCTTCCACTCACCAGTGGTTTGAATTGTCAGAGGACTGATGGCCTCAGCTCTGGTCCTGGCTCCTTCCTTTCCGGGTAATCCCGCCACCACAGGTGGGCGTTTCACTTATTACTCCTTTCTCACCTGCCTGTGGTGAAAGCGATGCCTGCCCTAGAGGATGCTGGGAGGAGTAATGCAGAGGTGGCTGTGAAAGGCCACACAATACTCGGGTCCTGATGAGCAGCATCACTTCTGTGATGGCTGTCATTTTCTCTGTTCAGCCGTTTTCAAGAGTGTTAAGAAATAGCGGGGCTCTGTCCCAAGATTCCCCTTTCTTTGTAAAGCCTAAGAAAGCAGATGCTCCGGATAAGCAGAGAAAACTCAGCATTTCTGAGGGTTTGTGGGTTTGAGTCAACATTATGCTATCACCTTTTAGTGCACTTAATAATTAAGCTTACAGTAGGTAGCAGACAATGGCATCGAGCTGGGTGTGGCTTCAGAGCCAGCCGAGTCCTTTCTTGAAGCTCTACAAAAGCCTCTATGATATTTCTCCCCACCTTGGAAATTTTTAAATAGTTTAAACATTTAAGCAGATTTTAATGTTTTTTATTTAAAAAATGGAAGGAATAAAAAGGCCACAGTAGAATCTTCAGGAAAGACAGTGGTTGCAGTTCTGTACATGTGAAAGTCAAAAAGTGGCTAAGAAAAAGATGCTCCGCCTGCCACTACTAAAAAGAAAAAACGTTTGCCATAAGCCACCATGACTCAGAGTTCACAGATGGGAAGAAACAGATAAATTAGAGCAAAGTTCCTGAAAATGTTCTGTGACTGATACTGCTTCCTGTAAGTGACTGGAAAGAGCTAGTGCTGATTTGAGTAGACATTGGTTCTTCTAGAAGAGCCAGAAGGTTTCACATGGATTTTTTTAATGTTGGAAAAACCAGGCAGGAGAACAAAAAAAGGAGAAAAATTCTTTCCCCCCTTCTTTTAATATCGTTTTCAGTAGCACAATGCATTTAAAGTAAGGCACAGTTTCCTCAGAGTAATATGGCCTCAGGACATGATTTAGATGGAAAATTTAAGTAAGATTAATGCAATTTATTATCCAACAGGATATCCCTACAAGCCACACTATTTGGCTGAATTTTAGATTCCCAATCTAATATTTCAGATGAGATTTCCAGATGGGTGTCTTATTCCTCTATTAGTTTAGTCAGGGTGATATAGAGTTTGTAAAACAGGAGAGGTTAAACTAGTTTTAACACTTGATTAATCATTGAAATTACTTTGTTACTGTTTGAATTCACTGACTTTTGTTTATTAAGTAACTCCCTAAGACCCAAAGCCAACACAAACTAGAGGCACCTTTCCAGCTTTGCTAATTTATTTGATGACTTCTTCAAAGGAAATTTTTTAAAAAGTAGTAAATTTATGGTTACATTGAAAGGCTGCTCAATGCTTGCCCTTTGCCTTGCTAAAAAGTAAAGTGTGGGTTTATAAGACTGGGGGAAAATGTACACACACACACGTGTACACGCACACACACACACACACACACCCCATATTCCAATTTCCTGGAACATTACGGGGCAGATAAATCTTTAAAACAAATTGGATAAATAATTATCAGAACCTTTGCCACTTCTATCAAGAAACAGACAGATAATATAGAAACCGTCTGAGGTGACAAACCACACATATATTCTGCCATTTTATAATCTGCTAGCAGGTCTATTAAGGGAGGTAGATTCTAGTGCACCTGGCAAGGCTGCTTTGAATGATGGGATGAGCTGAGTGAAAGGGCCATAGACAGCAAGACTCAGTGCTTAGCGTGGAGTGAAGGGGGAGGAGGGCTGATTCCAATATGGGACAAAGCTCCAAACCAGAAATTTTTTTTGGGATATGAAAATTTCCTGAAGTCTGGGTTTGTTAAATTGATTACAATCTCTTTTCAGAGACCTATCAGGAGCAAACTAGTGAGTTGCAGACATAAATTTGAATTCCAGAGTCTCCTACTAACCCAACTCATAAATGAATTCCTAAATGCTGACTGAGCCAGAAGACCCAGCATTGGAAAACCACTTGGCAGGAATCATTAGTTTCAAAATGAGATGAACTGCTCTATTTAGCCCTCATTCAAAACTTTACAGAAATGCCAGATTTCCATAAACACAGGTTTCCTTGAATTTCCAGGGCTCTGATTAACTGGTGGATGAGGGTGCCTCACAAATACAGATTTGTATGCAATATTCAGCTTGGAGGAGATTGGAGGTTGGAAACCAACACAAAGTATTCCTTCTCCTTTCTAATGTTAACTCTTCCTTGTTTTTCAGAAGACTTTTTTTGTTGTTGTTATAAGGAGTTTGGACAATTAAGAATTAGTCTATGGTTTAAAGACATAGTTATAGATCATATTCTTGTCATTTATGTCATCATCTGTTAAGCTTTTTATGACTGATTGACAACCCACTGCTTTATAGTGTGGCTTTATTGCCCCAAAGGAATGAGAGAATTGAAAAATACACTTCTGTCTCTGCTGAAAAAGTCATAAAGTTGTGGCTTCTGCTAAGTAAAGAGATTGCTTGCAAAGAGATATTTTCTTTTTTAAATGTGTTTTCATTTTTTTTCTTTCTGCCATTTTTCTTCATTGATACTGGCACATTAGATAGAGTACCTAACATTGGCACAACATAGATCTATAGAGTTAAAACTTTTGGTGGTTGCATATTTTCGGCTTCCATGTTCAAGTCAATAAAGCAAAATAAATTTGAAGGGTAAATAGCCAATTTCTGTATTCTGAAAAGCTATTTCCTTCCAAGGGAGTGAGTTTGGAGCCGGACTGACTTGAGTTATCACATGGATTCCATTGCCTCTGTGGGCTTTTCCTGTATTTTGTTCGATGCCTGTCATTTGTCCATGGGGATTTTAAACACAAGAGATCATGCAAGAGGAAAATACTAGTTCAGTTAGTTAAAATGCTGAACAAAGTTGAATCGTTTGTTTTTTGTGGAAGGACTAAAATGTATTCAAACAACAGGTACATTAGTTCTAGGTTGAAGCTTAACTTACAACAGAAATAAGCCCCACAGTTATCAACATGTTTGATACCAGTTTTAACCTGTTTCTGGGTGGTAGAAATTCATACGCTTGACACAATGCATTGAATCTTACAGGAGGGTCTCCAAAATTTGAGCTTCCAGTTATAGAAGGAAGTGGTATAAAAGTCATCTTTAGGCCAAATGTGGTGGCTCACGCCTGGAATCCCAGCACTTTGGGAGGCCAAGGTGGGCGGATCACGAGGTCAGGAGTTTGAGACCAGTCTGGCCAACATAGTGAAACCGCGTCTCCACTAAAAATACAAAAAAAAAAAAAAAAAAAAAAATTAGCCAGGTGTGCGGGTGTGGTGGTGCATGTAATCCTAGCTACTCCAGAGGCTGAGGCAGGAGAATTGCTTAAACCCGGGAGGCGGAGGCTGCATTGAGCCAAGATCATGCCACTGCACTCCAGCCTGGGTGACTGAGTAAGACTACGTCTCAGAAAAAAGAAGAAAAAAAAAAGTCCCATCTTTAGACAGGGCAAGATATAGGTTTTTCTTTAGGCCACAGGATAGCATGAGCATTCCTGAAGTCAGAAAGCTATAGATTTAGCCCCAGAATGACGGAGCAGCAATTTTTGTAGCCATTTATTCAAGCAGGACAGTTTCAAGACATTCATTCTAGATTTGTCATGACAGTAATTCCACTTACGCAGTGTTTGACCAAGGCTTTGTCTGTAGTTCCTGGTAAGCAACTTAGAACTAGATCTGCCTCCTCCCCCTCCTCCTCTCTTCTTCATCATCATTATCATCATAATCATCATTACAATCATTTCAGTCCTTAGTGATTAACTTAGAGATTAACCAAGGCAAAAAATAATTTAGGCTACTTAGCGATTTTCTTCCTCCCTTCCTTCTCTTTTATTCCTCTTTTCTTTCTCTTTCTCCTTCTTCTTCTTCTTATTCCCCTTTTGTGAGTCAGTTCTGTGAGATTTATTCCAAGAGCCAAAAACCAAGGTAAGATTTCAGAAATAGGCCTTCTAGAAGCCCACACAAATGTGTACATGTGAGGAGCTTGGCTCCAGTGGGATAAGCAGATGCAAATCCAATTGGTAAGCTGTCTTGGATCTGGCTATCTTATGAAATTTCTGGTATTAGTTATTTGAGACTCCTATCACCTTGCAAAAATCCCGAGAAATCCCATTCCTCAGTTGGACAGAATGAGGTGCCTTAGAAATCCCATTCCTTGTTTGGACAGAAAGAGGTGCCCTAGGTGTCAATTACTATCTTGACAAATCTGGAATGAAAGTCTTGAAACTATCCTCCTTGAAAAAATGACTACAAAAATGGCTGCTTAGCCATTCTTGGGCTAAATCCACATCTTTCTGACTTCAGGAATGCCCATGCTCTCCTGTGCCCTAAATGAAAACCCATATCTTGCCCTTCTAAAGATGATCTCTATGTCACTCCCTTCTATAACTGGAAGCTGAAAGTTTGGAGAACCTCCTGTAAGAATTGAATTCATTTAGTTAAGCATATGAGTTTCTACTATTCAGAAATAGGTTAAAACTGAAATTAGTAGAAAAAACTGGAGATTTTGTGTAAGGACAGAAAAAATATAGATGATACTGGGTGAAAAAGGGACAAGAAGTGAAAATGATAAGAAGACAGCAGAATCCACTCAATGGTAAGTCTGAATTTCCCACTTCACGCTATGGGCAAGATTCATTTGTATTACAGGAACAGGAGCAGGAGGCTTTGACAACTGAGATCTTCGATCATGAGTGTTGTGAATGCAGACGGGGTGAGTTTCTATATGAATGCACTTTCCTGTGACTTGATAATTATTCTGTGGAGTCTAGCATGCCTCAGATGTTCAAACCTCTTCCCTCCCTTGGAGTGTGGCATCAGATGCTGCCTGCCAGCAACTTGCAGATGACAATCTGCCCCTTGTCTTTTCCTGGGATCTTGCAAGAAGGAACTACTTCCCTACACTGTGGGTCAAGCATAGTAGTTCTTTACCATCACCTGTTCGTTAAATATTTTTTTTGCTTCTAGGTTTTGTACTCCAGGCACTGTGCTAGGCACCAGGACTATAATACAACTTGTGATCTGTAGAGGAGTCAGACAATTATCCAGGCATCCCAAAGAAATGTCAATTGCAAGTAAGCAAATTCTATGAAAGCAAAATACACAGCACACAACACTTCACCATGGATTTAACCTGGTCAGGAAGGTCTGGAATATGATGACAGAGCTGTCTGAAGTTTGGGTAGGAATTAACTAGTTGAAGAGGGGAATTAGGAGGTTCTGGTTAGAGACCTGGGTTGTACAAAAGCACGTGTGTTCTCTCAGCCAAAACCATACTGGGATTTCTGTGGAGGTATAGAGGGAGTGGGGAGAGTGTCCCTTTCATGGCTTCTGGACTGAAATCTATCACTCAGGTCTTGGAAACTCTTTGGTCACCTGTGCTCCAAGTCTCACATGGCCTCTCAGGTAAAGATTGCTTTACCCTCTTTATCTAATCTTTCAATACATTTCTCATTCTCCCTGCCCCTGCCCCCAATCAGTGTAAGGCGGGGCAGGGTAGAAACATAAAGAGCCAGCAAACATGTCTTTGTCTTTTTTCTTTCATGTCCCAAGGGAATAAATCTCTTTCTTCCTCCAGACAAACACCACCCAACACGCCTCATGTATATCATTTTAAGCTACAGAAATATGGAATCTTCAGTGAAGTTTACCTTTGGGGCCACTCCCACCTTAACCTGGTATGGCCACTTTAAGAAGTCATCACTTCCCCATTATAGAACCTACCAGGCTTGACTTTTTTGTTCTTATTCCTTCACTTTTAGATTTGATCTGTTCTATTGTTTGTTTCCTAGTAGCTTCAGTTCCTCTAAAATTCTGACTCCCTGCCCCAGAACCCACTCATGTAGCCTTGAGTAACATTCTCTTCTCTTTGATCCATAGGCCTGGATCCCTTTTTCCCTGGAGGCTGTTCTGAAGATGGCACCCTACCTGCTCACCTTTTAGTGTACCTGGGCACCCATGCCTCCATATGGTGACCCTCAAATCATACTGTATGAAGAGCAGCTGTTTTGTCAACTATTTTTTAATGAGATTTTTTTTGCTTTGGTTTAAAAAATAGCATATATTTGCGTTAGAAAATTAGAAATACAGAAGAAACAGAAATATAAAAGAATTACCTATAACATGCAAAAATGACTAGTACAAATGTTTTTGTTTTTTTACAGTATGTGAACATATTGTATGTTTATATTAATATCCATAGTATTTATTTTTGCCTACATGTTTTACTTAACATATGTAGTAAGCATTTCCCATGTTAGTCAAATTATTTGTGGACATTATTTTTAATGACTATTAATGTTATTACTCTACAGCTTGCCGAATAAGTCTCCTATTATATGTCATTTTGGGTCCTAGCAACATTTTTGTGTTTAAATCCTTGTAGCAGTTTTGACTGATTTCCTTAAGATAGAGTCCAAGAAGAGAAATAATTTGCTTGTTTGTTTATCATTTGGTACTTTCTTTTATGGTAATGTCCTTGGGGCTGATAATTCAGAACCATGAATAGATATGATTCTTGTCTTTGAGGAGATTGTAGCCTTGTGCTAGGTTAAAGAATAGGCACGTTTTAAAGTTCTCGATACACATTTTCAAAGTGCTTTTCAAAAATTTGTATCAATTCATCCTTCTACTATAAGGGAAAATCTGTTCTGGGTTGTTTTTCTGGTATATCTTCCTATTAAGAACCTGTTCTCCCTCCTGCTTTGTGACTCACATGGAGTTGCCACTGCATGCTATCATCTCCATCCCTTAGAGCAACCTATTAGAGAACTTACTCTCTGGAGTCCCAAAAGAGAAACAACAGCAACAACTCAGCAATTCATCTGGGGTCAGCGTGTTACCCAGTCTGGGCCATTGGAGATTTTTTTAAAGGGAAGTTTCTCCTATTTTCTTCAAAATTCTGAGCTGTGAAGAGGACCACTAGAAAGTTCAATCTATTTATGATTTTTTAAAAAACTGTTATTATATATATTTAAGTGTATGTCATGTTTCCACACATATATACATAGTGAAATGATCACTGTAATCAAGCTAATTAGAATATCCCCCATCTCGCATAGTCACCTTTGTGTGTGAAAAGGGTTCAGTGCTTCCCTCTCCACTCTTCATCTCCCCTTTAAAAAAGCAGAGATGAATGGAGAGGGAAAGGTTGAACAATGGTTATGTGGTGGGACTGCTGGGATTCACCTGAGAGTTAAAACCAGCTAGTTCTACCCGTATGTTTTTCACTTAGATAAGCCAACAAATTAATTTCTTTTCCTCTATTCTTCTTGTCTTCTTTCCTGCCTCTTTACCTGTCTCCCTTCCTTCCTCTCTTCCCACTCTCTTTCTTTCCTTATTTAAATTGGTTTGAATTGAGTTTCTGACACTAATGGAGAGTCCTTATTGTGCCTTCACGTTATTTTTATCAAACCAGAAAATGTTAATGACATAAAACAATTACTGTTTGGACAAGGAAAATTGTATTTCTTTCCTTGAAATTTCTACACACATACACATTTGTGCTTGTTAGTGAGGCTAAGCATTTTCCCCCTTATTTGTGAATTATATATTCAATGTTTTGATCCATTTATCAAATAAATTCCTTAGTTTAAAAAATATTTGCAGGTGCGGTTATTATGGAAAGCAGCATGAAGTTTCCTCTAAATATTAAAAATAGAATCACCACATGACTCAGCAATCCCTCCTCTCTATATATTTTTAAAGGAAATGAAATCAGCACTTCATGGAACTATCTCCACTCCCGGCTGGGCGCAGTGGCTCACGCCTGTAATCCCAGCACTTTGGAAGGCCAAGGCAGGTGGATCACGAGGTCAAGAGATGGAGACCATCCTGGCCGACATGGTGAAACCCTGCCTCTACTAAAAATACAAAAATTAGCTGGGCGGGGAGGCACATGCCTGTAATCCCAGCCACTCGGGAGGCTGAGACAGGAGAATCGCTTCAACCTGGGAGGCGGAGGTTGCAGTGGCTGAGATCGCACCACTGCAGTCCAACCTGGTGACAGAGGGAGACTCCATCAAAAAAAAAAAAAAGAAAAAAAGAAATATCTCCACTCTTATAGTCATTGAAGCATAATTAACAATAACCAAGCTATGAAATCAATGTAAGTGCCCATCAATGGATGAGTGGATAAAGAAAATGTTACACACACACACACACACACACACACACACACACAGTGGAATTTCATGTAGCCTTAAAAAAGAAGACGATTTTGTTATTTATAACATGCCTGAATGTGGAGGACATTAGGTTAAGTGAAATAAGCCAGAAAGAAAAATACTGCATGATCTTACTTATATGTGGAATCTAAAAACGTCAAGTACAAAAAAGCAAAAAGTAGAATAGTGGTTGCTGGGATCTGGGGCTGAGATTATGATGGGCAAATGGGAAGAAATTGAGTGCAGAGTTTTGATTAGGATCAATAAGTCTAGAGAGCAAATGTACAGCATGAAGACTATAGTTACTACTGGGTTGTATACTGGAAATTTGCTAAGAAAGTAGGTTGTAGGTCCTCTTACCATACACACATATACAGGTAACTATGCGAGATGATGGATATTCTAATTAGATTGACTGTAGTAATCATTTCACTATGTATGTGTATGAAAACATGACATACACCTTAAATATATATAATAACATTAAAAAAACCCAAAATCTTGAAAAGATTATTAAGCTTTCCAATGCCCAAGAAAAGGAAGAAAAGAAAAAGAAACTGCCACAGCTTATTTTAAAAATAAAAGTGGGCTCTCTTTTTAAAATATTAATTTTATAGTACCTTATCTGGTAACCAAAATATTTTTAAATATTCTGATGCTATTATAGTATAATCATTCTTTAATAATTTTGTAGATTTCACTTTACTGAACAAAGCCCTAAACAAAAACATTGAATATGACAAAAACTTGCATAAGTTTATTTCATACTGAAGACATATATGCTATAGATTTGTAGAAATACTTCCCACTTGGTTACTTGCTTATGTTATGAGTTTTTACCTACAGAAACTTGCTTTTTTTCTTGTAAAATTTAGATTAATTTCTTTGGTATGTTTTCCTACTGCTTTAAAACTTCAGAATTCCTTTTTTCATAGAACTTTTCTATTTTCACTTAGAAACATTCAGAACTTATGTTAGTGTGTGATTTGAGGTGGTTTTTGTGTTGACTTTGTTTCCTACCTTGTTAGCTATTTTTTCTATGCCATTGTGGAATAATTTGTTAATTTTCAGTGGATTCATAATGCCTTTAAAAAATAAGGTTGTGTTCTCAGAGGTGATAAATTTTATTTATTTATGATGCTCCATCTATGTTAAGGCTATTTGTAAGTCTATGTGTATGGTAGGATTTTAGTTCTACACTGCATCTTACACAGGTTAGTAAAATATAGCACATTTATTAATTATTTAGAGTATAGGATTACGTATTGATAAGTACAAGCTATTGAGCCTTCCCATGTCCTAGGCACTTTGCTGAATTTTAATCCTTATCACAACTCAATGGGATAGATACTGTTGTCATCTTTTGTAGACATGGGTTTATTATAGCTATTTTAAAATGAGTTAGCAAATTCAAATTTCAAAAATTCTATTTTTATTTCTAATATGGTAAATATTGATAAATAAAATTTATATAAACAAATATTTTGATGTACTCAGTAACCCATAAGGGTATATAAGAGCCCTGAAATGAAAAAGTTTGAGAACTGCTTATAAGCCCTATATAATTATTAGGTATTAATATCATTATTAATTTTTGAATCTATATTCAAATATAGTTATCATAAAATGAACTTCATATATGTAAGTGTATACTTTGATGTGTTTTGACATATGTATATTATAATGAAGCCATCATCATAATTAAGATAATAAACATATCCATCACTCTCAGAGTTTCCTAATGCCTCTTTGTTATTCATCTCTCTCTCTCCAGGGTCCCCAAATTGAGGTAACCACTGATCTTCTTTCCATCAATATAGAGTAGATGGCACTTTCTAGAATTTGATATAAATGGAATCTACACTCTGTTGTGACTATATTTATTCAACTCAGCATAATTTTGGGAATTATCTATGTTGCTATGTGTATCATGAGTTTGTTCCCTTTTATTGCTGAGTAGTATTTCATTCTATGGATATACCACAATATATTTATCCATTCACCTATTGGTGAACATTTCAGTTATTTCCAGTTTTTGGCTATTATAAATCTGCTATGAACATTTACATATAAGTTTTGTGTGGATATATTTTTTATTTCTCTTGGATAGATATTGAAGAATGGAATGGTTGAGTATTATAAGTGAATGTGTAGTTATTTAAGAAACTGCTAAAATAGTCTCCAAAGTGGTCATAAAATTTTACATGCCCTAAATTACCACCAGTAGTGTATGAAAGTTTCAGTTGCTCTGCATTCTTGCTAATATTTGCTATGGTGAATTTTAAACATTTTAGCTATTTTAGTGAATGTGTAGTGTGATTTTGTGATGTTAATTTGCATTTCCATGTGTTTATTTGCCATCCATATACCTTCTTTGGTGACATATCTGTTCAAATCTTTTCCCCATTTAAAAAAATTTTTTTTTCTGTTTTTAAGTTGTAAGAGTTCTTTACATCTAGACACCAGCCCTTTATTGGACATAGATCTGCAAATCTTATCTTTAGCCTATGGCTTGCTTTATATTTCATTAATAGTGTCCTTTTAAAAAATTATTATTATTTTTTGTAGATACAGGGTCTAGCTTTGTTGCCAAGGCTGGTTTCAAACTCCTGGCTTCAAGTGATCCTCCTACCTTGGCCTCTAAAATTGTTGGATTACAGGCATGAATCATCGTACCTAGCCATTAACAGTGTCTTTTGAAGAACAATAGTTTTTAATTTTTATTAAGTCCAACATTATAGATATCATAAATTAAAAAGAATAGATACCTATGATTATAAATGGTGTCTTTCGTGCCCTATTTAAAAACTGTTTACCAAATCCAAGATCACTGAGGTAGTCTCACTTGTTTTCTTTTAGGATTTTTATAGCTTGAAGTTTTACCTATAAGTCTTTGACAATTTGGGGTTAATTTTTATATATTGGGTAATGACTGACATTTCTATATATTCTTGACTCTCTATTTGATCTGTTTGTTTATCTTGATGCCAATGCCACACTGTTTTGATTACTGTAGATCTATAGTAAGCCTTGAAATAAGATAGTGTAATGTTCTGTCTTTATTCTTTTTGTTTCAAAGCTTTTTGGTTATGCTAGTGCCTTTGAATTTCCATAACAATTTTAGAATCCACTTGTCAATTTGCACAAAATAGCCTGTTGGAATTTTGATTGTGAGTGCATTGTATATAGTAGAGATAATCTATATCATAGATATTATCTTATTTGTCAGAATATGCCAGCAAACATTCTCTTATTAGCCTTTTAATATCTGTAGGATCTGTAGTGATATCCCCTCTCTGATTCTTGATGTTGGTAGTTTACATTTTCTCACTTTCCCCCCTAGATCTTTATAAAATTTGTGGATATTCTCAAAGTTCTAGCTTTCAGTTTAATTGATTTTCTACATTATTTTTCTGTTTTCTGTTTCATTGGTTTATGTTCTTATTTTTATTTTCTTTCTTCTTCTATTCTGTATTTATTATTTTTTCTTGTTCCTTAAAGTGAAAGTTAGAGTAACTGATTTGAGACTTCTTTTCTAACAAAAGTATTTAAAATTATACATCTCCCTTTGAAAGTACCACTTTAGTAGTATCCCACACATTTTGGTATATCCTGTTTTCCTTTTTATTCCATTCAAAATACTTTCTAATTTTTCATTGATTTGTCCTTTTGATGCATTAGTTATTTAGAAATGTCTTATTACATTTCCAAATATCAGAAAATTTTGTAAAGATTTTTATGTTACTGATTTCTAATTTAATTCCATTGTGGCCAAATGACATATTTTATATAACTTGAATCTTTTTAAATTTATGGTGACTTTTCTTATGGATTAGAACAGATTTATCTTGGTAAATGTTCTTGGTGCACTTGGAAAGAAATTGCATTTTGCTGTTGTTGGGTAAAGTGTTCTATAAATGTTAATTAGGTAAAGTTGTTTGAAAAGTTGTCCATTTCCATATTCTAGTAACTTTTTGTCTATTCATTCTATCACTTATTGAAAGAGATGTTGAAATATATGAAATATATGTAGATTTATCTATTTCTCCTTTTACTACTCTGAGTTTTTGCTTCACATATTTAGAATCTTTATTACTAGCTGCCTAAATATTTAGGATTTCTATGTCCCCCTGATAATTTTAGTACTTTTTCCTTATGAAATGACCCCTTTTATCTTTTATCATATTTCTTACTTAAAAATCTACCTTGTCTGATATTGAAATAGCCACTTCTATTTTCTTTAATTTGTGCAATTATATATATATATTTAAATCCTCTTATTTTAATCTATCTGTGTCTTTATATTTTAATTTATTTCTTCTAGTAAGTTGTCTTTGTTTTCTTTGTTTTGTGTTTGTTTGACTTCCAATCTGACAATCTCTGCCTTTTCCTTGATATGTTTGTTATTTACATTTAATAATTATTAACATAATTGATATTTGTTTTTACTTGTCTTATCTGTTTGCTTTTCCACTCTTTCATACCTTTTCTGCCTTATTTTAGATTAGTTGCATATTTTTTAGATTCTATCTTTTGTTGTCTTATTAGTTATACCTTTTTGTTTTGTATTTTTAATGGCTGCTTTATGGTTTGTCATGTATATCTTTAACCTAGTACAGGCTGCCTTTAAGATATAGTATACATTTCATATAAACTACAAGAACTTTACAAGGGTATGCCCATTTTTCCCTTCCTCACCTTATTATTACTATTGTCATACAGTGTACTTCTGCATATGTTATAGGTCCAATGATACATTTAAAAGTGATACTTAAATAGCCAATTTTAAAAAAGAGATAAGTCTTTTATGTTTAAACCCACATCTTGTATTTCTTGTGCTCTTTGTTCCTTTCTACATTCAAGTTTCTAGTCGCTATCCTTTTATTTCTTCCTGAATGGCTTTTTTCCCCACATTTCTTGTAGTGTAATTTTCAAGCAATGAATTCTTTTAGATTTTGTGTGACTAAGAAGGTCTTTATTTCATGTTTGTTTTTGAAAGATATCTTTTCTGGGTATAGAATATTAAGTTGATTGTTCTCTTGCCTTCCCTTCCTACCCTACCACTAGGTTTTTAAAAGATGTCACCTCACTGTCTTCTGGTTTGCATGGCTTCTGACAAGAAATCTGCAATTTTTATCTTTTTTACTCTGTATGTAATATGTCTTTTTTTGATGGCTTTTTTTAAAGATTTTTAGTTTGTTATACATTTTAAACCATTTGATATGATATGTGTTGCTGTAATTTTCATTTCTTTTCTGCTTGACATTTTCTGAACTCTTTGGGTCTGTGTATTTATAATTTTAATCAAATTTGGAAATGTTTTAGTGATCATTTCTTAAAATATTTTGTTCTTTATTTATTTATCCTTCTCTAGAACTCTAATTATATATCTCTTAGGTCACTCCATGTTGTCCTACCACTAACTAATAACTAGTTATTTGCTCATTTTCTTCTGCAGTGTTTAATCTGTTTTCAATTTCATTATTTTTTTTAATATCAGGCATTATATTTTTCATCTTAGAACTTCAATTTGGGTCTTTATAATATTTTCAATAACTATCTTTTCATAACCATCTTCTGAAATCTTTATAAATATCTTCAGTAAGTATCCCTATTATATTCCTGCTTTCTCCTGCCATTTTAAACATATAAAGTCTAGATATAATATCTATTTCATATTTGTATATAGTGATTTTATTATCTGTGCCCTTTCTTGATCTGTTTCTATTAATTGATTTTATTCCTTATTATGGATTTTATTTTCCCATTTCTCTGCATGCCTGGTAATGTTTTCATGGGACGCTAGACGTGTGAATTTTACATTATTGGATCCTGGATTTCATTTTTAAAATATTCCTTCAAATATTTTTGACATTTGGACTGGTATACACATAAGTTACTTGAAAATAGTTTGATCCCTTTATGGCTTGCTTTGAACTTTGTTACATGACAGATGTCAGTCTATGGCTAACTTGGGCCCAATTCTGAGTCAATACTCTTCTGAGAACTCTATCTAATACCTCATATGTTATGAGGCCTTTCCACCATGGCTAGTGGGACTACTGACTATTTTGAGACTGCATGAGCCCTGGAGATTGTTCTGCCTGCTTTTTCTACTTGTTCTTTCCCTGGCCTTGATACTTTTTTCATATGTTTTTACTGATCAGTCCTTAGCTAAATGCTCAAAGGGAACTTGCATATCTCCAGGACTCTCTCTCCCTGGGCACTCTTCTTTCTTTAGTACTCTTCTCTGTGAACTCTAGCTACCAAGGACTCTTTGAACTTTGAACCCTGTCTTCTCAACTCAAATGAAATTACCAGTCACCAGGTTCCATTTAGCTCTCTCTTCCTGGATTACACCCTGTACACTCTTTATGGGCAGTAATCTGAAGCACTCATAGGCCTCACTTAGTTTGTTTCCCATGTTTCAGGGCTCACTGTCCTATACTGCCTGTTGTCTGAAAACTGCTGTTTTACATATTTTCCAAGTTATTTCATTAAGTAAAAAGGATCATTCTAGTCTCTGTTACTTTCTCATGCCAGAAGTGGAAGCGAGCAATATAATTTTCATTATTACTCTATTAGTATGCTACTTATAATACTATATTTGCTCATAATTTGTTCCTTCATTTACATATTTACAGACCATTATTGAGATGCTACTCTGTTCTAGATTCTGTATTAATTACTGCAAACAATTCAGGGGTCACTTTATCTGCCCCCAATGGAGTGGCAGTGTAGTGACAAGGAACATTTACATACAAATAATAACAAAACTAAGCTCTGGTAAATTTTTTAATAGTCACCAATTCTTATTAGAATATGCATATTACTTTGCAATGTAACCTTGGCACTCCACTTCACTTCTCATCCTTAAATCTGGACTAGGCTTCTGAAGTGGAAATGGTATCATGTGAGTTTTGCAGCCCGAGCCTCAGGAGACCTTGAAGCTTCCACTTTCACCCTCTTGTAATGCTATACTGAGATCTCCATGTAAGGACATCAGGGTGACTTAATGGAGGATATAAGGTCACCTAGAAGAGAATCAAGGCCCCCTAGTCAGTAGCCATCGGCAACTTCTAGACCAGCAGACCCTCCAGTTGAGTGCAACTTCAGAAGTGAGCCCGGAGAAGATCAGCAGAAGGGCGTCACAGCCAATCTACAGGATCACAAAAAATAATAAATTATCTTTCTTAAGCCACTGAGTTTTGGAGTCTAACTGAAAAAAAGCATTGCTATGTCCTCCCAGGAAATGTCTACAATAGCTCCACCCACAGGAATAGCTGCCATCTGTGATATTTGAGGCATTTGTTTTTCAGGCCATTCATTTAATGCTCAATGCATATTATTATTATTATTATTATTATTATTATTATTATTATTATTTTTTGCCATGGGCCACATAATCTATCAGATTTGTCTCCTTGACTAAGTCAGGAGCTTTTTAAGGCCTTTTTCATAATTGCATTCCCTATGCTTTGGCAGGAGTGGTAGTTAAAAAAAAAATTGATGACAATGATAAAAATTTTTTAAAAATTATATTTCAACCAACTCATGAACTATCCTGGGCAGTTTGGCACAATAGATCCTATAAACACTTATGGGGATCCTATGAAGGGTTATGCACTGCGCTTTCAGAAACATTAGTATTGTTGTTGTTAGTATAATCATCATAATTATTATTATTTAAATGATCACTAACTTTATAAGGAAGTTATCTTTATCTTTATTTTATAGTTACAGTATTTGAGACTCAGAGAAGTGAAATCTTTGTTTGAAATACACACAATTCATAAGTGGCAGAGCTGAGATAAAAGCCCAGGATCTTGCCTCTTTGTAATAGCTTCTCAGAAATAGGCAGGCAGGTAAGATGACTGCCACATCATCTCTGCTGGGTAGGCCAGTTGGAATGAAGGCACTGTAGGGCCCCTTCCTTCCTGGATCTTGGAGGAACGTGTGTTACAGGAAATAAGAGTTAACAAAAGGGCACCTGAGGAGTGGGGTGTAAGGCCACACACTGCATTCAGACAACAGCCCTCCTCAGTCATCACAGCCTGCTTTCCTGGGGAGGAGCAGTGTTGGACTGACGTTACCCTTATTTATGACCGTTTGACTTCTTTTCTTACTGAGCCCCGTGGCCTAGTCTCAGGCAGCAGCAACACAAGGTCATCCAGTGGCATGCTTTCCAGCCAATACAGGGAGATCATTTGGGGTAAAGAGGATCACTGGCTGGAAAAAGTGGGCTATTTTGACGCAATGCTTTGGGTGTTCTTGATGCAATTGCACTATGAATATGAGGTTCCTGAGACCTTCTGGGAGAAAGCAATTTGGATACTCCCCATGAGGGAGATGCAATATTAAAATGACGGAAATATATATGAGCTTTTTAAAAAAAAATATGGTTTTCCATTTAGAAAAGATCCAGGATCTTTTAAGGCACATGTAGAAATAAATATAAAAGAAAAATGGAAAGAAATGGAGGAGAGGGAAGTGGCCATAATTTTCAAAAGCATGAAGAATTTAGTTGAGTGGCTGCAGAAAAGTTTATTGATTCAATTAATGATAATAATAATGTTAATTATAACTAATGTATATTGAGAGCTAACTTTGTACCAGGTGCTATGTGAAACCTCTGGTTTAATAGTGGTAAAATTTTAAAAAGAACCAGATATGTCTTTGCTCATAAAATTTGCAACCTAATGGAAGGAGACATACTTTAAACAATAAAATACATAATTCCAAGTTATTATACAGCTATGAAGAAAGAATGGGATGCTATGATTAAAAATATAATGGGGAACATGTAAATTGGATTAGGGGGTCAGGAAAAGCTTCTCTGAGGAAGTAAGATTTGACATGAGCCCTAAAGCCTTGGAGACCAGAAAAAATAGATCCAATGGAAACAGTCTGGATTTGTGGTGGACATAAGAAAAAGACATTAAAATGCTAGGAGATAAAGTTCTGGCATGGATTTCAAATGGTTTGGTTAAGAAGCTTCCAGCCCTGCAAGTAATTGCAAACAGTGAGAAGACTTATCTGAAATCAAGCAGCTAGAAAAGATGACTTCTCCATGTCGCCTGTAGAGATGGGATTCCACAGCCCTGACTGATCTCCATTCAGGACAAATGGAATGGAAGGACAGGTAACAAACCATTGATTATGAGAGGCTGCCAGGGTCATCCTCTCACCTCCTCAAGGTGGCTTTATACAATACTATGTTTTATTCAACTCTAGTGGCAGTATTTATATTTTCTGTAAAACAAGTCTTAATTCCCAAACATTTAAAAATCTGTCCTCCAGGAAACATTTTAAGAACCACCAAAGAGAACTAGGCAGGCTGCACTGACCAGCCCAATAGACCACAAACCGGGCTGATTCTGCAGTGAGTCAGTAACCTCTAGCGCTCAATGTTCCCCTTGGAGGAAAGAGAACAGCCATTGCAAACTGTTGTCTGAGAACTTAATAATTAACAGTTTTGCAAAAAGTGTCACTCTGTTTCTGGCAGAGCTCTGCTCTCTTTGGCACTGGAGTGGAAGATCAGCCGGAGGGCAGGTCAGTGGCAGTCTGGAGTGATTCTCAGTGGGAACTGGCCAAGCATATAATTATATCATGAGTCAAGCTCTCTCCAGGGATGTAAAATGACCAGAGGAAAATGAAATAACATTATATCCCACATGAATAGAGGCACTGGTGGAGTAAGCTGACTCCTGAGAAAGAAAACCAGGCTAAGAGGTTTCCCAGCACTTAAATGTCTTATGACTTGTCCCTGTGTCCCTTCTCTTAAAATTAAGAGATTCTATGGGCACAATTTATGCCTTTGCCTTCAACCCAGAGGAACAAGTGACCAGAGACAACAATCCACATGGATAAATAATCTTGATAAACAAAAGGCCATTTAGCTGAAAAACTCCTTGTGTCATTTAGCTCCAAAAAAGAACTGTTTATTCAAGAAGAAATTAGACTGACAAATGTTGTGGTGGGAGTTAAAAAATATTTTTTCCTCACTAAACCACTTCCAAAGGTATATTTTTATGTGTCCAGGAATAGCAGTCTGTTTGTCTTGCTTGTGCTTGTTCCCCCTCTCGTTTCTTTTTGGTCAACATCCAAAGGAGAATTAGTCCTTTGAACAGTGGCAATGTAGTAGCTGAAGCCAAATTAGTATGAATGGTGCTGGCTGCCCCTCCCAATCCCTACTGCCTCTGCTTCCCAGATGATATAATTAGCCAGGGAACTTTTGATCAGTTCATCAAAGAAAAACAGTTATAGGGCAGTCCCATCATGGGTTATGGGCTAAGAAACATCAAAATAGGAGTGACAAGCTTTTATGATGATTTCCAAAAAGGGTTATTTTAGACAGAAAGTGCAGAAACAGAAAAGTGCTCTGAGAGGGGAAGAATAAATAGAACTTGATATTTACCTCTCGTTTGTCATTAGTAATATTTTTGAAGAAAGCAAGCAGTAAGCTTGTGACAAAGCTCGGGAGATGAGGGACAGTGTCTCAAGGAGAAAGCACAGTACAGGGTGGAGTCTGTCAGATACTCTTTGGGAAGTCACTCAAGATAAATATCTAAAGTTCAGTTTCTATTTGTTCAATGTTCAATATGAACATTAAGGTTATGTACTTGGGGATGAGGAGTAAAGTGTTGAAGCAGAAAGAGGAGGAGTATTTGAAAGAGACTGGGGATTTTGATTTTATATCCACCCCTGGGAAGTGGCTGTCCATGCAGGGAAATTTTCCTTTCAGAAAGAAGTAAGCGGTGGGTGGATGAAAGGATAAAAATGAACACATCTACACCTTCTCACCCTCAAAATAAAAATGAAGGCCACTTGGAATTACTAGTGCTCTCATGTGAATATCTCTGAAGTGATGATAGTACTAAATCAGTCAGTCAGCATTGACTGGCTGCCTGCTTGATACTTACACAGTTCCTATAAAAAGAAACTGGAGCATGGTAGGGATTCAAAAACAAGGACCTTGAAAGAAAAAGCCTGTGGCTAATAGAGTTGTCAGTGTGTAGTGTACTACTTCCTAATGAAAGAACTGGAAGAAACTGAGCAAGTCCTCTTGCCTCTGCCTTTGCACCCTCTGCTCCAGTCCACACTGAAAATATCCTCAGTGATGTTACAAGTGTTGAGAATGTGAAGTTAAATGATCTAAACGGCTCACTCAGTGGAGAGCCATCTACTTATGTCTTTTTCATCGGCCATAATTCCAACTCTTAGAGCTTCAGTTCTATAAATTTTACAAGAATTTTAAGTTTTCAAAGTCATTTACTATCATATTTCTTAAAAGATAATTATTTCTCTTACGTTTCACTTGTCCAAAATTAGGATGCACCTTGAAATCAACTGATATGTATATTTAACCTGGAAGAAGTGTTTTCATTCCCTCTTGTACAGTTAGGAAGCCGATGAAATTAGTTTAACATCAAGGAATAAGGTGAAAGGTAAATAGACCTCTGAGGCAAGGACCTTAAGGTGTGTTATGGTCTGAATTGTGTCCCCCTGCTCTCCAAATTCATATGTTTAAGTTCTAAACCCCAGTACTTGAATATAGGGGCTTTAAGAGGTAAAATGTGGTCATTAGGGTGGGCCCTAATCCAATGTGGCTAGTGTCATTATAAGAAAATAAAATTAGGAAGGACACAGATATGCACAGAGCAAAAAACTGAAGACACAGGGAGAAGATGGCCATCTACAAGCCAAGGAGAGAGGCTCCAGGAAGAAACCAAACTTGTGTCAATCGGCTTGGGCTGTTGTAACAAAATACCACAGTCTGGGTGGCTTATCCAACAGGAATTTATTTCTCACAATTCTGAAGACTGAGAAGACCAAGATCAAGGGACTAGTGAATTCAGTTCTTCAGTGAGGTCTCTCTTCCTGGCTTGCAGATGACCATTCTCCCTGTGTCCTCGTGTGATGGAGACAAAGTTCTAGTGTCTCTCCCTCTTCCTATAAGGGCACTAATCCCGACATGAAGGCTCCACCCTTATTACCTCATACAAAACTAATAATCTCCCATAGGCCCCAATGCCATCTCATTGGAGATTAGGGCTTCAACATATGAATTTTGGAGAGGGAGCACAATTCAGTCCATGGCATACCTTGATCTTGGTCTTCTGCCTCCAACACCGTGAGGAAATAAATTTCTGTTGTTTAACCCACCTAGTTTGTGGTATTTTGTTATGGCAGCCCTAGCAAACTAATAGAAGGTGTTGGTTGCATACTGGAGCAGAATGAGCCTGACAGGCAGTGGGGCCAGTCGGGAGAGACCCATGGGGCTAAGAGGGGACACAGGAGACTGTCGTAATCTGCTCAAGCTGCTATTACAAAATATCTGGGACTGGATAATTTAGAAAGAAGAGAAATTTATTTTCTCATGGTTCTAGGGACCGGGAAGTTCAAGATCAAGGTGCTGGCAGGTTCAGTGTCTCTGAAGGCTACTCTGTGGTTCCAAGATGATGCCTTGATTCTTCACATGACAGAAAGGAAAAAAGCTGAAAAAGGTACATATGAGGCCTTTTTTATAAAAGCCTCCATTCCATTAACTTAGGCTTCACCTTCATGGTTTAATCACCTCCTAAAGACCCTCATCTCTTAATCCTATCATATTGGTGACTACATTTCAATACAGAAATTTGGGAGGAGAGTGAACATTCAAACCTTAGTAGGGACAATAGAAAAATAAGTTCAAAATTATTCGAATGTCAAAGAATGGATTTTTCTCAGATGTCAGATCTGTCTGCAAAGAAGAACATCAGTTCCTTCTCTAACTTCATGGAAGGATGGTGGAATATTGTACCTAGATAACTGTCCTTAGTTTTGTCGTTTTGCTTTGTCATAAAACATCAGCCCTTTCAGGATGCCTGCTCTATTTCCGTAACTTTGTTCTGACTGGTCAGTTTTTCCTTCTCATTTTACCTCATGATGGCTTTTTCTATATAAAGCCAAGAAAATGGGTCAATTCTGTCAAGTCAGTTGGAAAAACAGACCATTTGGATTGGTTGATAATATCCGGGTACAATCTTAGACACTGTCCTGAAAAGAGTCTTTTTTCCATGCCCCCTTCCTTTTGGAGCTAAAGTTTTTTTTCTTCTGAATATTACCTTTTAAGTATTGTCAAAAGATTATTTATAGGATCTCTGAAAAATAGCTTTGGATGCTCTCGGTAGAGGAGATGTGGTAGGGAATCAAATTAGATTGGGTCACAAGGGAAAGTGTCTGTAAGAATATGAATGGGACCCAGGGGAAATAAAAATTAAAGAGAAACCAGACTCGAGCTGCACTTTCTCTATTTTGCCAAGTTAGACTTGAATTATGTCATCATATGTAATTTCAAGGAATGGGCAAACTAGTTTGGATAAAACAAAAGTGATCGGATTTGTTTCCCAAAGTGTAAATTGAATCATAGAGAGAAAATTTTCTTGGATGCAAAATAAACGTCCCTGATATCTTCCCCCCATTATTAATTCTTATGAGCCTTATTAATTTTCATCCTAAATGAGATACAAAATGCTGGAATTACATAAATATTATCATTTCCAGGTTGTGTGCAATTTTCTCACTCTTTGGTATCAATATTATATTTCATGCAACTAAAGGTAAAATTTTTCTCCTTACTTATAGTGCAGGATATATCCCATATGGTATGTCTTGTCTTTTCACCTGCAATTCCATTTCTTCTGTATATCCTAAAGGGAAGTCCTGAGTACTTCATAGATGTATCAGTTTGCTATTGCTGTGTAACAAACCAATTCGAAACTTAGTAGCTTAAAACAACAAAAATCTATGTAGCTCATGATTCTGTGGGTCAGCAATTTAGGCTGGGCTCGCTGGGTAGTACTGTTTATCTGGGCCAATCTTGGCTGATCTTGCCATGGATTCACTTACGCTTCTATAGTCAATTGGCATAATAGCTGAGGGCTGCTTGATTGTTAGCTGGGTGTCTCAGCTCTCCTCTGGCAGAATAGCCTGTGCTTGCTCCCACGGTGGCTGGTTCCATGAGTGGCAAGCAGGCAAGCTTCAATACACAAGTGCTTCTAATGCCTCTGCTTGTATCACAACTGCTAATGTCCTATGAGCCAAAATAAGTCACATGGCTAAAGCTAGAGTCAGTGTGAGAGGACACTGTCAAAGAATATAAGGAAGAGTAAATAAATTTGAGCTGTTACTGCAATCTACAGTGTAGGCATTTAAAAGGTTTGTTTGATAACGAAAGTCATCCTACTCTTATAATTAATTGTGTAGACTAATATATTGGAACAAATGAACCACAAAGGCACTTGACACTATGTGGAAAAGAACTATCTATTATGCAAGTTACAAGGGTATTTGTTTCCTTTCATACATACTTATTTGAGGAGAGTGTGAACTGAGAGGATGTGGGAAATCTAAAAGGACACATCATTGTTTACTCTTTTGGGGAAAGAGTCCAGAGCAATTACTAAAGCCACCAGGGCAATTAGAGACCCTGAGGGAACCCTGGTCACATTTTTGGCTTTAGTAGAAAGTGGCTGGAAAAAATGAGTCCACCATGGTCAGGCCAGGAAATCTCAGATCACTTTACCTTTGGGCACTCCACACCCATATACCAAACCATGGTGTCTTAGAGTCTGTATATGGCAGTAAGTCTATCTCATTGTTTTCTCCACGTTCTGGTGTGGCCTGGGAACTAACTGTGTTATGTCTATTATTGAGGAGGGGCCTTCCTGGGGTGGAGCACCAGCTTCAAAGATAGGTGGCAGGAAAAAAAAGGCTCACTGACTTTTGGCAGTGTAAATCCTGAGTTATCATCGGCAGCCTGATGTAGTGGTGGTAACAGGGAGTCTGGCTTAGGAAGCTCATTAGAACCTGAAGCTAATGGACCCAGTGGCATTGGCTAGGGTCCTGTTAAATTCATTTTCCTTCATACAGGGAAACATTCTCTTCAGGAGACCAAGGCAGCCATCTTGGTCTTGTGAGCTTGTGTCCCAGTCCCTGGGTGAGAGTAGGAATGGGTTAGCACCAGCCAGAGCCATCACTGGCAGGCTGTCTCAGTGGGATTATCTCAGGGATGATGGGCTGCAACACTGAATATTCCCAAGAGGATTGGAAGCAAAGGAAGCAGAGCCATGTCTTGATGAATTCAATGATTGTGGATAATCAGGATCTTTCAGATTCAGACTTTCTTCCTCACTAGCTGATCATTCACATGAATAACTTAGATAATGACCTTCTTTGACCTCTTTTTTTTTCTCTAAGTACAGTTTTTAGTCTAAGTCTGGAGGTCTCAAGTCAAGATCCAGATAACTAATTTGACACTTGAATTTGATTCTTATAAGCAGGTAGTTTCAATATCTCTAAATACAAAACCCTTTTATTACATTAGTTTTTCATGCTACTTTATTTTTTTAAAATATACTTTACTTTTTGGAACAGTTATACATTTATAGAAAGAGGCTACCAGATACCACACATGTAATTTTTCCTGTATTGACATCTTGCATTAGTGCAGTTCAGTTGTTACAATTAATGAATCAATATTGATTATTATTAAGTAAAATCCATAGTTTATTGAGATATCCTGTTTTTTACCTAATGTTACTTTTCTGCTCCAGGATCCTATTCAGAATACCACATTATGTTTAATTGTCATGTCTCTTTAGGCGCCTCTTGGCTTTCACAGTTTCTAAGACTTTCTTTGGTTTTGATGGCCTCGACAGTTGTGAGAAGTACTGGTCAGGAATTTCATAAAATGTCCTTATACTGGAAATTGTCTGATGTTTTTCTCGTGATTAGACTGGGTTATGGGTTCTTGAGAGGAAGACCACAGAGGAAAAGTGCTATTTGCAACATATGTTGATAATGTGCCACATGCAGGGTACATTATCAATAGGACTGATTATCACTGTTGATGTTGACCTCCATCACTTGGCTCAGGTAATGTTTATCAGGTTTCTTCATTGTTTAGTCATTCTTTTCTTGTTCCATTCTGTACTCTTTGGAAGGAAGTCACTGTGTCCAGCCCACAGCTGAGGAGTGGGAGTTGCGTTCTCCCTCCTTGAGGACAAAATATCTGCAATTCTACATGGAAGATTTGTCTCTTCTCCCCTATTTATTTATTCATTTGTTAAATGAATATAATGAATAAATAATGAATAAATGAATGAAGTGAATAAATAAATTCATTCAATCATTTACTTATATCAGTATGGACTCATAGTTATTTTTCCACTTTTAGTTATAATCCAACACTATATTCTGTTCCTTAAATTGTTCCAAGTTTGGCCATTAGGAGTCCTTTCAAATGGCTACTTTGCTTCTTTGACATACCCCCATTAATATGTGTGTGTATGTATATATGTATGCATTTATTTATTTTAGCACTTCTTACTTTCTGATATTACAAAATGCTTCAAGATCATCTTGTATCTTTTCTGCACCAGTCCTAGAATCAGCCATTTCTTCAAGGAGCCCAGGTTCCTTTTATTGCAGAATGGTATTAGAAAGCAAGATCTTGGTGTGTAGAGTACTTGTTGCTACTGGAGTGTCTTCGATTCTAGGCCGTCTCAGCTAATAGAGTTAGGAAATATATGTGTGTATACTAACCCATGTACACGTATCTATACATCTTTCTATTGCAACTATTTGTATCTATATTAAGCTAAGTGTGGGTTCATACTGATGTCTTTAATGCTAAGCATTACCACATGGGTTATTCTAGCTGTTCCCCTTACTTGTCTATACAATCCCACTTCAACAATGAGCAATCTGGTCTTCAACATCCCCATTTAAGTTTACGCTATGTGCTAAAGTTCAGTTTATTAATTGCTAAATTCCAGTATACATAGATACGAGCATCAGAATTTTTAACCCATACCCACCTGGGAAATAGCTTCATCCTTCAGAGTACAGTGATTATGTGCAGTTTCTTTTGTCTCTAGTCTTACTCGAGTCATTTCTAGCATTGCTTGAGTCAGTACCATTTTCCCCATCCTTTTCAGTGAGGTTTCATAAATTCATAATAGGTTATGTTATTGCTGCCTGCATTCCTTTCTGAGCTCTTCCAACATTCTAAATGATTTTTAAAATTTTGCCTACATGTAGGTTACCTTTTGTGCTATTAAGCTCAATGGGTTTTGAAAAATTCATAATGCCATGTATCTATCATTACAGTATCATACAGAATAGCTTCACTGTCCTAAAAACAGCCCCTGAACCCTATCTATTCAGTCCTCTTCTTTTCCTCTTAAACCCCAGGCAACCACTGGTATTTTTATTGTCTCTAAGTTTGCCTTTCAAAAGTGTCATATACTTGCAATTACAGTATAAAGCCTTTCAGGTTGCCTTCTTTTACTTAGTAATATAAATTTAAAGTTTATTCATATGTTTTCATAGCTTAATAATGCATTCTTTGTTACAGAATAACATTCCATCTAATGGATACTCTACAGTTTGTTTATCCGTTTATTAATATTTATTGAAGAACATCTTTGTTGCTTGTAATTTTGAGTGATTATGAATAAAGCTTCTAAAGATATTCATCTGTAGGTTTTTGTGTGGACATAATTTTGCAGATCAGTTGGGTTAATAGCTTGGAACTTGACTGTGGAATCATAGGGCACTATGGTCTGGATGTGTCTCCCAAAATTTGTGTGTTGGAAACAATTTCCAATGCAACAATTTTGGGATATGAGGCCTAATGAGAGGCATTTGAGTCATGAAGACTCTGTCTTCAGGAATGAATTAATGCTATTATAAAAACGGCTTGTGGGAGTGAGTTTCCTCTTTTGCCCTTCAGCCCTCTGCCATGTGAGGCTGCAAGAAGCCCATAACTGATGTTGGTGCCTTGATTTTGGACTACCCAGACTTTAGAACTGTGAGAAATAAATATCTATTCTTCTTAAACTGCCTAGTCTGTGGCATTCTGTTACAGTATCACAAATGCACAGCGACATATGGCATGATTATGTTTAGCTTTGCGAGAAAACACCAAACTGTTTTCCAAAGTGGCTGCATCCTCTTAGCAATGAACGAGCATTCCTATTGCTCTGCCAGTAATTTACATTGTGTTTTAAGATTTTAGTTATTCTAATGTATATATTATGGTATCTCATTATTGTTTTCACTTGCAATTCTGTAATGACAAATGACAAACGATGTTGCGCATTTTTTTCTTTCGGTATACTTTTTTTTTTAAAGTCTGTATATCTTCTGTGGTGATATATCAGGTCTTTTGCTTATTTTTAAGTAAAGTTTTTTCTTTTTTGTTAGTTTTAAGAGTTTTTTTTGTATATTTTAAACACAAGTCCTTTATCAGATATGTGTGTTGCAAATAATTTCTTCAAGTTTTTGGCATGTCTTTCATTCTCTTTACGGTATATTTTGTAGGGCAAAAGTTTTGATTTTAACAAAGTCCAATGTATCATGTTTTTCTTTCATGGAGTATGCTTTCAGTGTTATACAAGGTGTCCAAACCCATGGTTATCTAGCATTCTTCCTCTGTTATCTTCTAGAAGAGCTGGTACTAATCCTACTGAAACTATTCCAAAAAATCAAGGAGGAGGGACTCACTCACTAATTCTACAAAGCCTGCATCACCCCGATACCAAAATTTGGCAAAGACACAATGAAAAAAGAAAACTGCAGGCCAACATGCCTGATGAACATAGAGTAAAAATCCTCAACAAAATACTAGCAAACTGAATACAGAAGCACATCAAAAGTTAATTTGCTATGACCACATAGGCTTTTTCCTGGGATGCAACATTGGTTCAACATATACAAATCAATAAATATGATTCACCACATAAACAGAATTAAAAACAAAAACCATATGATCATCTCAATAGATGTACAAAAAGCTTTTGATAGAATTCAGTTTCTTCATGAAGAAAACATCAACAAACTAGGCATTGAAGGAACATACTTAAAATAATAACCATCTATGACAAACCCACAGCCAACATTATCTTAAATGTGCAAAAGTTTGAAGCAATTTCCTTAAGAACAGGAACAAGACAAGGATGCCCTGTCTCACCACTCCTATTCAACATAGTACTGAAAGTCCTAGCCATAGCAATCAGACAAGAGAAGGAAATAAGAGGCATCCAAATATGAAAAGAAGTCAAATTGTCCCTCATTGCTGATATGATTCCATACCTAAAAAACCCTAAAGATTCCACTGAAAGGAACTTAGTGCTGATAAAAGACTTCAGTAAAGTCTCATGATACAAAATCAATGTACAGAATCAGCAGCATTTCTGTCCACCAATAATGTTGAAACTGAGAGCCAAATCAAGAATGCAATCTTATCTACAATAACCACAAAAAATAAAATACCTAGGAATACATGTAGCCAAGGAGGGGAAAGATCTCTACAAAGAGAACTGCTATGTACTTCTGAAAGAAATCATAGATAACACGAACAAATGGAAGAATACCCATGGATTGGAAGAGTCAATATTGTTAAAAATGGCCATGATGCCCAAAGCAATCTATAGATTCAGTGCTATTCCTATCAAACTACCAATGTCATTTTTCATAGAAATAGAAAAAAACTATTCTAAAATTCACATGGAACCAGAAAAGAGCCTGACTACCCAAAGTAGTCCTAGGCAAAAACAAAACAAAAGAAAACAAAACAAAACTGAAACAAACAAACAAAAAAACAAAGCCGAGACATTACATTACCTAACTTCAAACTATACTACAAGGCTACAGTAACCAAAACAATAATGGTACTGGTACAAAAATAGATACATATACCACATAAATCAATGGAAAAGAATAGAGAGCCCAGAAATACAAATGCGCATCTACAATTATCTGATCTTCAACAAAGTCTACAAAAATAAGCAGTGGGGAGAGGACTGTCTATTTGATCAATGGTAATGTGATAGCTGACTATCCATATGCAGAAGAATGAAGCTGGACCTCTACCTTTCACCATATACAAAAGTAAATTCAAAATAGATTAAAGATTTAACTGGAAGACTTCAAATTATAAAATGTTCTAGAAGAAAACCTAGGAAATGTCATTCTGGACATCAACCTCTGCAAAGTATTTATGACTAACTCCTCAAAAGCAATTGCAACAAAATTAAAAATTAATAAATAGTGCCTAATTAAACTAAGGAGCTTCTGCACAGCAAAAGAAACTATGAGTAGAGTAAACAGACAACTAGAGAACAGGAAAAATATTTATAAGCTATGCATCCAACAAAGGTCTAATATTAAGAATCTATAAGGAACTTAAACAGTTGAACAAGCAAAAAACAAACAATTTCATTAAGAAGCAGGCAAAGGATAGGAAAGTCAAGTCTCAGGATATAAAACTTCTACAGACACTTCTCAAAAGAAGACATCCAAGTGGCCAAAAAACATATGAAAAAACACTCAACATCACTAATCATCAGAGAAATGCAAATCAAAATGACAACATGATATCATTTTACACCAATCAGAATGGTTATTAAAAAATAAAAAAACCCACAGATATTGGCGAGGCTGCATAGAAAAGGGAACATTTATACACTGATAGTGGAAATATAAATTATTTCAGCCACTGTGAAAGGCAGTTTGGAGATTCCTTAAAAAATTCAAAATAGAACTACCATTTGACCCCAGGAATCCCATTTCTGGGTATATCCCCAAAGGAAAATAAATCGCTGTACCAAAAAGACACATCTATTAGTATGTTCATTGCAGCACTATTCACAATAGCAAAAACATGGAATCAACCTAGGTGCCCATTAACAGTGCATTAAAGAAAGAAAATTTGGTACATATACAACATGGAATACTATGCAGCCATAAAAATAATAAAATTATGTCCTTTGTCCAACATAGATGCAGCTGGAAGTCATTATCCTAAGCAAATTAACTCAGCAACAGAAAACCAAATACTGCATGTTTTCACTTCTAAGTGGGAGCTAAACATTAGTTACACATGGACGTAAAGATGAGAGCAACAGTCACTGGAGACTAGTAGACATGGGAAGGAAGGAGGAGGAGGGAAAGGGCTGAAAAACTGTCTATTGGGTCCTAGGCTCTCTACCTGCATGACAGGATCATTAGTACCCCAAACCTCAGCATTATGCAATATATACCCATGTAACAAACCTGCACATGTACTCCTGAATCTAAAATAGAATTTGCAATTAAAATTTTTTTAAAATTTAATTCATTAATATAAGTTATCTCTCTATTTAACTCTTCTTCAATTTCTCTGGTCAGTGTTTTGTGGTTTTCCTCATATATACCTTTTACATATTTTTTCTTAGGTTTATGCCTGAGTATTTCTTATTTTTGGTGTAATTGTAAATTGTGTTGTATTGCTAATTCCAATTTGCAATTATTCATTGCTGATAGGTAGGAAAGCAATTAAGTTTTATATATTAACCTTTTATACTATGACCTATAACTGTTTATTAGTTCTGGTAGTTTTAAAATGATTCTTGGGAGGCAATTTCTGCATAGAAAATTATGTTTCCTGTGAACAAGGACAGTTTTATTCTTTCCTTCCCAATCTGTATACAATTTATTTCCTTTTTAAATCTTTTTTCGCTCTCTAGGGGCTTCATTACAAAGTTGAATAGGAGTGGAAAGAGGGGATATCCTTGCCTAGTTCCCAACTTTAGAGAGAAAGCATCTAGTTTCTCTATATTAAGTAAAATGTTACATATAGTTTTTTTTGTAGCTGTTCTTTATCGAGTTTAACAAGTTCTTGTGTATTCCTAGTTTATTGAGAGTTTTTATCATAAACCGATGTGGAATTTTGTCAAATACTTTTTCTGCATCAATTGATATGATCATTAGATTTTCTTCTGTATCATGTTGATGTGGATTATATTAATTGATTTTGAATGTTGAATCCTTCTGGCATACCTAGAATAAATCCCACTTGGTTGTAATGTATAATATTTCTTACACATTGTTGTATTTAGTTTGCTAATATGCTATGAGAATTTTTGCATCTATAGTCATTATAGATACTGTTCTGCAGTTTTCATTTCTTGTAATGGCTTTGTATGGTTTTAGTATTAGGGCAAAGCAGATCTCATAGGATGAGTTATGAAGTGTTCCTTTTGCTTCCATTTTTGGAAGAGATTGTGAAATATTGACATAATTTACTTTTTAAATATTTGATATAATTCACCAGTGAAGTTATCTGGGTCTGGTGATTACATTTTTAGAAATTTACTAATTATTGATTCAGTTTCTTTAATAGTTATAGACCTATTCAGAAGGTCTGTTTTTCCTAGTGTGAGTTGATAAATTTGTTTCTTTCAAGGAATTGGTCTTTGTTGTGAGCATGTAATTGCACGTAGCATTTCTTTATAATCTTTGTAACATTCATGAAATCACTGTGGTGACTCCTCTTTTCTGAAATTGGCCATTTGTGTCTTCTCTTTTTTTTCTTTGTTAGACTCTCTGAAGGTTCATCAATTTTATTAATCTTTCCAAAGAACCAGCGTTTGGTTTATTTGATTATCTCTGTGGTTTTCCTGTTTTCATTGTTACTTATTTCTGCTTTAATTATATTATTTCTTGTCTTCTTTTTACTTTAGGCTTATATTGCTCTTCTTTCTCTAATTTCCTTATATGGAAGCCTAAGTTATTGAATTTCCATCTCTCTTCTCTTCTTTTTAATACATCCATTTAATGCTATGCATTTCCCTCTATACATTGCTTTTGCTGCATCCCACAAATTTGGTAAGTTTTCATTCTCATTTAGTTAAAATATTTTAAAATTATCTTGAGATTTCTTCTTCTACACATGTTATTTAGAAGTATATTGTTTAATCCTCAAATATCTTGGGATTTTGCAGCCATCTTTCTGTTGCTGACTTCTAGTTTAATTCCACTGTGGTCTGAGAACAGACATTGTAAGATATCTATTCTTTTAAATTTCGTAGTGTGGCTTATGGCTTAGAATATTGCCTGTCTTGGTGAGTGTGTCATGTGAACTTGAGAAGCATGTGTATTCTGTCATTGGTTGATGTAGTATTTTATAAGTGTCAACTAGATCAAGTTGATTACTAGTGCTATTCAGGCCAATTTTTTGTTGTTGTTGTTTTGCTTTTTGTTTGTTTGTTTTTACTGATTTTCTACCTGCTTGTTCTATCAGTTGCTGAAACAGGGATATTGAAATCTCCAACTATAAATAGTCTATTTCTCTATATCTCATTGTAGTTTTAGCAGTTTTTGCTTCACGTATTTTGTTAGGGATATTAGGGATGTTGTTAGGGATGTTAATAGTTGTTATGTCTTATTAGAGAATTGACCCCTTTATCATTATGTAATGCCCATCTTTATCTCTGATAATTTTTTTTTTGCTCAGAACTCTATTTTGTCTAAAATTAATACAGCTACTCCAGCTTTCTTTTGGTTGATGTTAACATGATAGTTTTTTCTCTACTCCTTTACTTTTAATCTTTTCATGTTTTTAAAGTGGGTTTCTTCTAGAGAACATACAGTTGGACCCTTTAAAAAAATCCTCTCCAACAATATCTATTTTTAAAACTGGTTTATTTAGATCATTCACATTTAATATGATTATTGATAAAGTTGGATTAATTATCTACCATGTTTGCAGCTGTTTTGCAATCATTACACTTATTCGTTGCTTCTTTTCTTTCTTCCCCTCTATTAGTTTGCTAGGGCTGCCATAAGAAAATACCATAGACTGGATGTCTTAAATAACATACATTAATTTTCTTACAGCTCTGGATGCTGGAAGTCCAAGATCAAGATGTTGGTAGGGTTTATTTCTTGTGAGACCTCTCTCCTTGGCTTGCAAATCATTGCTTTCTTGCTGTGTCCTAATGTGGTCTTCTCTCTGTGTATGATTTTGTCTTGATCTCTTCTTCTTAAAAGGACACCAATCATATTGGGTTAGGACCCATGCTAAGGACCTCATTTTATGTTATTATCTCTTTAAAGGCCGTATCTCCAAATACAGTCACATTCTGAGGTTCTGAGAACTTTTACATATGACTTTGGCAGGTTGGGGGCAGGCAAAATTCAACCTCTCACACCTTCTCTTTCTACCTTCTCTTGTCTTAATTGAGTATTTCATAAGATTCTATTTTCTCCCCTCTCTTAGTATAACTGTTATTCTTCTCTTTAAATTTCTTTTCATCCACTAGAGTTTGCAATATATATTTACAACTAATATAAGATCATATGCCACTTCACCTGTAGTGCAGATACCTTAAAACAATGTAGTTCTTATTTTTTCCTCCTATTTCTTACAATGTTGCTTTCACTAATTAAAATTACCCATATACTACAATCACTCAAAACTTTATTACTATTATTACTCTAAACAAAGAGTTACCTTTTAGATCAATTAAGAATAAGAAAAACTGAAGACTATTTTACGTTTATTCACTTTTCCTCAAGGTTCTTTTCTTTTTGTAAACCTGAGTTTTTGATCTATATCATTATTCTTCTCTCTGAAGAACTTTTAACATTTCTTGCAGGGCCCACTGCTGGATTTGAGTTGGATTTGTTTGTTTAAGAAAGTCTTTCTTTTTCCTTTTTGAAGGAGAAGTTCACTGGGTATGGAAATCTCAATGGGTGGTTTTTGTTTTTCAACATGTAAGTACCTCACTCCACGCTCTTCTTGCTTGCATGGTTTCTGATAAGAAGTCCACTGTAATTCTTGTTCTTGGTCTTCTATAGGTCATGTGCTCTTTTTTCTGGCTTCTTTTAATACTTTTTCTTTGCTTTTGTTTTTCTGAAGTTTAAAAATAATATGTCTACATTTTTTTTTTGGTGTTTATTCTGCTTGGTGTTCTCTCAGTCTCCTGGAACTGTGGTTTGGTGTTCTCATTAATTTTGAAAAATTCTCTGTCATTATTACAGCAAATATTTTTCTCTGTTTTCTCTTTCTTCCTCTTCTTGTATTCTAATTATGTATCTATTATACCTTTGAGATTATCGCAGTTTTGGTATTTTTTTGATATTTTGTTTTCTGATATTTTCTTTTTTTCCCCATTCTTTTTCTGTCCCCTTCTTATTTTACAGATTTATTATGGGTTTCCTTGTAAAAAGAGACCAAAATAAATGTGGGGCTACCTCCTATCTATAGAATAAGGAATCACACAGTACCTTAGTCACATAACAAAAGCAAAAAAAAACAAACCCAAAATTAAAAACTGTTTTACCTTTCAACTGCTGATATTATGTATAATATATCACAAGTAAGCATAGCTGTGCATTCATGAGATTCGTGAGCTGATTCTATTAACTTGTAGAATTTTAGAGATGAGCACATGTAAGCATATGGATACTGCCCTACCTTACAAAGTAAAAGCAAGCATTTTCTATTAATTTTTTTATTTCTGTGTAAAACAAAGAACTCCTAGAGGTCAAATAAGAAAATTATACCAAACTCAAAGCACTATTAAGTCATGAAAAAAAGAAGACTCTGAGGTACAAGTCAAACAATATAATTCATAATTTTAGGTATTCCCAGCAACCATCACATCTCACAAGTAAGATCTATTAAAAAAAAAATCTCAAGTTCCAAAATATCAATAATCTAGTCTCTAAAATCAGATGTAAGACTATGACCAACAGAAGACACCCAAATTTTTGTCACGGTAGCAAAGTAAATGGTTTTACTAAAAGCTGCTGACATTTCTATCAGTAGTAACCGTAAGGAGGCTGCTGGTTTTAACCATAGTGCCAATATTGGTGGGGATAGTAAGGTTCTTGTCTGTGTTATGGGTAATGTTACCCCCAGAATCTTCCATGCCACTGATTGGATCAATTGTCACTTGGCCATCCCTGGCTGCTATCCCTGCCTCTGAACTGTCTGTTATCTTGAGACTGATTGTCTCTATTTCTTTGGTTCCCAGCAGCTCTGCTATTCCATTCCTCAACAATTAGAGGGGACCCAGGAGGGCATTTCAGGTATTGCTGATACTCCCTGTCACCTTCTGTGAATCTACTAGCAAACATCTCTTCAAAAGTTGGAACAGCTTTGGAAGTGTCAGTCATTCTGAAATTCCCAAAGATTTGAGGAAGGTGTATTGCTTAATGTTCAGGTTGTTTAAAATCCACCAAAGGCTGTGTCAATCCACCTTGGGCCGAACCCCACCAGAGAGACACTGAGAGGTTGCAGGAGAGGTGCCTCTGGCCCACCACGCCTGGAAGTCCAGACCACTCCAGCTCCTAAGGTAATGGAGTCCCTCCCACTAGCATCTGACAACCACCTCCCATCTTTTTTCTCTTTACATTTTGCTTTGGGAAACTTCTACTGACATGTCTTCAAGCTCAGTGGTGTTTTGTTTTTGTTTTTTCTTTTCTTGGCCATGTCCAGTCTTCTGATAAGCCTATCAAAGGCATTATTTATTTCTGTTACATCAAAAAAAAAAAAGAAAGAAAAAAATGAGCAAACCTCTCAGGAGCCACCCCCAATTAATGAGGGACAGAATTTCTACCATTTTCTTTTGATTCATTAGAATTTTTATCTCTCTGCTTATGTTACCTGATTACTTGATTGTGTTTGTTTTTGCACATTGTGTACATTTTGCATTAAAGCCTTTAACATATTAATCATAGGTATTTTAAATTCTTTTCTATTCCACTCTGTGTATCTATGTGTACACATTATTTAGCTCCCACTTATAAAGGAGAATATGCAGTATTTGACTTTCTGTTTTGGGGTTATTTCACTTTTGATAATGACCTTCAGTTCCATCCATGGTGCTATAAAAGACATGATTTTATTCTTTTTTATGCTTCGGTGGTATTCCACGGAGACCTAGAAAGGCAGGAGGGTGGTGAGGGATGAGAAAATACCTAATAGGTAAAATGTACACTATTTGGGTGATGGTTACACTAAAAACTCAAACTTCTCCACTATGCAATATATCCATGTAACAAATCTATACCTGTACTCCATAAATCTATATAAAAAAATTCCCTCTCTGATAATTCCAGTGGCTATATTATATCTGAATTTTATCCTGATACTTGTCTCCTCAGATTGTGCTACTGCCCCTTGAAGTGTGCTTATATGTATTAGATAAATGTATCTCTCTGTGTATATATCTGTTAGTTACAGTAGTGCTTGGCATAAAGTAAGCACTGGATAAATATTAGCTGTTATTGTAACCAGTCCTTCTTCCCCATTTTGCACACATCACCCCTGTCTTTATGTAATGAGTCTAGTGGCTTTCTCTCCAGGACTCCATTTTGGCTTTCTTGAACATAGATATATAGCCACTGATTAGGGGAGAGGGATAGTTTTCTGGCCAGCTTTATACTCCACTTTAAATTGCTGGCATCTAAATTTAAATCCAACCTCAGGTTTTTAACGGTTTTGCTAGCGTACTGAGTCCAGCATATAATTCCTCATGCCTAGTGCCTACAGGGTGTGGTACAAGATGTACCTTTCTGGTTTGGCATTGGCTTCCCTGATGAACTCCTTCCACTTCCAACCTACCCATCCACCCTTCTCTTATGTGAAATTATATTCTTTGGCCATTGCATTTCATGTAATTGTAGCATTTAATTTTGAACTCATGCCCGGAGGCCTGTGGGCAGTGGGCATGTTTAAAGAAATCTAATAAATGAAGGGAAATAAACGTACAGGGTAAAAAGTAAATGGGCCAATACTATTCAGAGAAAAACCTCAAAGTGCCTGTCTGCTTGCAGGAACAAAAATAATTTTAGAACAAGTCAGTAATGTAAACAAGGTGAAAAAAAATATTTTACTTAGTAAATACGGTAGGTTCATGTTTTCTACCTTACTCCTGGGTCTTTGCTTCGTAAGAGCAGCCTTTTGACCCTCTTCTAGTGAATGAAGTGCCTTGGCCAGAAGTCAAGGTAGGTCAGCCTTTCACTCAGTTCAGTTTGTGGGTGGACAAGAATATATTCAGGCTGAGGAATAATTTAATTTTCTCTTGTTAGCTCCATTGAGAAAAGGATTGTATGCATTGAGTCTACCCCAATGGGAAAGTTCTCAATCTCCCCATAAACACTTCTTTCATTTGGTTGTTCACTTTGACCCTGCTTGTGCTTTGGTGGACTTAGTTCTATTCTGTTCCATCCTCAACAAAATGAAGTGGGTGCCAAAGCACCTGGTCACATGGATGCACACGAATGTGCAGATGGCCACACCAGGGTTAAAAGTCAGAAAGCACTCCTCTCTGTATGCATTTTACTATATATATATATAGAGAGAGAGAGAGAGTAAATTATAAATAAATATATGTATAATTATATATATTTATAAATATATATGTAATTTTTTTGAGATGGAGTTTTGCTGTTATTGCCCAGGCTGGAGTGCAGTGGCAAGGTCTCGGCTCACTGCAACCTCCACCTCCTGGGTTCAAGCAATTCTCCTGCCTCAGCCTCCCGAGTAGCTGGGATTACAGGCGCCCACCACCCCGCCCAGCTAATTTTTTGTATTTTCAGTAGAGATATGGTTTCACCATGTTGGCCAGGCTGGTCTCGAACTCCTGGCCTCAGGCAGTCCAGCCATCTTGGCCTCCCAAAGTGCTGGGATTACAGGCGTGAGCCACCACACCCAGCACTAATTGATATATTTTTAAAACTATATACACACACACACAGTTGATAAATAGGAAGAATTTTTGTTTATGCATTTGTTTTGTTAATGTGACCCCTCTCGAGGAGTAACTATGCCTTACATACATAGAATGCTTTGTACTTGAAAGAGCACATGCACACATACGGTGGTGGAAAAAGCCTGGTAGTGATAGTTAGGATACTTGGTTCAAATCCCGCCTTTGCTAATTGTCAGTTCTGTGATATGAAGCAAATGATTTAATCTTTCTGAGCCTCAGATTTTCATGTGTTAAATGGAGACTGTCATTATAGATAGGTATACCATTCTTGTGTGAGGAATGCAGTTTTTTTTTGTTGTTGTTGTTATTGTTGTTGTTTGAGATAGAGTCTCGCTTTTGTTGCCCAGGCTGGAGTGCAGCGGTGTGATCTTGGCTCACTGCAACCTCTGCCTCCCGGATTCAGGCAATTCTCCTGCCTCTGCATCCTGAGTAGCTGGAATTACAGGCACCTTCCACCATGCCCGGCTAATTATTGTACTTTTAGTAGAGACAGGGTTTTGCCATGTTGGCCAGGCTGGTCTTGAACTCCTGACCTCAGGTGATCCGCCTGCCTCGGCCTCCCAAACTGTTGGGATTACAGGGGTGAGCCACTGCGCCCAACCGGAATGCATTTTAAAATGCCTGTGAAGATATTTTGTGAATTCTAAAGCAGTACATAAATATTAGTAGTGATTAATCTTTTCATCCATCCCATGAAGTAATTGAGGCAAATATTTTTATCCTCATCTAAAAGTAAGAAGCCTTAGTGTAGCAAGTGCTATGTGTGCCCAGCCCATATACCTTTATCTCATGTGAGAAGTTGCCAGCAGATGCTTCTCCTGCATTTGGCCAGCTTCCTGGGTCTGTCTGCGTGAGGGTGCCCTTTGACCTTGGGGCAGGCCAAAAATGCTGGAGAGATAACACCTCAAGAGCTACCCCCATTAATGCTGAACAGGAGTAGGTGGGTAAATTCCCAGCTTCTTCCCCGATGTGGTGGGACAACTTTGAGCTATGTCCTGCATAGTGTCTCAGAGAGTTGTGGGTGTGGTTTGGGGGTGGATTAAGCAACAGCTGTCCTGAGGAATACAATGTTCACCAACACTCCCTTCCCTGCCCCACTCTTCACTAGCTGATAGTGTTTTCTCAAATTGCACCACCACCACCATCACCACCACAAATAAGCTACATGCACCAAAATCCTTGGGGTCTGATTTGGGGAGGACTCCAATAAGACAAGACTCAGAGGTTTAGGGATTCACACAAGGTCACATTTCTGTTGAAACACACCACCATTGTGTTACAGGATTACACATGCAGGGACCTGAAAAACAATGGTATTTGATTTTTAAATGAAAAATACAATGGTTATTGAGGAAAAAAATAAACTTTTCCTCCTTTGTCCTTGGAGTTATTAATATATAGCATATTTTAAAAAGATATGGGCAGAATTATAAATCTTATGGTGAATAGATAAAAGTTGTACAGCCAATAAAAATGAGATCTGGGTAACAAGGATGATGAATGTGCTGAGGTTTAAAAAAAATTCCGAAACCATAGAAACAGTTATCTTTATAATAAGAATTGTTAAATATTTATCTTTATAGTAATAAAGAACAATAAAGGAAGGACATTTTTACTTGGAGATGGTGGCATAAAGTTAACCTAAGCAGAAAAGGCAGAAACACTTGAATTTTTTTCTCTTACCTTTTTTTTTCTTCATGGAGACAATCTTTAAATGATATAATTTGGTACTTACTTGCTTAAGATTGAATTGTGACTCAAAGTTTACAGAGGAACTATTATGGGAGCATTTAGCTGCTTTCAATGAGTTCCTAAGCCTAGACCCTGTTCAATATCATGTACTGGAACAGTTAGAAGATATAATAAAAGAATCACTTCAATAACTGTCAACTTACTGTGAAGACTTGGAGATATGCCAAAACACATAAATCTGTAATGCAGAAACTACAGACAAATACATCTGAAATTTCTTCTAAACAGAAACTTGTAAAGTGGATTCTTAGAATATAGTTATTTAATATTTAGAAAATGAAACTGATCATCACTAGGGAGCAGGAAAGGCCTACTAAATAGACTACTAGAATCAACCTTATTTAAAAATTTGAATTGCATTATCAGATGTATACCAGGAGAGTGCTTTGTGTACTGAATATTGTGTATACACAATAACATACTGATTTGTAGTTTTTCATGGCAACGTTGTGTACTAAATGAAGAAATGTTGACTAACTAGAATTTTCACTTGGATTCAGAACTTATTGACCAATCGTTCAAAGAATGGCTGCTAATTTTGCTATTAATATTTAGTTTTGGAACAGTGAAGTTGGTATGGTTTTGATATCAGATCTGGGTTCAAATCCCTGCTGTTTCTAAGTGAACCATTATACTTAGTTTTATGTAGTTTCCTACACTACAAAAAGCAAAGAAAAAATAATACTTATTTAATAGTGTTGTGATGACTAGATTAAATAAAGTATGTCAAAGAGCTTTATAAATTATTATGCCTTAGATAAATTCTAGTTATTATTGTATTTCAGCCAAACTGTGTTTAAATTTCCAATTATGAGAAAGTCTAAATCTGGACTATGTTTCTGCTTATCTATTTATGTCAGAATAAAAGTACAAAATAGTCTCCATCATTAGAGAAAGTTCAATACTTTGCTAAATTAAAAACTCATTTATTTTTAGAGCAGGTACAAAATTATTTGAGCTGATTATTAAGGCTGCTTCGACAAGGGCACAGCAAACTTGGACGATGGGCTAAACCTAGTTCACCATCTACTTTGCAGTTTTATTGGAGCACAGTCATGTCCATTCACTGATGTATTGTCTATAATTGCTTCCAAGCTATGACGGCAGAGTTAAGTGGTTGTGACAGAGACCGTATAACCCACAACATGCAAAAGATCTGGTGCTTTATAGGAAAAGTTTGCTGACATCTTGACCTACACAAAAATGTCTATAGTGTGTAGCCATACCTAATCATATGTGGGGAGGATATGTTTAGCAAAGATAAGGCAATTCTGGAGTTTACCAATTACAGTAATCAGAATGAAAGTCCAAATACTATAAAGACTGTGTGCATTTTGTCTAATAAAGTCACAAGGGAGTTATTAATTTTTGTAAGCTCATAGAGAGTATAACACAAAGAATAGGGCTTTGGAGCACAATTTTAAAAAGTCTTTGGTATTGGAATTCCAGGAGCTGGCCTGAAGAACTTCTTGGGAATAAAGACTCCAAAGAGAAGCTGAGTGTTGCTTTGGGACTGCCTGGCTGGAACTTCCCTGTTTTACTTTGATGTATGTACTGGACCAATGCTATCATGAATCCAATCATTCCTGAGAGCTGAGGAAATTCTCTCTGAAGTTTCCAGAAGCTATAAGCATTATGCTGCTGAAAAACGCATTATTTCCAGTAGTAGTTGCTTTGTGCTAAGAACCTGGCAGAATGAACTTTGTGTAGTAGTTTGGCTCAGCCACTTTTGAAACAGGCAATTGCCTTTACTAAAATAGGAACCAATGCCCTCCTTTGCCCCACATTTACACTAGATCCAAATTTTCTTAGAGACAAGCACTTGCCCTGTTTCCCAGGCTGGAGTGCAGTGGTGCAATCATAGCTCACTGGAGCCTCAAACTCCAGGGCTCAAGTGATCCTCTTGCCTCAGCCTCCCAAGTAGCTGGGACTACAGGCTTGTTGCGCTCAGCTTCTTTAAGAAGTTTCAAAATAATTCAATGCTTTTCCAAGAACATTTTCAAGCAAGAAAGTCATCAGAATAGTCTTATTCTGATTTCTTTTTAATTTTTTTATTTTTTAAATTTTATTTGTTTCAGATTTGGAGGCACATGTGCATATTTGTTACATGGGTATACTATGCACTGGTGGGGACTGGGCCTCTAGTGCATGTGGATTTCTGTTTCAGTGGTCAAGGTTAAATGAAGACATTAATAAATGGTATTTTGTAAGATTTCAGACTGATCAGAGATGGTGGTCTGGATGATGCTGGAAGCTCAGCCATAGTAATGTTGTTAATGGTGGGCTCTACTCATTAGTTAGAGCGAGTGGACTGCTAAGTTATGATAATAAAAACTCTAATATTGAACTTACTATTTATTTGAGGGCTGAGTAAGTCTTTGATAAATTTTGTAAGTTTATGATTTGGGCTGGTGGAAATAAATTATGAGTAGGATATCTATCTATATTACTCTTCTAGAGGTGAGATGAACTGAATTGTATGAAGGGAAAAAGGACAGCTAGAAGTAGTCTTTAGAAAGCTACTGAAGCTTTGATATGATTTGGCTGTGTCCCCACCCAAATCTCACCTTTAATTGTAGCTCTCATAATCCCTAAGTGTTGTGGGAGGGAGCTGGTGGGAGGAAATTGAATCATGGGGATGGGTTTTTCCCCATGGTGTTCTTATGATAGTGAGTAAGTCTCATGAGATCTGATGGTTTTATAAAGGGCAGTCCCCTTACACACGCTCTCCTGCCTATTGCCATGTAAGACATGACTTGCTCTTTCTTCACCTTCCGCCATGATTGTGAGGCCATCCCAGACATACTGAACTCTTGAGTCAATTAAACCTCTCTCCTTTATACATTACCCAGTCTCTGATATGTCTTTATTAGCAGCATGAGAATGGAGTAATATAAGCTTTCTCTAGTAAGTTGAACTAGGTCTCTAGAAATATGTGCATATTTCCTAATCTTAAGTAGAGCATAGATAACCTTAAACTAAATCATAGAGGTTTAGAGTTTGGAACATTTGCAATAATTTATTTCCATCTTTTCCAACTTTAACCCCATTTTGTAGATTATAAAAAACTGAGGAAGATGAAATGATTTTGCTATTGTCATACATCGAGTTTCTGTAAGAACACAGATTAGAACTTGACCCTTTGGTGTAATGCCGTTTCCTCTATACAACATTCCAAAGCTAATTGAGAGGGAGTGTGCCTGTGAAGGAATTCAGCTAATGGGGTATGAACTGAGGGAACCAAGTTGTGTTAAGTGAGCATGGCCAATACTGAGGATGCCTGAGGCTGAGTACTGAGGAAATGACAGTTTGAAATGGATCTGAGAGGAAAATTATTGCCATGGCAGAAACAATGTGGACAACTTTATGCTGGTGACTAATTATAACTAGAAGATTTTAAGAAGTCATTTTAATTAGCAAGTCCTTAACAGTCTAATGAGAAAAGTGAATGCTAATAAGCATGTCTGACATCCTAGACCCTGTCAAAATCCTGTCAGGAATGTGGCGAGTGGTGCTCCCGACAGGGAGGCAGTGAATGAACGACACAGGCTGACAGGGCAGGCCTCTTAAAGGGCACACACTTTTAGCGACTGATTTTTGAATAGAAGAGAAGACACAATATGAGGACATTTGGAATTTGAGTGGGGGGATTGGAATATAATCATCATTTAACTTAATAATTTATCTATGTTATTACAGGTGAACAAACAATTTCACATGCGTTTATAAACTGTGGGAAGTCTCTCTCTAACCTGTGTAGGAAGATTTCTGGTTCCAACAAGGATGATGCCCTCTTCTCTCAAATTAATCCTGGAGAAAAGAAAAAAAATTAACAGAAGTGAAACATGAATTCTAACAATGAATAAAACCAACCAACAGACTGTGGGAACACCCTGAGGGTACAGAAGACTATTTGCACTTGCGTGTGTCAGTTTCAGCCAGGGGAAGAAGGTGGCCCAAGGTGGCAGTGGAGCTTTCTGGATTCTGCTCTTGTCCTTCTCTGGCTTTACTTCAAGACAGCCATCACTCGCCTCTTCACTGCAGAGGTGACCCAGGATCACAGAGAGGCTGCATAAATATTGCTGAGGGAGGAGTTAATGAAAACAAGGGCTTCTGGACCCATTTGCCTTACCCCTACCCTTCAGACCCACAGGGCTCGTGGATTAAAATCTAGGGAGGCTACCTTCTCATAATGCATCTTCTCCTTAAGGTTTAAGGTCAAGACCTGAGCAATAGAGTTACATGATGGGTTCCTACAAATCAGGGTAATTCACAGTGGTTTGGTGATGTCTGGGATTTCCACATGGAGGCTCATTCTCTCTTTATTAACTCACTTAAACTGGGCAGGGTAGCTGGTATCCTCACGGGAAGACTTCTGGGCTAAAATGACCAGACATCTAAGGGGTACATGCATTCTCTGAAACGGAAATATTAGAAGTGGACTAAGAATTTAAAATAAATATGATAGAAACACTTAAGCTGATAAGGGAAAATACTAGCAGTGTAAGACAAAGCAATGACAACAAGTGGAATAATAAAATATGGCTTAAAAGGAAGAAAAATATATAGGAGGACAGATATAACTGAAAAAATAAATTAATGCAGTAGAACAGTTAATTGAGAAATTCTTCCAGAAGGCAGCAGGAATGTATATAAAAAAGAAAATAAATAGAGAAATTTAAAAAGCTAACAGGCATGGTGGATAGAAGTGCCAATATCTAGTATTAGAACACTCAGAAGGAAAGTGGAGATATATGGAAGGAAATAATCTGGAGAAAGAATAGAGGTAATTACTCCTACTTAAAAAAAAGACAGAAGACTTCAGTTTGAAAGGGCTAATGAATTGTCAAACATAAAAGAAAAGGAAAACCCACCCTACACATTATGATAATATCTAAGAACATCAAGTACAAAGAAAAAGTTCTACAAGTTGCCAGAAAGTGAAGATTAACTAAAATAAACAAGAATGAGATTGGTATCAGATTCCTTAACAGCAACACGGTGTGAGAAGCCAGTGAAGCAGTCCTTTTAAAATACTGAAAGAAAATAACATTGAACATAAAGCTTTACATCTAATAAAATTGCCATTTGATTGTGAAGGGTAATGAAAATATTCCCAGGTATGGAAGGTCTCAAATTTTTGTTTTATGAAAGGATACATTGAAAATGTTTTGGGGAAAGTACTGTTTAGAAGTAAATATACTCAGATATACTCAAGTATATTTAGAAGTAAATATACTTAAGATATATGCTGAAAGAGAGAAGGAGAAAGTATTTTGGGATTCTAGACAATATCAACATGATGTAGGATGTGGATCATAGGACACTAAGGGACCACGGAACCTGTCAGACCACTTCTATGTTTAGGGAGAAGACACAGATCTTGACAGACTGATTGTATTAGTTTGCTAGGGCTGCCATAACAAAGTACCACAGGCTGACTGGTTTAAATGACAGAAGTTTATTTTCTCACAATTCTGGAGGCCGTAAGTCCAGATCAAGGTCTTGGCAAGGTGGGTTTTCCCTGAGGCCTCCCTCATTGACTTGTAGTTGGCTGTCTTTTTCCTACGTCTTCACAGACATGCATCTGTATCCTAATTTCTTTTTATAAAGACACTAGTTATGTTGGATCAGGACTCATCCTAACAACCTTATTGTAACTTAAAAATCTCTGTATAGACCCTATCCCCAAATATAGTCACATTCTGAGGTACAGGGGTTAGGACTTCAGCATACGAATTTTGAGGGGACACCATTTAGCCTGTAACACTGATGTCTTCCAAACCCATGCCCATAAGCATACTAACCAGTGATCATTCTGATTTTCTGTTGGTCAGTGTCAGTGACGTTTTCAATTGTTATATAGTACTTTGAATACCACATCTAGATATTGCTAAGTTTAAGAAACAAATAAGGACCAGTAATGATACATATCTTATCACTATAAGAACAAAAATAGAACACATAGCTTTTAAACCAGAAGAGAAAATAAGTTGGTCTATTCAATAGAAAATAGGAAAGAGAAAAAGAAGGCAAAACATGCAGTAAATGAAAAATATAAAATGAAAGACCAAATAGCAATTTTAAAAATTACATTAAATATAATGAGTTAAACACTTTTGTTGAAAGAAACAGATTAGATTTTTTAAGAAATGAAACAATATGTTGAGTCCCAAAGATAAATTAAGATAAAGGACATAGAAAGTTAAAAAAAATAAAAAAGATATTTGGAAAATATAAATTGAAAGAAATTTGGGGTAGACATCTTAATAGCTGACAAAATAAAATTGAAAAACCAAAAATTTTAATAGGGACAAAGCAGGATGCTATATACAGTAAAGGAGCAATAGAATAAAAAGATACAACCATTTTAATCTGTTACGCACCTAATCACACAGCTGTAAATAATATCAAAAACCAACCAGCAGAATTTTAGGAAGAAATAGATAAATCAACAGGTGTGGCTGGAAATTTCATACTCACCCCTCAAGAAACCATAAATCAAGCATACACACATACATACACACAAATAAGCAGCAGGATCAAGACCTGAACAGTAAAATATAATAAATTAGCTCATGCTAATATATCTAAATATATATGCATACACTTATGTATCCAACAGAGAATACACATCATTTTCAAGCACACATGGAACATTTATAACAATAAACTATAAATCAATTTCACCAAGTTCTTTGAGCATAATGCAGTAAAATTAAACATAAATTACAAAAAGTCACTAAAACATATCTCATATATTTGAAAGCTAAATATTTCAAAATAATTCATATGTTAAAATTTGTGAATATAGTTAAGCAGAAAAAATTTATAGCTTCAAAAATAACATGAAATAATAAAGTTTTAAAAGAAATGAACTAACTTCAGCTAGTGAAGTGGGAAAAATAGCAGTGACAAAACCAAAGAAACAAGAAGGAAGGAAATGATAAAGATAAAGCTGGAAATGATGAAGACAAAGGTAGACAAAGACAATCAAGAACAGAAGAACAATACAGGAGATTAACAAAACCAAAAACTGATTCTTTGAGAAGATTAACAAAGTAGACCTCTGATAAGATTAATGAAGATAAAAGAAGAAGCAAATAAACAAGGCACATAATGAAAGAGTGACATCACTACAGATACAACAAAGATTTGAAACAGATAACTTTAAGATTTTAGATGAAATACATTCCTAGAAAATATGAAATGCCAAAAATTGTCACAAGAAAACATGAATAAATAAAATAAATAATAAGCTGATATGGTTCTTAAATAATTATCCAACATCAATAGCAACAAACAAAAGTCCCAGGTTCAATTGTTCCAGCCCCTGTTGTTGAATAGTTTATCCTTACCCCATTGAATTGCCTTGGCACTTTTATTGAAAATCCGTGAACTACAGGCTGGTTGAGGTGGCTCATGCCTGTAATACCAACATTTTTGGAGGCTGAGACAGGCAGATCACTTGCAGCCAGGAGTTTGAGACCAGCCTAGTCAAAATAACGAAACCCCCATCTCTACTAAAAATACAAAAATTAGCCAGGTGTGATGGCACATGCCTGTAATCCCAGCTACTCGGGAGGCTGAGGCACAAGAATCACTTGAACCCTGGAGGTGAAGATTGCAGTGAGCCAAGATCATGCCACTGACCTTCTGCCTGGGTGACAGAGTGAGACTGTCTCAAAAAGAAAGAGAAGGAAGGAAAGAAAGAAAGAAGGAAGGAAGGAAAGAAAGGAAAAGAGAAGAAAAGAAAAGAAAATTAATTGACTATAACTTAAGGGTTTATTTCTGTGTCATTGGTGTTTATTATCTATCTTTATGGCAGTACTGTCTTGACTCTTGTAGCTTTATTGTCTTCTGAGATACTGGGAGACTTCGATGGTGGGTGAAAAAGTTATAAGTAGGAGAACAAAAGGGATGGCTGGGGTTGCTCTTCCGATCTCCTTCTCTCTCTCCTTGGATCCCTGGATCTAGTCACAAAAGGTAGGTCTCGGATTGGCTCATGAGCTCTCCTGGGCTTCTGAGAAGCTGACATAGGTCTCAGGGGAAGGAAAAGGGCAACTTTTGTAGCAATAAGTATGAAGAGTTATGAGGGAGGAGCAACTGGTATGGCAGGGGTGGTTCTCCCATATTAGAGAGAACCAGGAAGCCACATTTCCATGGAAACGTCTCAGGTTAGTGATGGAGAGCACTATTTGTGGTAGATGTAAGTAATATTTACCATCACATTTAAGCAAGTAAGCCAATGAGACCCAAGTCTTGGATTTTATTTTATTTTTAAAGTAAAAAAAGAAAGTTTATTTAACTGTTAATATGGTTTACAGATATTTCAAGAAAGCACAGAAAAATATCTACATATAATCTAAATCCCTTAAGGAAAAAGAGAATAAGAAAATTTTTTTGGAACTTTTTAAAGAGTTTTTGAACTCTTGGTGATCTAAGTTTTGCAAATTGGATGCACTTGAAAGAATGTTAGCCTGGGCGTAGTGGCTAGAGCCTCACTCTGTCATCCAGGCTGGGGTGGGTGCAGTGGCGTGATCTCGGCTCACTGCAACCTCCACCTCCCAGGCTCAAGGGTTTCTCCTGCCTCAGCCTCTGAATAGCTGAGATTACCGGCATGTGCCACTATGCCTGGCCGTTTTTTTGTATTTTTAGTATAAACGGGGTTTCACCATGTTGGCCAGGCTGGTCTTGAACTCCTGACATCAAGTGATCCGCCCGCCTCGGCCTCCCAAAGTGCTGGGATTACAGGTGCTAGCCACCGCACCCGGCCCCAAGTCTTGGATCTTATCTCCAACACGGACCACAAAACTAGAAAAAATATCTTTTGTAGATACCAACTATGTCATGTTGTTGATCACAGGGGGATACAGGGGGACCACCTTTAGCTTCAGAGGTCTTGCAACTCTACCCCCAATATTAAAAAAGCAAGGCTATGTCCTACTGCTGCTAAAAGTCTCCAGGCTCCTTCTCTCTTCCACCTCCTTCCTCTGCTTTCCTTCCTTTCTGCCTGTCTACTTGTGTTATTCCCCAAAGGGTCTGCATTAGTTACTGAAGGAAACACATACTTCTCATTCCCTGCTAGTAGCGATTACCACAACTGAAGTTCTAACTCCTGTCTTGCTGGAGTCTGCGCATGACCTTTAAAAAGGTAGTGCCTTTTAAAAATGTTTTAAAATCTTTTTGTGGGGCTTTTCCCACTGGAGTCACTACCTGCTCTAGAAGCAGAGTGGCTATTGATTTTGTTTCCTAACAGTGATTCTCCAACTTGTTCCAGGGGCTCTGCCTTGGTGAGGGTCAGAACATGGAAGCCTTGGTGAGACTGGTGCTTTTTGTGGACCAGTGTCAGATGACTGACATATTTGTTTCCATTCTGTGATTGAGGAACAGCTTCAGCAGAAGACAACGTGACTGGCTTATATGTATGTAGCATAAAATCACAATCATAAGCACAAATTTCCACCAACTGAACAAGCCATTGAACTGATTGAAATTATCTGCACACTTTTTATGGGGGAGCTCTCATTAATATTTAGTAAAATAAATAATAACAGACAATATTTATTGGTTATTTTCTTCTATGCTACACACTATGCTAAGTACTTTACCTGTATTATGTAATTTAATATTCACAACAATGTTGTGAAATAGATTTATTGCCTCTATTTTACAAGTGAAACAACTGAGGCTTATAAAGTTTATGTAATTTGTCCAAGGTCTTGGAGCTAATGCATGGCAGAGCTGAGGCTTGAAATCTGGTCTACCATCAACGAGGCCTACTCCTTAAGCATAGTGTTTGTGATGTTCTTGGATGAAGGCAGAAACTCACATTTGACTTAGCAGGAAACAAACAAACTGAAGTGGATTTTTCTGTGATGGTTTTTATTCCTCACTTTTATTATTGGTCTTCATGGAGAGAATAAAGTGCTATGGATAGCTTGTGAAGCTATTGCCTGGAAAATTTCTTTCAAGATTCTTGAAAGAAATTTTCAAGAATCTATCATCTTGAGCAAATCATTTTTAGAAAATGTCTGGTTTTGGGGAATCTTTTATGGAAATATACTTTGCCTCTGACCATATAAGCTTTTGATTGCTGTGGGGCAGGACAAGACTGGTAAGCCAAGAAACCCGTCATTTATCCCTTTGCTGAGTGTCCTTCCTTCTCTTGCTGGTTGCAGGAAGCCACTGGGGACTAGACTGGCCTGTAGACAGTCTAAACGAAGGCATCACTGCCAGGATTTTGTCCTCTGGGAACAGACGATGCTGCTGTGTTTGCCAAAGGAAGACAGCTCCAAGTGTCTCTGTTTTCAGGCTTCCCTCAGTTTTCAAATAAGTATAATTTTCAAACCTGCGTTGCATTCCAAAGAACTTTTTTTTTCAGGAATGCTTTTGTACTTAACACCTCTGTGAACTCTGTGACCATACACCCTCATCTGGAAGGTCTATTTAGAGGTGGCTGAGTAGCCTGCCAAATTCAGCCTCTGAACCCTATCATTTCTGTATTATAAATGCTTTCCCCCACCCCATCCCCCGACAGCTGGAATTAAATGTTCAGAGGCATTTGGATTAGATTTGAATTGCTTGGTCAAATCTCAGTCACCTCTTCACAGACAGACAGAATTTCTAACCTGGGAAAAGGTATTAGTTTGAGCTCAGAGAATCAACTAAAGAGAGATCCTTTAAGCACAATATTCCCAGTTAGAATAAGGTTCAGCTAGCTGTCTTGAGGAACGCATGAGCTCATCATAGTGTTGCCTAACAAAGGCTGTTATTTAGAGTGCTCTCGGCAGATATTTCCCCATGAGGAAAGCTTTTCTTTTAGTATCGTCCCAAGTAAAACTTTTTGAGGTTAATTGTCAAATTCAAACATACAGTGATACTAATTCTCCATCGTGGCCACAATATGTGGTTTCTGGGCATATGTCAGAACACTCTCTTAAGGCATTGATTTATTTGTCCATCAGTAAAAATGTGTTGAATTTCATGGTTATTTTGTTTTTTCTGTCTGCTCAGTACTTCTATTACTTATTGGAAAACTCCCCTCCCCAATTGTACGTGGTCTTAGTGGCCTATAGCAGTGTTTGTGACAGCTACTCCCCACCCCAGTCACAGAAATGGGTAATAATCCAGATGGGGACAATTGTGGAGGCTGACCAAGGATGAGACTGTGACTCAAGCAAGGCCAGGCTGGTAAAGAGAAGTTCACTTTCTGCTGGAAGGGTACAAATCTAGAGTTATGTATAGCCATCTTCTCTATAATATTGTGCCTGTCTGCAGAAAGAAACCAACATACAGAAGAAACAAGAGGCAAATTGTGTAGAGAGACAAAGCCTTGATTATATCATTTGGGTCTCAGAAGCCATGCCTGATCTCTTCCCAGGTATGGAGGTCAAATTCCTTTTGCTTTCTGCTTAATTGAGTTTGATTTTGGTTTCTGTTACTTTGAAGCAAAAATGTCATTATTAATATACTGTATCCACTTTGTACCAGGAACTGTGTTAGGTAGTGGGGAGACAAAGGTAGCTTAGACACTGTAATATCTTTAAGTCACAAAACTGAAGTATAGATAGAGGGCTATGGGAAAATAGGAGAGAGAGAGAGATTGTGCTTTAGAGTTTTTGGGAGTTTTGAACATAGGAGTGAAATGGTAAGATCTGTGTTTTCACTCTGGTTATCATATGAAGAGTGGATTGGAATAGATGACCAGGTGTGGATGGCGAATTTAGGATGATAAAAGGGTTTTAAGGCTTTTGGACCAAAATGAGATTCTAGTCATTGATAGATGGATCTATACAATATGGAGGGATCCCTCTGGTTTTAGTATCACTGGGATTATTAGAAAGTAATGTCATTTGGCTGGTGACAGAGTCTCACTGTGTCTCCTAGGTTGGAGTGCAATGGCACCATCTCTGCTCACTGCAACCTTGACCTCCCGGGTTAAAGCTATTCTCCTGCCTCAGCCTCCTGAATAGCTGGAATTACAGGGGCATGCCCCCACCCACACCTGGCTAATTTTTATAATTTTAGTAGAGACAGGGTTTCACCATGTTGGCCAGGCTGGTCTTAAACTCCTGACCTCAAGCAATCTACCCGCCTCGGCCTCCTAAAGTGCTGGGATTATAGGCATGAGCCACTATGCCCAGCCATGGCTAGTTGTTTTAAATTTATGTTTCATTCCTGTTCTTTAACATGGCAGTTATACAATTTGATAATAATCCTTTTTAAGCTTTCATCTATATAGATTTGTATGTAAGAATTTAAATTCTACTATCAAGTCAAAACTGCTCTTCTCCCTGGGCATTTTCCTTGTTTTCCTCTATTGATTTCAGGCCATATGATATATATTTCTTGAGGTTTGATGATTGACACATACTAATCATCAAATGAAAATAACAAAAACATTGATAGCACAGGCTACATTTTACTTATTTTAGTGTCCCCAGTGCTAAGCATGTTGTCTAATTTGCAACAATTTTGAAATTAATATATTAATTTTCTGTTACTGCTGTAATAAGTTACCACAAATTTAGTGGCTCAAGACAACAAATAATTTGTTACTTTGTGGTTTTGATGGTCAAGAGTTCAACATCAGTCACAGAAGGCTAAAGTCAAGGTGTCAGCAGGGATGACTCATTCTGGAGCTGCATGGGAGAAGAAACTTCCTTGCCTTTTTCAGCTTCTAAAGGCTGCCTATGTTCCTTGGCTCTTGGCCCCTTCCTCCATTCTCAAAGCCAGCAGTATAGCATCTTCAACCTCTCTCTCTGACTTCTGCTGTCATTGCCACATGCCCTTCTCTGACCCTGATCCTCCTGCCTCCCTCCTGTTAGGACACTTGTGATTACATTGGGCCCACCTTGATAAAGCAGGATGATCTCCTCATCTCAACGTCCTTAACTTAATCACATTTGCAATGTTCCTTTTGCCATATAAGATCATATATTCACAAGATTTAGGGGTTAAGATGTCAATGTCTTTGGGGGGAACATTATTCCATCTACCATAAAAAAATTTGTTTTGTTGATACGATATTTTAATGTGAGTTGATAGGTAATTGATGGGTTATTAACTAGGAGTCACCACGATGAGACTTCCTGATCTTAATGATCATTAAGATGTTTACAGAAGTATTTTACTCTTTACTATAGTAATGGAGGTTGTTTGGATGAGTGAAAATCCCAACTTTGAGAAGAAGATATAATGGTACAATTGCTTTTAGCAAGTAATCATATTAAAAATCATAACCTCTGGTTTAAACAATTGTTTAATCTTCCTGATTTTGATGAGATATTATTTGGTCACCCTATTCATATCCTCATAGGTCAAATATTATAATGTAGTTTTAAAAATAGTGTCCAATAATCATGGATCTGTGAAATTTAGTCATGGTAGGACCAAGAAAATGGTATTACCATTTTCTTCTATTCTTCCATTGCTTCTTTCAAATCCTGGAGAATCTTTATAAGTTTCACACAGTTGCTATATCTCATTAAAAAATATGTGGAAATATATTGGAAGGAGAGTTTGAATCCTGGTTACTTTCCTAAATTAGCATCAACAATTACCAAGGAGTCACTCATATTGTTAGAGGGCAGAGCAGGTAATTGTGCATCATGCACTAGGTGAACAATTAACATGTAATTTGCATAGCTTAAAATCAGATATTTTAAAAACACAAGATTTTCATTGTAAAGGGGGTAGTAAACATTATCTTTTAAATATACTGGAATTTTTATAACTAAGTACTTTGATGCATCTTCCATTCATTCAAATACTTATGAGTGTCTACTCATGTAACATCCTGCTGGGCACTGAGACAGAGCTGTGGGGCAGAAAGTTTTGCATGATGTAATATGTTACCTTCTTTTGGGATACTATCAGTATAACTGATAAAAATACTTCAGGCTGGGTGTGGTGGTCCACGCCTGTAATCCCAGCACTTTGGGAGGCTGAAGGGGGTGGATCAACTGAAGTCAGGAGTTCGAGACCAGCCTGGCCAACATGGTGAAACCTTGTCTCTTCTAAAAATACAAAAATTAGCTTGGCATGGTGGCAGGCATCTGTAATTCCAGCTACTTGGGAGGCTGAGGCAGGAGAATTGCTTGAACCTGGGAGGCGGAGGTTGTGGTGAGCTGAGATCGTACCACTGCACTCCAGCCTGGGCGACAGAGTGAGACTCTGATTCAACAACAACAACAACAAGATTGCTTTTTCTCCTAGTTGACCATTAGTTGGGAGCTAACTAGATATTATTTTAATTAAATAATCAGATATTTATAGTTCTTTTTTCCCCCTCTCTATAAGAGAGACATACTTGAATCGGAGTTTTGGAAAAATTTCCTCCCTGGTGAAAAATTTGGGAAAATCTCTGTTATATGCTTGTAGTCAACTTGTTGGAGAAGTTGCTTTAACAACAGAAAGAGAACAATTTCAGTCCTTAAGGAGCTCATGATCTAGTTTTAAGGGACAGCCTGGTAAGCTTATAATGGAAGATCAGAGAAATATAAGAACTATGATAAAATAGATATCTGTCCAGGGTGCCGAGGAGCACAGAGGCTCAGACTGAAATATGAGTTCCTCCAAGATTTTCTTTTCTTTTCTTTTCTTTTTTTTTTGAAACGGAGTCTCGCTTTGTCGCCCAGGCTGGAGTGCAGTGGCGCAATCTCGGCTCACTGCAAGCTCCACCTCCTGGGTTCACGCCATTCTCCTGCTTCAGCCTCCCGAGTAGCTGGGACTACAGGCGCCTGCCACCACGCCCGTATAATTTTTTGTGTTTTTTTTTTTTTTTAGTAGAGACGGGGTTTCATCGTGTTAGCCAGGATGATCTCGGTCTCCAGACCTCGTGATTTGCCCGCTTCAGCCTCCCAAAGTGCTGGGATTACAAGCATGAGCCACCACGCCCGGCCTTTTTTTTTTTTTTTTTTTTTTTTTGAGATAGGATCTTGCTCTGTTGCCCAGGCTGTGGTGCAGAAGCATGATCATAGCTCACTGTAACCTTGAACTCTTGGGCTCAAAAGATCCTCCTGCCTCAGCCTCTGAGTAGCTGGGACCACAGGAACTCACCATCACGCCTAGTTTTTTCTCATAGATAGTTTTTTCTCTTGTTATGTTGCCCAAGCTGATCTTGAACTCCCGGGCTCAGGCAATCCTCTCACCTCAGCCTCCCAAAGTGCCTCCAAGTTTTTCTCTAGGAAACAGTGCCCTCCCTAAGTCTCAAAGATCAGTGGGAGCTGGCCAGGTGAAGAAGATGGGAGGGGCATCCCATGCAAAGACCATAAATATTAATTCAATGAACCAAGAAACAGTATGACTTTCATTTAGCAAACTGCAGTTCTGTGTGACTGAAGAAAAAGTGTGTAAATGAAGAGACGACATGAGGACGCAGAGGTCTTGAAGGACCTCCTTTCCCTGACTATGGAATTCAACCATGGAATTCAATAAGAAAATGTTGCACAGGGAAGTGATTTTATCACATTTGTATTATAAAAGATTGTCACATGAGCTTTATGGGTAATAGATAAGGGCACAATGACGCTTGGAGACCTTCAGGATTTCATCTGAGGGATCTGGCTGGGAAGTAAGGAAGGTCTAACTAAGGGCAGTGGCAGTAGGGATGAAAAAGAAAGAGATTTCACGTTTAGTGAAATACACAATCATAAAGTAATCTGATTTTTGAATGCTAGTAGAATGTTTAATATGTATTTAGAAAGATGATCATTTCTAAAATCATCACTGATTATAGAAAAGGATTATTTTAGAAGTAAAAGAGTGCATTCGTCTTCTTATGTTGGATATTAGTGGAGTCTCTATGAAACTGGGCAGGAGATTGGGCTCTATCTAGCACATTACCAGAAACATGGTGTGTGTTTCAGAAATCTTTGCATTTTCAATTTGGGTAAATAATATTGTACAGTTTGGCTGTGTTTTGGTGAGTTCTCTGTATATGGCTGTCTACTGAGTTTCTTCATCATAACACGGGAGATATATTGTCCTAGAAAGAGCTAGGCCTAGAAATGAGAAGATCGTGGTGGCCGTCCTTCCCCTGCTTCCAGCTGGGACTGACCACAGACAAGGTTCTGTAACTTACTGAGCTTCCATTCCTCAACTATTCGAAAAGGAATTATGGTACCTGTGCAGGACACTACAAGCCTCCTGGGGTAGTGAAAATAAGCAACAAACAAGAAATAGCTTTGAAAATCATTACAAACCAGATGGGGGAGCTGTGTGTTGTTGAGGAATAATTATGGGCTTTGGATTTAGGTTGATATGGGTTCAAATCGCAACTGCAAATAATTTGGGGCAAGCTACTTAACTCTTTTGAGTTTTAGTTTTCTCATTTCTATAATGGGTTTAATAGCAACTCTTTCAGAGTTGGTGGTGGGCCTGTGTGAGTTAACAGAGGTAAAAGATGTTAGGTTTAGGTGAGTTCTTTCTTCCATTTAAGAAAAAAGTGGCAGTTAAGAACTTCACTCTTTTCCTACTGGACTAGAAGCTAGCTTTGATCCTGGGGTGAGAATGATTGGGGGTGGGGAGTTGGCTGTTCTGTTATTGCTGCTGTCCTTGGTGTCTGCATGGCCTGGAGGAAGACAGAGTCTCTGGATGCTCCCGTGTGCCATGTCTTCTAGGGTCTCCTATCTGCTTTGGTTCTTGAGGGAAAACATCTGCTGCTATTACTGAGGTTTTTTCCATTGTCATCTGTCTTCAAACTTGCTTGTGTTTATTTGTAATTTTCATGGATCAATTTAGTAGTCTCCCATTTGGTTTTATCTGTATCCTCCCACTTCCACTTTGCTCTTTATTTCTCCTTTTTTTTTTCTTTATGCCTACATCATTTATCTCCTTATCAGGTGTTTTGCTTTGGTAGAGATTTTTGCCAAGTGTCTTATCTGTTGTTTCCGTCTTAGATCCCACAGCTTTGCACAATGAAAACTCCTCATGTGGATATGGTTTCCTTTTATTTTATTTTTCTTTCCTTTTCTCCATTTTTTTCTCTGGCCCTGCACCAAATTTTTCCTTTACCCTTGGGCTAAATGTTGTCATGTTCCCTTAACGCTATCTCCAGAACATACTTTGGCCTTCTCTTCCTGGGACGTCTTTTTTCTCCTGGGGTCTGCACTGCAGAGTCCCCAGGTTCTTCCTGTTCTTTATAAGCCATCTTCAGCTCACAATCATTGCAAGAGACACTTTTCCTTTTTCTAGTGACTGTAGGATAATATTGTGAGGAAGATTTATTAGGGAGTGGTGCTTAGGGAAAAGAAGTGGGTGGAAAAAGTAGGATCTCTCACATTTAAATGTGATGATATATACAAACCATTTTTCAGTGCCTGCATATGTTAATGTTTAATAATTAGTACTATCCAGGACTGGTTTATTATGGGATGGTATTTTGGGAGGTTGGAACAGGAATTCTTTGCCACATTTGGAGATGGTGAAACATAACCGCATGTTGATCTAGTTGCAGGACATTTTAAGCTTAACTCCAGGAAGAAAGAAAAAAATATGACTTTGATGTTGGAAATAGAAAAAGGAACACTTGTCTCACTATGCTTATCAATCAGTTTGGGGCAAGATGGCCACCTCGTCTTTTGAAAAATTTGGTTACAAGTTTCATGCCTGTTTGTAAACCCTCATTTTTCCTTATTTTAACTCAAAGTATGTACAAATGCTCTGCTTTCATTTAAAAATTAATCACTCACCAGCTTGAACTTAATCTAAAAACTGTTAGAATAATTTTTCTCTGCTATGTTTACGTGGTATTTCTTCCTTTCCTATTTAAGTTTGTGCTTTTATTATAGCACTTCTCATGGTCATATTTTTATTATAGCTTCTTATATATTCTCTGCTTCCTGAGGGGCTGTGGGTTTTTGGAAATCAGGAGCCATCTTTGGATCTGTGCATTTCCCACAGAACTAGAAAGCACCTCATATATAGCAGGAATTCCTTACTGCGGTGTATGATGAGAAACTACTCAGTGGGCACAATAAACCTTATTTGGATGACAGATATCCTAAAGGCCCTGAATTTACTACCACACAATCTATGCGTATAACAAAATTATACCTGTATCTCATAAATTTATACAAATAAAAATAAAATAAATTGTCTCTGCTATGCTTAAGAACCAAATGTCAACTGATATCCACTGTTAAGTCAATAATTCACAATTTCCCAGATTATCTGTAGAAGCATTATTGACAAAAGTCTTTGCTGAATTTTTACAGCTAGTTTGTATGGATTTAAGAGAATATTCAGGGGTTTTGCCAGCCAGTTGTTAAATCATTTGTAACTTAAAATTGGCTTTGCTGGGAATATTCACACCTTGGAAATAAACAAAGGATACAAATTAGGATTTTTTTTTTTCTTTTGAGTGCCAGTTTGCCAGCCCTCCAAGGATCATAATGCCTTTGGTGAACTGGAACCCTAGTGAAAAAGACAAACCTTGACACATTGACATAAGTTAATTTACTATTGGCTTTAGTCAAAATTTTCTTTAACAATCAGAGATTGCAATAGAAGGCTAAACAGAAGTCAATCTGCATCGTCAGTGTGGCAGGTAGATAGATTTATGAATAGTAACAAGGAGGGAGAATGAGACCACACGTTTAGAGTGCCTTCATAAAGACCTGCTTAGGTCTTCCTCAAAAATAAAAACAAAACCAGACCATAGCTGAAGAAAGCAAGATAGACAGCTTCTCACAGGAAATTTCTCCAAACGGCAAAGGTAGTTCAAGGTAATTGGGGAATGCCTCAGATCTGTATTGTGACCTGTTCCATTGGTTTTTAATATTTAAAAATATTTTGTTTTCTTGGCATAGACGTTAAGTCCATGGCAGTATTAGAGTGTGATTTTAAAGAATATTATATTAAAAGAAAATGTTAGAAGATGTATTTGGAATTATGAAAAGCAGTTTCAGTACATATTAAAATAAAATGCAGAAATTGTAAACCACTTCTCACTTCCTAATTTCTAGCAGTTAATGATGCAACATATGAGTGATTCCTCAGTCAGTCATATCTGCAAAGACTGTGTAAACATCATTCTTGTTATTGCACCTGCTAGTCCCTTAACGACATTTGCATAAAAGTTTGTATTCACTAAATGCATCAAACAATGGTAGTCTAGAGAAGCACTAATGAGGTTCACGTACTGTTGTGAGGCACATCTAAAAGAATGATTAGAAAGCAATTTTAAGACATTAAAAAAAACTAATCAAAATATAATTCATCTTAGCCACAAGATATTGGAGTTGTATAATCTGAATATGATAAAATATTTTTGGGGTTCATTTTATTTTTTTAAAAAATTAAAATGTTGAAACCCTAAAAACATTACACAAGGCAGTTGAAAAATATTGCATTATGTATCAATATAGCCTTATTGGATAAAAATCTTCTGGCATCTTAAAACTGGTTTATGAGGTATACTAAAGAATTACGAGAAAGCTGGAGCTACTAAGTTGATTCAAAAGGTTAAAGTAGTGTGTAGCATGTAGCTCGCATATCAAACTAGTCCTGACTGCTGAAAAGCACCAGGCATGGACACTCAATCACCTAGTAGAGCGATCTCGGGAGATCTTTTTCCGGCTCCCCACAAGTGCTCCTTGCTTTTCAACAGTCCACCATGTGCATAAAATTAACAACATGCCACAATGGCTTCTTATATCATAAATGGAGCCCCTTAAAGTGATATCCCTTCCCACACTTTTGCAGCCTTCCGGTGAGAATTACTACTGGACTCTGCTTATTTGAACAGAAGGTGTGAATTTAAAGGCATGAACAAATACGCCAGCCATATATTAGCCATTCTTAGTAATGTACAGATGCTTGAGTTACTTGTGAGCTGTGTCTGGCTTCAGAAACCTATTTCACTAAAGACTAAATCTTAACCAAAACATCTTTTGGGAGATTGAAGGTGTTCCAAACAGTTATCTCTACTGAATTTCTCAGTGCACTTTTCATTTTTCACATGGTTATTTTAGCACCATGTAGACCCAACATAATCACCTACTTCTGTGAGGACTTTCAGATCAAACTTCTGTAACTAGCCACCAGTTGAATAATCAGCAATTCCTTACCAATTAGATGATTAAAATGAGGAAACATAGAGACATCTAAAGGAAACGTTGAAGCCAGTTGAAGAGTTAGTTAAAAAACAATTTGTCTGTGGGAGTGAGAATGATGGTGATGATGAAGATGATGATGATATTGGTGGGAGCAAAATAAACATTTACTTGAATGCTTATTAATGCCACTATAGTAACTCTTTTAATCCTCACAAAATCCTGTGAGGTAGGTACTTTTTATATCTCCATTTTACACATCAGGAAACTGAGGCAAAATGAAAGTAACATGCTTAAGGTCACACAGCTAGTAACTGATGGACGCTGAATTTCTATCCCAGCAGTATGTTTCCAGGGCCCACCTCTTAACTACTATGCTTAAATACCATAAATGACCTTACACTATGGTGCATCCAAGAATGACAGGGACATCCTCTGGGGCAATATGTCTGTGTCCTTGAAAAGACAGACTTAAAAGATAGACCTAATGGAAGACCTCATCTTCTATTCTTCTTTGACTTCCATATCTTACTCAATTCCATATAGGCAAGGTCAATCACATAAAGAAGATTTTAATTTGCTTCTATTAATTTTTGTAATAATCTTAAGATTTCCATACCTAACAAATAAAAATACAAGATACTCAGATAACTTTGAACTTCAGATAAGCAACAAACACTTTTTAAAAGTACAAATGTACCCCAAATATTGCATGGTATATAATTACTTGAAAAATAATTTGTTTTTTATATGAGATTCCAATTTAACTGGGTCTCCTGTATTTTATCTAGCACTCCTAAATAAGCTAAGCTTCAAACCTGAATGCTGGCACTGTAAAAATCACTCTTTCATCTCTTGGAGGTGTTGGAAAAAAAACAACAAAACAAAACTTGCTTTAAGTTTGTCAGGCTGGAGACTGGGTTAAACAGATCAGACATGGTGTTTCTATCAATCACATCTATATTCCTTGGGGTTCTCCAAATTGTGTTGAGAGCTGGGGAGGTGTGTTTAGCACACAGGTTATTATGCTTTGATAGCTACACAGCACTGGAAACCCATCATTTAGATTAAAATGAAATTTCTAAATGTTGTTTTAATGATGTGAGCACCACATTGCAAATGGGCCTCTTTGCTGTGGTCTTTAAAATAAAGTAATTGACCCTGACGCCATTCAACTTGGGACACATAACTCACGTCATGGTCAATTATCTCTTGGTGACTTCAACACAGTGGGAGCCATTGTCCACATAATGACTGTGGGGCTTGCAGAACCTACATAACTGCAAGGGGCCTCTTGAGTGCCTCACTTGCAATATAAGGGCTAACCAGTATTCATCTTTGCACCCCAGTACTTAGCACTGTACCTGGCACATTTATATTTGCAACAAATGCTTACTGAACACCTACTCTGTGCTAGGTGAAGGGGGTCACAGGAGGTAACGAGTTAGGTCCTGCCCTTGTTATTATAGGGTTTACAGTCTGGAGAAGGTGTTCAATAAATAAGAGTAGTACAGAGACCAATTCTTTGGGAACTGGAGGGTTTCTTAGCTACTTTGCACATAGATGAGGATATTGAGGCCCAATTATAGGCACCATATTGGGAGTTGGAAGACTGGGGCTCAGAAACCAACTTTTCCATTTAGCCTTTGAACAAGTCACTAAACTTCTCCCAGCCTCAGTTTCCTTATCTATAAAATGGAGATATTATATTCTATGTAATAGAATATATATGTAATAGAATATACATGTAATATATATATTATATGTAATATAATATGTAATAGAATAGAATATATATGTAATAGAATATAATATGTACATAGAATATCGCTACCTAACTGTTAAGGCAAAAATGAGATAACGGTCTAGAAAGTTAAAAGCATTATATAATTGCAAAAATAATGTTTAAAAACATAGAATTGAGATTGCCCAGTTGAACACTTAAATCTAGAGAGATAGCTTAGCATAATGGTTAAAAGCAGAGATGCTGGAGATAGGCTTCCCAGGTTTATATTCAGCCTCTGCCACTTACAGACCATTGAACCTTTAGCAAGTTATTTAACTTTTTGATTTTATTTTATTTTGTTTTATTTTATTTTATTTTGAGGCAAAGTCTCGCTCTGTCACCCAGGCTGGAGTGCAGTGGCGTGATCTCGGCTCACTGCAATCTCCGCCTCCTGGGTTCAAGCAATTCTCCTGCCTCAGACTCCTGAGTAGCTGGGATTACAGGGATGCACCACCACGCCTGGCTAATTTTTGTATTTTTTTTAGTAGAGATAGGGTTTCACCATGTTGGTCAGGGTGGTCTTGAACTCCTGACCTCGTGATCCACCCACCTCGGCCTCCCAAAGTGCTGGGATTACAGGCATGAGCCACCGCGCCCGGCCAAGTTATTTAACTTTCTATGCCTAAGTTTCCTCATCTGTAAAATGAAGACAATTATGATACTTACCACAAAAGATTATTGTGAGCATTAATTGAGTTGAAACATGCAAACATAATAAGCACCCAATAATTGTTATTGACAATCTAAATCTATTGCAACATTGGAGTATGGGAAAATGCGTGTGATGTTTTTAGGCCAACAAGGCAAACTTCCCATTTAATAGTCATCCTTCCATTCCAACATAGAGAGATTCATTTTGAGAATGTAGCAAAAAGAGATGTAAATTACACTGTCTGTGTCTTAAAAATTTTCAGGTCAAGAGATGTTTTTATAATAATGTACTATGATCAGAAACTTCTAAACAGCTCCCACATCAAAATATCAGCAATGGATAATGAAGAGAAATGGAAAACTGATTTATCCATTCCTAGTCAATAAAGAAAGCATGCAGTAGCTGGATTGGAAATACCCCTGCAGAGTGAGATTTACAAGACATAATATTGGAAGACAGATTTATCCCAGTTGAAAGTGGACTGCTGTTGAAGAAGGTTCCAGTGGAATTTATAAGACAAAGTCCTTGAATGAGGACTCAGAAGCCTTGGGGAGTCATGAGGTTTGCTCATGAGGCTTGCTAGGCACAAGCTGATTTGCATTTTTAAGAAGGCCAAAGTGTTTTCTGAAGATATTGCTGGGAAAAGAAAAAAAACAACTCAGGGCAATGGCATCAGCTTTGTTTAAAACTTCCTTTTACTCAGGACTGTCGGGCTGATAAATCAAAATTATGTGTCCAGTGAGGAAATGGGAAGTAAAACTGTTTCCAAAAGAAAAAAGAAAAGAAAACAAGTGATTCATTTTGGCCTAAATAATTGAAAATGCAGAAAGTCCAAGTGTTCCTGGCTGCTCAGCCCTGTGCTTACTTGTCACTTTTGCTGTTGTGTAGCAAATTCTATGATGAAGATTTGGAAGACAAGCTGCCAGCCTTGGCAAATCTTTAAACTATTTGGTAAAACCAGTTGGAACCCAACCCACAGCTACTTACAGGATTTGACTTCCTGTTCGCATGGAGCAGGATTCAGAATAAAGCAGTAGAACCATGATTGTGTTTACTTTGTGTAAAAGAAAAAAAAAAGAAAGAAAGAAATGAAGGAAACAAGAAAGGAAGGAAAGAGAGAAGGGAGGAAAAAAGAAAACAATAACTTAGAAATGAAAAAAAGAAAAAATGGGGCTGAAAAGTAGCCTTTCTGAGACATCAAATCAGAATTCTAACTCTTACACCACAATGTCTGCTGGGCATTTGGTTCATCTTTGGGGCCCAAGTCACATCTGAGCATAGCCCTCTAAGTGACTAAGACTCAAACAAAATGCAGAAGGTGAGCTTGTTAACGGCTCTGAAATATGATAGCTTTGAGTGGTAGTACCACCAATCAGAGAAAGTCACTGCACATTTTATTGGTGTCTAAGTAGAACATCAGCAACAGCCCAGGGAATAGGATTTCATGGTTTCTCAGGGTTTTCCTGCCAGGAATCCCAGGAACATTGGAAAATATCCATCCCCATTATACAACACAATAGAAAGAGTTAAATGACATAAGTTGTGCTACCTTGCACAATCGGTGAAAAATGCAAAGGAAGGAGATTTCTTTTTTCTGGCTGAGGCAATTGAGGAAGGCTTCCTGGGGACAGTGGCTTTGGAGCTTATCCCTGGAATATTGTAAGAGTCAATAGAAATTGGGCAGCAGGAGGGGTTACGGAGTGAAAAGTGAGAGAGAAACAACTCAGGACTCTCTGGTCAGTAAGAGTATTTATAAAAATGGAGGGTGGTTCTGAAAAGTTAGACAAGAGTAGTAAATCTAATTACATGTCTATTTCCAATATGAATGGAGATTAAAATTCCCTTTCCTATTTGTCAACACTTAATATACTACCGTGGAGAGTGGAATATTTATACTTTGTCCTAAAGATATAATTGGCTTTCAAATGTACAACTATTGGACTCATAAGATGGAAAGGGAGTAAAAGGATTGCCTAATGTAACTCATTAGTCTATGAGTAAAGTAACTGTGTAAAGTGGTTGGTTAAAAGGTCACAAAGCTAGTCAGCAGCAGGGCTGGGACTGGAATCTTAGCCTCTCGGTTCCAAATACAGGGCTTTCCCCAGGACATTACCCTCAAGCAGTTGGTAGAGATGCTTGGTGAATATATGGGAGGAGCCATTTATATGCTTATGGACCAAATAAAGAAACTGAAAAGCTGCTACAAGACCAATACCCAGCCACCACCCTTACAGGGCTCAGCAAAAGAGAAGGAAATTTAAAAATTCAGGCTTTGACATACATGGTTTATCTTTGCAAAGAAGATTTTACCCAATCGTGAGTGAAATAGAAATGCATTTTGTATAGATAGGAAAAGAAATGATTTTTGTTTTTAAGTTTCACCTGGGGTCATGAAGAGAAAAGGAAAGTGATAAAGTTTTGTTCATCAGTAGCTTTTGTTCTTGACTAACTGGCCTCAATTAATTTACAGAATCTTAGTTTCCATTCAACCAAGAACCAAGGAGACCTCACTTTGCACAGAAAGACAAACTTTGCATGTTCTCTCTTATTTGTGGGAGCAAAAATTAAGAACCAATTTCTGATAGGATAAGTTTAAGTATATGCCTACCTTCCAATAAAGAATGCCCTAGACTGTGAGGTCCCTGAGGTCAAGGAGTATTTTATTCACCTCTGTATCCCCAACAGTGTGTCCCATTGTGGCATTCAGTTAAAGTCTGTAAATGGATGAAGACATCCCTATAGAGTTTTATTCTTTCATAACTTGCCTTATTAAAATGACTGCCACCCAAATCTCAACTTGAGTGTTGTTTTGGCATGTGATGTGATTTCCCGAAACATGCCTTGTGGTGGATGAATCCTTCAGCTGGGTTTAAGGACCCACTGCAATATAGATTAGATAACATTCCTTTTTCTTTCTTTCTTTCTTTTTTTTTTTTTTTTAAACAATCTGTTTAATCAAGCGCAACTTCTCTTTCCCTAACCCAGGACTAAACAAGTCAGAGCTTTGCCTTTCTAATTTATCAGCCAGTAAATTACAACAGCAAAAGTCTTGTGTATGGCCAGGGATTTTCCACTCAGAGTGAAGGAGATCCTGAGGGGCCAGGCATAGTGGATTTGATATGTGACTCATGGTTTGGGTAGCATTACTTGTGAACACAAAAAGGTCAAGCAGGGAAAAGCTATATTCCATAAATAATAGAGTAAAATTAAAAGTTCCTCTCCATGACACTGGAATTTTGAATGCTGCTATAAAATGATTAATCAGAAGATGTGTCATTTGTGTAAGTAAGAAATGAAGGATAACTAAAGAAATGGGAAATAAGGCAAATTTAAAAGGCATAATTAGAATGTAAAGGAGAAGCAGCTGAAGATACCTAATTTTCATATTGTGCTGATTTTCATAAGGAGTATCATTTCTTTTTGTAGCCTAATATTCTCTATAGTTAGCAGAAAACAATAGTTTCCATATATATTTATTGTGTTTCTGGTTGTATTTCCATTCTGAAACTTAAACATTCATTTGTATGTTTATGGTTAATTACATTATGGTTAAGTGTATTAAATAATCATTCAACTTGACTTCCAGGTGTTAATTAGAAGTCTTATTCTAAACTTGAATCATTTTAAAACATTATAAATTTGCATAAAACATACAAATAAGAACCAATTATTAAAGAACTCTTACTTAAAATAAAAGAGGTAGCTAGATGGTCTCTGAGGCCACTTCCAATTCCATAAGTCCAATGACTTTAAATGGCTGTGGGAGTAGAAACAAACAGAACTACAATTCTCTTACTTCCTAATTGCTTTTTGCTCTTCCCAGCTGGCATTTTGGATTCATGTTTCACTTGTAAGGAGGTCCTTATTTCCTGTGCTTTGGTCTCTCCAACTAGATGGTAACGTCCTTGTGGCACAATCCAAGCTTCTAGTGCTTCCTGTAAGGTTCTGTGCCCAGTGGGCAGAAATGAGAATTAATGGAGTAAAAGCGATGGATTCCCTGATGTGGGCTAAATGCACTGATCATCATTTGTGAGATCTGGAATGCTTTTCTAACAGGTCTTGAATTTGACCTCTGACTTCATACCAAAATGAAGGAAGGAAATATGGCAGGTGTCCAAGAAGTGTGAAATAAAAGGATAAAAGGATGAAAGGGCCGTAGATTGTTCTCAGCTTGGGACTAGATGGAGAAGGCTCTGGGCTTTTTTGGACAAATAAGAATTTGAATTGTTTTTGAGTTTTCAATGAAGCCCATGTAGGTCCCTGAACAAGATGGCAGGATGGCAGTCAGGGTGTGAGCAATGGCTGTGCTGATGGGAAGAAGTCATCTGTTCAGTGTAGCATCTGCTTTTGTCCTATTTCCTTCTCTTGCCTTGGAGGAAAGAGATGATGGAGTCTTCTGGGCAGATTTTACAGTGATTGATTGATTCGAAGCACAGAATGTTAGTACTGGAATGCTATGGAGCTGAGGAAACAGACCAGAGAGAAGTTACTCAGCAACTTGGAACAAGAACTCTGATATTCAGATTTCCTCTGAGTCCAGTGTTCTTTTCTCCACATCACTCTGAGAATGTTCTACTTGACCTTAATCTTTTTCCTGCTTTCATCCAATCTAGGCATTCTTGTTTTTTGCTGTCTTAAACCACAGAATGTTTGAATACACACTACATTTGGGGAGGGGGGTTGTTTTGTTTTGTTTTATCTTGCTCTAGCCCTTCTGGGAGATAAGCTCATTTAATTTATCTGCAATTTAGATTATGAACAACCATCCTTCTTAGATTAGACACGTCTCATCAGAGGTCACTCCATCCTACATTTTCCTCTGGTAAAAATAAGCATTCTGAAAGGTGACCCAGTCATAGTAGGGAAGAGGAACACAGGGGACTCCCATGACTGTGATGTATGATGATATTTCTGAAGAAAGTCATAACCATTTAGAGGCCAGGTTTTGATGAATTGCAGGAAATGGCGGATTTGCAACCATTCCAGAATTCCCAGGGACTGATTGTCATCAAGCGATGATAAGAATTTTAACTAGCATATTGTGGAACCCAGATCATGGCTAGGACTCGGGCCGAAGTGTTCTGTTTGGGTCTCCTGTTATATAGCATTTGCCTCTGGGAGAAGAGCTTAAAATTATTTTTAACTTGCCTGAGTCTCATTTCTATTTATCTGCTGAGGTCAGGAATTAGCAGTAAGGGAAAAAAAAGCATACTGCAAAATGCTCTGCCATGAAGTCAGACTGCACTCATCCTCCCTCCCCTTCCAAAAGGAATATTTTCTCCCAGGAAACAAACCCACATGATGGAATCATTAACTTGGGCACAGAGCTGGCAGGGAAAGGATCAGCCTTTCTTCCTACATCATTGGGTCTCCGGCCTTCAACAGCCATTGCTGCTAAATCAAGATACAGCAGGGACGTAACTGGGCATTCTGACCACCTTTGATTTCTTGGTGGGAAACCAATAAATATCAAGATGACAGGATAAGAATGCAACTGAGCTGATGGAAAGTATTTTCCCACTATAGATTGTGATGACTTGGTTTCATTAGAACAGTTGAGGGTACAGCCGATAACTAAAAGCAACAACAGTGAACAAAGGCTTGGTGAGGAGACTAGCATCTAGGAGTTTCTCCTTCTTCTGACCCTTTGAGTAACCCCATTGCTGAAACTCTCATTATATCATTTTGAGAGTGCTGCTGATCTCTGCCATCTCATTTGTAAGCTTTTCTCCATCTCCCTCTCTGTCAAGCATGGTATTAAGCAAATAGTACACTCTCCAAACACATGTTTTAAATTGATTTCTTTCTTTTGGGTGGTAAACCCAAAGATAGGATTTTGTAGAAACAAAACCAGATCTTCCCCCTCCACAGTTATTAAATTATCCAAAGCAAGAGATATTTTTACCAAAGCCTGTAGTGTTTTAATAAGGCCAGCTATTTAGGAAGTGGTGACAATGTGCAATCTGCAAAAAGGGGAAGCCTCGGAGGTGCTGTGGTAATAATGCAGTTACTTAAAGAACATTTAAACTACAAATATCTCTGTGGTTTTTTATTTGGTTCCATATGACAGTCACTCTGAGAAATTTCTCAAACCTTGGCTAATCACTTTAAAATGTAAGGCTTAGCAAATAATCATACTTCCCCAAATGCTCTGGTCTCTTCAAACTTTACTTTTTTTTTTTGCATTCGATAAAGGTACGCAATTCAATGCAAAGAAGAGCTAGGGAGGAAAATTGAGAGCATTTTAGCAGACAGGTGGAAAAAAATAGCTATAGCCCTGAAGTTGTAGGACAGTTTCAACTATCGATATGGAAAATAACTAAAATGTGATGAAAATGTAGGAGAGTCACGTCTTTTGAAGGCCAAGCGTTTGGTTCATTGAAATTGTGGGATGTGCCTGGTTTATGTGAGTGGAAAGAAAGTTCTTGCTTACAGGGACTGAGCCCCAGTGTTCCAATGTGTGCTGGGTCACATTAAAAGAAGCAGCTGGAAGTGTGTGTGTGTGTGTGTGTGTGTGTGTGTGTGTGTGTATGTGCATGTCTGTGTGCTTTAACTCAATTTGGAATGACATTTGCTCTTCTCAGCATCTCTTAATTTGACTAGTCATTAACCTAAAGTGGAAATCTTGCGTATGATTCTATGTTTCCAGTAGGTGGTGGGGTGGTAGAACATGTGGATTCTGCTGACGCCCTCAGGGAGCTAGTGACTAGGAGGAACATTAACGTGCACTGCAGTGCAGCATAACTATGACTTTCTGAGCTCTTCATTTGACCTGCAGAGAAGGAGCAGTCCAATGGTTTGCCTGGTCTCACAAGGTTAGCAGGAGGCTCTAACTGAGCTGTTTCATGAGCGGTAGTCTCGTTGAACCAACTACATTACGAGTTTTTAGAGAGCAAATGGCATGCCTTATACTTTAAAAACGTATGCCACTTCTTTTAAAAACCCTTCTCTGTATCTGGCACAGTATATGAAAGGAGTTTAAGATACACTTGATGAATTAATGAGAAACAGCTTCAGATTGGAAGTTCTGCAATTACTGTATTGTCATAAGCTCATTCCTCAAAGCGTTCAGGTTTGGGTGTACTCACTATGTCCCCTCGCCTGCATCCACTCAGATGTACCCCAGGGTAATCCTCCCATTTCCCACTGCAGGCGATTTCCATTCGTGCGTCTAGCGTGGGGGGCCAGTGGCTAGTGAACCCGACCATCAAAACCAGAATCTTGAAGAGAATACAGAACTCTGAGCTGGATGATGATCTAAGGCACCACTTACACTGACATGCTAGTATGTGCAGGGTGAATGCATTTCTATATAACTCCTTTTGATAATAATTGTAGTTGACATATTTTAAGTGTCAATGATGTACCATGATCCAAATCTGGATATACACTGTTACTTTTTCTTAGAGCACCATTTAGGTTAGGTATGAGCATTCCTATTTTACAAGTAAGGAAATCAAGTCTCAGGGCACATAGCAAGTAAGTAGCAGAACTGGGATTTGAACTCATGTCTCTCTGGCTCCACAGCCTGTGTTCCTGCCACCAAGGATACTGCTGCTCTAAAAGCAGGAAACCAAAAACTAAAAAAAATTCAGTTCATAACAGATATACAAATGCACATCTGCTTTAAGAGGTTGTAATGTTGAAGAATTATTCTACATGCTCTTATACCCAACTATGTATATTTTTAATGGACTTAGGGCTTTCAGTTTCATAAATAAATATATCTTCTGCTCTTTATTGAAATTAAATTAAATCGTTTGTTTGCTTATTTACTTATTTATTGTAGAGACAGTGTCTGCTGTGTCACCCAGGCTGGAGTGCAGTGGTGCCATTATATCTCACTGCAGTCTTGAACTCCTGGGCTCAGCTATCCTCCCACCTGAGCCTCGCAAGTAGCTGGGACTACAGGCATGTGCCACTATCCTTGGCTAATTTTTTTTTTTTTTTTTTTTATAAAGACAGGGTCTCTCTATGTTGCCTAGGCTGGTCTCAAACTCCTGGCTTCAAGGGATTATCCCACTTCAGCCTCCCAAAGTATTAGGATTACAGGCCTGAGCCACAGCACCTGGCCTGCTATCTCATTTTATCTTCACAATAACCCAACGTATTATATAAGGCTGAAATTATTTGGATTCCAGACACAGATGGTAAAAACAAGGTTATGAAAAGGTAAGTAACTTGCTCAAGGTAATTCCTCTGGAAAGAGGCAGACCTACTAACCTCTTCCATGTCTCTTCACTCTTCTCTATTTCATAAATAACTCCCTGCATAGCAGAACTGGCCCATGTACCTAAAGACTGCTATGAGCCCATTGTGAGTTATCAGTCGCCATCATATAAAAAAGTCAATGGAGAAGCCATTGAGGTAATCCTGGGCCCCCATTTCCCTGTGCTACATTCTGTTTATGACTTTAACATGACTCTCAGGGTATTCATAGAATCATTCTGTATGGATATGGAAATGTAGTTGGAGGATTTGCAGTTTAAATAGCCGCAGCATTTCTCCAAGTTTCAGCTTCAGATTCCTTTGTTGGGATGACATCTTTGACACAGCAGGAAACCTCTAAGTGATTTGGAATGTAAACAGGCTCCATGATTGTTTTCACAATTGTGTCTTAGCTGATAATTTGCATACCTAGCTGTCAGGCTACCTAGCAGTGCCCTCCCCTCCCCCATTTCCACAACACTATAAATGGAATCTGGGGAGGCTGCGTGGACTATTGACTTCCACTTAACAGTGGGTGGCAGGAATTCAGAAGTTTAATCCCAGACCTGCCTGCTACTAATTTCCTGGATGGCTTTTGGTTCATCCATTAATCTCTCTCTATCACTGTTTCCTTCTCTGGAGGAGATAGCAAGAATAATGGGATGTTTTATGCATTAACACATTTATGATCCTAATGCGCTCTGTAAAAGCATGGTTTTCTGGGAATGCTCCACAGTAGAAGGTAAATAAAAAAAAAATCCAGTTCCTTGTTCTTTAATATGAAATATTGATGGAATCTATCTTTTTGTGACTGCCCTAGTTAGAAACTACAACTGAGATAGACTAAAGAACTGAGTGGTTTACTGTATGAAAAACACTGTATTTTCAAATGCTCCATCCTGGGCTACCAAATAATAATCACAGAGGTAACTGAAAGTAAGGATGAGTACATGAGGGTACTATTTTAGCATCAGGACTAATAAAATTAAAATCTCATACTTTCTCAAGAGGAGCATTTTCATTAGTCATGGTGGATATGAAGCTGAAACTGGTCTCATTAGGACTCTGGCTGGAAGTACTTAATTTTTTTTTTTATAACACAACACTTTGGTTATGCATTTTACAAATATTTTACTGCATCAGTATGACTTATATGAGACCAGGGAGGACAAAATAACCTCTAAGATGTCATTCTGGATGAACTGCATTGCATATTCTCTAAGAAATGTCCTTGCCTATTTTGTCTCCATAAATTCTTCAGCCTCCTAGGAAGAGATGGGAAAGCTCTAAGGAGAACTCAAATCATGTGTGCAGTGACCCCATGCAAGATAGAATTAAAATGTGTTCAGTTATAAAATTGCAGTCCAGTCCAATCTTATTTTTTAAAAATAATTCTACAATTTAAATGCGCTGGCTTGTTTTTACTCTTTGACATTTTCTTTATTCAAGGACTATTGTTTCTGACATAAGAACTGGGAAAGTTAGCAAATAATCAAAATTAGTTCATTTTTAAAGAAACCATCCAACTGCATAGATTTTTCTTTGTAAGGAAAATTATAGTGTCTGTCATTTCAATGCATTACCAGCCAACCCAATCAAAGTGGACCATGTGGTTATATAAAAAAAATGTAACTGAAGATAAATCTGGGAAAAGCCTTGAGGAGAAAAGTTACTCAGAAACAGGCCATTTTGCAAACTATCCACATTGTGCCTTCAAAAATATCTCTTATTGGAAAATGATATGGAGGGTATCTGTCAATAGACCTGAATATTGCATCATGGAAGACACAGTGTGTAAAATGTAGCAAATGCAAGAACTTTTTTGGAATTTATTTTTTGGGTTTTCCCAATCCACTTATCCATAAATCATTTGTAATTAGTATAGTCAAGGGAATAGGTACACTACTCATGTGAACTTACGTGCAGTACACCAAAAAGCTATTTGATAAGATTAATAATATAGCAGGAGACATGCAGTTTAGATTCATTTAAGTAGTAATGAATCCCATGTAACTTCAAAATTGAAAATGCCCTTTTAGAAACTTTCTGGTGATTGTGGTCTAGGATATTCAGATCTACTTTCTTGTTAAAAGCAATAAAAATTGCTGGTTAAAAATTTCATTTAAAAATTAACTTTGAATTGCTGAAAGAATGATGAGGAAATTCCAGGTCAATTTATGGGTGAAAGTCTGTATCCAGACAGGTAGCTAGAATATTGGCATATACAGGCTTCTTATGCCCTTATGCTATTTGTCCATGCAACACATTTAGATTTGGGTTAGTGGCTCAGTGGAGTAAGAGGGACAAAAGTCAAGACCCAAGTCATGTTGAAGTTGGAGAGCTTTATGGGATATTCTCCCTAATTAAGTTGGCACTCAAAGAGCTACAGACTTAGGGCTGAACGAGGACTAAACTCACTCTTTTCCCCTTAATTTTAAGGTGTGTAGAAGAAAGTTTATCCATGCTGAGCACAGCAGTAGAAGAGAAGGATGTGAGGGAAAAATTTAAAACAGAAATCCCTATCTCTGAGATAGCTACAGACTGGTACAGATTTGTAGCCTGGACATATATAATCTGGGTGAGCGTAGATCTCAAGCCTTGGTTTGAGATAGTGCATGCATAGTAGTATACTAGATGCCTGGCAGAAAGCAAATACAAATGCTCTGTGGTGCAAAGAATTACTCATCCTAGGTTGCAGGTTATTTTTCAGGGACAATGATCAGCACGTGTTCAAAGATAACTAGACACCAAAGCAAACAAGGTGACATGAGTGATAACTAGCAAAAACAACAGACAACAGCAGAAATAGGTCAGCCCAGATATCATATTTGGGATTATTAGGCATAGATTATAAAACAAGTAATATCATCAAGTTCAAAATAATAAACAAAAAGTTCAAAAATATCTATAGGAAATAAAAAACCATAAAAAATGACAAAGAAGAGACTTAGGGCTTCAAGTTCTTTCAATGTAACAAAAACCTGGAAAAGAGTAGAAATCACATCACTTCTTATTCCTGGAGCTTCTTCTCTGATTCTGATCAGCAATACAATTTTCAACATGGTCAATGAATATACCTCAAAGAATCAGGTAACAGAATATATCTTGTTTATGCTGTCTATGACATAGTTATCTCAGAAAGTCAGTGGAAATAATTGTTCATGACCCCTTCTCACACAACATAAACCTCCAAACAAACAAGAATAAACTGAGTTCCATTTAGTTGCTTTTAGCATATAGTAAGTAGAAATATAAATAATCACTATTTTATCTTTTTACCACATAGGATGTTATTTTAGCACTTATAGACAGAGGAAGATTCAGGCATAGATGAGACAATCTTATTAGGCAGCCTTTTTACAAATCTCACTCCTAATAACAAAGACATTCCTATTCAAATTCAGCATTCCTATCATTGAACAGTTCATCTTCTTTTGAGTATTAACTGTTTCTACTCTAGAATCTTTCTGAACATTCATGTTAGGACATGTTTCCTGAATGTGTGTGTGTGTATGTGTATATAGTATGTATGTATGTGGCATGGTATGCATGTACATGGCAGGTGTGTGTGTGGAGTGTGTGTGTGTGTGTGTATCTGGGTGTATGTAGGAGAGGTATATGATTGTGTTTGTATGAGCATGTACCTGAGTGGTATGTGGTGTGTGCGGTATGGGTATGCTTGTACCATTTACATTTCTGAAATGGAACTCAGTGCTTTGGGTCATAAATCAGGACTTCCTTCTTTTCTGAGTTTTAAACTTACTGCTGACAGCCACTTGTAAATAAGTTCCCCTAAATACCCACACACAATGGAAAATAGGGATCTGGACAGCTGGGCTCAATTCCTGCAGGCTTATGAGAAATTTGCTCCAATGTATTGAAAAATATTCTCAAACTGAACACTTTGAGCCAAAGACTGAGGCTGTGAAAAGTGATGTTTTCATGGTCCCCCAATATTGTGATCTCCTGATCCCAGAAATTTCTGTGACTGAAAGAATACAGACAGCTCGAGAACTTGCATTAATGTTTCTAGGACCAGGCTTAAAGAATCATACTGTGTGTGTGTGTGGGGGGGGGGAGGGTACATGGTATTATGTGTGGTGGTGGTATTTAATGTGTGTGCCCATGTGTGCATTTATGTGTTGCACATGTATGCACTGTGGTGCTTATGTGTGTTTTCTGTGTGTGATGTGTGTGTATGTGTGTGTGGTGGCAGTGTATGTGGGTGTGTGTGCTATATGTGTGTTTTGTGGTACATACATGCTTGCATCCTGTAGGTTGCACTAGGAAGCAATGACTTTGGGGTTCCTGATATGTCCAAATCCCTTTTATTTTGTCAATTCTTTCACTTTTAAATAAACTTCTGTCAACATGATAAATAAAGCTATTGTTGTAGTACTTTCAATGTAAAATCATTATAAAAAATTGTAAGTAAAATTAGGAAAAGAATGAGTGATTTTAATTACCGCTGGAATTATTTTAAATGATTTTTTGGAAGGGTAGTTTGGATTCCCTCCAAAAAAGGGTGCAAAGGACCCCTTTGTTGAGGGGTAGTTGTACCTTCTTAATGATGCTCTGAAGCTGGTTTTTTCAAGTTATCTGGCACATAGTGGCAGCTCAATAAATATTTCTTAAATAAATGAATGGATACATTAGTGATAGAATTAGTCCCTGTGCCTCAGGTTTCTTATCTGTAAAGTAGGAATAAGAATAATACCTACCTCTTATTTAAAGTATAATAATAATAAAAAAAAAAGAATAATACCTACCTCTTGCAGACGCGAGAATTGAAAGAGTGAGTGCAAGTAAAATCCTTAGTATAGTTTCTGGCACATAGAAAATACAATGTAAATTGTATTACTATTACAACTTATTATTACAATTTAACAATAATTGAGTTGTTATTATGGTCATGGTAATTGCTTTCATTCTATGTGAATAGGAGACTAAGGTATTGGAATGTTTCAATTTTCAGATCATGCATCTAATTATGTCTTTAAGAAATGGTCAGGTTGACTTGGTTGTTATCTGCCTCTCCTTACCCTGTATTTGGGGGAGAATTTCTGCATATAGGAAAAGTGAGAAAGTTGTGTCCAAGTCTCTAACAGCTCGTATGGAGTCAAAACCCATGATCTTGGGCAAGGGTTTCTTGGAAAGTCCTCTGATTGTCAGGAGCACCCACTTTCTGGTCAACTTTCCAACTTTCTTAATTCCAGGAACCCCCTGTGCTGAGCTCCCTTGTAATCTGGGAAGAAAATGGTTTTCATCTGCCTGGAAAGAGTACGTGTGACCTGAACAAATCAATCTTGCAGCCGTCACATTCTCTGCTGCAGGAGCAATTATTCATCTCTTTTCCTAGCTGATTGTTGCAGAGCTGAGAATAGCAGGCACTGAACAAATGGGATCAACATGAACAGAACTCAAGAGCTTTGGGGAAAGTGCGGCCCAGGGCTGAAGAGCACCACCCTTCCCTTCCTCAGCATCACATTGGCCTCTAGTGGCTCACAAGCAACTGACAGACGGCTCAATCATTTCCTCAGGGCCAGCGCGCCAGCTGGCTTTGACATTAGTGCTCAGGCCCTGACTGACAGGGGACTTGTCCTTGGCTGTGCCCTGGAGGGCTGTGAGAGTCTATTCAAACTCCTCCTTTAGCTTGTTGATTTACTGTCCCTCTTGGCTGGTTGTTGATCCATTTTTCCTCTCCGTTTGCTCACAGGGCACCCCAGAAACCATCCTCTAGTAATATATTTGGTTTATGATTTCCTTAGGACCTAAGGAAGAAAAACAACCTCAGCAGTGCACCTGTTGTATTTTAATGTGCACAAGGCCCTTCAGCTAGGAAGGCACAGAAAGAAAGACTGTACAGGTCCCAGGGCCATATGGAGCTCACATTATTCTATCAGGATACCAGCAGAAGCTGCATTAGGTCCCTTTGAAATATACTTGTTATTTTATTTATAGCTCTGTTTGGAGCCTGCTGCCTATATGTCTGACTTTGGCCAATGTACCACTAAAGAGTATGATTCCAAACAGCAATTATCAGGGAGACAACGATGACCTAGAAGCAACCTGTGTGCACTGCAAGATGTGTGGGAGGCCTGCTCCACCACAGCTGAGGTTTAAGGGCAAATACAACCAGTTCATTAGTGACTTCCTATCAGGCACAAAAGTTGGGTCACGTGCCCCCTGCCCAATGCTTAAGAGATACTCAGCTGGTCTTGAAGGAAGTCAGTCCAGGAGAAATCAAGTCTCCTCTGCTTCTTCTTCTAATTTCTTTTCTATCAGACATCCATGGAGGTTTGCTTGGAATAATGAGCTTAGGGAATACATTTATTTTTTAGTATGGACTGGGACTATTTAGGGAGTGGGCAATATTCACCCAAAAGATAGGAAGCAAACTGGTGTCTGACCTTTTTGGATTAGGTGTGGATTTTAAGGGCTAAATAAGTCTTCTCTCTGTCTCATTTTCCTTGAATTTAAAGTGAAAATTGAAAGGAAGTAAGAGGGATTGGGGCATAGAAAAAGGGAGGTGCCGTAAATGTGTACCACTTGCAGGTGTATGTGTATGTGGGAGACAGGTGAAAGTGTATTAAAGAGTAGTCTGGCCTGCCTGTAATTTCTGGATTTAAACCTTATACCAGTGGTTCTTAAAGTGAAGTTCCAAACCAACATTATCAGTACCACCTGGAAACATGTTAGGAATTCAAATGTTTCAGGCCCTGCCCCAGACCCACCGAGACAGAAACTCTGGGGGTGAAGTTGGGTGATCTGTTTTATCGCGTCCTCCCGGTGATCCTGCTACACACTCAAGCACAAGGGCAACTGCTCTACACCAACAATATTTTATTAATCATCTATTTATTTTTAACTATAGAGGAGAACATTAGCTAGGGAGAAAGAAGTACCATGCTTAGGACAGAAGAGGACTTTCAGCACAGGAATGACAATGGTGCCAAGTATTTTCACAAGGAATAAAATAATAGTACAAACTATGTAAAATTATCTCTGACTGCTTTGATCCAGGCAAAAGAAGGGTGTTATTTTCTCCATTTATGAACAACAACAACAGCAATGTGTCTGTCTTCTTCACAGTGATAGGAAACTCTGAAAGGCTCATTTTTGAGATACATCCCATAAGCCATGTTTCTGAAACGGTACAGTGAAATGCAGTGAAAGTCTGATAATAAGCTATCCTTCTAAGGAGGCTGTTTACTCCTGTCCCAGAGTATAGACATAGACAGTAAGATAGGGTGTTTTATCTCAAAGGGTTCACATTGTCATATGCACTGCAATCGACATTCTAAGCTGTTGCAGCTCCTATACCCTATGGAAAGTTGTGTGAAGCAGCATGTTTAAACAAACTAAAACTGTCTGAATCTCCTGACAGATCCTTTAGCGATAGCAGGTGGGCTAGAGGTGGACATTGTGGGACTCTAACCAAGTTTGTCTGTGGAAAATCTTATTACATATGGAAGTTCCCAGCCCTCATGACCCTGCCATCAGCTGGCTTTGTAATCTTGGGTGGTAAATGAGTCTTTGTTTCCTTTTCTGTAAAATGGAGCATGTGGACAAGAGAACCTGTAAGATTCTTTGATAGTCTGTGGTTACCCACTTCTCCTAGAGTCCCTGAGTTAGTTAATGGGAGTAAAATGATCCTTCTGTGTGGAAGTTAAGTCTCTTTACTCACCTGAACGTGTAAAATTGCCACTGCTACCTGGAATACTTAATTTAGGCCCTGGTGAGTTGAATAAATATTTATAAGAAATAGATTCATGACTGGTCCTGGCTGCCAATGTCATCTTTCATTTTGCTTTATTTTATTTTATTTATTTTGAGACGGAGTCTTGCTCTTTTCGCCCAGGCTGGAGTGCAATGGTGCGATCTAGGCTCACAGCAAACTTCACCTCCTAGGTTTGAATGATTCTCCTGCCTCAGCCTCCCCAGTAGCTGTGATTACAGGCAGCCACCACCATGCCCAGCTAATTTTTTTTTTGTTGTTGTATTTTTAGCAGAGACACGGTTTCACCATGTTGGCCAGGCTGGTCTTGAACTCCTGACCTCAGGTCATCTGCCCGCCTCAGTTTCCCAAAGTGCTGGGATTACAGGCTTGAGCCATGCACCCGATCCCAATGTCATCTTAACATATAACTTGCTGACAGTAGTTACCATAGAGTATACTGAAGAAAGATATACTTAACAGGAGTTGCTTTGATCAGAATCCAGTCTCTATACCTGGACACAATAGTAGAGTTAGGCTGAGAATAAGGTAAGGCTTTTATATGGGGCAACTATGCCAAGCCAAACTTTCTCCCATGCTTTAGGGAGGAGGGTTTGGAATGCATCCTGCTGCAGTCTGCCCTTCGGGTGTCTACATAATGGCCTGCAGGTGCTAATCAACACACCTGCAAAGTCCTGTCAACACACACCCTGACAACTTTTAATAATCTCCAGCTGAAACCATCCTAGGTCCTGGGAGAATGCTGCCCTCTTAACATCTGGGAGGAATCTCAACTTTAATGCCAGATCCAAAAGACTCACCCTCAGGAAACTCCCAGGTACTAAAGGTCCATTCTTGGGAGGCTCTGGTCTTTGCCACAGTTTAAGGCTGATGCCTCAAACCTTGGCGCTCCCAATTCAGGCTTAATTATTTGATTCAGTCTCTGTGGGTTACCCAGCCATGGCTTATGGTCATCTTGTGAAACTCGGTGAAGAAAACCAAAGGACTTACGTAAGGCTATCAGCTAGAAAAGGAAAGGAATTGCTCCTAAGATCAGATGGGAGGAAAAAGGAGAGAAATAGGAAGAGAAGAAGAGAGGTGAAGGGATGGGGGAGACAGAGAGAGAGTAAGGGAGAGAGAGAATGAGAAAGAGAAATGAACCATGCACTTCAGGATTAGTGGGCAAGTGTAGCTGGAAAAATTTCAGATCCTTTATTGGGCTCAAGCAAAAACTCCTTTAAATATTCTGTTTCATCTTGTGTTTGCCTGAGATTCGTGGCTACAGAAAAGCAAGTCAATATCAGTATGGATGTGTGTATTTCCTGGGGAAAGGTCAGATTTGTTCATCTATTATTGTTACCTGTGTTAGTTTGCTAGAATTTCCATTAAAAAGTACTACAGAGTGGGTTGCTTCAACAACAAACATTTATTTCTCATGGTTCTGAAGGCCAGAAGTGTGAGATCAAGGTGTTGATGGGCTTGTGTCTTCTGAGGGCTGGGAGACAGAATCTGTTTCATGCCTCTCTTTTAACTTCTGGTAGTTTGCTAGCATATTTTGGCATTCTTGGCTTGTGGACACGCAACCCCAATCTCATACTCACATGCCATTCATGTTCACGTGTCCTTCCCCCTATATGCATATCTGTTTCTGTGTCCAAATTTTCCCCTTTTGTAAGGACACCAGTCATACTGGATTAGAACCCAATTTATGACCTAATTTTAACTTAATCATCCCTGTAAATACTTTCTAAATAAAGTCACATTCTGATGTAGATTAGGTTTTCAACATGAGAATTTTCACAGAAACAACGCAACCCATAACATTACCTTTCTGGCTGGGCCTCGGTGTCTCATACCTGTAATCCCAACACTTTAGGAGGCCGAGGTGGGTGGGTAACTTGAGCTCAGGAGTTTGAGACCAGCCTGGGCAAATGGCAAAACCCTGTCTCTACAAAAAATACAAAAATTAGCCAGGTGTGGTGGTGTATACCTGTAGCCCCAGCTACTCAGGAGGCTGAGGTGGGATGATTGCTTGAGCCTGGGAAGTGGAAGTTGCAGTGAGCCGAGATCACACCACTGCACTCCAGCCTGGGAGACAGAGTGACAGAGCAAAGCACTGTCTCAGACAAAACAAAACGAAACATTACCTTCCATATCTTCTTGAGTAAAGTGTATTCATCAAACTGTTTGCCTCTGATAAGCCTGCATTGTTAGTGGGAAAGAGTTCAAATCTCATTTAGTGATCAAGCTGCCTCTGATCAGTCTGTGTCATTATTGGGAGAGTTCAATCTAATTTTAGATTTAAGATGAGCTGAACTGGTGAAGCAGATTGCATTTTTCAAAGAGCTAAAGCATCTCTCTCCCCAAATATTCTTCTACAATATGGCTGTGCCACTCCCTATCAAAAAGTGGAGTCTAATTCCTCTCCCCCTCAATCATGGCTATTCTTTGTGACTCTAGAAAGCAGTGCAAATACTGTTCTGGAACTTCTGAAGCTAGGGCCCATAAGAAGTCTTACAGCTTCCATATGTACCTCTTGGTGGGTTGGCTTAGTCTAGAAATGCCCTCGTTTAAATGCCTTCTTCCTGTAGGGAAGCTCAGGAATCCAGTGGAAGGCCCATGTGAGGGAAATGAAGACCCCTTAGCTGAGCTTCCAGTTGACCATCAGTATCGACTGCCAGCCATCTGAGGGAACAATTTTGAATGTCTTGCCCAGTGAGCCTTCAGAGTGCAGCCCCAGCTGATATTGATTCAAACAACTCATGAGAGATTCCCAGGGGAGAACCATGGAGCTCAGCCTCTGTCAAACCACAGAACTCGGCCACATACAGCTTTACCTAGGAGTATAAGAGTTGCAACAGCTTAGAATGTAGCTGGCGGTGGGCATGACTATGTGGCCTCTTTGAGTTAAAACACACTCTTCCACCTTGCTGTCTATGTCTATGAGCTGGGACAGGAATAACAACCTCATTAGAGGGATACCTTATTACCAGATTTTCACTGTATTTGGTGTTCCATTTGAAGAACATGGCCTATGGGATGTATCTCAAAAGTGAGCCTTTTAGTGTTCCCTAATGCTGTGGAGCAGATAGACACGTTGCTGTTGTTATTTCAAGTCATAAAGTTTTGGGGTGGTTTGTTACACAGCAATCAATAGAACAGTTGCCTATGGTGTTTGAAAAAAGAAGGGGCTCCTAATTTTCTAAGCTGTATTCTTAATATTTTATAGACTCACTTTATGCCTCTGCTTTTATAAAGCATTTTCATACTCCTTGTATTTTACAAGAAAAATTAAGATACAACTATTTGCTTTGCCAGAAACTTCTTTATTGTGCAAAATGAAAAATAATCTTTGTAAAAATGTACATGGGTCACTACATGGCAATACATATTTTGATAGGAAGAATTCTTTGATATTTTATAAAAAGTTTTTCTGATTTGTTTTTCACAGATGATTATAGAATCCTGAGTCTAAGTTCTTGAGAGCCTTGGATTTGGGATCTGAAATCCAGTCCAGGAAGTGCTTTCACATTTATTAAAACCAAGAATGGACAGAGTGTCTCTTTAAAAAAAAATTTACAATATGTTTTATGTAGAAATGATAGATTCAAGTACTTTTCAAAAATGTGAGTAGCTTACTATTTTTAAAAGAAAAGATAGGTGAATTAAAAGTATATAAGTTTTCTGCATGTGCTCAATAATTAAACAAGGAGGGAGAGAGAATAAAAGAAAAGTGGGGAGGAAAAGGTGCTGGTGTGTGATACCTTTGAGTTTTATCAAAATGGAGATATTTGGGATGGAATTTGTTGTACTAGACTACTCTAACATGCCATTTTGGTATGTGCCTTAAGGAGGGAGAGATTCATGGCACACATTTATGGAGGAAATCCTGATACAGGGTTTCTAAATTCCTGAGCTGTGTGGTGGGAGGAACTATTAGGTAATTTATACTTCAGATATGGAACATTAATCTCAGTTTAACAGCAGGCTTAGTGAAACAGCAATCTTTTTTTTTATAAAGAGGGACTTAATTTATAATTTTCTTAGCAGGAGCATTAAAGAAATGATATGCAATCATCAAATTATGTGTCCAGAAAGAATTATTAACAAAATGTGAACCATCTCCTAGATAGAGAATTATTCAGTTGATTATAATTTAGTCTCTTTAGCCTGAATGGTGATTCACAAAACTAATGGCATGTCTTCATGGTCTTGTGTAGAAGGAGCAAAGGGAGGAGAGTGGAGGAAGAGAATAGAAAGCACAAAGACAGACAGATAGCAGCTTTCACAATTGTTAGCAATTTCATGAAGTCCCAAACTAGAATATATAGATATGGATTTAATTCATGAATATGCATGAATATACGTGGCCCTTCAACTAGGCTTGGGAATGCCCAGTGATGGCTTTCACTGAATCCAGTTTTCTAATCCTCTGCCATGACACAAACTTAAACTAATCAAGCAATCAACTGACCAACAACAAATAGATTCACTCATTCATCAATGTATTTTAATTGAGCACTGACTATGCACAGCACACTTGGTTAGGCTTGCACTGCCATGGAGAGAAACACTCGTACACACATGAAGATTATCATCTAGTAGGGTAAGTTTCAAACAAATACAGAAAGAGATTGTAATGTTGAAGCTGAATGAGTTCCCTGAAGACGGTTTATATATGTTTATGAAAAACATAATAAAGATATTAAGCATAGTCAAGAAATGAAGGAAAGATCTCTTTCTCTCACTACAAAGCGACAACTGGCCTCAGAAATAGGCTGAGTAGGAGATAACTAGGTAAAGAGGGGAGGAAAGAGTGTTCTAGACAGAAGAGTAGCATGTACCAAGACCTATGGAGTCAAAAACTGCCATAGGCAGTCCAAGGCAGGCCCCTGGGGCTGAATTCACTGCATGCACCCCACCTCCAGGTCCAACTCATGGCTCCCTCTTTTGTCTCCCACAGTCCAGCCATCTAGGGCTTTTAGTAGCAGGAAAGATAATCCTTGGTTCCTGGCACATTTTCGTCATTGCCCTCAGCAAGGGTTCTCTTGCTTTGAACTTTATAGGTGTGTCTATATGTATTCAGTTACTTTTTGCATGTATTTATTCTCCATTGCCCACTGGCTCTCTTCAGGATTTGTTATGTGTCCTTCAAATTGTATGTATCCTGAAATAGTGTTGTTTTCTGTATGTATGGATGAATTTTTAAATTTTCATAAAAATTATTGCACTATAAATTTCGTAGTTTCTTAATTTTGCTTTAAAGAAAGCATTGCTTTTAAATCTATTCATGGTGCCATGTATTCCACGTGCCATGTCTAACTTCTGTGTAGTATTTCTGGGTAAGCTTCCATCACATTCTGCTTACCCATTCCTTGAGGTACCTTTTCCTGATACCACAAAATCCTGGGGTGAACCTCCTCCTCTGGATCAGCCAGCATTCAGTTAGAGAAGCAGATGCACTAGGAAGGATATAAAATAAGGAGTTTATTATCAGGTCTTGAACTTATGCCATTTTTATAGCTGGTTAAATGGCTTATATACAGTTGTTGTTTCTGTAGGTGGTACTGGGGCTGAAGTCAGCAGGGCAGGGAGCTGGGAAGGAAAGACAGACAGAAAGTAAGGGAAAGCAAAGACTCACTGGAAACTGCAAGGATGACCTGAACCTCTCTTGCTGCCTCCAAGCTTCTTGATGGTGTGGTGACTGCAGGAGAAGCTGGAGCCCATTGTGGTGGAACTAAACACCTATCTGGCCCAGGATTTGGAGGAGGAGGAGGAGGAGGAGGAGGAGGGGAATGAGGAGGAGGAGGAGGAGAACAAAGAGAAGAAGGAGGAGGAGGAGGAGAAGGAGGAGGAGGAGGAGGAGGAGGAGGAGAAAAAAAGTTGGAGGGGTGTAAGCTCAGCTGTTTCCCAGGAGGTGGAGGTGCTCATTGCTGGCCTAGGATGGAGAAGGTGAAGGAGAAAATCTGGCAGGAACTGCAGGAACTGCGGCCAGCAAGGTGAGCCAGCACATCAGGGACGATATGCATAAGCTCCTGTAGGCCTGGTGCCCTACACAGAATTTCCAAATGGAATAGGTTATGTTAGCTGCTTCCTTTCTGTCTTCCAGATCTTATGTGAAATGTCCCCAAGGCCCAGATTAATTCAGAATTATAGAAGAGAATTCTAGGAAAAGTAGTTGTATCTTAGTTGTCACAGTTCAAATCCACTGTGCACACTATTGTGTGTTGTGGACCCATGTGGGCAGCTTTTTGCAGCAGACTTCTCAGAACTGGACTGCTTAGTCACAGAGTGTATGTGCACTCAGTTTGACAACACAGTGTCACGTCATTCATCATAAAGGCTATACCAGGCAATACTCCCAGCTGCAGGGACAAGAGTTCCTGTCTTTTAGCATTAAACCACTTCCCTACTTCTGTAGATCTGACAGACGTAAAGCAGTATCTTATTTTAATTCAAATTCAAATTGGTCTGATTTGTCATACATTTTAACATCACTGCATATACTTGTTAACTGTGAGAGTGTCATGTTTTTTGAGTAGCCTGTTCATATTCTTTGTCCATTTTTCTACTGAGATTTTTATATTTTTCATTTTGATTTTCAGAAAGTCTTTTTGTATTCTAGGTATTCATCATATATTGATTTAGGTGTTGAAAATATCTTTTCCTAATTGTCACTTTCTGTGAAATTTCTCTAGAGTGTCTTTTGTTAAACAGAAATTCTTAATTTTGATGTAATAAATATTTTCCATCTAAAAGATTTCTAATTTAGGTAACTTACATTTCCTTTATCTACCCAAATCTATGATTCATTTTGATACTTCTTTTTAATACTATTAATTTGGGAGTATTGCAGGGAAAATCCCCAAGAAAGATTAGATTAAAATGAAATAATTATAGATAAAAGAGGAAGCATTAAATAACATTGATTTCATTCTCAAACTCTTTTCTATGTAGATGATTGTGTCATTTGCGAATAGAGACAATTGTATTTCTTATTTTGTAATCTTTATGCCTTTTGTTATTTTTGAGCTTTATTAACCTGGTTAACACCTTCAAAACAATATTTCATCGAAGTGGTAGAAGCAGATATCCTTGTTTTATTCCCAATTTTAGGGCAAAAACATTCAGTCTTTCATCATTAAGTATAATTTTAGATTTGGAGTTTTGTATATGCCATTTATCAAGTCAAGGAAGTGCCTTTCTATTCCTAATGTGAAAGTTATTTTCATGAACGGATGCTGAATTTTGTCAAATGCTTTATCTACATCTGTTTATAGTCATATTTTTCTCAGGGTATTGAAATGGTGAATCATATTCATTAATGGTCAAATATTAAACAACCTTAACAACCTTGCATTTCTGCCAGGTTTCTTTTTTTAGCACCTTAATCTCATGGATACCTGTATTAAAAAAAAAAAAAAAAAACTCTAGTTGAGTTTTCTTTGTTGCTAAACTGGATTATAGAGCCTATTAAGTATAAAGCCAGAGAGGCAGAGAGAGAGAGAAAGTTTGGGTGGGGGAAATGTAGGATTAAGAAAAGGGAATAAGAGGAGTTGAGAGTTTGGAGAGTGGAGAAGAGAAAGTGGTTTTCAGTTTTGCAGTTTAGAACGTTTGATGACTAATGGGAATTTTCCACTAACTGTGTCCTTCTGAAGAGAATACCCAGGTAAAAAGCCAGATTAGAAGTTGAGGTTTTAGGACTGGCTTTTTGAGTGACTCTTGGTTAAGTGCTTCAGATTTGTTGGTGACAGACGTGCAAATGAGGAAAGTTTCTTGGTATAAAAAAGACAACATGCAAAATATATAATTCAAAAACTAATACACCTATAAAAAGAATGTATCCCTCCATAATTAGGTGGAAGATTTTTAGCCTGACTTTCTCAGAAAATGACAGAAGGAGTATAAATAGAATACACAGATAGATGATAGATGGATAGATAAGTAGATAGATAGAGATCGAGGGGGTGGTATTTGAATAATGTAATTATCTTTTTTGGTTGCATATATACATGTATATATAATATACATAAATACAGAAGTACATATATATCTAAAGTCATGCATGTGTATTTATGTTTATGTGTATGTATGTATATTTTTTCTTCATCCAAGAAAAAATACATGTGCTTTTCAACCTAGACAGATTGTTTACATAAATCGAACATATAAGTCAAAAAAGAAGTCTGAAAAATCTCCCAAAATATAATAATTCAATAAAATTACAAAATAAAACACAAAAGATGTCTAACTCTGTTTTTTCCAATGGCATCACCAACATTTATCTATAAATTTTTAAAACAATTTAATAAACTCATGAGCAAAGAGGAAATTAAATAGAAATTGTAAAATATTTAGAACTGAAAGAAAGTATGGAGTTTCTAATATCTGTGGGAATGAAGCCAAAATAATTCTTAGTAGAAATTTTATCCTCTGAAATGCATTTACAAGGGAACAGATAGTAAATGAACTAGACTCTTAACTTAGAAAATTAGAAAAAACAAGCAAGCAAACAACGAAACAAATATGTCAACACAAAATGATTAAGAAGAAGGAAACAGTAAGGATAACAGCAGAAATTAAAGAAAAAAGTAAAAATGAAGTTGATCAACAGCCCAGAAGCTTGAACTCTGCAAACAAATTAAAGAGATGCATCTGTGGCAAATATGACAAAAGAAAAAGAGAAAAGTCATAAACTGCATTAGGAAGTAAAAAAAATACATAGTTCTACATCAAAAGAAATTTTAAAAATTAAGGGTTTTCTAAGAATAAGATAAATTACACTAATAAATTTAAATACGTAGGTGCAATGGGCAACTTTTTAGGAAAATATACATCATCAAAACTGTTCCAAGAAGCAGCAGAAAACCTGTGACCACCATGACCTTAAAAGGAATCAGGACAGTAGTTAACCTATCAATATTCAAACACCTACCAATCTTAAAACACCACTGGGCCAAAATAGAATGTTTTACTAAAATCTAAAGACCAGCGAATTCTTATGCAGATTATTTTAGAGCATAAAAAAATAAAAAGTTTCCCAATTATTTTAATGAAACCAGCATAACCATAATCCAAAGGTAACAAAAAGGGAAACAAAGCAATACAAAACCACAGGTCAGTTATAAGTATTGGCAAAACTCAGTTATAAATGCAGGTGTGAAAATCATAAATGAGATTTTTACAAAAAAGAATCTAACAGTGTTTTATTTGTATGTATGTATGTATGTATGTATGTATTTATAGAGACAGGGTGTTGCCCAAGCTGGAGTGCAATGGCTCAGTCACAGCTCACTATAGATTCAAACTCCTAGGGTCAAGTAATCCTCCTACCTCAGCCTCCTAAGTAGCTAGGACTACAGGTGAGTACCACCACATCTGTCTAATTAAAAATAATTTTTGTAGAGAGAGGACTTCGCTATGTTGCCCAGGTTGGTCTCCAACTCCTGTCCTCAAGCACTCCTCCTGCCTTGGGTTCCCAAAGTGGCCTGTAATCCCAACACTTTGAGAAGCCAAGGCAAGAGGATTGGCTGACAGTATATAATAGAATTATAAAAATTATATTGAGATCATGTAAGATTTATCCTAGGAATGCAAGGATTGTTTGTTTTTTTAAAGTATAAATATAATTTACCACAAAACAGATTAATGAAGAAAACCATACATTCATTCCAATAGATATTACAAAAGCATTTGATACATTACAGTATCTATTAATGATAGACATTGTATCAACTTTTCCGGAATAAAGATAGCTTTCTTAATCCAAAAAGTATGTCTACTAGAAACTGTGGTAAATATTATGTAGCAATGAACTGTTAAAAGAAGTCCCATTACACTCCAAGATAAAGATAAGGATGTCTACTCTTTTTTTTTTTTGAGATGGAGTCTTGCTCCATCGCCCAGGCTGGAGTGCAGTGGCACCATCTCGGCTCACTGCAAGCTCCGCCTCCCGGGTTCACGCCATTCTCCTGCCTCAGTCTCCCCAGTAGCTGGGACTACAGGTGCCCCCCACCACGCCCGGCTAATTTTTTTTTGTATTTTTGGTAGAGACGGGGTTTCACCGTGTTAGCCAGGATGGTCTCAATCTCCTGACCTCATGATCCGCCCACCTCGGCCTCCCAAAGTGCTGGGATTACAGGCGTGAGCCACCGTGCCTGGCCGAGGATGCCTAGTCTTATTAATTCAACATCATACTGGAGGGCCAGCCAAATACTGGAGGGCAATAAAAACTAAATGATATGTACATATTTGGGAGAAAACAATACAATTTTTTTTTTTTTGTCATATAGTAGTGGATTCTGTGGTGTGCTACCCAGATCTCCTCCTTTCAGGACTGAAATACTCTTCCAGCTGCTATGAAAGTTAATAGATGACTCATCTCCCTTGTGATGGTAGCTCTTGACTGAAGAACTGTTTTACTTAAGGCCACAGCCTATTCCTGAGTGTGGTTCATATGCAAAAACTGGCTAAGGTGAGAATAAAAGGCCTGTCCTTTTCCACACGGGGATTTGATCCAGGAAGAACTTCTTAGGAAGCTTCCTGCATGAAAACTGTCATCTCAGAATCAACTTCTTAGGAACCTTGAACTGAAACCCATAGTGAGGATTTTATGATCTAATTTAATCCCTCCCAAATAAACCAGCAAAATATTAAGATTAGTAAGACAGTCTATCAAAATGACCAGCAGACAAATCCCAGTTCAATGCACAAAAATGTTTTCCTTTAATTAGTAAAAACAAATTTAGAAGATATGATTAATATAAATCTTTCACAATAGCAGCACTATATAACAATAAGAAATAAAACCAATCAAATACATAGGATTTTTATGAATAAATAATTAAAATTTTATTTAAAAAATTTTTTTAGAGACAGGGTCTCACTCTATCACCCTGCTGGAGTACAGTGGCATGATCATAGTTCACTGCAGCCTCGACTCCTGGGGTCAAGTGATCCTGCTGTCTCAGTCTCCCAAGTAGCTGGGACTCCAGGCATGCACCACCATGCCTGGCTAATTAAGAAAAAAAATTTTTTTTGTAGTGACAGGTTCTCACTATGTTACTCAGGTTGGTCTCGAACTGCTGCGCTCAAGTGATTCTCCTGCCTTGGCTTCCCAAAGTGTTGGGATTATAGGCATCAGCTACTGTGCCTGGCCTGAAAGTTTTATTGAAGGACATTGAAGACTTGGATAAGTGGAGACAAATATTGCAGACAGCCTATGTTCTGTCATGATTGGGACTGATAATTGGTCAGTTGATGGCAAAACATTTCTTAAAACATGGAAAAATTAAAGAAAAAGATAAAAGTAAACTTAAAACATTTTATTGCAACTTTCAACATATAAATTTATATTTATTCACCAATGTGTTGCTGTAGAGCTATGGTCTTTATCCAAGGCCATTGATTGGAGCTCTTCATTGACTTTTTTATAAATCATATTCATAGAGATGTCATCTTGGATGTCCAGTTTCATTGCCTTTGAATTGAAACTAGTAGCTTCGAATGATGAAGCAATCTGAGAGAAGACTCTAGAATTTCACAATTTGCTTGCTTTAATGTTTGACCAATCTCTCACTTACATCTTATTTTAGCAACTTCCCTTCATTGAGCTTTTCCAAAGCATTTAATTTTGCTTTGGTATGAACAACTCTCTTTTTCGCTTGCTATGGGTTTGCATCATATTCACTTAAATTGCATAATAATATTAATGAGTGCAGTTGTCATGAAAGGGTGTGTAAGCTTTCAACTCAATTGGTGAGAACTGAAATATGTGGTTGCTCTGAGAATGCCCTTCTAGCTGGGTGCTTTAGAAGGAAATGGGTGTCACTATGTTTCAAGAAATTTGGTTACGGGAGTTTGACTCAATATGGCAAGGATATCAGTTCTTCTAAAACTAGCTTATAAATCTAATGTGATTGCCAGAACTTCATAAACTGGTTCTGAAATTCATATACAAGAATTCTAAAAAGATAAAATTGGTAGAAAGCAAAGAAAGATAACTAGTCCTACTGTATGTCAAAACATGAGTTTATAGTATCTGTAAGAGTCAGGATAAGAGCACCACATCAAGAAAATACAATAAAGAAAACAAATCATGTGTATTTAGAAATTTGGAATTAAAAATGACATTTGAAAATTGGGAGAGATTGATATTAGGACAATTGGCTCCTCATATGGAAAAAGAAATCCAATGTCTTCATATTTTATGCAAAAAACCTACCCCCAGACAACAACAAATAGCTTAAAGATCTAAATGTTTACATATATGTTATAAAACTCCAAAAAATAAAAATACAAAAATCAAAAATACAAGGAAATATTCACAGTTGACCATATCATAAAAGAGAAAGAAAACTTCTATATAACAAAAAGACATCATAAGTAAAGATAAAATACAAGCGGCCGGGCGCGGTGGCTCACGCCTGTAATCCCAGCACTTTGGGAGGCCGAGGCGGGCGGATCATGAGGTCAGGAGATCGAGACCATCCTGGCTAACAAGGTGAAACCCCGTCTCTACTAAAAGTACAAAAAATTAGCCGGGCGCGGTGGCGGGCGCCTGTAGTCCCAGCTACTCGGGAGGCTGAGGCAGGAGAATGGCGTGAACCCCGGGAGGCGGAGCTTGCAGTGAGCCGAGATTGCGCCACTGCAGTCCGCAGTCCGGCCTGGGCGACAGAGCGAGACTCCGTCTCAAAAAAAAAAAAAAAAAAAAAAAAAAAGATAAAATACAAGCAACAGACTGGGAGAAGACTTTTTTTTTCACATACAAAAATATTTGTACCTTAAAAATATAAAGAATATCTACAAACCAGTACAAAATTGCGATGACAGACATCCAAATAGAAAGAAATAGGCAAAGTCTACAATAGGCAAGACACAGAAGAGGAAATACAGCCGGCCAACAAAACATGAAAAGATGCTCAATTTAAGTACTAACTAGAAAACCGTAAAATAAAACAATGAATAAGACATAATTTTTACCCATTAAATAGGCAACAAACAAATATATAAATAAAATACAAAGTACAATAAGAACTGGGAAGAGGCTGAGTGTGATGGCTCACAACTGTAATCCCAGCACTTTGGGAGGTCAAGACCGGTGGATCACTTGAGGTCAGGAGTTTGAGACCAGCCTGGGCAACATGGTGAAACCGTGTCTCTACTAAAAATACAAAAATTAGCCAGGCATGGTGGTGCATGCTTGTGATCCCAGCTATTTGGGAGGCTAAGGAGGGAGGATCACTTGAACCCTGGAGGCGAAGGCTGCAGTGAGCCACTGCACTTCAGCTGGGGCAACAGAGTGAGACCCTGTCTCAAAAAAAAAGAAAAAAAAAAAAGAACTGGGAAGTTTGTGGAGAACTAGATACTCCAATACATTGCTGATGAGACTATAATGTAGAGTATATCATAATATGCCACTTCAGAGGGCTACATAGCAGTAGTCATTAAAATGAGAAATGCATCTACCTAAGACTTCCCCTTTTTTAATATCCAGCCTACACTTGCACATGTGGGCAATAATATAGGTAAAAGGACGTTCTCTGGAATAATGGTGAAGTAAACAATCCACAAATAGTAGGATAGCCAATAATTGGATTCACAAGACATAGTATTCCACAAAAGTTAAAAATAATATACTGGTTATTTATATAATGACAATAGATAGAGCTAAAAATACATATTGTTGCATGAAAAATGTAAGTATTGATTGACACTTATAGTAGCAGTTTCTATGGGTACATATACATAAGTTTGAAAATATTAAATAACATAGATTTAAAAGTCCTAACAGAGCTAACTCTAGTGATTGAGTTGATGTTAAAGAGGAGTTTAAATTTATTGGTTATGACTTTTTAAAGAAGACCATATTTGTGTGTTCCTTGTGTAATTAAAAATTAATTACATATGTATCAGTGAACATATCTAATTTCTAATTCATTGAGGACAGGACAGATAACTGTATTTCCAACACAAGCACAGTGCCTGGCACAAACTCAATAAAGTTTGGTTAAATGTATAAAGAAATGAATGGATTAATAGATGAATGGTAAGATAAACGAGTAGGTGGGTGAGTAGATACAGATTTGGGGATCTGATTTGGGTGGGGCTGGAGGAAACACGTATGTTTTTTAAAGCCTCATAACCTTTTCATTGATGGTCCCTTGAGAATGGTGACGGGTGGTGTATTAGTCTGCTAGGGCGGCCCTAATCCAGTAATACCGAGGACCTTATAAGAGACATCAGATTCTCTCTCTCTCTCTCTCTCTCACCCCCTGACCCCCCCACCCCCCACCCCCCACCCCCATACATGCATGGAGGAAAGCCCATGTGAGGACAGAGAGAAGGCAGCTGTCTGCAGGACAGAAAGAGAGTCCTCACCAGAATCCAACTCTGTTGGTGCCTTGATCTTGGACTTCCGGCCTCCAGAACTGTAAGAAATAAAACTCTGTTGTTTAAGCCACCCAGCCTGTGACATTCTGTTATGGCAGCCCTGACTAACACAGGTAGCATAAGGAAATATTTAGGAATGGGCTTAGCAAGCCCATTCATTTTTTCACTACTTAAAAATTAATGTAACTGGGCCCAATGCTCTGGTGTGTGTGGTAGGGAAGCCCTCCCCTGCCCTGCTCATGCCTGACTAGGTACCCACTGTAACATTTTCCCCCTCAGGAGTCCAAGACTCCAAACTTCTGGGAGAAAATGAACGAAGGAGACAGGTTTTCTTTATGGCTCCAAATTTCATGAAATGAAATGTTGCAGGATATATCTATCTGCAATAGAACATGTTAAGTATTGCTTTCCATTGAGTGCTCATGAAAACAAAGGAAGGAGAGTAAAGAGTCAAGGCAAAAATCCTCCTGTATGGGGGTTAGGAGGATCCACTCTTTTAGCAGTTCATCTTTGTATTCTTAATGTGGCCTTGTATTGGCCATGTTGGTGATTTGTTTGGGGACTAATGTGCCTAGCTTTGTTCATAGGAAGGATCTAAGGCAATACGAAGGAGTAAATATATGTGTAGGATTATCTTTATTTTTATTTATCTTAATTGACAAATAAAAACTGTATATATTTATTGTGTATGTAAAACTTAATGTAATTGTTTCCTTTCATTTCCAAGGCACATTTGTGAGGAAACTTCACCTTGACCAATTTGAGGACCACTGACTTGGAAAGTATATTCTCTTTCAGAGCAGGAGGGATGAACAAGATTTGACTCCTGCAGCCTCTAGATGGCTGCCTTAGGATCTGGGCAAGTGCAGCCTGCCTCAGCTCCCATCTGTGTCTACTTTACATTCCAGTAGAACAGGGCTGTTTGCTGTTGCCTGTTCTTTCTGATTAACCTGTACTCATCGTGTACATCTTTGACCAGCACCATCCACTCCATTAATCTTCCTGGAGGTAGGTCCAGCTGGAATAACTTGTGCATTTCTCATTGTGGAACTTCCACAATGTTTTGTAATTATCTGTATTTATATGCATTTTCCCTATGGGCTGGAAGCTTCTTGAGAACAGGATTTTTGCCTTCATTCAGCATTTTCCAAAATTAGTGTGCCTCCAAATCACCTGGGGAACTTGTTAAAATGCAGATTCTGATTTGGTAAGTCTGAAGGGTGGCCTCAGACTCTGCATTTTAACCAAACCTCCAAGTGATGCCAGTGTAATTGGTTCTTGGCCCATAGTTTGAGTAGTGAGGCTTTTTTGTGCTCTTGGGATCCAGAACAACATGGCTGATTGGGCTTATGTGAAGGGGAGCCATCTGCTGTTATCCCAGTGGATCTCAATTCTGGCTTCACACTAGAATGCCATGGAGAGCTTTAAGCAATTCTATTGCCTAGGTCCCACCCTGAGAGATTCTGATTTAAGTAGTTTGGAGTGGAGCCTGGGCACCGGTAGGTTTTAAAGCTTGAATGTATCCCTTGGATTAAGAATCACTGGTTAAGACTATTAACTCTTTGAAGATGGGGATTCTTCATGTTATTCCTGGGCCTATCACAGGACCTGGTGCACTGGGGCCACTTAATATAAGTTGAGTAAATTAACTCCTTTATCTTGGCTCAGATTCAGTGTTTCTAAGATACTTTCATGTTTCAGGGTGGGCAGAAAATTTTCTTTAAAAGGAAGGTAGTGCTGGAAGTGACACATTTATTAGGTGACAAAGTCAAGGGTGAGTGTGTCAGGGGGCCCTGAATTAGTAAATAAGCCAACCCTAGTGACATCTTACCACTCAGAGTGGGTGGTAGAGGGGCCCCACTAGGGAAGTTAGGCCTTTTAAAGCTGCTGCAAGAAAGAAACTTCTCCCAGCTTATATTCTAAGAGTCCCTTAACTGCTCTTGGAGCAATGAGCAAATTGGAATTAGATAGTTTCTTGTTTAGTCTGCTCATGTATTTTAAAATATTTACTGTACAAGTAAGTAGGAAACCAAATTGACTGAAGCCCAGGCATCCTAGCAAAGAGGATTTTCAGGAAACCTCTACTGCCTTCAGAAGAATTTTAGTTTTCAAGCGTTGAAAAAGTTAGGACAGTCTCTGAGAGAGGCCTTAACAGTAAATAAAGACAGACAATGGCTCAGGAAGGTTCTTGGTACTAGAAGAAGAGGCAAAACAGTTATTTGAAAAGTAAACTGTAGTAAAGGCTGCCTTGAGTCAAATGGCTTCTGAGAATGTCCAGTGGGTCAAGTCCAGCTAGTGTTCAGCAGCTAGAGACTGACGTGTGCTGGCAGGGAGTCTCTACCAGCTCAGGAGAACTTACAATTAAATTTCTGGCAGTTCTATGAGCCAGTTTTTAACACCGTGTAGCCTTAAACTCCTAGGTTCAAGGATCATGTACTACTACAACCACGCACAATTAATTTACAAAAAGGTTGGTTTTTTTTTTTTTTTTTTTTGAGAGACAGCGGTCTTGCTATGTTGCCCAGGATGGTCAGGAATTCTTGGTCCCAAGTAATCTTCCTGCCTTGGCCTCCCAAAGCTCTAGGATTGCAGGTGTGAGCCACTGAGCCATACCAAGAGTATATGGTGTTTTTACCTGTTATATTATAAATGGCCAACAAATATTGCTGCAGTACTCTTCTAGGATTTGAAAATTATATTTGAATTTAGCGAATAAGTCACTCGTAGTTGATGAATGAATGAAGTTCTGATTTGTCTTCATTGTTTCACTTTCCTCTTACTCATTAATAACTTGTTAATAGCATTAAGGAAAATATCAACCCAATTTCATGTGGAAAGTACACTGATGGTTATGGACAAAAAAGTTTAACAAAAATTGATGAAAGTGTCCTGTGAGACTCAATACATGGAAATTATAATAAATAGTATCATATATTTTATTATTTCTAAATTATGTGCTGCATGTCCTTTAAATTGGCGATGTTTATAATGAACTTGTGCGTATATGCATATATATATATATAATTTTCAAAGCCACATTTATTAAATATTTTCCAGTCCAACACTGGCTAGAGGTAACCTATACTCTTTGTCAAGAAAACAGAGAAACAACCATGCCCAGGGGCAGCATGGCAGTGATTAAGCCATGGGTTAATCTGGGCTCAAATCTGCCTGGGTTCAAATCTAATTCTGGGTAACTTTCAGCATGTTACTTAATCTCACTGTGCCTTAGTTTTCTCAAATCTGAAAAACCTACTTCATATGATTTTTATAATGTTTAAATGCAATGATATACACTAACCCTTAGAACAGTGTCTGGTAGTATACCAAATTATTATTATTAGTGGTAGAATAAAAAAAAACAAGTACCCTAACTTCTGATCACAAGATTTTCTAAATTTTGATTTTTTTCCACTGATAAAATTTAAAAAATGATGCTCACAAAATTGTTGTCCCAGGAAGATTGGTAAATGTGTTCTGATTTAAAATGGACTATCTATGCTGCTTTGTCTGCAAGCAAGGGATGAAATAAACAGTGGGCAGCAGCTTCTGCTCTACTGATATTTCTCATGAAAAATTATTATTCTGGTTTTTGCTTTGGTTGAATCATATGAAGTTGCCAATCTTCCACCATTTCTTAGAAAGGTTTATTGAGATATAATTCACATATCATACAACTTACCCATTTAACATGTACAGTTTAAAGTTTTTTAGTGTATTTACAGATACATGCAGCCATCACCACCATCAATTACAGAACATTTTTATCACTTCGAGAAGAAACCCCATATCTTCTACCTTCACATCTGTATCCCTCTAGGCAACCACTAGTAGATCTTTCTGTTTCTAGAGATTTCCCTGTTCTGGACTTTCATATAAGTGAAATAATATAACATATGGTCTCTAGTGACTGACATTTTTCACCTAGCATAATGCTTTCCAGGTTCATCCATGTTGCAGAATATATCAGTACTTCATTTATGTTTATGACTGAATAATATTCCATTATGTGGATATATTCCATTTTGTTTATCTGTTCATCTATTGATGGACATTTGAGTTGTTGCCACTTTTTGGCTATTGTGAATAATACTGGTTATAAACATTCGTGTACCAGTTTCTGTGTGAACATATTTTCTTTTCTCTTGGATAGACACCTACTAGTGGAATTGCTGGCTCACATAATAACTTGTTTTATTGTTTGAGGAGCTACAAGACTGTTTTCCAAAGTAGGCTCACCATTTAACATTCCCATCAGCAGTGTATGAAGGTTATGTTTCCAAATCCTCACCAGAACTTATCTGACTTTTTGATTCTAGCCATCTTGGTTAGTATAAAGTGGTATTTCATTTTGGTTTTGATTTGCATTTCTGTGATACCTAGTCACGTTGAACATTTTTTCATGTGTGTATTGGTCATTTGTATCTCTTCTTTGGGAAAATATCTATTCAGATTCTTTACCCATTTTTTAATTGGATTGTCTTCATATTATTGAGTTGTTAGAGTCTTTTATATATTTTAGATAGAAGTTCCTTATCAGATATGTGATATGCAAATATTTTCTCTCATTTTGTGAGTTGTCTTTTCACTTTCTTAATGGTGTCTTTTGAAGCACAAAAGTTTTGAATTTTGATGAAGTCTAACTTATCTATTTTTTTCTTTTGTTGCTCATGCTTTTGGTGTCATATCTTAGAATCCTTTGCCAGATCCCAGATCATGAAGGTTTACTCCTATATTTGCTTCTAAGAGTTCTGTAATTTTTGCCCTTATATTTAGGTTTTGATCCATTTTGAGTTAAGTTTTTATGCAGTGTGATATAGGGGTTCAGTTTCATTCTTTTGCATGTGGCTATTCAGTTTTCTCAGAATCATTTATTGAAAGGCTATCATCTCTCCATCAAATGGTCTTGACACCCTTGTAATCAGTTAACTGCAGATGTATAGGCTTATTTCTGAATTCTCAATTCTATTTGATTGATTTATATGCCTATACTTGTGCCAGTAGCACACTCTCTTATTACTATTGTTTTGTAGTATTAAAATAGGGACCTCTGAGCCCTCCTACTTTATTATTCTTTTCCAGGATTGTTTTGGGTATACTTGGTCCCATGAAATTTCATATGAATTTTAGAATCAGCTAATTTGTATAAAGAAATCAACAGGATTTTGAAAGGTATTGTATTGTGGGATCTGGCCAGCAGCCCGCAATGCAATGGGGCTCTCTCTTTGTTCCCAGGTGGATTGGCAGGTCGAGAAATAATAGACACACACAAGATAGCGAAAGCTGGGTCCAGTGGGGTCACCGCCTTCTGGTCCCATGGTGCCAACAATGCACTGGATATACGAGCATTGATTATTAAGTTTAGTGAGGGCAGGGGTAGGTTAGTGAGGGATTCAGGGTCATTTGATTATGAGGTGAGATGGTCACATGGGGTTGAAGTAATTCTTTAACGTAACATCTGTATGCAGAAGTACAGTATACAGGGATAAGAATTTACAATATAGTGTGTACATTAGTAATTTCTAACAGAGCCTTAAAACAGAAACACAGTCTTTCCATAACCTATGATTAGCAAGATATTAATCAGCAGTAACAGTTGCAACAAAAGCTGGTTACAAACAATTCATAGAAACAGGACATGAAGCTAGACAACTGGTTAGACCAGAAATTCTCAGAAGGGAGTATGCCTTAACCCTAAAGAGGCCTAGAAAAGCCATGGCAAGATGAGGGCGTTTATAGCCCTGTCTTATCCATATGGACAGGCGCCCCCCTATGCATCTGTTTATAGGCTCTCCACAAGGATCACATTCCATTCCCAGAGCTATGAACATCTGCTTTTCTGGGATAGGAATCTTGGTGATGTGAAACCTCCCTGGCTCCACGTCCATTCATAGGCTCTCTGCAGGGGGAAGCACATCATGTGCTATTGGCTCATTCTGGCAGTCCAACCTGGCATTGTCTTTACACAGTCCTGCATGCAACTTTGTATTTATGATAATCAGGAGCATTTCATCTTTTATTCCATAGCAATAGTTTCAGGGGGTCTCCCTACAGTATTGCACTGAATCTATAGATTATTTTGGTGAGTATTGCCATCTTAACCATGTTAGGTCTTCTGATTCATGAGCATGGGATGTTTTCACACATATTTAGAGCTTTCTTAATTTCTTCCACAATGCTTTGTAGTTTTCAGAGTATATGTTTTACAGTTTTTTTTTGCTAAATTTATTCCTAAATATTGTATCATTTTGCTGCTGTTTGTATGGTTATGAATTATTCATTGCAAGTGTATAGAAATACAATTTATTTTTGTATATTGATCTAGTATTTTTCAACCTGCAGAACTCATTTATTAGTTCTAATAATTTTATTGAATTCATTATGATTTTCTCTATATAAGATCATATCATCAGCAGTAGATATCATTTTATTTCATACCTAGAAATACAGCTAACTAGGGAATTGAAAGTTCTCTACAAGGAGAACTACAAATCACTGCTTAAAGAAATCAGGGATGACACAAACAAATGGAAAACATTTCATGCTCATGGGTAGGAAGAATCAATAGTATTAAAATGGTCATACTGCCCAAATCAATGTATAGATTCAACACTATGCCTACTAAACTATCATTGATAGTCTTCATAGAACTAGAAAAAACTATCTGGGGACTCATATGGAACCAAAAAAAAGCCCAAATAGCCCAGGTATTTCTAAATTATGTGCTGCACATCCTTTAAATTGGCGATACTTATAATGAACTTGTGTGTATATGCACATATATATACATTTTATTTTCAGAGCCACATTTATTAAATATTTACCAGCCCAACACTGGCTAGAGGTAATCTATACTCTTTGTCAAAAAAACAGAGAAGTCACCATGCTCAGGGACAAAAAAAACTATCCGGGGACTCATATGGAACCAAAAAAAGAGCCCAAATAGCCCAGGTAATCCTAAGCAAAAAGAACAAAACTGGAGGCATCACGCTACCCAAGTTCAAACTATACTACAGGGCTATGATAACCAGAACAGCATGGTACTGGTATAAAAACACACATAGACCAATGGAACAGAATAGAGAGCTAAAAAATAGGACCGTACACCCACAACCATCTGATCCTCAACAAACCTGACAAAAACAAGTAGTGGGAAAATTAACTCAAGATGGATTAAAGACTTAAATGTAAAACCACAAACCATAAATATCCTGGAAGATAACCTAGGCAATACCACATAGGCACTAGCAAAGATTTCATAATGAAGATGCCAAAAACAAAATTGCAAGAAAACCAAAATTGACAAATGGGATCTAATTAAACTAAAGAGGTGCTACACAGCAAAAGAAACTATCAACAGAGTAAACAGACAACCTGCAGAATGGGAAAAAAAGTTACAAACTATGCATCTGAAAAAGGTTTCATCTCCAGCATCTATAAGAAACTTATATAAATTTATAAGAAAACAAACAAACAACCCCATTAAAAACTGGGCAAAGAACATGAACTGAAACTTTTCAAAAGAAGACATACATTTGGCCAATAACATATGAAAATAGGTCTATATCATTGATCATTAGGGAAATGCAAATCAATATCACAAAGTGATACCATCTCACACCAGTTAGAATGGTTATTATTAAAAAGTCACAAAATAACAGATCATGGTGAGGTTGTGGAGAAAAGGGTCTGCTTATACACTATTGGTGGGAGTGTAAGTGGGAGTTCAGCCATAGTGGAAGACAGTGTGACAATTCCTCAAAGACCTAAAGACAGAAATACCATTTGACCCAGCAACCCCATTACTGGATATATACCCAAAGAAATATAAATAATTCTATTATAAATACACATGCATGTATATGTTCACTGCGTGCAGCACTATTCACAATAGCAAAGACATGGAATTAGTTGGTAGACTGGATAAAGAAAATGTGGTATATATACACCATGGAATACTATGCAACCATAAAAAAGAACAAGATCACGTCCCTTGCAGAAACATGGATGGAGCTAGAGGTCATTATCCTTAGCAAACTAACGCAGGAATAGAAAACCAAACACCACATGTTCTCACTTATAAGTGGGAGCTAAATGATGAGAATACGTGGACACCTAGAGAGGAGCAACACACACTGGGGCCTTTCAGAGGACAAAGAGTAGGAGGAGGGAGAGGATCAGGAAAAATAACTAATGGGTACGAGGCTTGATACCTGGGTGATGAAATCTGTACAACAAACCCCCATGACAAAAGTTTACTTATGTAACAAACCTGCACTTATACTCCTGAACTTAAAATAAAAGTTTTAAAAAAGGTACCATTTTTCTTCTTTTCCAATCTGGAAAGAGGACTTTTATTTCCTTTTCTTTTCTCATTGCCCTGGCTAGAACTTCTAGTGCAATATGGAATAGAAATGGTGAGAGTGGAAATTCTTGTCTTACTCCTGATATTAGGAGAGAAACATCCAGTCTTTCATCATTAAATGTGATGTTAGTTGTGGGCTGTTCATAGATGTTCTTTATCAAATTGAGAAGGTTCCCTTCTTTTCCTAGTTTGTTAAGTGTTGTATCACAAAAGGGTATTGGAATTTTGTCAAGTCCGTGACCATTTGGTTGCAAAAATGGAAATTGCATGTGGTTCAATCAAATAGATTACTCTCATGTTAATTTGGTAAGTATCAGCCAGTCTTCCAGAGTCTGAAAATGCCTGGGAATATAAATATTGAATGAATGCTTCAGTCTGGCTGGGCCTAGAATGTGATGACCACACCCCCATCCTGCTTTGCTGAGGAGACTTGCTTGGGCAGTCACTTCTTCTTCCAGGCCATGCCTCTATCTCTTGCCCATTCACACAGCATCCTAGCATTAAATGAGGTCACATCCAGGAAGATGCTTTGAATGTGAGGGATTAGGATTAGTCTATTTGCACTGTTTCAGGTGGTAGCCAGGGTAGTAAAAGCTCATTACCTCTTATATGAAAACTTTGGGCTAGCATTTCAGAATTCAGAATTTTGGGATCTCAGCAAGCTAATATGGCAAATATATGGTATATTGTATTAAAATCCCCAGTGGGGTTTGATGCATCAACCTGTAGTCAAACACATAGACATTTCTGTAGCAGAATCAATGGATGCTCCCATTAGGTTTTTCAAATAAAGACTATAAATAGCTTCACATCAGTTCAGATCAGGTGTCACTACCAAATGAATTCAGACCATGTTAAGTATTGTCAACCAAATGAGTAATAAAGAAACTTGTGGGTTTGGAAAGTGGATAAGAGGCTGTGGCCTATACTCATTGGCTAATTCAGGCAATTCTGCTTTGTTCCACACTGTGTATAGTTTTACCTGCCTGTAGCCTAGCCCCTCCCCTTAACCTTCCCATTAGGAGATTTCTGGAGGGAACAAGCAAAAAACACACACTTTTTTTTTTTTTTTTCACCTGCACACCATTCAGCAGCATTTTCATCACCTTCCCACCAGACAAGGAAACGGGCTTCAGATCCTGTGGGAGTTTGAACTGGGAGTAAAATTATATAGGATATGCTTGCCTAGCAGAGTAGAAGAGAGTACAAGGCAAACACCATATGAGTTTGCAGTTTTACCAGTAAGATAATGATTCAGTTATGGAGGATAGCTCCTATGGTTTTGTATAACATTAATTTGGGTTTTCAGGGATGACAAAACTTATTTAGAAGCTGACTCAGGGGATAAATTTTGATTTAGCAAACAGTCTCAGAGAACGGTGTTTCAAAGACAACCACCTTGTCCAGGAGTCTGCCTTTGAAAAAACTGAGAAACAACCAGTTTTGATGGATTCTTTCATTCTCTATAGGCCTTCACTAGATCCCCATCCCATCCTAGGATTCTCTACCATTCTAGAACAAAATTCCCACTCACTAGTTGACATGGACTCAGAAAGAAAGCTAAGCAATAGTGTATTTACTCTCCAAATATGACCATTGATTATCTAACATACGTTTTCACCAAAGTACTTTTATTGTAGAGGATGTCAGAGGTATTAAAGAAGCCACACCCCTAGTGACAAATACCTTTACTGCCTCCTGTTTTACCTTACACATTTGTGAGAATTTAAAAATCTATACAATAAATTATTCTTTTTAACACAAACATAAATTTTCCTCAAACATTTTTAAGAATAATTAATACACCAGGAAGATAATTTATGCTTATCTGGGGCCTTGCATATTCACTATCAGCATGGCCAGGATCCAGGAGGTCACATGTACCTGTCTGAGAAACATGAAATTGATGTGTTGTCCTCTGAGCTATCCCTGAAAGAGTAGACTTCAGGTACTATATTGACGACTGTCTACCTCATCTTACAACCCCCAACTGGATCAAGTAACCACAGATCTTGGTTATAGAAGACAAGGGTTTAACAGGACACTAATAGCAATTATGTCATGTTCTAAACCTTTTGTTTTTATTTGCTTGGAAGCTGAGGCCCAGGAAAGTTGAAGGACTTCCTCAAGGTCACAGAATCAGGACTAGTTTCTAGACCTCCTAACTCCAATCCCATTTGAACTTAGGGGGTAGTATATGACTGGTGTCTGACTGATACCAGTCAGAAAACAGATGGGTTGTGTGGATGAATCAGCTACACTTCTATCCTTTTCACATAACCCAGACAGTTCAAAGGAGTTGGAGATGCATTTGCTGTATTTTGCTTTTTGCAAAGGATAAGTGTCTCTTCCCAACTTTTATGATTTGAATAATGATTTAACAATGAAGATCCTGGAAACACAAACTCTATGGGAGGTTGGTAAACTTTTATTTATAAGATATGCTTATAAATAAAGGATATCTTTATTTTCAGTGCTGGGCTGCTCAGGATTAGACTAGAGTGAAGAAAACTGGATTGTATTTAGATTTTTCTGATATATTTGAAAGCTGAAAAGAAAGTATAGGAAATAAATACTTTTTTTTCATTTAAGATTTTAAAAGGAATTTAAGTGCTTGTTAAAAAAAAAGTTGCCTCTTGACTGTCGGTAATCTTTTCGGCAGACATAGAAAGGGAAACCTTTATACCTTTGTATTTTTAGTTCCTAACAAAGGACAACTGTGCATGAATGGGGAGAACATTAACCCCCACTTGCCCTCAAATGTAACCTGTGATCACATTGTGCCAACTACACCAGTGAGCACCAACAAATATAGTTATTAATTGAGGTTTCTCAAACATCTGGACTTTTGGCACCCAGAACCAAAATAGCTGGACATTTGTTTGAATTCTCTACTTGTTTTCCAAGCTTGACATTGAGTCAGAATAATAGCAGTTATAGACTACTTCCTATATGCCAGAGTCAGGCTAAATGTTTTACCTGTATTAGCTTGTTTAACCTTCACAACCATCAAATGAGTCCTAAAGTATGAATGATTCCTTTTAGAGATGAGGGTACTGAGGCTCAGAGAAGGAAGCACAGAGCTGATATGAGAACACTGTCTGTCTGATTATAAACCCTGAACTGAGAGTGTTTCATTTTGGCAAAATGACTACAGAGGGCAACAAATGATATAAATCCAATTTGTAGCTACCCTACTAAAAGAAAGAGTGACTGTACAATATCTGAGTTAATAACATTACTCAGTAGTATCACCATTGTTAGCAAATTTGATAATTTGGGGAAAATTTTTCCTTCTCTTGAATTACTCTGATGCATTCAAATTCACCTGATAATTGTGTATTACATGTATTACCCTTTGAGTATTAAAACAACTGAAAATACCTGCATCTTTGTCAGATTAAATAATTTAGAAAATGAAAAAATACACAAAAACAAATTAAATAAACATAAGACTCAATCCCTGGGTTAAAGATGAATATTGCAGTTTTCTTTACTAGTTAGTGGCTAGAGTTTTAACTAGGTAACCTTGAGCAAGTTACTTAATCTCTTAAGCCTCAGTTTTCTCATCTTTAAAACACAAATGATAACAAAACCTACTTTAGCCTACTTTGCTAAAGGATGGAATAAAAAAATGCATGTAAAGTGCTTAACACAGTGCCTGGCTTATAGCATGGTTTCAAAACATAGTTAATTATCTGTCATAACTTAAGCTGGTACCATGGGAGAACTGGAATTCAGAAGTACACCTGAGGTCTACTCCCACCAATGGGGTGGGGGGCTGGGGTGGGTCACTGGAGAGCAGAGAAACCTCATGCAACTTTCACCCTTTCTCCTTGTTTCTGGATCTTCAGTCGCAGAAGTAAGCCAGCTTCACTTCCTCTGTTACTACTGCCCCCTGCTGGCTGGGGAGGGAAAGATGCGATGGCAGAGCTGAAATTGTTTGCTTTCCTTTCTCTGCTTCTCACACTTCTCTGTGCCAGGTCTTCAGGTTTCTTTAAATATTAAAGCTGACTAACCCTAGCCTCCTGTAAAAGGATGTGAGAGCATGAATATGATCACTCTCTCTTTAGTACTGTAAAATTTTATGGTTATGTAGAAATTCAATGTTAAAAAAACCCCAACAACTCTATGATGAAATTTCTCTGGATAAATAATTAGTTATGCCCAGAGACACATTGTGGGGGCAGTGCATTTTTTGACCTTTCAACATAGACAGATGGTTTACGCATCTTCAGCATTCAGAGTTTTCTGAGGAGCATTATATAATCTCAGTGTGGTCACCAAATGAAATAAGAAATTCCTCATTTGGCAGATGGAGCTTGCGTATCGAGTTCATAAACTTTAATACTTCTCCCAAGTCCAAAATCAGAGACAACCTGCTCCCAAGTCAGTTTCCCATTTGCACTTAATTAGGGAGTGTGTTTTGGAGGTCAGTGAAAACCAGTGGAGTATGTTTTCATAATAACTTCCCTCACAATAAAATTATTTGGGAGGCAGCTATCCAACTTTTTCTGGAATGAGGGCAAGAAAAATGGGGACACAAAGTGAAGTTATTGGATACCTTATCTGGAACTGCCCAAAATGTTGACTGAGATCCAAAGAACACACAGTACCTTCTGGATCAGGGAAAAGGAGCCAAATGTTTTTATAGTCCCAACAATTTTCTTAACTACAATTTTGCTTCATTTCTAACAACGAAGTGAAGTACTTTTAAGGATTCCAAATACTAGAGAACAAAAGCCTTCTCAGAGTTGTAATCATGTCATACAGAAATAGAGACAGTAAGTATCCTGGTTAAGGAAAATGTGAATATGTGGATGAACAAAAGTGACTGGTAGTTAGGACAGGTAGCCAGACTGTCACTTACTGGCTGGATGCTTTTGTGTATTTGGGTTTAACAAAGATAACATGGTGAGTCCCAAACATGTTGCACCTCACTTTATAAAGTGTGATATCACTGTAGCTGTAGGAAAGTGTATTGTGCTTGTATTAGCCTTTTTCTAAAATGTCCTAGAATAATTCTAAGTCACAAATCAAATTAGAGAGAGTAAACTTCCTTAATAGATTAAGAAATCAAATTCTGATAGACTAGTACTTCTTTGTAGTTTTTTAAATAATATTTTTGCTATTTTTTCTGAGACAGAATTTTGCTCTTGTCACCCAGGCTGGAGTGCAATGGTGCAATCTCGGCTCACTGAAACCTCTGCCTCCCGGGGGTCAAGCTATTCTCCTACCTCAGCTTCCCGAATAGCTGGGACTACAGGCATGTGCCACCACGCCCAGCTAATTTTCTTTTCCTTTCTTTTTTTTTTTTTTTTGTATTTTTAGTAGAGATGAGGCTTCTCCATGTTGGCCAGGCTGGTCTCAAACTCCTGACCTCAGGTGATCCACCCACCTCGGCCTCCCACAGTATTGGGATTACAGGCGTGAGCCACTGCACCTGGACTATTTTTGCTATTTCTAAATTGCATTTGGCTTTTATAACTCCCATCAATCTAGAAGGACATGGCAAGATCCATAAATTTCTGAATTGTGGTTGGTGAACTTTTATCTCAATATGAAGCTGATGGCTGCAATATGTTGAAAGGATTTTCAACCTCATATACAGAATATGGTTAACTGTTTCCTCTTTCTCTTACTCGTACACACACACACACACACACACACACACAATGACTTGAGGTAAGATTTGTTATAATTATACTGTGTATGTTCAGTGAGAAATTGTTCTGAGATGAAGTCCTGAGGCTTCTCAACCAAATTTCTCTCAAAGGCAGTTCATATGTCAAGTTGTTACATTCACCAAATGACTGAAGTGTAACCATAACAAGGGAGCATGACCCATGCATCAGAATGAATACACTATTTCTCTTTAGTCTCTTAATTTAATAGTGATGATAACAAGGAATTTGTTATACTTCGTTTCCAATATTTGGCAGATCATTTGGATTATGGCCTTTATAAGTTACCTGTACGTAAATCACCCTAAATTCAGTTCAGCTGGTATTTTTCAGTGGCAACAGAAGTAACTTCATTTTATATATTAATTGTATGAGGTTTTGATATTTCAGGCTGCTATTTTAGGTCATGTACTGTGTGGTAGGCAGCTGCTAAGATGTCCCCCACTTATCCCTGTCTCCTGGTATTGACGCTGTTCTCTTCAGTATCACTGAACTTACATCTAATGAATAGAACATGATAGAAAACGATGGGATGTTCTTAACAAGGTTAGGTTAGAAAAAGACTGTGGCTTCTGTCTTGGATGCCCTCTCTGGATCTCTCTCTCTGGGAGCCTTCAGGCTTTGGGAAGTATGCTGCCATATTGTATATGGCCCTATGGGGAGATGCCCAGATGACAAAAACCAACCAACCAAACAAAACCCACAAAACCTAAAAATAAAAAATAAACCCTTATAAACCTGGTCAACAGCCAGTGAGTACCTGAAGCTTGCCAAGAGTCGCATGAGCAGTCTTGGAAGCAGATCCTCCCCTAGTCAGGCTTTGAGATGACTGCAGCCCCAGCTCATACCATCATTGCAGCTTTGCAAGAGACCTGGAACCAGAATGCACTCAGCTAAGCCATGCCCAGATTCTTGACTCATAGAAATTGTGAGATTGTAAATGTTTGTTATTCTGAACAGCTAAGTTTTGGGCATATTTGTTACATAGCAATTGATAACTTACAAACCTCTCTAAGTCTATGGATGGCTAAATATCACAGAGTAGCCATCCTTAAGAATAGTCAGAATAGTCAGTGATCAAATACTCTGATCCATATTCTTTGGCAGAAATTATAAGCCAGGTCTTCATCTAAAAGAAGAAATGTGATTCCGGGCAAGATGGCCTAATGGGAACAGCTCTGGTCTGCAGCTCCCAGCAAGACCAACGCAGAAGGCAGGTGATTTCTGCATTTCCAACTGAGGTACCCAGTTCATCTCATTGGGACTGGTTAGACAGTGGGTGCAGTGCATAGAGGGCGAGCTGAAGCAGGGTGGGGCATCACCTCACCTGGGAAGTGCAAGGGGTCAGCGAACTCCCTCCCCTAGCCAAGAGAAGCCCCAAGGGACTGTGCTGTGAGGAATGGTGCATTTGAGCCCAGATACTACACTTTTCCCACAGTCTTCGAAACCCACAGACCAGGAGATTCCCTAGGGTGCCTACACCACCAGGGCCCTGGGTTTCAAGCACAAAACTGGGTAGCCATTTGGGCAGACACTGAGCTAGCTGCAGGAGGTTTTTTTTTGTTGTTGTTGTTTTTTCATTTCAGTGGTACCCAGAACACCAGCAAGACAGATCTGTTCAATCCCCTGAAAAGGGTGCTGAAGCCAGGGAGCCAAGTGGTCTAGCTCAGCAGATCCCACACCCATGGAGCCCAACAAGCTAAGATCCATGGGCTTGAAATTCTTGCTGCCAGCACGGCAGTCTGAAGTCAACCTGGGATGCTCAAGCTTGATGGGGGGAGGGACGTCCACCATTACTGAGGCTTGAGTAGGCAGTCTTCCCCTCATAGTGTAAACAAAGCCGCCAGGAAGTTCTGACTGGGCTGAGCCCACTGCAGCACTGCAAAGCCACTGTAGCCAGACTGCCTCTCTAGATTCCTCTTTGGGCAGGGCATCTCTGAAAGAAAGGCAGCATCCCCAGTCAGGGGCTTATAGATAAAACTCCCATCTCCCTGGGTCAGAGCACCTGGGGGAAGGGGCGGCTGTGAGCGTGGCTTCTGCAGACTTAAACTTTCCTGCCTGATGGCCCTGAAAAGAGCAGTGGATCTTCCAGCACAGCGCTCAAGCTCTGCTAAGGGACAGACTGCCTCCTCAAGTGGGTCCCTGACCCCCATACCTCCTGATGGGGAGACACCTCACAGAAGAAGTAGACAGACACCTCATACAGGAGAGCTCTGGCTGGCATCCAGTGGGTGCCCCTCTGGGATGAAGCTTCCAGAGGAAGGAGCAGACAGCAATCTTTGCTGTTCTGCAGCCTCTGCTGGTGATACACAGGCAAACAGGGTCTGGAGTGTACCCCCAGCACACTCCAGCAGACCTGCAGAAGAGGGGCCTACTGTTAGAAGGAAAACTAACAAACAGAAAGCAATAGCATCAACATCAACAAAAAGGATTACCATGCAAAAATCCCATCCGAAGGTCATCAACATCAAACACCAAAGGTAGATAAATCCAAAAAGGTGAGGAAAAGCCAGTGCAAAAAGGCTGAAAATGTCAAAAACCAGATTGTTTCTTCTCCTCCAAAAGATTACAACTCCTTGCCAGCAAGGGAACAAAACTGGATGGAGAATGTGTTTCACGAATTGACAGAAGTAGGCTTCAGAAGGTAGGTAATAACAAACTCCTCCAAGCTGAAGGAGCATGTTCTAACCCAATGCAAGAAAGCTAAGAACCTTGATGAAAGGTTACAGAAATTGCTAACTAGAATAACCAGTTTAGAGAAAAACGTAAATGACCTGATGGAGCTGAAAAGCACAGCACGAAAACTCCGTGAATCATACACAAGTATTGATAGCCAAATAGATCAAGTGGAAGAAAGGATATCAGAGATTGAAGGTCAACTGAATGAAATAAAGTGTGAAGGCAAGATTAGAGAAAAAAGAATAAAAAGTAACAAGCAAAAACTTCAAGAAATATGAGACTAGCTGAAAAGACCAAATCTACATTTGATTGTTGTACCTGAAAGTGATGGGGAGAAGGGAACCAAGTTGAAAAACACTCTTCAGGATATTATCCAGGAGAACTTCCCCAACCTAGCAAGACAGGCCAACATTCAAATTCAGAAAATACAGAGAATACCACAAAGATACTACTTGAGAATAGTAACCCCAAAACACATAATAGTCAGATTCACCAAGGTTGAAATAAAGGAAAAAATGTTAAGGGCAGCCAGAGAGAAAGGTTGGGTTACCCACAAAGGGAAGCCCATCTGACTAACAGTAGATCTCTCTGCAGAGAACCTACAAGCCAGAAGAGAGTGGGGGCCAATATTCAACGTTCTTAAAGAAAATAATTTTCAACCCAGAATTTCATATCCAGTCAAACTAAGCTTCATAAGTGAAGGAGAAATAAAATCCTTTAGACAAGCAAATGCTGAGGGATTTTGTCAGCACCAGGCCTGCCGTACAAGAGCTCCTGAAGGAAGTACTGAATATGGAAAGGAAAAACCAGTACCAGTCACTGCAAAAACATACCAAAATGTAAAGACCATTGACACTATGAAGAAACTGCATCAACTAATAAGCAGAATAACCAGCTAGCATCATAATGATGGGTCAAATTCACACATAACAATATTAACCTTAAATGTAAATGGGCTAAATGCCCCAATTAAAAGACACAGACCGGGAAATTGGTTAAAGGGTCAAGACCCATCAGTGTGCTGTATTCAGGAGACCCATCTCACGTCCAAAGTCTCACATAGGCTCAAAATAAAGGGATGGAGGAAGATTTGTGAAGCAAATGGAAAGCAAAAAAAAAGCAGGGGTTGCAATCCTAGTCTCTGATAAAACAGACTTTAAACCAACAAAGATCAAAAGAAAGAAAGAAGGGCATTACATAATGGTAAAGGGATCAATGCAACAAGAAGAGGTGAGTATCCTAAATATATATATGCACCCAATACAGGAGCACCCAGATTCATAAAGCAAGTTCTTAGAGACCTGCAAAGAGACTTAGACTCCCACACAATGAGTGGGAGACTTTAACACCCCACTGTCAATATTAGACAGATCACTGAGACAGAAAATTAACGAGGATATCCAGGACTTGAACTCAGCTCTGGACCAAGCAGACCTAATAGACATCTGCAGAACTCTCCACCCCAAATCAACAGAATATGCATTCTTCTCAGCACCACATATCACTTATTCTAAAATTGACTACCTAATTGGAAGTAAAACACTCCTCAGCAAATGTAAAGGAATGGAAATCATAACAAATGGTCTCTCAGACCACAGTGCAATCAAATTAGAACTCAGAATTAAGAAAGCCACTCAAGCGTGGCCAACGTGGTGAAAACGTGTCTCTATTAAAAATACAAAAATTAGCCAGGTGTGGTGGTGGGTGCCTGTGATCCCAGCTGCTTGGGAGGCTGAAGAAGGAGAACTGCTTGAACCCAGAAGGCGGAGGTTGCAGTGACTGGAGATTGCGCCACTGCACTCCAGCCTGGGTGACAGAGTGAGACTCCGTCTCAAACAAACAAACAAACAAATGAAAAAACTTACTCAAAAGTGCACAACTACATGGAAACTGAACAACCTGCTCCTGAATGACTACTGGGTAAATAACGAAATGAAGGCAGAAATAAGTAAGTTCTTTGAAACCAATGAGAACAAAGACATGACATACCAGAATCTCCAGGAGACAAGTAAAGCAGTGTTTAGAAGGAAATTTATAGCACTAAATGTCCACAGGAAAAAGGGGGAAAGATCTAAAATCAACACCCTGACATCAAAAGTAAAAGAACTAGAGAAGCAAGATCAAACAAATTCAAAACCTAGCAGAAGACAAGAAATACCTAAGATCAGAGCTGAACTGAAGGAGATAGAGACAGGAAAAACCCTTCAAAAAAATCAATGAATCCAGGAGCTGGTTTTTTGAAAAGATTAACAAAATAAATAGACAACTAGCCAGACTAATAAAGAAGAAAAGCGAGAAGAATCAAATAGACACAATAAAAAATGAAAAAGGGGATATCACCACTAATCCCACAGAAATACAAACTACCGTCAGAGAATACTATAAACACCTCTATGCAAATAATTTCTGGAAAATCTAGAAAAAGTGGATAAACTCCTGAACACATACACCCTCCCAAGACTAAACAAGGAAGAAGTTGAATCCCTGAATAGACCAATAACAAGTTCTGAAATTGAGGCTGTAATTAATAGCCTACCAACCAAAAAAGGCCCGGGATCAGACAGATTCATAGCCGAATTCTACCAGAGGCAAAAAGAGGAGCTGGTACCCTTGCTTCTAAAGCTATTCCAAACAATAGAAAAAGAGGAACTCCTCCATAACTCATTTTATGAGGCCAACATAATCCTGATAGCAAAACCTGGCAGAGACACAACATAAAAAGAAAATTTCAGGCCAATATCCCTGATGAACATTGATGCAAAAATCTTCAATAAAATTCTGGCAAACTGAATCCAGCATCATATTAAAAAGCTTATCTACTATCATCAAGTTGGCTTCATCCCCGGGATGCAAGGCTGGTTCAACATACAAAAATCAATAAGTGTAATCCTTCACATAAACAGAACCAATGACAAAAACCACATGATCATCTCAATAGATTCAGAAAAGGCCTTCGATAAAATTCAACACCCCTACATGCTAAAAACTCTCAATAAACTACATATTGATGGAACACATCTCATAATAATAAGAGCTATTTATGACAAACCCACAGCCTACACTAACCAAAACAGGATGGTACTGGTACCAAAACAGATATATAGACGAATGAAACAGAACAGAGGCCTCAGAAATAACACCACACATTTACAGCCATCTGATCTTTGACAAACGTGACAAAAACAAACAATGGGGAAAGGATTCCCTATTTAATAAATGGTATTGGGAAAACTGGCTAGCCACATGCAGAAAACTGAAACTGGACCCCTTCCTTACACCTTATACAAAATTTAACTCAAGATGGATTAAAGATTTAAATATAAGACCTAGAACCATAAAAACCCTGGAAGAAAACCTAGGCAATACCATTCAGGATATAGGCATGGGCAACGACTTCATGTCTAAAACACCAACCGCAATTGCAATAAAAGCCAAAATGGACTAATGGTCTAATCAAACTAAAGAGCTTCTGCACGCAAAAGAAACTACCATCAGAGTGAATAGGCAACCTACAGAATGGGAGAAAAATTTGCAATCTATCCATCTGACAAGGGACTAATATGCTAAATCTACGAGGAACTTAAACAAATTTACAAGAAAAACCCAAACAACTCCATCAAAAAGTGGGCAAAAGATATAAACAGATGCTTTTCAAAAGAAGACATTAATGCGACAAACAAACGTGAAAAAAAGCGCATCATCACTGGTCATTAGAGAAATGCAAATCAAAACCACAATGAGATACCATTTCATACCAGTTAGAGTGGCGATCATTAAAAAGCCAGGAAACAACAGATGCTGGAGAGGATGTGGAGAAACAGGAACACTTTTACACTGTTGGTAGGGGTGTAAATTAGTTGGACCATTGTGGAAGACAGTGTGGTGATTCCTCAAGGATCTAGAACTAGAAATACCATTTGACCCAGCCATCCCATTACTGGGTATATACCCAAAGGATTATAAATGATTCTACTATAAAGATACATGCACATGTATGTTTATTGTAGCACTCTTCACAATAGCAAAGACTGGGAACCAACCCAAATGCCCATCAATAATAGACTGGATAAAGAAAATGTGGCACATAGATACCATGGAATACTATGCAGCCATAAAAAAGAATGAGTTCATGTCCTTTGCAGGGATATGGATGAAGCTGGAAACCATCATTCTCAGCAAACTAACACAGGAACAGAAAACCAAACACTGCATGTTCTCACTCATAAATGGGAGTTGAACAATGAGAACATATGGGCACAGGGAGGGGAACATCACACACTGGGGGCAGGGGGAGGGATAGCATTACGAGAAATACCTAATGATGACGGGTTGATGGCTGCAGCAAACCACTGTGGCACACGTATACCTTTGTAACAAACCTGTACATTCTGCACATGGATCCCAGAACTTAAAGTATAAGGAAGAAGAAGAAGGAGAAGGAGAAGGAGAAATAATATTAATAATGCTAGGGGCTACTGGGTTTAAGACCTAATAAACATATTGTGCATATGTAACAACATACCCAATTTTACATAAGATTTAGGTCATCCTCAAAATCCTATGATGAAAAGGAAAATGACTGAATGGAAGGAAAACTATATTTGGAGGTTTTTTGTATTGATTTCAGATGATTTTTCCAAAATTATATTTGTTAGAGTATTTGCAAAATAAATTTTCTATAAAGTCAAGACAGATTGTCTTTCTTTGATCACTTTAATTATATAATGACTCAGTGAGAAGGGAAACGAGACTTGTGATTTTGCCTATTCATCTCTCTAAATGACACAAATGCATCAAAGTACTAATAGCTTAGCCTTAAATAGTTTGTTGTGGAATAGAATAACCCCTGGAGTTATTTCCAAAGCAGATTTTTTTTCTTTAGAAAATTTAACAATAAATGTCTCAAGGTCAGAAGGATGCAGTTGATCAGTGCTTAGAGCCCACAAAGATTGTCGCAGCCATGTTAAAACAATATTGTTAGTCTTCCCCCTCATTTCCTCAGAGGTGCACAATACTTTTCCCTCCCCACCCTGTGGCTCTCTTTCTAAAATTGTTCTGGACCTTTTGGGTCTTTCTATATTAAGACCGAAGGAAACTGGAACCGTTACTTGTTCTTTCTTATGAGCACTTTTCCTGGATGTGATAAACCGAGAGCAGCTTCCCATGAGGCTGTGAGCTCGTCAATCCCAGAGGCTTTATCTCACAAGAGTAAACTGCCTTCTTCCCTCCTGACTCCTTTCCCAGTATCTTCTTACTTCTTTAATGTCCCTCCACACTTACTGACTTTCCCACTACCTTCACAATTTACCAAAAAGCAACATGGGGCAAGGAGAAGAAAGGGAAAACAGAAACAATAGAACACCAATCCGAAGTTTCTTACCTGTTCTGAAATGGTGAGGCAGCTTTGTCAGCCACGCACACTTGGATAAACTCTTCTGGGTAATTGCTTTCTTGGAAGTTTGCTGGGTTGTAGAATCTTCTTCCCCTGAGTCCTACAAACTTCTGAAGTCCACGAAGTTATGTTAAGAGGCTTAATTAACAGAACATATTATGTGTCACACGTATCAACATTTAATGAGAGGAATAAATGTGGCCAATAAGATTTCTGAGACAACCCTACATTGCCACCACATATTTTCTGTCCCCATAGAGAAAATGAAAGGTGTCTTTCTTATTTCACTTTCCTCTGGAATTATGCTGGCCCTGTCATTTTCTCCAGTGATTACTTTTTGCAAATCTATAAGACAAGCTATTATTGCGGAAGGTTTATTTGGCTTTTCTTCAATCCACAGTACTGTTAATATTCCTTTCTTGATTTTTCTGAGGGTCAAGGAAGACCTGGTTTACTGCTGGAGGCTTTATTTTTTCCTCTTCTCTGTATTCTTTCTCCCATGCAAAAGTCATTTTCCATGTCTACTACATTTCTCCAGAGCCCTCTCTGCTCTTGAGTTGAGTCTTCTACTGACTATCTGTAGTATAGCCTTGTAATAGAGTTTTATTATAAATTGAAATTAAAGTTGTCCCAAGTGTAACTCGAATTTCATCTCTCCCCATGCCAAGCCCTATTACCTCTCCAGTGTCGACAGAGAACCTTTCCTTCTTTCAGGTTGTGTAAAATTTGAAATCACACCTTCCAGACATAAGAGTGTGTCTTATGTCTCATGAGAGTGTGTACAGTGACAAGCAAATGAGGGGATGGAAAGATTCATTTTTCATATTTCCCTGCCTGTCCCCTCCTGCTTTCTACCTCCCAGGAGGAACAGTTGTGCTCACTTTGTGCAGTCCTTTAAGATATCTTTGCGGGAACAGTAGCAGGTTGGCTAATGGCTCAAAGGAACTTCTATGCTTCAGTCATCAAATATATCTCACTCTGTTTTCTTCTGTGAAACAAAAGCCATGCCACCTCCTAGCATACTTTATGATTGCCTGATGGATAGTTTGCTTTGAAATAACATATTATTAACAGATGACTTATAAAATTGTCTTTGCAGATCTATAATGGAAAACAACTGTTATTTAAAAATAGAGCCTTAGATGAAACTTTTTATTATTTAATATAAATATATATATTCAATATAACATACTTGATGCTAGTTATCAAATATTAAATGACTTCGTGCTTTTTTATCCTACTTTAAACAAGTTCTGTGACGTTGACCAAGTCCGTTATGCTCTCTGGGCATCGGTTTCTGCATCTCTCAAATGTGTAAAGCTGAAAAACAATTCTATTCCTTCTCTCATAGCTCCTTATTCTCTGCTTCTGTGAGTCTCATTCTGGTTTGGACACGCATGGTATGGACAATCAAAATCCACACATGACCTCTGGTCCTCTTGTTAGCCAATAGATTTGATCTTCTCTTAAAACACTTTAACTCGATTGACTCAAAAGAAACCAAATGGACTATTTGGACACATTCTTTGCATCTTGCTCTGCTGACCTCATAGAGTTTTTATGAGCAATTAAAAGATCAAGGAGGGAGGAGAAGAAGCAGGAGAATCAAAGGCCTTAGTCCACTCACAAGCTGGGTAGTCATTCCGAATCCTAAGTAAGTTGTCCTTCAGTCCTCAGTAGCCTGTGTACAGCTTCATCTCCTGTAGTACCACTGGAAATCCTGGATTTCCTCCGTAGAGTGGTTTTTAGCCTCTGTAAGCTATAAAGCTCAATGAGGTGATTGCTGTCCTCTGTGAAGATGAAGGCAGTTAAACGTCATCTGTAGGAGCCACCCACCTAGTCATGCTTCTGAGAATGGCACTAATGTGAATGGAGCCACGCGTCCCCACATCCTGTATTCTGGTGGGAATGCATGCATTCATTTGAGTAAAGATTGGGTGACAGTGCCCCAGGAGGAGTTGTCACATCTGTGGTTATGGAGCTATTTTCATTTATTTGTTTGTTCTGAAGTGAATGGATCATTTGTGAATTAAATAGTATTTTAGGCTGTGTGCGGTGGCTCATGCCTGTAATCCTGACACTTTGGGAGGCTGAGGCGGGTGGATCACCTGAAGTCAGGAGTTTGAGACTAGCCTGGCCAGCATGGCGAAGCCCCATCTCTAATAAAAAAATAGATATATAAAAATTAGCTGGGCATGGTGGTGGGCACCTGTAATCCCAGCTACTTGGGAGGCTGAGGCAGGAGAATTATTTGAACCTGGGAGGTGGAGGTTGCAGTGAGCCAAGATCACGCCATTGCGCTCCAGCCTGGGTGATGGAGCAAGACTCCGTCTAAAAAAAAAAAAAAAAAAGTATTTTAGTGCCTTGATCTAAATTAAGTCAACACTTAATTTACTTACTTGATTTAAGTAAATTAAGCCAACATACACTTGTTTATTACCTGCCTGAATGACCTATTGACCATGAGAATGAAATTTTATTGGTAGTGTAAAAAAAATTATGAAAGTTTGTTTACATTAATATCCAGCCTTCAGGGTGAACCACACTGAAGTTCTCCCTGATTGGGAAAAAATATACATATTTTTTCTTATCAGAATCTTATTTTTCTTATTTCAGAATCTTCAAGAGAAGTAGAATTTACTTTCCATGACCCCTACCACTTTGAAGAATATTTAGTAGTTGTTTTTTCTGGCATGTCTTTGTCAAAAGAATTATTTTTTATGCCAAAGAAACCTAAGAAGTATCCTAATGTCAGCACCTTCAAATGGAAAATGTTTCAAGAAGGCTTCTCATCATCAACCTGCTTTCATGTCCATTTTCATGTGAATTGTTGATGGGAAAATAGAATTTCATCACTACCGTTGGTGAAGACATTCCTAAGAACACAGAGTTAGTGCATGCAGTTACCTGGGGGGGTTGGGAGGGGGTGGGGGAAGAGGGCTTGCAGAACTTTATAGCAGCCCAGGCTCACTAAGATTTGCTATGTCCACTTATACACCTTATGAAGTCCTCTATGCCATGGCAAGTTCTCTTGGGAGTCACACCTTCATTTCTTGGGTCCCCTTGGGTTTTTCAGACCACCACTTATTAGTCACATGATCATTAAAAAGTAAATGCACCTCTCTGACATCAATTCTTAGTTTGAGAAATAGAATAATAATTCGGACCCAGCCTACCTCAAAGGCCCATTATCAAGGTCAAAAATGATGTATGTGATGAGCTTTTTAAAAGTAAAATTTATGAAGCAAACACGAAGTAGTGAATTGTGGTGATATCAACATTTTGATACAAAACTCACTTGGTTTAGTAATTTGAAGAGGATGCCATCTATATCTTTTTATAACCGGGAGCTTTTGATACCTTTTTCCTAAACTACAAAACTCATAGAACCTTCGTTAGCTTCTCTGTGCCCCAGCCCTTCAATAAATTGACATCACAATAGAGGTTAAAATAAGGCAAACTCACAGTGGCCTAGAGATACGTGTTTGTGTGTGTCTGTGTGTGTGCATTTAAGAAGATGCACGTGTACCTTTGACCTAGCACCTACCTGTGTTCATACAATTAAAAAAGAAATAATGACTCATTAAGCAAACAAGTTCTAGAAAAAAATACTCATTTAATACAATCACAGTGACTTCCTCACTGTTTCCACTTCATTGCTCCTTATGTGAGTAAAAACAACATGCTAAATGGAGACTTTCAGGACCCCGTGGGACCAATTAATGCCACGTGACTTCCTCCCTGCCTTCCATGAAAATAACTATATTATAATGGTCTGTGATATTAATATCAGCTTTGGAAAAGTCAGGCAGTGACTCCATAGGGAAGGAAGTGGCCTGTGCAAGAACTGTGGAATGTGCAGTATTTGACAGACTGGAGGCCACATCTTTTTATAAGCTACATCACAGAGTTAAACAAGGTGGGGGCACCAACTGGGCTAGTGGGTTAATTCAGGTTAAAAGGCCACCAGGGTAGTCTATCTCTGATCTTGAACTCCAAGAAAATGTGGTTACTGGGGGGAGTTTTGGAAATTAAAGTTCTCAGAAATAAAACCATTTCCAAAGCATTATTTTCCTCTGAATTTCTCCAGATTTCTGCCCACCACAGAGGCAGGATGTATTTTGACAACCTCTGTTTGTATTGGAGGGTAGACCTGGGATGAGGAGTGGTGGGTACACCTCCCAAGTGTGTTGGCAGCTTGATGGGGTTTTCCAGTGACAGTGGAGCACAGCAGAACCAAAGGGAATGTGAGCCACAACACTGGTAGCCAGTCCAGGCTTCCTTCAAATGCAGTTATAGGAATCCCAGGCCCATGCAACACCCAGGCCCCATCCTAGTCCCACTCCCTGCTGGGTCCTGGAGAGATTCAGTGTTCTCCCTGTGGCTAGGCAGATTCTCCTCTCTAGCATATGGCAATGAGCCCGTTAATTTTCTTGGTTGTAAATTGCTGTAGTGCATTAACAACACTCAAGGGTGGTCCCAAAGCACAATTGAGGATATTAAGTTCTCCTGGGAACAGATGTTTAATGGTACATCTAATTATCCAGGAAAGATTGCCTAAGACAATGATCTAGATCCAATTCCTGGACAGTGGCTAATGGTTTGGCCAGACAGTCAGAGGCTTGGAAGGAATAATATTGGAGAATTGGTGATGGGGAAGATTAGGGAAGAATGAACCCAATGTATGAGAATATTTGTGCTTCATCTGCATGATCCCCCAAAGGTTCCCACTGTGGGGAAAACTTTAAATAATTAAGATGAAAAAATGACTTTTTGTTGTTGTTCCTAGAGATGTCCATCAGAATCTTTCCCTGGTGCTAGACCAATGGACTCCAGAGCAGCCATGGTGGCAGGGATGAAGGCTATGCAGGAGCCTAATGACAAGGACTTTCTCTCATCATGGTGACCTGCCTAGTGACTCAGCTGAATTCCTAATTGATCAGGAGTAGCAGCCAGGTCTGACAACCAGTATGACACTGTATCAAAGAGTTCCAATCAACTACCTGGTAGAAGCCAATTATATTGAACCCTTCCATCGTGGTAGGGGCAGAAATTACCCTCACTGGAATAGATAGCTATTCTATATATAAGTTTACCATCACTGCTCTACTGTGCTTCTACTAACACTTTCATCATGTTTAAGAACTCAAATTCGTAAACATCACAATGGAAGTCTCATTCTACATTCTTATGTTTTATAATCATATTATTTTCTTGACATTTATTTTCCAAATTCTTGAAATAAAATTGAAGGTGACTCATAATATAAGGGTAATGTCATGCAAATAAACTTTTGAAATAATTTAAACAAGCTGACCCATAATAAAATTAAAATTGTAAGTAGATCCTTTATGAGTAAGGAACTTACTTTACTGAGAAAGAAATAAGACAATGGGCTAATTACCATAGAATTTACTGGTCTAGCCAGAAGCAAATGACCTTATGGAAAAACAGAATGGTCTATTGAAGACTTAGATATGGTACCCCTGGCTGCCAGCTGGCAGACAACATCTTGCACATTTAGGTGCTGTTCTTTAGGATAAAGCATTTACTTTCATTTAGCTGTGAATAAATGGCACTCTTTCTTCCTATTCTGGGATACACAGATTGAGAAGCCTTGGGAAAAAAATATAAGGCCACCAGTCAAAATTATATCTAATTATCCACTATTAAAATTTTGCATCCTGGGCCGGGTGTGGTGGCTCACGCCTATAATCCCAGCACTTTGAGAGGCCGAGGTGGGAGCATCATCTGAGGCCAGGAGTTCAAGACCAGACTGGCCAACATGGTGAAACCCCGTCTCTACCAAAAATACAAAAATTAGCTGGACGTGGTTGCAGGCGCCTGTAATTCCAGCTACTTGGGAGGCTGAGGCAGGAGAATCGCTTGAACCCGGGAGGCAGAGTTTGCAGTTAGCCGAGATCGCGCCACTGCACTCCAGCCTGGGCGACAAGAGTGAAACTCTGTCTCAAAAAAAAAAAAAAAAAAAAGAAATTTGCATTCTGTCCCAGGGCTCTTTTGATTAAGTTATTTTAGTGTCCAAAGGAGAATTGCTTCCACTGAGTGGTATTGTAATACTTCTATAAAACTGGATGCTGGAATAACCACTTGGACATTCAAAGGTTCTCATGTTGCTGGAAAATAATAAAAAGAGGAAGGTGGAGTTTTGCTGGGTTGACGGATCATGACTACTAAAAAGAAGGAAAGGAAGGACCATAGTACACCTCTTGTACCATTATTTTGAGTGGTAAATGTGAACAAAAGACTATTGCAAGTTTATACAAGCAGGAACAACAAGTGCTCAGATTTCTAAAGGCTGAATATTTTCCCTACTGGGTGCTAACTGGTTTCCCTACTGGGTGCTAACTAGCTGAGGCAGAGAGACATGGAATGGCATAAGGGAAAAGCTGAAAATACTAGCTATGGTCATATGTCTAACTGTAGAAATGCCTATTGTGTATAGAACGTGTTGGTGGTGGCTATACTTACCATGTAGTTTTCAGTTTTAGAAATTAAAGATGAGATTGTATCAGAAAGAATGGGCAATGGCCAGAGAATTTGGGCTGAAACTCAATGGAGTGAAAAAGAACTTTGTATTTTCTCTGTTTGAGGAAAGAGTGAGGATGTTTTTGGTTGCATGAGACAGGCTACCTATACAGTATAGAAATATTTTTGGAAGTGCAAGTTTAGGAGAAAGTATTTATGAGGAGGTAAAGCAGTCAAAGGGACAGATTATAATAGACCTGACTATCTAGAATCTGAATATTCTTATTTGGGAAGAATCCCCAAACAGGTGAGATAGCAGGACCCTGTTTTCCACTAGGAAGATAAGGAAAGCAGGTATTTCCTTTTCCTTCCTCCTGACCTCAGTATGTACATGTGGCCCACCCTTGGTCAGTCGTATTCAGGATCTCACCCAGGACTTTGCAACCTGAGAGAGTGATGCAAAGCCTGAGGGGTAGGTGGGGAGCTGTTTATGATAGTAAAGTCAGCACTGCTGAGAGTCCTGAAGTGGGGTTCACTAGCGTCTAGGGTGGCTGTGGTGACAGGGAAAGCAAAAACACGTGTCCAGAGCTGGTGAATTTTTTTCCCACCCCCGAGAAGGAGTCTCGGTCTGTCGCCCAGGCTGGAGTGCAGTGGCGCGATCTCGGCTCACTGCAAGCTCCGGCTCACTGCAAGCTCCGCCTCCCCAGTTCACGCCATTCTCCTGCCTCAGCCTCCCGAGTAGCTGGGACTACAGGCGCCCGCCACCATGCCCGGCTAATTTTTTGTATTTTTAGTAGAGACGGGGTTTCACCATGTTAACCAGGATGGTCTCAATCTCCTGACCTTGTGATCTGCCCGCCTCGGCCTCCCAAAGTGCTGGGATTACAGGCGTGAGCCACCGCGCCCAGCCCAGAGCTGGTGACATTTTGACCAGACTGTTTCAGTGCTGTGATCTCAACTGTTTTGGATTGCGTGACCTTCCTTGATTCCTATCCACTTTATGAATTGGCGTCTTCAGTTTTCATGTTGATTTGAGAGCCATCCATTATTCCTCCAATAAATATTTTTCCTGGTTACCATGGCCAGAGTCAATTCTCATTATTTGTGCAATGATGCAAAGGCTCGAGATGCCATTTATTCCACTTGGAAAGTCTAAATGAAGCCTTTTTCTCATGAAATTGGAAGATATCATGGTCACTTTGGGGTTGGTTACTGCCTTGGTAAACACTCCTATTTTCACCAAAGGCTTGAGTACCTGACTTTCCATGTAGTGGCTGTCTATCCTCTCTCTTTCTTTCTGTATAAAAGGGCCTTTCTCTTAGAGAACATGGCATTTTCTTTTTCTTAAGACATGGTTAGGAGACAATATGAAGAAATCATCACTATAAAGCAAGCAGAATTTTTCTTGAAGTAATTCCAGCTATTGTTTGGGGACTGATTAGATGCACTCTGACTACCTTGATTCAAGGTGAGTTCTTTTTCCATCCAGTTAAAGTTATGCTAACTTGCCTTCCATTTTTATAATGTAAAGTTTACTTCCTAAAGTTGTCAATTAGTGCCAATATATTCCGACCCTCTTCTTCCCATATAGCCCCTTGGGACATTAAATATTTTATCTCCTTGGTGTTCCTTACCCTAACACAATTAAACTCCCCCTGGTAAAAACACAGGGAATTTGGGAGCCTTAGCCATAGACACATAGTTTTATATAGACAGAAGTCCACTCAGTAATACAATTAGCCATAGACACATAGTTTTATATAGACAGAAGTCCACTCAGTAATACAATTTACGTTAGACCTCTTGAACTAAAAGGGCCCTTTGAGAATAAAGAAAACACAACATCTTTTTCATGGAAAATGTAAAATTCATGTAAATTTTTCATTCAACAAATGAATACATCCCATGTAATCAACACCTCTGTTAAGATAAAATACATTTTCATCACCAGAAATTTTTTAAATTTTTGAGCAGCTATTCTGCACCAGGCATTACCCTAGTCTCTGGAGATTTATATATGAACAAACTAAAATACCTTACACTTACTTTGTGAAATATTAATTATAAACAAATAATTAATCTATGTCCAAAGGTGACAAGTACTATCAAGAGAAACAGAGCAGGGTAAAGGCTTTGGGAGAGTGCCAGAAACATGCTTGGATGTTCAAGAATCTAAGCAAAAGCCACTGCAACTGCAGAGTGAGCAATAGGGAGAAGATGAGGTTCAGTGGGGAAGCAGAATGTGTAGGGCCTTGAGACTATTGTAAGAAGTTAGGCTTTGGCTTTGAGATGGAAAGACATTTGAGAATTTGGAACCAAAGGATAATATTATCTGACTTACTTTTTCTCAAGGCAAGTACGGTTTTTAAAAATTGGGATAAAATTTGCATACAATAAAACTACAGATTATTAAACGCACTCTCGGGTAAATCTGTCAAATGCATACATCCCATGGAGTCAACCTCTCTTAAAATAACATACATTTTCATTACTCCAGAAATGTTTCAATTTCCCTTCCCAGTCAATTCCTGCTCCCAAGAAACTGCCATTCTGATTTGTGTCATAAAAAATTAGTTATATTTGTTCTAGAATTTCATTTAAATAGAATCATATGATGTCTACTCTCATATGGCTGGCTTCTTCCACTCACAAAATGTTTTTGACAGTTGTTTATGTTGTTGTATAAACCAGTAGTTATTCATTTTATTACTGAATAATATCCTATTCTATGACTATACCACAAGTTATTCCTCCAGCACATTGATGATAGTTATTTGGATTATTCTGTTTGTTTTGTTTATTTTTGCCATTATTAATAAAGCTTCTGTGAACACTGTTGTCATGACTTCCTTGGAGGTATGTTTTTATTTCTCTTTGGTAAATACTTAGAACTGCAATTTATGGGTCATAGGGTAAATATAAGTTTAACCTGTAAGAAACTGTCCAGCAGTTTTTCAAAGAGGTTATACCATTTTATACTTCCATCATCGATGTAGTAGAGTCCTGGTTCTCCAAATGCTCCAGAACGTTTGGTGTTGTCAGCCTTTTGAATTTTAGCCACATCATTTACTTCTTAAATATTATAAACTTCACCTCATAATGCTATTAGTTTGGCTTTAAAATGTCAGTTTCTTTTAAGGAAATTGTACAAGGGAACTAAATATAATATTTTATAGTAACTACATAGTTATTATTTCTGCTATTCTTTTTTTCTTCTTATGGATTCTAATTGTTATCTGCTAACATTTATCTTCACTCTGAAGAAAATCCTTTGGGACTTCTTGCAATAAATTCTCTGAACTTTCGCTTATTTGATGATGTTATTATTTCACTCTATTTTATTTGATTATAGAATTCGGTGTTGATAGTGAGATTTTTTTTTTCCTTTTGTTATTTCAAAGATGACATTCCACTATCTTTTCTCTGACATTGTTTCTGATAAAAAATCAGCTGTCATTTCTATCACCATTCCTCTCTATATAAAGCATCTTTCCTTTGCCTGCTTTCAAGATTTTTCTCTACTTCCTTGGTTTTCAGCAGCTTGATTATGATATACCTAGGTGCTGTTTTCTTTGTATTTTGTCTGCTTGGGATTTACTGGGCTTTTTAATCTGTAAATTGACATTTTTGAAAAAAAATCTGGGAAATTGTAAGTTTTTACTTCCCCTTCTGAGGCTCCAAACACATGTATATGAGATAGTTGTAACTGTTCCATAAGTAACTGAGCCTGTATTTAATTTTCTTCAATTGTTATTTTTCTGATAGCCTGTCATTTCTAGTCTACTATTTTTCTGCCATTTCCATCATCCGTTGAATTTAATTTGAATTATTATTCCAGTTTATTCATTTTTATTTGATTATTTTGTAGTTTCATTTCTTGTTGATATATTCACTCATTAATGCCATAGCTCCTTTAATAATTTGAACATGTTCCTTAAAGTCTTAGTCTAATATATCCAACATCTGGTCTATCCTGGGGTGAATATCCATTACTTGCTTTTTTCTTGATTGTGAGTCATACTTTTTTTCTTTGAATATCTCAATATTTCTGATTGTGTGCTCAACTTAGTAAATGATACATTGTAGAGTATCTGAAGAGTGCTGAATTTTGTTTTAATAGGAAGTTCAATGACTAGTAGTTTACATTACACTCACATAGGCTTGGTTTTATTTTTTATTATAATGGCAGATTTATAGAAAGCCCAAAGCATTTCCCAAGATCCTTTAACTTGGCAGTGAGGGAAAGCAATCTCCAATTGTGCTTCCTTTAAGGCTTTTGTCTGGGCTTAGTTTTAAGCATCTTTAGGGCAGGTATAGAATAGAAATTACTCTAAAGTGTGGTTCTAACTTTTAAGGCTTGGCCTCACTGTCATCTCAGACAGTTTCCTGATATTAATGAATTGTTGATAGAGCTTCTCCATTCTGGCTGTGGAGAGTCCCACTCCAATATCCCCAAGTACTGCTCATTTTTCTATCTCTGTTTCACTCTCAAAACCTTAGCGGCCACTCTCTTGATGGCCTCGACTAGTCTTTCCTCATGCGTGTTTAGCCTGGCCATCAACAAAGGACTCACAGTTTCCCTCACTTGGGTACTTGAACAGTTCACCTTTTTCTGATTACCTATTCTTTAGATTCCAGTGGCTTTATTATCCTAGACTCTGATATCTGCTTAGTTAACTCAGTGGGACTATTCTACTCTACTTGGATTCCAGCTCCATGCATTATGATTGTGAACTTGTCCCTGGCACAATTGTGTGGCTTGCCACATGTGCTTCCTTTTTCCCTTAGGAATCAGTGTTTCACTGCTCATCCAATGCCTGATAACTATTCTCCCATAATTTTTCCCGTCTTATGGTTGTTTATAAGGACGAATTACTTTGTTATAGCCAGAAAGAAAGACATCTTTTTTATAATTGACCCATAAAAATTGCATATGTTTATGTTGTACAAGATGATGTTTTGATATATGTATACATTGTGAAATGGCTAATCAAGTGTTAATATATGCATTAGTAGCATACTTATAATTTTTTGTGGTAAGAAAACAAAATTTACTCTCTAAGCAATTTCCAAGTGTGCAACATATTGTTATTAACTGTAGTCATCATGTTGTGTAATAGATCTTTTGAACTTATTCCTTCTATCTCTGAAATTTTGTATCCTTCGACCAACATGTCCCTAGTCCTTCCTCCCCCCAGTCTCTGGTAACCACCATTCTACTATCTGTCCTGTGAGTTTGACTTTCTTAAATTCCACATGTAAGTGAGATCATATGGTATTTTTCTGTGGCTGGCTTATTTCACTTAACATAATGTCTCCAGGTTCATTCATGTGTCACAAATGAGGGATTTCTGTTTTCAAGGCTGAATAGTGTTCCATTGTGTATATATACCACCTTTTCTTGATCCATTTATCCATTTTTGGACACTTAGGTTGATTCCATATCTTGGCTATTGTGAATAATGCTGTTATGAGCATGGGGATGCAGATATCTCTTTCATGTACTGATTCCATTTTCTTTGGAACATATACTCAAAAGACAGTGGAATTGCTGGGTTATTTGGCATTTCTATTTTTAATTTTCTGAAGAACTTCTATACTGTTTTCCATAATGGCTGTCCAGAGGAATGTTCTTGTTAAGCATTTTTCTCCACTCCACAAATGGTTTTAATACATTTGGTCTATGGGCCACACTGCCTTTGATACTATTCTGAGCCTGGATAATTAGCCTCTCCTTTTTCTATAGGAAATTTTATTTTTAGAACTATAGCTCTTCTTTGTTACTGGAGTTTCATCAGGATCATCCTCACCTACCCCAAATCATCTCACAAGCTACAAATCCTGGTTTAAGTTGTAGGTTTCTTTTCTTTTTTCTTTCTTTTTTTTTTTTTTTTTTTTTGAGATGAAGTTTCACTCTTGTTGCCCAGGCTGGAGTGCCGTGGCGTGATCTTGGCTCACTGCAACCTCCACCTCCCAAATTCCAGCGATTCTCCTGCCTCAGCCCCCCGAGTAGCTGGGATTACACACATGCGCCACCCTGCGCCACCATGCCTGGCTAATTTTGTATTTTTAGTAGAGATGGGATTTCTCCATGTTGGTCAGGCTGGTCTCGAACTCCTGACCTCAGGTGATCCGCCCGCCTTGGCCTCCCAAAGTGCTGGGATTACATGTGTGAGCCACCGCCCCTGGCCTCCAAGCTAGAGGTTTCTTATCCCTTTCCTCCCAGAAATCCCCAGGTATTGAATGCAAAATGATCCACCTTCTCTACCTTCCCTCTGTCCACTACTGTGTATAGCAAATGAGCAATATACAAACAACAAAAAGTTCTATCAAATATTGATTGCAGGGCAATGGGTACTTAGTTGCCCTATATTAGCATTGTCCAAGTGACTATTCTCTAACTTAAGCGAAACAAATGTACTCCACTACATTTTGCTAAAGACTCAGTGACTCTGAATTGTCAAGGGATATACCCTAGCTAACATGGCTGGCCAGGGACCGATCTGGCTATGGTCCTGGTTGTCTGACTCTCAGAAGATGCTTTTTCCATGCATGCACTTCACAACAAATTTCTCAGATTGGCCAGTCCCTTAACAGGGTTCAATGAGACTGGCAAGAGGACCTGGAAGTTATAATCTGGTTGTGGTGATGATGGTGATTTACATGTATATGTGTAGTGTATATGTGTGGCAGTGGGCAAGATGTAGTTGTAGATGGCATAGGAAAAAAAGTTCTAAAGCTGAGGCTGCTGCTCTTGGTAGACAGGAACTAGAAAGAATTCTAAGTCCCTGTGATGGTTAATATTGAGTGTCAACTCGATTGAATTAAAGGATGCAAAGTATTGTTCTTGGGTGTGTCTGTGAGGGTGTTGCCAAAAGAGATTAACACCTGAGTCAGTAAATTGGGAGAGGCTGATCCACCCTCAATCTGGATAGGTGTAATATAATCAGCTGCCAGTGAGGCTAGAATAAAAGCAGGCAGAAGAACGTGGAAGGACTAGGCTGGCTAAGTCTTCTGGCCTTCATCTTTTCCCCCTGCTGGATGCTTCCTGCCCTCGAACATCGGACTCTTAAGTTCTTCAGCTTTTGGACTCTTAGATTTATACCAGTGATTTGCCAAGGGCTCTCAGGCCTTTGACCACAGACCAAAGGCTGCACTGTTGGCTTCTCTACTTTTGAAGTTTTGGGACTCGGATTGGTTTCCTTGCTCCTGTTTGCAGACAGCCTATCGTGGGACTTCACCTTGTGATGTTGTGAATCAATACCCCTTAATAAATTCCCTTTCATATATATGTCTATCCTATTAGTCCTGTCCCTCTAGAGAACACTGACTAATGCAAACTGGGAATAGAGAAGGGTGCTATTGGGACTGGTCTGGTCTAGATGTCTTTCAAGGAACTAGAAAAGTAAGTCCCTGAGAGTCCCCTAAGTTAAGGTGAGGGAGTTGCCTTCAGTCAGCTCCTTGTGCCTCTCTAGTTGTTTTCACATTAACAGTATCTCTGATGATACCCATCTTCCTTGCCTTCTGCACAGAAGAACATTTATTTCCAGACTTGAACTTTGTGCTGGCAGTAACGGAAACTCCCCAGATGAGGCTTGAGTGGGCTTATGGGGCCTCTGGGCAGCCTCTCTCTCCTACCTGTCCACGGGGCTTTCGCTGGGCAGGTTGGTGGCGGAAGGGGCTGGAAGCAATGGTTCAGGATGGCTTTTTGCCTCTACTTCCTCTTTCCCTCCTCAAAGATACTCAGTGTCCATCCCTGTGTGAAGCAATCTCCGCTGAGAGAATGCACCCAAGCAGCGATGAGGGCAGGGGAGCTGCGGGGTCTCCATGTGCCCCTATATTCTTCCGCTAGTGTACTGTAGCATTGTTGCAGCCACATACGCGAAGCCCATGGGGAGCCCCTCGGCAGGGAGGCTTTGATGATTTCTTCAGACACACGGAGCAGACTGACAAATTGACTTTCAAGTGAAAGGTCAGAGCCCAGGACTGAAAGGGTAGAGCATCTGGATTCACAATTAAAACGCCTACCGAGTACACTTTGCAGCTCTGGCGTCTCGTCGTGTAGGAGGTGCTGTCAGAGGGACTTATTTGGCAGCTGTTTCTGACTCTGGATTGGGATTGAAGAAAATAAAAATTCCTTGTGGTTGTCTGTGCGTGTGTGTGTGGCGCACCTGAAACCATGTGTGGGTGTTTCAAGAGAAACCTTGCTCTTTGGCAAAAGCAAGCACAGCTAACTTTTGCTAACTCAGTTCTGCCCTAGAGCTGACCTCCAGAATGGTCTGTCCAGAGTGAGTGAATCCTCAGAAGAGTTGGCTGGTTCATCACTGTGCTGGCCTTATAAAACTGCGGATTAAACAACGCTGTGGACGGAGGTTAATCACTGATTTACTCTGTAATCTTGGCAAGTTTTCTTTTAGGATGTATAAAAGGGCTGCACCCAGACACCTGCAGAATGGAAATGTACTTGCTCTTCCAGTTGAAAAGACAGCCTGACCCCACTGATGCCTTTCCTCTATTATTAGTTGGTCGCAGGAATATTTGTTCTATTTCCAGTTTGCAGAATGTTTCCATACCCAAGGATATAGTGAGAGCAAACAGGCTATCCCTAATAAGTGCCTGAGTGCCCCATAACCCCAAAAGGTGCTCGATAGCTGGGGGCTCAGTAAACCCAAAGCTCAGCTTTCTCAGGATGCTTTATCTGCCCAGAACTTGCTTTTGAGTTCTTACTGACATAATCAAGCAGGTAGATGATAAAACCCTGTAGTGACACCATTCATTGTGGCTTGTTTACTTTACTCCCCTTCGCAGCAGTCAGCCCGGCAGGAGGTCTCTAAAACACTCCGTTGAATGATGGGATGCAAACCTCTCTCCACAGTTGAGGCTCTCTGCTTCTCCTGCTACCTCACACAGGCGCAGGTGGTTTCACTTTGGGGGGCACTTAGGAAGGGATATTTATAGCTCACTCTTCCTCTTCCTCCTCCTCCTAGCAAGCAGTCAAAATAATAAAATTAAGCTTGTGGTAGAAAGCGTTGGAGAGGGTTGCTAGAAAGAGAGGGACAGAGACGGAGGATTCAGAGGCTCTTGATTGGAAAGGACCAGCATTTTCCAATAAGTCAAAATAACAGCAAAGTCTGAGCTCCTGGCTGCACTGGTTGGGAGACAAGAATCCCTTTGCTTAATCCGACTTATGTGGCTTACTACCTACATGACCTTGGGCATGTTATTTAACCTATCCGTGCCTCAGTTTCCCTTTCTGCAATATGAGGATAATAAGGCCTATCTCACAGAGTTGTTGCAAGGATTAAATTAGCTAACACGTGAAATGTTTAGAACTGTCTCTAGCACATAGTAAGCACTACACGACTCTTGGCAAACGTCATTAATTTTATATGGATTAATTCATTGTCCTTTTTCTACCTGCCTCATCCATCTACTGACTTCAGGTAAGCATACTCTTCTTCTTTTTTTTCTTTTTTTTTTGAGGCAGAGTCTCGCTCTGTCGACCAGGCTGGAGTGCAGGGGCGCAATCTCGGCTCCCTGCAAGCTCCGCCTCCCGGGTTGACGCCATTCTCCTGCCTCAGCCTCCAGAGTAGCTGGGACTACAGGCGCCCGCCACCACGCCCGGCTAATTTTTTGTATTTTTTAGTAGAGGCGGGGTTTCACCGTGTTAGCCAGGATGGTCTCGATATCCTGACCTTGTGATCCGCCCGCCTCGGCCTCCCGTAGTGCTGGGATTACAGGCATGAGCCACCACGCCTGGCCTCCAGGTAAGCATACTCTTAATTTGAACTCTGCAATAACCTGTATGAGGGAAGCAGGGCAAGTGTAATTACCATCCTTTTACAGATGAGAAACTATGGATAAATTCTTACACAGTCCTGATTCTTACTTATATACCTATATTTTCTCTTTATTTCTCCTATTCACTTTAGCACTTTCTACTAGGTAAAAGTAGTAGATTATAGATAGATTTATATATAAAAATTGATCTAGCCACCTGTAATCTACTACTTTTTATAGTATATACTATATATAAATAAGTATAATATATAATCTACTACTTTTACCTAGTAGAAAGTTATATATATATAAAATTTGTTGTATACCAACTATATACCAGAAACTGTTGTCAGTGCTAGATATAGAAAGGTGAATGAGAAACATAAAGTCTTTGCTGTCTTGGAGTTTATAACTTCCTCTTATCTCATCTGTTAGAATCTAAGCTCCTGGCAGGGAGGAAATATGTCTAATTTATCCTTATGTCTATCAGAGTTTTCTAGCACAAAGTTTTGCTCATAGTAAGTATTCAAACAGTTGTTGCTACAAAAGTTATAGCTCACATTTGAGTGCATACTAATGTCAGACACTGTGTTGTTTTACATTATTATCTTGCAAATCCTACAGTAACAATCCTCTGAAATTGGTATTTTTAGTAGTCTTATTTTATGATGGAGAAACCAATATTGGAGATTTGCCTAGGTTCGCTCAAATAGTAAGTTGTTACAAAACTCAGTCCAGCCTTGCTTGACTCAAAATGTCATGCCTTTTGTCCTTGGAAATAAAGTTGAGATGAATAAGCTTTACTAAGTTATCTTAATAGGTAGGCTAATGGAATCCCAAAGTAGTTAAACAAGCTACTGAAATTGGCATACCTCCTTACTCCTCTCTGACCTTTTTTGCTGAACTCTTTATACTCACCCAAAGAATAAAATTTCCTACATGGGCTAGGGCATTGACCTCAGGGTTTCCTTGTTTCCCTGGCATCTATGTTTGGTAGTAAATTTATGCTCTCTTGTGTTCTGTTGGCAAGGAAGCAGCTATCTAAATACTGGGCTGTTGCCACAGCCCTGGGAAATAGAAACATTGGTCATTCTACTTGCCACACAGCCTAAAACATGCAGCCTATTTTTGGCATATGCAGAGTAAGGTATGCAGAGTAAGGCAATAATTAAACAGTAGTTTGCTTAGTGAATACGTTACAGGCCTAGGTTCTGTGAAGGCAATATGGAGTTTAAAATATTTATTTTATTTGTTTATCAATTGATGTATATGGTCCTACCTAAGTATACAGGACTTGTTTTAGTGTCTTCAGTTCACCAGAAAGATGAGTAATCTTAATTTCTACATCTAAATTTTATGGTGTTCTTTCAAAACAAATCAACCTCCTGGATAAATGTAGGGATTATTTTTTAAATGAAAAACTGAAAAGATAATTTTCATCTCTATATCTCCTTATCACAGCAAAAGGGCATGATTCAGTGATTTGTTAGTCTATCATTTAAGGAATGGCCATTGGCAAATACTAAAGACAATTTTTTTTGCATGGTTTGTGGAATCAGCCTCAGTACTTTACTCTCACTCACTCACATATTTAAAAATTAAAAAAAAAAATTAAAAACCTTCTTGCCACAGAGAAATAAAGGGTAGCCACAACAGATCAGCAGCTTAGAAATGGAAATATTTTAATTAATTAATTCATTAAGTAAGTACTTATTAAGCCTCTGTCTAGCACAGAATTAAACTAGCAGATGAACACTGGCTCTAAATATAAGAAGGTCATTCATTAATTCACAACTGCAAGTACCTTATGTTAAAATTCACATGTCAGGCTGCTTGGGTGATATTTTTAATTGATTCTATTAAGAAAATGGTAGAGAACTTCAGCTTATGACCATATTTTGATTAGGATACACAAAAATCCTCTTTTAGAAACACCTAGAAATATAGACAATATATTTAAATATTTAATATAACAAACATTGTATCAAGTGTATATTCAATATTACAGGAAGGAAAGAAAATTTTCTAGAAAAATAAAAACATAAATAATAAAATCAATAGCAAGAGAGTGAGCATGTGAGCTCTAGTCACCTTGGTTGTGGGGGAAGATTGATTTTCGACATCTAAGGGTTTTAAAACTAAAGAGGGAACAGACAGACGCACGCAACAACAAATTAAGAAATGTCTTCCTAAAAAAATACTTTTGTTCATGTGTAATTATAGTTCAAAAAGTTTTTTTTTTAACTACCAGTGTGGCCCAGACTAAGATATCAACATAAAACAGCCCTGGGTTAGTGATATAATTAGATTGACTGGCAGAAGGTAAAATACCTCTTTGGAGAGATGTGTTCTCAATCTAGGCTATGTAAGAGTTCTATAATAATCTCTGATGAAGATCAGCTCACAATGAAGAATTACGAAACCCGTAAGAAATTATCTAAAAGCAAGAACCATTTTTTTTTAATAGAAGAATTAAGCTACAAAGATATTCAAATAACCAAGCTATCTTTTAGAGATTACAAAATAAGTATGTTTGAGATGATGAAAGACATTGAGAGGATTAAAAACATAAACAAAATGTTATCAGCATAGGCAGATTCTTAAAAGAACCAAATAAAACTTCCAGAAATTAAAAAAATAGCCTTATGAAAATGGTAGCTAGATTAAACAGCAGATTATATATAGCTGATTAGAGAATGGGTAAATTGAAAGATAGATCTGAAGAAATTACTCCAAGACAGCACAGTAATATAAAAAATTGAAAAAAAAGATAAAAAAGTACACACATCCTCATATATATATATATACACACACACACATATATCAGGATATATGTATATATACATATACATATACTGATTATTGCTTTTAGATTATTCCTCATGGGCTTTGTAATTTTGTAATTGTGGGCTGATCTTCATCAGGGATTATTACAGAACTCTTATATAGCCAAGATTGAGAACACATTCCTCCAAAGAGGTTATTTTACCTTCTGCCATATGTACACATATGTACACACATTTCTATATATACACATATATGTGTATATATATATATGAGGATGTGTGTGAATATATATAGATTTATATATGTATATATATGTGCATGTGTGTACAGGCAGAGACCTAGAGGGTTGCACATTCTGCTAAACTTTTATTCAATAGTAAGAGTGAAATAAATACATTATACACATAGGTGGTGGTGGTATATGAAGAGGGTGTGTGGAAGGGGATTATTTATATATTGTTAGAGACAGTAGTGAGATTAGAGCCTTTATAGGTAGAATTATACCACAATGCCTAAAATTGGCCTAGATGCAGACAATATGTCACTAGGTAAAATCTTTACCAAGAACATCGACAAGTAAGAAAATCAGCAATGCCTTGTTACTAGCTGGAATTTAGTGGTAAGCCCCAAGGCAGAATTCTAATCAGAAAAGTATACCATTTGAGAGGCTCTTTTTGTTACATGCTAGCTAGTGCAAAATCATAGAAAACCAAAGCAGTCTAACCTTTTCCATTTATCTCACCTTCCTTTAAATGCCCACATCCGAATCTATTTCTTTTTTCTCCTTCCTTCCTTCCTCTTTCCTTCATTCTTTTTCTTTCTTTCCTTCTCCCTCCCTTCCTCCCTTTCTTCCTTCCTTTCTTATTTTTTTTGTTTCTTTCTCTTGTGAAAAGGCAGCTGTTACAGTAAACACAAGCAGATCCAGAGAGAGATGGCCAGAGAGAGCACACCTGTGCTATCGCATAGGACAGTTTACTTTGGTTACTCTCACAAGTTTTAAAAGAATGGAGCCCCCTACACATTGTAGTCCACAAACGCAGAAACAAATGTGCAGTGAGGAAGAAGGTGATATTGAGAGGTGAAGCCAGCTAGGCTTCTGGGTTGGGTGAGGACTTGGAGAACTTTTCTGTCTAGTTAAAGGATTGTAAATGCACCAATCAGTGCTCTGTGTCTAGCTAAAGGTTTGTAAACACACCAATCAGTGCTCTGTGTCTAACTAATTGGGTAGGGGACTTGGAGAACTTTTCTGTCTAGCTGAAGGATTGTAACTGCACCAATCAGCACTCTTTGTCTAGCTAAAGGTTTGTAAACACACCAATCAGCACTCTGTAAAATGGACCAATCAGCACTCTGTAAAATGGACCAATCAGCACTCTGTAAAATGGACCAATCAGCTCTCTGTAAAATGGACCAATTAGCAGGATGTGGGTGGGGCCAAATAAGGGAGTAAAAGCAGGCCACCAGAACCTACAGTGGCAACCCGGGTTCCGTTCCATGCTATGGAAGCCCCGTTGTTTCACTTTTTGCAATAAATCTTGCTGCTGTTGAGTCTTTGGGTTTACACTGGCTTTATGAGCTGTAACACTCATCGGGAAGGTCTGCAGCTTCACTCCTGAAGCCAGCGAGTCCACGAACCCATCAGAAGGAAGAAACTCCAGACACATCTGAACATCTGAAGGAACAAAGTCCGGACACACCATCTTTAAGAACTGTAACACTCACCGCAAGGGTCCGTGGCTTCATTCTTGAAGTCAGCGAGACCAAGAACCCACCGGAAGGAACCAATCCCGGACACAGTATGGTTGGTTTGCTAAGATTTAAGATAGGTGAAATGGATTTGAGAATTTCTTCCTAGGCTTTAAACTATAATACAGATTTAATTGGCAGTGCCCATCACCATGTCTAGCACAGAGAAATGCTTAATATAATATTTGCATTCACATATTTGTGAATGATGAGTGATGAAAATAAACTTATTTAATGAATGATAAAAAGATATAGAAAAGATAAGCAGTTGAGGGATAGATAATTATTTGAGGGAAAAGGGAAGAGCATTTACATCCTAGGAGGGCTTTGTAAAAATTTTCTGCATTTTCTGGGGCAGAAATCTTCCTAATGAGAGTTTTGTTAAGTTTTATTTTTCAACAGCTGGACTCTGGGTAAGATAGCTAAAAATGCATATTGTTGCTCCGAGAGGGGGCGGGGAGGGGGAGGGGGAGAGGGAGAGGGAGAGAGAGAGATTAAGTATAAAAGGTTGTTGCTGTGCAGTTTGGACAGTTTGGAGTATTCAGGGACCACAGGAGCTGCAGAGGCAAACAGATTAATTAAAGGCTTTAGGCCTCATCATGAAGGCCTTGAACTTTGTATAAGCGTTGTAGCCAAAGTAGTTTCCAAAGGGTGAGGCTCAGTGACTCTTTCACCTCAATATTAAAGAGTATCAACTCCTACATTTCACAGCTGCTACAGCGACTGGATACATTTCAAGGAAGAATGACTCATTTTAGAATCCTCCTGACAAAGAGACTCATGTTAGTAAGAGCAACAGTTTGATGTAACTTACCTGATTTTTAAATATCACCAAGCCCTTTGATAGACCTAAGATGCAAGTATTAGAAGGAATAATGATAGTAATCTGTCTAAATTTCAATGATCTATGCTAATGTTGTAAAATTTCCCAAAAGTAATTTGTTTGGCATTGGTAGACATTGTGGGAAGTTGTCTGTGTGTTGGGGCCATGGATTTATCGACACAAAACATGTCTGGCTCACTCTATTACTAAAATGATTTTGCATTGCCTGAATACTCAAAAGGAAGGAAAGAAGGTCCAGAAGACAGTAACTGGCAGTTGGAAATCAACATAGAATAGTCATTTGTACGTAACTTTGCAAATTTTAAAGCACTTTAAAATATATCTCATTATATTTTTATAGTAACACTGAGCAGCTATGGATGTCAAACCATGCTAATTGGGAATGTTTTGCCCTATATAATCCCCAGTAGCCGCTCCTAAATTTACAAGTAAATATTCTAAGAAAAGCCAGTGTATTTGCTGTGCAAATAAATACAGCTTCTAGAAAAAATCCTCAGCCCTTTCTTTCCAATTAGAACAACACTCTATTCTTGCAGTAATTGATTGCCTCAATGGCCCCAGTTCTTCATTCTTCTCCTACCATATCCTTTATAGTGTGACTTTGAAGTTTCTCCCATCAGGAGGTGGAGACTATTTCCCCCGCCTTGATTTTGAGTTTGGCCATGTGACTTGCTTTGGCAGTGTTGATGCAAACAGAATTCAAACAGGCCTGCAAGTTTCTGCTGATACTCTTGCTCTTCTTCTAGCCGTCAAAAGAGAATGTCTAAACTAAACTGCTGTGAGAAGATATGTAAGGATGCTTGGATGTCAGGAATTCAGGGAGGAAGGAAGGAGAAAGAAGGGAGGGAGGAAAAGGAAGGGAAGAAAGGAGGAGAGAAAGAAGGGAGGGAGGAAGAGAAAGGAAGGGAAGAAAGAAGGAAAAAAAGGGAGGGAGGGAAGGAAGGAATCAGGAAGAAAGTCAAGAAGGATGGAAGTCCTCTTAATGAATACACACTAACATCACCATTAGCTGCCAAATAGTCAAATGTAATCATTACCATTATTTATTAAACCAGTCCCTTATCCTGGTAAATTGCAAAATGGCTGCAATTTTCTGCTCTTCCCTATATCCATGCTGCTTTGCAATGTGATTTTGCTGTTTCTTCCAGGAAGAGGTAGAGTCTGTTTCTGCACCTTTTGAATCTGGGCTGGCCCTGTGACTTGCTTTGGCTGAAGGAATAAAATAGAAATGATATAATGCCAAGTCTGACCCTAGACGTCAAGGATCTTGCATCCTTCCTTTTGTTCTCTAGAAATCCTGCGGTACTGCTGTGTGAATAAACCCAGCTTTTTTTTTTTTTTATTTTTTTTCTGAGACGGAGTCTCACTCTGTCACCCATGCTAGAGTGCAGTGGCGCGATCTTGGCTCACTGCAAGCTCTGCCTCCCGGCTTCATGCCATTCTCCTGCCTCAGCCTCCCCAGTAGCTGGGACTACAGGCACCTGCCACTATGCCTGGCTAATTTTTTGTATTTTTAGTAGAGATGGGGTTTCACTGTGTTAGCCAGGATGGTCTCGATCTCCTGACCTCGTGATCCACCCACCTCTGCCTCCCAAAGTACTGGGATTACAGGCATGAGCCACCATGCCTGGCCATAAACCCAGCTTTTAACTAGCTGCAGACACATGAGAAAGGCCAACTCAAACCAGAAGAACCATCTAGCTGAGCCCTGCTAAAATTGCTAATCCACATAGACTCAGTAGCTAAATAAGTGGTTATTGTTAAAGTCACTAAGTTTTGGGTGTGGTTTGTGTATAGCAAGTTGATAATTGATGTATCTACTGATGAATTTTTAGACTGTTTCTAATTTTTCTTTACTATAAACAATGCTTTGATGAAAAACCTTCACATAGATCTTCACATACTAGTCAGATTATTTCCATAGTATAATTGCCTAGAGGTGACATTGCTGGATCAAAGAGAATGTTCATTTTAAATTATAACACATGTAGCTAAATTGTTCTCTAGAAAGTAGGATTAATTTATATAAGAGCATCCACCATGGTTAGGAGTAGAGGCAGGAATTATGTTAGATAGAGTGGTTAGGGAAGTCTTTTCTGGAGAGGTGACATTTCAGCCATCACCTCAGTTGAATAAAGCAGTGAGCCATGTGACAATCTGGGCAAGAGTGGTCCAGGCAAGCAAAAAGCAAATGACAAAAGACCAGTCTGGAAGGTATATGATGTGCTGGGTAGTAGAGCTGCAATTCAGAGAAGGAGGCACAGAAGTTAGTTTCCAAATAGGCAGGGGCCAGATCTTGAAGAGCCCTGTAGGCTGTGATAGAATTCTGTGTTTTATTCTGAGTATAAGATGCCATTGGAAGATTCTGTGCAGAGGGATGTCATCATCATTGTTAACGGCAGCAGCAGCGGCAGCATCTTCCTTATCACAAATACTTCCTAAGTGCTTTCTTATATGTCAGACACTGTTCTTGGCATGTGTCACATGTGCCATGTATTAAGTCACTTAATCCTCCCAGTGCAAAAGTCAGGTACTATCGCTATCATCCTGCTTTTACAAAATACATAATGGAAGCACAAATTAGATGAATTGTTCAAGTTCACACTGTGAGTTAGAGGCAAAACCGGATTCAAATCTGGGCAGTTAGGCTCCAGGCCCTGGAATTATGTGATTTATGTTTGAAAGTGATACCTTGTAGGAACTGACTACAGCAGTGCAAGGGAGGCGCTGCCACTTCTGAGGCTATTGCAGGAGCCTGGAGGAGAGTTTTTGGACTTGTTGGTAGCTATAAAAGTGTTGAGAAGTAATTTCAAGAATTAGCTGGTAGATTCTCAATGATCTGCTAATTATTTCAAAATGCACAGTTCATTTTATTGGTTAAAAAAAAGTAATGTCTCCCTGCCATTTTATTTGCATTTATTTAGAGTGAGATTAAATGTTTCTTAATTATATTGGCTATTTAAATTTCTTCTGTGAATTGCCTGTACATATTCTTCATACATTTTTCTACGGGAGGTTGTCCTTTTCTTGATTTATGAAGGTTCTTTGTATATTAGGTATATTAACTTAAATACCTTAATTTATTCATACAAATACATCTTCTAATATAAATGTAAAATATAATAGTCTATGGATTTCCCAGTTTGTCTTTGGCATTTTGACTTTGCTGATTTTTTTTCGCAATAACATTCATCTTCTGTTCATGCAGCAAAATTGCATTATGTTTTGTGGTTTCTGAATTTTCTGCCATATTTAGAATAGTTCTCTCCATCCAGAAATTAAAAGAGTACTCACCCAAATTTTCCTAGTACTTTTAGGTTTGCATTTTTCTTTCACTTAAATGTTGAATTCATTTAAGATTTATATTGAAATCAGGAGTGACTTGAGATATAGCTTAATTTATTTTCCAAATTACTAAAAGATTAGTTCAACATTATTTTAAGCACACAGTCTTTTTTGCACTGATTTTAAATCTAATCTTTTATATATACTAAATTTACACATAATTTGTCCTGTTTTCATGTTTATTTCCATTCCTGTGTTAGAATTAAAATGTTTCAATTATAAATATTTTATATAATTAATTGTATTATCTATTAGAATAAGTACTTCCTGCCCCACAAATCTTTCTTTTCAGAATTTTCCTATTTCAGCTCACTTATTCTTTCATCTAAATTTTCAAATTACTTTTCAAGCCAAAAACATTTTGTTGAGTTTTAATAGAAATCACAATATTCTATAAATTTTTGTAGATAATTTAGGGAGAATTAACATCTTTAAAAATTAAAATTATAATGGAAAGACTTATTCTACTAGTGAGGTGTATTATTATTGCAACTACTAATATGATGCATTTGGAGGAATTTCTTTGTCTTCATCTTGTCTTCTCTCACTCCCTCAGCTCCCCCTACACATGTAAAAATTGCAGAGTGCATTAAAATAGGGGATTTTCAGTATTTTCTCTTGAACTTGAGCTTTCTTCTTTTATTTGCTCTGCTTTACCTGCTCCCCAGAGCTGGGAAATTGTTGTTAATCAGCTCCAAATCTTAGTTCCCAGAAGGGGAATGTGTATGAAAAGACCACATTGGCCCTCAACATCTGTGACTTTTCAGTCCGTTGTATGCCTCTTCTATGAGCAAGCCATGGGGCATTTTTTTCCAATCTGAAACTTATTTCACGTTAACACACTTTGGTTTTACAACACTCTTTCCAAGTTTATGACTTTCTTGTTTGAGCCGCTTGTTCCAATTGTATCTAATATTTCATCAAATATGGTAAAGAAGCCATGGGAATAAATTGATGCTTCTTATGAACACTCTTAAGCAGACACCGCCAGATTGCTGTAATGGTTTTCCTTTTTAGCCCTTCTGAATTGTAATATGTTTCTGAGGCCAAATTCTTTAGGGAAACATTATGACTATTTAAGGTCTCCAAACTTTATGCTTCAATACAAAAGGCCTAAGGGTGAGGATTTTAAATGGATGAAGTGGAGAAATTTTCACTTCCTTAAGCAAACATATAGCATTTCCTTCCATGTGTCAGAAATGAAAACAAAAAATACAAACTAATTTGTCATGAAATTTTCCCTTTTATAATTCCCTCTTTGGTGCTTTTTCAACCTAACAAGTCATATTTTCTCTTCTTTCGTGTCAGGTTTATAGCTTTGCTGGTCACAGTTTCAATAACCATGATGGACGATCCTCTGTTCTATATATCATGTACAAGTATTCAGCTTAAAAGTATCTTTGTGTTCACAGCTTGCTTTCTGTCACCTCTCCGATCCCTCCTCCCCACCGCACATGCACATGGCGTTATATTATATGCGCGGAGAGCTTTGGGGAAAGCTCATATTTAGGAACATTAAGTAAGCAGAGGAGGATGGCTGCTTATTTGGGCTGAGCCTGACCTCACTATGAAATGAGGCAAATTGGCATATTTATGACTCAGAGTAAGTCAATAATATATTGGCATTCACATGTGGAAACGCGTTTACTCCCCAGCATTGGGCCTCTGCTTTGTTTTTCTCACAAGTAGTATTCACCTAAGTATGAGTCTTTCTCTTTTCCTTTTTTCTTTTTCTCTTTTCCTCCCTTCTTTCTTTCTCTTCTCTTCTCTCCTTTCCCTCCCTCCCTCCCTTCCTTCCTTCCTTCTCTCTTTCTTTCTCTTTTCATGTTTTCTCCCCTTCTTCTCCTTCCTGAGACCTAAGTAAACTTTGTGAGATTTATCTCATTTATATATAGCATAAAAGACTTTTCAGAGAACTAAAATTATTATTCACTTTAATATTCTATTTCTACCCTCTCTTTGCTTGACCTGTGCTTACACACACACACACACACACACACACACACACGCACACACACATACACATCAGCCACTGGAAAAAAGTACATGGTTGGATAAACGCTATTCACAACTATTGCCTGGAAATGTGATCCTATTGGGTCCTTTGGACTCTGAATCAGTATCATTTATTTTTCTTGTTATACTGCCTCCCTATAAATTACAGCAGGAGAAAGGAAGGTCACATGGGATCTGATTTACTGTGGAGAATATTGAGAAGGAAAAAAAAGTATTAGAGTAAGTCATTGATAATAAAAAAAATAGAAAAAAACTTACCGTGAGTCTTTATTATTTCTAAACTTGGTCAGCTGCACCTCCCTGTTCTCCCAGCTACAAGGCCCCATTATCCTGAAGTCTATTTTTATAACTCAAGTTGGCAAGTGGGATTTAGGTTGGGAGGACATGTAGAAAATCTGGACCTGTCTTCCTCTGTCTCCAATATGTTGTGGAAGTTAGGTTTCTCTCCCTGCTTTTTCTAGCTTGTGCAGATTTGTGGGATGTTGCCAGTCTTTTCCACCTGGTCTTTCTCCTCTTCCTTATATCTGAGTCACTGTTTGGATTCCATAGGCTCTTCTGTGGCTGACCACCCTTACTGGGAGAACCGGTAAGCCTGAGCACAGATGGGCAATATACTGGTATCAGGAGAGAGTCCTGCGCTGGAAAAGGCCTCTGAAACACTGGAAATGGTCTTTGCTAGCTGCTGTCTTTCTTGATTTTTCTCATCATGCACATGGCAATTGAAAGGAATTGCCATTTTGACTCTGGGCTGAGTTGCTGTTGCTAGTTAATGTACTAAACCAAACCAACCACCAACTGAAATCAGCAGTGAGTAACTTGCTTTACACTACATGATTTTAAGGAACTGGTTAGGATGAGTTTTCTGCTTTTTACCCCTTAGATTCAAAAGGAAGAAGTTGTGAAAGCACAGAACTGGGCACCAGAAGACTGATTTTAAAAATCATCTGTGTTTCTGCATTTCTGGTTCCTTAAAGATGTTATTTACTTTTCCTTGGCCTCTGTTTCCCTCTTTGTTATTTGGAAGCGTTGATTTTCTCTGAGGCCACTTTCTGTAATAACATTTGATGGCCGTTTTTTAATTTAAAAAGGTAATTGGATAGGATTTTCTTATTACCGCATTTTAAATAATTTGTGCTATGATCTGGTGCAAAGAACAGAACTGTTTTCCCTCCTTCTATGTGGGGAGAATTATTCTCATGAGTGAACTACTTCCCACAAATGTTGAAAAGATGAGGGACTGAGGGACTTAGGCTGTCTCCATAGAGCATAAAACAAAGCAAGATTTGGCAGCTCTCCAGCTCATTTGATCTAAGTTAAACAGGGACTAATTTTTTATGTTTTATTTTTGGCTTGACGCTAGTCATGGTTTTTAGGAAAGTTGATGTGAGTGCAATTACTGACCATTTTATTTTATAGACAACTTATTGAATTCTATCATGTAGCTGAAGCTACAGGTATTATTCTGAAGAATTCTAGTTGTCCGATTAATTTCTTCTTTCAAAAAAAATTACAGGTGGATAAAAACACCTTGCCATATAGTTTGCATTTATTAGTGCTTTAGTTAATTTGCCGAAAGTGAATAATCAGACTGCAGAAGATGGTCTCAGGCTTAGGTCAGGGACTTGATTTATGTGTTTGCTCCCCTGTTAAAGATTCACACGCCTTGGCTGTAGATTCTGGACTTACACATAAACAGGACCAGACTAAGGAATCCTGGATGGCAGGAATCCTATTTTATTCTTTGTGTACTGGTAGTAGGGTCTTAGTAAATATATTTTGAAAAAAATAAATAACCACTCAGTTCACTTTTACCATCATTTTTTTAATTGGGGTAAAGTATGCATAACATAAGTTCTGTTCTATGGGGGGTTTTTTTGAGATGGAGTTTTGCTCTGTCGCCAGGCTGGAGTGGAGTAGCGCGATCTCGGCTCACTGCAAGCTCCACCTCCCGGGTTCAAGTGATTCTCCTGTCTCAGCCTCCGGAGCAGCTGGGACTACAGGCACGCCCCACCACGCCCAGCTACTTTTTGTATTTTTAGTAGAGACGGGGTTTCACCATGTTGGCCAGGATGTTCTCGATCTCTTGACCTCATGATCCACCCACCTCGGCCTCCCAAAGTGCTGGGGCACAACATTTTAAGTAGCGGCATTAAGTACATTTACAATGTTGTGCACCTATCGCCACCATCCATCTCCAGAACTAATCTGCTCGAACTGAAACTCTTTACCCATTAAGCAATAACTTCCCATTTCTCACCCCCTCCAGCCCCTGGTAATTACCAACTTTCTGTCTGTATGAATTTGACTACTCTGAGTACTTCATGTAAGTGGAATTATACATTTTTTGTTTATTTGTGACTGGCTTATTTCACCGAGCATAATATCCTCAAGGTTCATCCATTTAGTAGCATGTGTCAGAATTTTCTTTCTCTTAAGGCTGAGCCATATTCCATTGCATGTATGTACCTCATTTTGTTTAGCCAATCATTCATCGATGGACATCTAGCTTGTTTCTACCTTTTGACTATTGTGAATAATGCTACTATGAATGTGGCACATGGTACAAATCTCACCGTCTTTTTAAGAAAGAAAGCACTGCTCAGAAAGAATCCATATTATAGCAATCCTTCAAGTCCACTCACATAGCTTAAATTCTTAGGCCATTTCCTGGTCAGTTTGTTCTGTACTAAGGAGCTCACCCATCAGACTAAGGAGCTCTACTAGGGTAATGTCCTTGTCAGGTTAACCTTTGCATCCCCAGCATCTGGCATAGAGCCTGGCCCAGAGGAGGATGAGTAAAGTGTTGAATGGATAACCCAAATTTAATTATCTGATTTACACTTTTAGTACCCAAAAGAATTAAACCTAGAATGCTGAGTGTATTTATTATGAATTGAGTTTTGTAACTATGTTTTCTCTCTCATACACTAGATTGGGTATTTTCTGAGCAAAGGGACTGCCTTGAAATTAGTGGACTTCAAACCTATTTACCTAGACATTTTTAGAGAATGTTGAAAAACAGGGCCTCTTTGCCCATTTTTATATTGATATCTAAAATTTTGCATAAGAAATTGAGCAATCCTAAGGAAATGTTTTATTTGTTGCAAGTATTGGCAATTTAAAATTAAATTATTACATCACTTTTTAAATATATCCAATGAAATGTTATATACCACAGCAATTTGATACCACCACCATCTATTTAAAAATACATAAATAACCCTTTTACAGGTTGAAAGTTTTACAGTTTCATTTTTTTGTCTTGAACTTATATTTTCATTCTACTTCCCTCACATTTTGTCCTAATTTAAGAACTGAAAGTCATTTATTGAGTACTCTATCATTCTTCTTGGCAATGATACACATTTAAAATTTTTGAAGTCTTAAATTTTCTATGACCATTAGGTTCAATGTTGGAAACAATTTCTACCGGATTGAGTTATCATTCAGTCATCAAAATCATTAGTGCATAATCAATCAAACAACATAACTCCATATAATTACATTATTATGTATATTTATTTTTATACAATAACATGCAATTTCATGGGAAGTACATTTTTAAGGAGATACTTTAAAATCTTTAATTTGTTCTCTTTATTGCCAGAATGAAACAAAGTTCAATATCAGTTTTACTTCCATTTTTCATTTCAAAAGATGTAGCACTGAGACATCTTGTTCACATGTTAAATTAGATGGGAAGTAACTCCTTTTGAATTAAATGCTAAAAATTAAATAGAAGATGTGTCATCAAAAATTATTTTTAATAATCAGATGGAAATTCAGTTACAAGTCTTTACTTTCTTAGTTTTGTGGAAGTATATCTCTCTCAAAAAAAGTTTTAACAAGACCTAGAAAATGACAATTATTTATGCCTATTGTTCTTTCCCTTACAGGAATCTTGCTTAACCTAACATGTTTAGAAGGTGTTAGAGGAATAAAAATAATGTGAATTTAAATGGTAACTTTTTCCTTCAAAGAACATTTTTAAACAAAGCCATTTTATCTTATCATAATTGTAAATATATTTTTATCAAGGCCTTTGAGCATAATATGTAGTTTTATTAATTTGTGAAAAACGTATTCTGTAGAATCAATTGGCAAAGTCAGTCCTCATTATCAGATGCAGTCTCCAAATCAGATTTACTTTCTGTAAGAAAGCCAAACTTCATATTTCAATTCAAATAAACTTGTTAGTTCACTTCCCTTTGAAAATTTCACTTCCAAATTCCAATAGTAAGGTAAATAGATAAGGGAATGAAACCTTCCATGGGTTTGCACCTGGATATGTATATACAAAAGTGCAGATGCTATATATGTAGTGTGTGTGTATTCTTATCAGCATTCTCTTTGCTTTGCCATCACAGGATTTTGCCTCAACAGTTGTACATTTAACATAGACTTATAGTACCTTGTTTCTAGTGCCACACTTTGCTTTTACAAATCTATGCATAATATAAAGAAACACAAAAAGCCCTCTCACTGGTGTGTGGTATCCATCATGAGCATAGAAGCTTTCATCAACACCAATATTTCAAATGGTCTCTTTGCCAGCCATGGGGTGGGGCTGGGGTTACACCTCAGGAAAATGCACCAGCATCAGGTTCAGGATGTCTGTCTTTTGTAAATTGGAAGAAGGGAGAATCAACAGAAAATCTGAAGCCCAGGCATTTCCCAAGCAAATAAAGGTCAAGTATGGAAGTTGAAGATCAGAAAATGTATTCTCTAAAAACTACCCGTGCCATGTGTTCCTTGGAAAGTGTGTATTTCCAGGGGTACACACATTCCAGTTTAAAGACCCTTGTCTTATACATCTCTATGCCCTTACCATTTAGCTTAATACCTACTAATATTTATCATGATGTCACAGTTGTAAATTCTCTACTTTCATGATGTAATTTCTCTTATTTTTTTTTTTACTTTTAAGTTCAAGGGTACATGTGCAGGTTTGTTATATGGGTAAACTTGTGTCATGGGGGTTTGTTGTACACATTAGGGCATCACCTAGGTATTAAGCCCAGTGCCCATTAGTTATTTTTCCCGATCGTCTCCCTCCTCCTATCCTCCATCCTCTGATAGGCCCCAGTGTGTGGTGTTCCCCTCTGTGTCCATGCGTTCTCATCATTTAGCCCTCACTTATGAATGAGAACATGTGGTATTTGGTTTTCTGTCCTTGCATTAGTTTGCTTAGGATAATGGTCTCCAGCTCCATCCATGTTCTTGCAAAGGTCATGATCTTGTTCTTTTTTATGTCTGTATAGTATTCCATGGTGTATATGTACTACATTTTCTTTATCCAGTCTACCATTGATGGGCATTTAGGTTGATTCCATGTCTTTGCTATTGTGAATAGTGCTGCAGTGAACATTTGCATGCATGTGTCTTTATGATAGAACAATTCATATTCCTTGGGGTAAATACCCAGTAATGGGATTGCTGAATCAGATAGTATTTCTGTTTTTAGGTCTTTGAGGAATCATCACACTGTCTTCCACAATGGTTGAGAACTAATTTAGACTCCCACCAACAGTATATAAATGTTATTTTTCTCTGCATCCTCATCAGCAACTGTTATTTTTTGACTTTTTAGTAATAGCCATTCTGACTGGTGTGAGATAGTACCTCATTGTGGCGTTGATTTCCTTTCTCTAGTGACATGATACGATTTTTTAATAAACTAGTTAGTTCCACAGGTTATAGGTTACATATCTCTGTGTGACAGACACCTTGTTCATTCATCTTTTTTTATTTGCCAATTCAGCAAATACATGATAAACAGCTAATGTTTGCAAGGCAATATGGGCTTAGATAAAGATAAAGGCCACAAAAAATAAGCTTTTTTGTAGGAATGAGAAGATGTGCACAAATAACTATGGCACAAATCAGGAAGTGATGCTATATATGTGGGGAGTTTGAACAACTAGTTGTGGCCTGAAGAATCAGGTCCCAGTGATGACTGTGTGTGAATATGGGTAGAGGCAAACCCATCACTACTTCTAGAAATACAACTCAAAGGATATGTTGGGCAATATTCCTCTTTGAAAGGTAGTCCAAAATTCATATGATCATACTTACATTTATGAGTTTGTGTACATAAAACTTTTAAAATGAATTCACCTATTTCTTACCTATGGAGTAGATTGAATCATGCTTTATTTTTTTTTTCTGTCGAGAATGTGCGTATCGCATCACAGTCTGTCAGTTTCGTATTTATTGGGGGAATGTTTTCAGATAAATCTTTCCTCACTGACTTGAGAACAAATTTACTTTTTATTTCTTGAACTCCACTTCAACCAAAAAAGTCTCTCATGCTGACTCAGCATACAAAGCTACATTTTATACCTGTCAGGCCACATATAGATTTTTATAAGGTGAACAATGGTTGTATTTAAGTACTGATGTAGTAATCTTGAAATCTTCTGGCAGTATCCTTTGGAAACTGAATCCATAACTTTTATTCATATTAAATGTTTCTAATGGGAGTTGACAAATAGTTGAATGGGATAGCTTTTTCTCTGCACTTGGCAAAGAGAGAGGGAAGAAAAAGTCCCCATTACACAATGAGAAATGCATTAATGCTCAAGCCCATTCATTCATCTCAATTTTGCACAAAAATAATTTAAAGCCTTTAACAACTGTTGGTGAAATTACAGTGTGCTGCAGGGAAGTTGCAAAATTTTTATGGACCTAATAAAATTGTCATTGTAATACCATTATAGGGTGCTGGGACAATATAGATATTTGTAATACTTGTACTCCCATGCCAGACTGAGAAGGGAGGTAGTAAGTTTGATTGGAGACAAATGCTGAACAGGGCTAAAACCCAAGTCTGTTTGATAATGAAAAGCTCCCTATCATGTTTGATATCAAATGAAATTGGATGGGCAATCAGGCATTTTAACTGGTTGGATTTATAATGGAGCAGATAAACATTATCAAGCACAGCCTATAAAATAAGGTATTGTTAAAATGATTATGCATTATCTTTAGATAAATTTCAAAGCAATTTCCAGTTGAGTATTTTCTGCTTTTTCACCCAATTTTGGCTTCAGAAATATGCCCACTGGCTTTTCTATGCTCTTACTTTTAGCATATAGCCAACAATCTCTTGATGGTCTTTAGTGAGACTAAAAGCTTTTGAAAAAAATCTCGTAAGAGATTCAGTCACTTTGAAGTACAAGGTCAAAACAAATGAACAGCCTTCCTTTCAGTCAATATCCCTGGTGATGTAGGGAAAAAGCATATACTCTAAAATGGCTCAACACTGAAATCTTGAGGATGAAAAACAGAATTTGCAGGGTGTGTCCCAAAGGGGAGCTGTGGTCTTTTCTATGTGACCATATCTTCTGCCTACCCTTGGATTCATGTCGAGATCTGCTAACAGGATCAAGTGAATGAAATATTTAGATTCTCCTAGGACAGTTACATACAGCCATGCACTCCAGCTATGAAAGGTTTGGTGCCTACTCTCCTCTCTTACTGGGCCTGGCTGATGAGAACATCATAAACACACCCTTATTACAACACTGGAGTAGTCTTTGTGTTTGAATCCCCAACATCCCATCCTCTCCTCCAAGGAATTACTTTGACCCGAACCTGTTAATTTCATTCCTCTTTGTAGTGGTTGGTTTAGGGATGGGCTTGTGACCCACTGCTAGCCTTTGCTCTGTGGAGGGGAGTATGCTGGTGTCTCCTGGGAACACTACCTTCTTCTCAGGAAGAGAAGAAAGATCTCCTTTTTTGTATCTAGGTGTGGCCCATGGAAATACTGTAGACACCTCACTACATCTAAAGATGAAAGCAATACCAGGTAGGAGAGATACTGAAGACATTAGACAGAGCCTTGATCCTTTGTACCTGGAACTCGTCTTCCTCCTGATGAGTGAGAATCTGAGCTGAGGACAAGCTTGCAGAGCTATGCCATATATCGATTCCATAACTTTTGGAAAATTCTTAATTTCTCTGAATCTTGGTCACCCCGTTAGTGAATAGACCTAGCTTAGCTGGCTGTTGTGAATTAATATATGCAAAGTGCTTAGAAGAGTGGTTGGCATATAGTAGACACTCAATAAATGTTAGCTATTCTTATTATTCCTATTTTTTTTTGAGAGAGTCTCATTCTGTCACCCAGGCTGGAGTGCAGTGGCGTGATCTTGGCTCACTGCAATCTCCGCCTCCCAGGTTCAAGTGATTCTCCTGCCTCAGCCTCCCGAGTAGCTGGGACTACAAGCGCGTGCCACCACATCCAGCTAATTTTTTGTACTTTTAGTAAAGATGGGGTTTAACCATGTTAGCCAGGATGGTCTTGATCTCCTGATCTCGTGATCTGCCCGCCTTGGCCTCCCACAGTGCTGGGATTACAGGCATGAGCCACCGCACCTGGCCATTATTACTATTATGTGAAAACATAGCTTTCTTATTGCTCAAGCCATTTTGAATCCGGTTCTTCTGTTATTTTAAAATATAAATATTTACCAATATTAAATAGCATAATTGACACCTTGGCTTTGCTCAAAGGTCATATTTTTAGGAATGCCTTCACTGACCAACCTATTTAAAATTATACCCTTCCTCTAGCATTACCTATCTTTTCTCCTAATTTGTTTCTCACCAAAGGACTTACCATCATTTTATATATATTTTATTTAGTTATTTGTTGACTCATTGTCCCACCTCCTCCTTGCCTTCCCCCACCATAACCCACAGTGTATAGATGAGTACATGGTACAGAGTAGACCTTCAATAAACGTTCATTGGTTGAATAAGTGATGTATCATGCTCTACCTGGTAACACTGTGCAACAAGTAAGGTAGGCAAACCTGTACACCCTTAAGTCACAAGGGTGATAGGCAGGCAGCAAAGACAATGCTACTTCCTCCAGAGGGCAAGTGAAACAATTTAGGTTACTACAGAAATTACTAGACAAAACAGCTTATTACTTTCCAGATCGTGCCTTTACTCTGATTTTTAAAAATGTTAGCATTTTAAAAGATCAATAGATATTGTATCAGATTGTGGGAGCTGGCACGTCTGAGGGCTGGACACAGGGACAGGAATTGTTGGAGTCTTGAGGCAGAATATATTTTTCTCTAAGAAACCTCAGTAATTGTTCTTAAGACTCTAAACTGATTGGATGAGGTCCACTCACATTATTGAAGGTAGTCTTCACTTAAAGTTAACTATTATTAGGTTATCTGCCATGACTTTCAATGGCAAAAACCGCAATTACTTTCGCACCAACCTATAATTGTAGCTGTTCTATCTACAAAATACTTTCATGGCAGCACCTACATTAGCATTTGATTAGGTAACTCTAAGCTATTCTCTAGCCAAATTGATACATAAAACTAACCATCACAAATATAATAAGAGTAAAATACATTAAAGTTCTGTAGCTGATTTAACAAAGGGCTCTTCAAATACTCTTCATTGGTATTAAAGATTAAACGACACAAAACAAATTCACAAAATCTTTTGATATATAGTACACATTAAATCAGCTGATTCATGAGCCAGACTCATTCGGATTCTTATAATGCAATAATGGCTTTTCTCATGGTAGTATTCTAGCTAGGCTTTCAATCATGACATGAAATTCAGTACAAAAATACTTTTTGAACTAGGAGTCATTCATTCTCACAAGGGTTTTTGGAGCTGGCGAATGAGTAAATGCATGAGTGAGCATTCTTGTCGAGTGGTCTTATTTAAGTGTATTGTCTAGAGGTGCCTGGTTTAGAGTCTGATTGTCAATACAAACACTTGTAAAGATAAATTATTATTGGAGTTAAAATATATTGAGGTCTTACTATGTTCTTGGAAATGCTAAACACCTTATACGATAATCTCATTTAATCTCTACTGCAATCCTATGAGGTAGGAGCAATGTTTGCCTTCATTTTATTGTTTAGTCCCTTGGACTATAAAGTCCTTAACATCATGAATCATCTCTGCTACTTCCATTGTCTCACTTCTCACACTCTGGTTCAGAGCTTCATTCCAGTTGGGTCTAAAGCAGAGCTGATTATTAGACAGGCCAAGTTCATTAAAAGTCTTGCTTTTAAAAGAGGCCTGAGAGGGCTCACTTTAGCTATCCAAGGAGTAATAAACCTGTGTCTTTTCAACTGAACCTTTAATTGTGATGCTGCCAAAACCAAAGTACCTTGGGTTGGAAATCTGAATGGTGACACACTTTGATCAAAAGTGGATCTATTATTTGTGCCACACAAGTTTTGAGTTTAGGGTTCATTTCAATGTTCCCTTCAATTCAGAAAAGCATAATTTCATTTTAAGGGAAAAGAAAACAATTGCTTTAATAAAAATCTTTATGAACAAGGTTCAGAGCGTTTCTTGGACAACAAATGACTGTTACAGAGCAACATTGTGGTGAGTTAAGTGTAAATGGTTCAGAAACATGCAGATTAAATTTCCCTGAAAACACTCAAGGGCTTCCAAAATTAATGGAGGGAAAATACTTGGACAACATATATTTCAGACTTTATAGTTTTTTTTTTCTTTTTCACTCTGTTGATTTTATTTTCCCCTACAACACTTCCTAGGGTGACTTCATCTCTTGTGGTAAGGATGCTGTCAGACCAAGTTATCATTAATTCTGATGCATTCTAGGTGGCCCAAACTGGGTATCAGCTGTATTCCCTCCCTTACAGAGTTAGCTTTTTCTTTCTATTATTTGTTTTTCAATATAGGAAAGGTATAAAAATAAAAGCACAATTCAAAGTCTGTGGAAAGCTTTTAGGCCTTGTGAAAGTCCACCATCATGACACTTGAGAGATAAATGTGTGAGGTTCTTGTATGTTGAAGACTGATAAATCTTCTGTGCTTTAACTTAGAAAATATCTCAATGGATATAGATGTGGTAGGGGGATTCATAAATCAAGATTTGAAGATTCTTAGAAGGGACTTTTGAAAGGCCCTCTAGCCCATTCCCAAGCCTCAGAAATGTCTCAATAGAAAGCATGACAGAAAAATAATTATAGTCCTATTTCTTAAATGTTGCCTTAGATAAATTTTCTTCAACAGGCGTTAGAAAAATATTCCTATGTTCTCTGCCTTGTGGAGGTTCTCATAAAACTAACCAAATTCCATTTTGTAGGGATTTAAGCTTATTTTCCTTCTTTCTGTGTTTGGAGGAGGCAAATTCTGGGACACTAGTAACCGTGCCTTTTCTTATTTGGACCTTGCACTACCTTGGTCAGTGAAGTATGTCAGACATTTCTTTCTTTTCAAATATGGAAATGCTGACAATGCTCATTTTGGGATTCCGCTATGTCTCCAAGCAATATGGTCTCCAATGTTACTGAAGTACTGTAATAAATCCTTTCAATTTCAGGACATTATGTGATAGGGAAAGCAATTCACCTCATTGAATGAGTGCAAAAGCAGTAGAAAATATGGTAGCTGTCTCCTAGAACTTAAAGCTTACTTGGGGTTAAAATTTACATACATGGCTGAGTGAGGAGGTCAGCAAACTCTCTTCCCAAATTAACTACACACCTAGATAAAATGGATTAAAAATCTGTTTCTAGGACTCAAACAAAAGCATAAAAGAATCAGAGAATCCTTCATGCTTAAAAACCTTCAAATAAGAAGTTTAAGTAAGAACAATGGGAGCCAGTGATGTTCTTGCGTGGACCTGCTCCATTCCACCCCACCCACCCTCCAGCTCAGTCTGCAAGGAGGGTCTGGAAGGGCCAGGTGGGCCAGGAAAATGTGCAGCTTCACTGCCACAGCTGAAGGGGTATCACTTGATGTGGAATGGTGAGCAATGCCTACACCAAGCATGGCAAAAGTGACAATATAGGCAGTGGGAGGGCCTACATCTCTACTAGCCTAAAGGAACTATCATGGTGATAGAAGGCAATAAGTATAGCACTGCAGGGTTAGGTTTAGAACATATTCAGATGTAATATATATGGCAATTAAAGTACAAAGAGAGAAGGAGAGAAGCTTTATTAAATTTTCTATATTTTACCAGAATTAAGTTAGTATTAATTTATGAAGTTTGTGTTATAAATTATTATGTATATGTTAATCCTCAGATCAGATCGGCCACTAATACAATTATAACAAAAAAAAATCAAAAGAGGAATTAAAATGGTACATTTTTTAACACCAAAGTAATTAAAAGCAACAGAGGGCTAAAAATATAGGAGACATATAGAAAACAAAAAGCAGAGTGGCAAATATAAATCCAACTATATCAATAATTTTATTAATGTGAAAAGCCTAAACACCTTGATCAAAAGGCAATGACTGTCAGAATGGATCGAAAAGCAACATCCAACTGTATTTTAACTATAAGGAATACACTTTAGATTCAAAGACAAAAATAGGTTAGAAGCAAAGGATGGAAAACGATATACCAGGCATAAAAAAGAGCTGCAGTGGTCATACTAACATCAGACAAAATTGAATTTAACATAAGATATATCACTGGAGACACAGAAGGTCATTTTATAATGCTAGAAGTGTCAATACATCAGGAAAATATAACAATTATAAATATATACACCTAACAACAGAATTTCAAAATAAAGAAAGCAAAACCAGCCAGAATTGAAAGGGAAAATGATAATTTTACAATAACAATTGAAGATTTCAATACTATGCTTTTAAAAATCAATAGAACAACCAGACAAAAGTTTATCAAACATATAGGAGACTTGTCCTACACTTTTAGCCAACCCAACCTCTGTTTTAAAAGAACAGTCTACCCACTGATAGCAGAATATACATCTTTTCAAGCAGATGACATATACTGAATGTGGACATTCCCATGAAATTCACAGAAAATACTAGAATTAATATAGGAGTTATCAGTATACAAAATTAATTGTATTTCTATACGGTAGCAATAAATTATATGAAATAAGATCAATAAAATATTTGATTTCTAATAGTATCAAAAATTTAATATGAGTAAGATGGTGCCTTAGTCCTTTAGTGTTTCTATGAAGGAATACCTGAGGCTGGATAATTTCTAAAGAAAAGAGGTTTATTTGTCTCATTATTCTGCTGGCTGGAAGATTAGGCAGCTGATAAAATCTTTAAGCTGCTTCCACTCATGGCAGAAGGGAAAAGGGAGCCAGTGTGTGCAGAGATCACATGTCAAGAGAGGAAGCAATAGAGAATGTGGGGAGGTGCCAGGCTCTTTTTAACAGCCAGTTAGCTCTTGTGGGAACTAATAAAGTGAGAACTTCCTCATAACTGCAAGGACAGCACCAAGCCATTCATGAAGAATCTGCCTCCATGACACAAACACCTCCTATTAGGCCCCATCACCAACATTAAGTATCACATTTCAGCATGAGGTTTGGCGGGGGGGACAAATATTCAACTACAGCAGATGATAGTTCACCCCCAATTAGTACAATAAAATCAATGCAATCCCTATCAAAATATCAGCAGGCATTTTTGTACAAATTGATAACATTTTTCTAAAATTTACATAAAAATGCAAAGGATATGGAGAGCCAAAAGAACTTTTGAAAAAGAACAAAGTTGGAGGATTACTTTACCTGATTTCAAAATTTACTATAACATAAAAGTAGAAAACACAATGTGGTGAAATATAAAACTATTGTAAAAGAATATACACTTCAATAGATAAATGGCACAGAATCGAGAGTTTAGAAACCAAACATTTCGTTAAAGGATGAGTGATTTTCAACAAATATGGCAAGACAATCAATGGGGATAGAATAGTGTCTTCAACAATGGTGCTGGAACAATTGTATGCTCATGTGAAAAAAAAACTGAACTTAGAGCTATACCTCACACCATACATAACAGTTGAATCAAAATGCAATCAAAATACTGTATTTGCATTTTATTGACCAAACTGCAAAAGTTTGGTCAATAAAATAAAACTATACAAATTCTTGAAGAAAATAAATGCAAAAAATAAAACTATACAAATTCTTGAAGAAAATGATTGAAAAAAGTCTTTGTGATCTTGAGTAGATGAAAAGTTCCTAATGAATGACCCCAAAAACATGGTGCATAAAAAAACAGACAAATTGAACCTTATCAAAATGTAAAATGTTTGTGTTACAAAAAATATCACTAAGCCAATGGAAAAACAAGTTCTTCATAGGGAGAAAACATTTGCCAGTCATATTTTTGATAAAGAACTTGTATCTAGACTATATAAAGAGTTTTATACTCAAAAATAAAATTTAAATGAGCAAAAGATTTGAGTAGACACTTTACTAAAGAGAATATTCAAATTGCCAATCATGGTGCATAAAATAGATTTAACTATGTGAGTTGTAAGGGAAATGCAAATTAAAATCATAATGATATACCTCTATACACTCATTAAAGTGGCTATAAACACAAAGACAATTCCAAGTGTTGATAATCAAGTGGAGAACCTGGAATCATCATGCAAATTTGTTGGAAATATCAAGTGGTACAGACACTTTGGAAAACAGTGTGGCAGTTTCTTAAAAAGTTAGTAACAAATATATATGACTCAGCAATTTTACTGCTAGGAATCTCTTTTAGAAAATAAAAACACATGTCCACACAAAGTTATGTACATGAATGTTCACAGCCAAAAAATGGAAACAATCCAAATGTCTATCAAGCAGTAAATAGATTTTTTAAAAATGGTATATCCATGTAATGGAGTACTACTCTGCAATAAAAAGGAAAAAACCCTACTGATTTATGCTACAACATGGATGAACCTCACAAATATTATGCTGACTGAAAGAAGCCATATGTAAATAACTACATATTGTATGCTTCCATATATATGAAATCTTCAGAAAAGGTAAATTTATAGAGACAGGAAGCAGACCAGTAACTGCTTGGGCCCTGAGGATGGTGGTGGGAATGAACTGAGAATGAGCATGAGTGTACTTTTTGGAGGTTGGGAGATGTTATAAAACTAGATTGTGGTGCTTATTGCACACCTCTATAAATCCGATTTAAAAATCATTGAATATTACACTTACATGAATTAGGTACTTAAATCTAACAAAGATGTTAAAGAAAAAGGCTTATTGCTTATTGTATATATGCCATTTAGCAGGCACTGCACTAGGCAGTGGTGACAGAGGGAGATAAAGTCAGACAAAGAAGACCTGCCATCCTGGAGCTTACAATTTGCAATAATCAATATAGGATTTTGAGCAGGCTGACACTATCTGCTTGTGAAGTTTTAGAAACAAACAAACCATGTTAAAAATACTATATTGCTCCCCCTCAAAGTTCTGCTTTCACGTAATTTACATTTATTGTAGGGGATTTGGAGGAGATGAAAAATGAGAATATAAAAACATGAATAAATACATTTTAGGATGTGATAAGTACCGTTAATAAAAATAAATCTGAGATATAAAGAACTCCTAAAACTCAGCAACCAAAAAACCAACTCGAAAATGGGCCAAGAAGTTGAATAGATATTTCTCCAAATAACATATACAAATGGCAAAAATTGTATTAAAAGATGCTCAGTATCACTAATCTTTAGGGAACTGCAAATAAAAACTACAATGAGATACATTTTACACCCATTAGAATGGTTACCATCACACACACACACAAACAGAGAACAAGTGTTTGTGAAGATATGGATTAACTGGAAACTTTTGTGCACTGTTGGTAGGAGTGTAAAATGGTACAGCCATTGGGGAAATAGTATGATGGTTTCTCAAAATATTAAATAGAGAATACCCCTGTGATCCAGAAATTCTATTTCTGGATGCTTAAAAGAATTGAAACCAGGATCTTGAAGCAATACTTGTAAACTCATGTTCATGACAGCATCATTCATTATAGCTAAAACATGGAAGTAACCAAGTGTCCATCAATGGATAAATGCATTAAGCAAAATGTGGTATATATATATACAATGGGTTTTTAGTATTATAAAGGAAAAAATTCTGACATATTCTTTAAAATTTCTGACACATTCGGGATGAACTTTGCAGATATGCTAAGTGAAAAAACGCTAGTCACAAGTGGACAAATATTGTATTATTCCACTTAGGTACTTAGAGTAGTCAAAATCATAGGGACAAAAAATCGAATGGTAGTTGCCAGGGGCTGGGGGAAAGGGGTAATGGAAACTTATTGTATAATAGACATTGAATTTCTGTTTTACAAGATGAAAAGAGATCAATGGTGGTGATGCTTATACAGCATTATGAATGTACTTAATTATGAATATATTTAATACATATAATTAATATAGTTAAAATGGTTAAGATGGTACATTTTATATTATGCTTATTTTATCACAGTAAAAACATTGAAAAAAATTAGAGAAAATAAAGAGTTGTGGAGCCAGAGGGAAGAGGGTGTGGTGTTTAAATATGATGGTAATGGAAGACCTCCTTGATAAGGTTCCTGGAGGAACGAATAGAAAGCCATGCAGATGTCTGACTAAAGAACATTCCAGGCAGAGGAAACTGAGTTAGGGCATGCATGACCTCTCTGAGGACTGGCAAGGCGGCCAACGTAGTTGGAACAGAGTAGCTGAGCAGAAAGTGGAGATGAAGTCAGAGAGGGAACTGGGGCCAGATCATTTAGAGCCTTGAAACATTTTGTATGACTTTAGATTTTATTATGAGTGAGCTTAGGGGCAATGGGAAGGTTTTGAACAGAAAAAGGAAATAATCTAACATGTTCTAATAGTTCATTCTGGCAACTGGTAGAGAACAAACTAGACTGCGAGGTTGGAAGTAGGGAGAATAGTTCAGAAGCTATTGCAATCATCCAGGAGAGAGATGCTGGTAGCTCACATCAGGGTAGCAGCAGCCTACATGACAAGAAGTAGCCCAGGAGATATTACCACTATAGAACCAACAGGATTTGCTGATGTGTTGGATGGCAGGTGGGAGAAAGAAGTGAATCAAGGATGACCCCAAGGTTTCTGATTGGAGCAACTGGACTAGATTATGAAGCAAATGTCTTTTTTTTATTATTATACTTTAAGTTCTAGGGTACATGTGCACAACGTGCAGGTTTGTTACATATATATACATGTGCCATATTGGTGTGCTGCACCCATTAACTCATCATTTACAATAGGTATTTCTCCTAATGCTATCCCTCCCCCCTGACCCCTCACCCCATGACAGGCCCCAGTGTGTGATGTTCCCCACCCTGTGTCCAAGTGTTCTCATTGTTCAGTTCCCACCTATGAGTGAGAAAATGCAGTGTTTGGTTTTCTGTTCCTATGTTAGTTTGCTGAGAATGATGGTTTCCAGCTTCATCCATGTCCCTACAAAGGACATGAACTCATCCTTTTTTATGGCTGCGTAGTATTCCATGGTGTATATGTGCCACATTTTCTTAATCCAGTCTATCATTGATGGACATTTGGGTTGGTTCCAAGTCTTTGCTATTGTGAATAGTGCTGCAGTAAACATATGTGTGCATGTGTCTTTATAGCAGCATGATTTATAATCCTTTGGGTATATACCCAGTAATGGAATGGCTGGGTCAAATGGTATTTCTAGTTCTAGATCCTGGAGGAATTGCCACACTGTCTTCCACAATGGTTGAACTAGTTTACAGTCCCACCAACAGTGTAAAAGTATTCCTATTTCTCCACATCCTCTCTGGGACCTGTTGTTTCGTGACTTTTTAATGATCACCATTCTAACTGGTATGGGATGGTATCTCATTGTGATTTTGATTTGCATTTCATTGATGGGCAGTGATGATGAGCATTTTTTCATGTGTCTTTTGGCTGCATAAATATCTTCTTTTGAGAAGTGTCTGTTCATATCCTTCACCCACTTTTTGATGGGGTTGTTTGATTTTTTCTTGTAAATTTGTTTAAGTTCTTTGTAGATTCTGGATATTAGCCCTTTGTCAGATGGGTAGATTGCAAAAATTTTCTCCCATTCTGTAGGTTGCCTGTTCAATCTGATGGTAGTTTCTTTTGTTGTTTAGAAGCTCTTTAGTTTAATTAGATCCCATTTGTCAATTTTGGCTTTTGTTGCCATTCCTTTTGGTGTTTTAGTCATAAAGTCCCTGCCCATGCCTATGTTCTGAATGGTATTGCCTAGGTTTTCCTCTAGGGTTTTTACAGTTTTAGGTCTAACATGTAAGTCTTTAATCCATCTTGAATTAATTTTTGTATAAGGTGTAAGGAAAGGATCCAGTTTCAGCTTTCTACATATGGCTAGCCAGTTTTCCCTGCACCATTTATTAAATAGGAAATCCTTTCCCCATTGCTTGTTTTTGTCAGGTTTGTCGAAGATCAGATGGTTGTAGATGTGTGGTAGTATTTCTGAGGGCTCTGTTCTGTTCCATTGGTCTATATATCTGTTTTGGTAGCAGTACCATGCTGTTTTGATTACTGTAGCCTTATAGTATAGTCAGGTAGTGTGATGCCTCCAGCTTTGCTCTTTTTGCTTAGGATTGTCTTGGCAATGCGGGCTCTTTTTTGGTTCCATATGAACTTTAAAGTAGTTTTTTCCAGTTCTGTGAAGAAAGTCATTGATAGCTTCATGGGGATGGCACTGAATCTATATAAATTACCTTGGGTAGTATGGCCATTTTCATGATATTGATTCTTCCTATCGATGAGCATGGAATGTTCTTCCATTTGTTTGGGTCCTCTTTTATTTTGTTGAGCAGTGGTTTGTAGCTCTCCTTGAAGACTTCCTTCACATCCCTTGTAAGTTGGATTCCTAGGTATTTTATTCTCTTTGAAGCAATTGTGAATGGGAGTTCACTCATAGTTTCGCTCTCTGTTTGTCTATTATTGGTGTATAGGAATGCTTGTTATTTTTGCACATTGATTTTTTATCCTGAGACTTTGCTGAAGTTGCTTATCAGCTTAGGGAGATTTTGGGCTGAGACAATGGGGTTTTCTAACTATACAATCATGTAATCTGCAAACAGGGACAATTTGACTTCCTCTTTTCCTAATTGAATACCCTTTATTTCTTTCTCCTTCCTGATTGCCCTGGCCAGAACTTCCAACACTATGTTGAATAGGAGTGGTGAGAGAGGGCATCCCTGTTTTGTGCCAGTTTTCGAAGGGTATGTTTCCAGTTTTTGCCCATTCAGTATGATATTGGCTGTGGGTTTGTCATAAATAGCTCTTACTATTTTGAGATACATCCCATCAGTACCTAGTTTATTGAGAGTTTTTAGCATGAAGGGCTGTTGAATTTTGTCAAAGGCCTTTTCTGCGTCTATTGAGATAATCAAGTGGTTTTTAACTTTGATTCTGTTTATATGATGGATTACATTTATTGATTTATGTAGGTTGAACCAAACTTGCATCCCAGGGATGAAGCCAACTTGATTGTGCTAGATAAGCTTTTCGATGTGCTGCTGGATTCGGTTTGCCAGTATTTTATTGAGGATTCTTGCATTGATGTTCATCAGGGATATTGGTCTAAAATTCTCTTTTTTTGTTGTGTCTCTACCAGGCTTTGGTATCAGGATGATGTTGGCCTCATAAAATAGTTAGGGAGGATTCCCTCTTTTTCTTTTGATTGGAATAGTTTCAGAAGGAATGGTACCAGATCCTCTTTGTACCTCTGGTAGAATTCGGCTGTGAATCTGTCTGGTCCTGGACTTTTTTTGGTTGGTAGGCTATCAATTATTGCCTCAATTTCAGAGCCTGTTATTGGTCTATTCAGGGATTCAACTTCTTCCTGGTTTAGTCTTGGGAGGGTGTATGTGTCGAGGAATTTATCCATTTCTTCCAGATTTTCCAGTTTATTTGCTTAGAGGTTTTTATAGTATTCTCTGATGGTAGTTTGTATTTCTGTGGAATTGGTGGTGATATCCCCTTTATTATTTTTTATTGCATCTATTTGATTCTTCTCTCTTTTCTTCTTTATTAGTCTTGCTAGCGGTCTATCAATTTTGTTGATCTTTTCAAAAAACCAGCTCCTGGATTCATTGATTTTTTGAAGGGTTTTTTGTGTCTCTATCTCCTTCAGTTCTGCTCTGATCTTAGTTATTTCTTGCCTTCTGCTAGCTTTTGAATGTGTTTTCTCTTGCTTCTCTAGTTCTTCTAATTGTGATGTTAGGGTGTCGATTTTAGATCTTTCCTGCTTTCTCTTGTGGCATATTTAGTGCTATAAATTTCCCTCTACACATTGCTTTAAATGTGTCCCAGAGATTCTGGTATGTTGTGTCTTTGCTCTTGTTGGTTTCAAAGAACATCTTTATTTCTTCCTTCATTTCATTATGTACCCATTAGTCATTCAGGAGCAGGTTGTTCAGTTTCCATGTAATTGTGCAGTTTTGAGTGAGTTTCTTAATCCTGAATTCTGCAGTTTGAGTGAGTTTCTTAATCCTGAGTTCTAATTTGATTGCACTGTGGTCTGAGAGACAGTTTGTTATAGTTTCTGTTATTTTACATTTGCTGAGGAGTGCTTTACTTCCAACCATGTGGTCAATTTCGGAATAAGTGCGATGTGGTGCTGAGAACAATGTATATTCTGTTGATTTGGGGTGGAGAGTTTGTAGAAGTGTATTAGGTCCACTTGGTGCAGAGCTGAGTTTAAGTCCTGGATATCCCTGTTAACTTTCTATCTTGTTGGACTGTCTAATGTGGACAGTGGGGTGTTAAAGTCTCCCATTATTATTGTGTGGGAGTCTAAGCATCTTTGTAGGTCTCTAAGGACTTGCTTTATTAATCTAGGTGCTCCTGTATTGGATGCATGTATATTTAGGATAGTTAGCTCTTCTTGTTGAATTGATCCCTTTACCATTATGCAATGGCCTTCTTTGTCTCTTTTGATCTTTGTTGGTTTAAAGTCTGTTTTATCAGAGAGTAGGATTAAAACCCCTGCTTTTTTTTGTTTTCCATTTGCTTGGTAGATCTTCTTCCATCCCTTTATTTTGAGCCTATGTGTGTCTCTGCACATGAGATGGGTCTCCTGAATACAGCACACTGATGGGTCTTGACTCTTTATCCAATTTGCCATTCTGTGTCTTTTAATTGGGGCATTTAGCTCCTTTACATTTAAGGTTAATATTGTTATGTGTGAATTTGATCCTGTCATGATGATGTTAGCTGGTTATTTTGCTTGTTAGTTGATGCAGTTTCTTCCTAGCATCGATGGTCTTTACAATTTGGCATGTTTTTGCAGTGGCTGGTACCGGTTGTTCCTTTCCATGTTTAGTGCTTCCTTCAGGAGCTCTTGTAAGGCAGGCCTGGTGGTGACAAAATCTCTCAGCATTTGCTTGTCTGTAAAGGATTTTATTTCTTCTTCACTTATGAAGCTTAGTTTGACTGGATATGAAATTCTGGGCTGAAAATTATTTTCTTTAAGAATGTTGAATATTGGCCCCCACTCTCTTCTGGCTTGTAGAATTTCTGGTGAGAGATCCGCTGTTAGTCTGATGGGCTTCCCTTTGTGGGTAACCCGACTTTCTCTCTGGCTGCCCTTAACATTTTTTCCTACATTTCAACCTTGGTGAATCTGACGATTATGTGTCTTTGGATTGCTCTTCTAGAGGAGTATCTTTGTGGCATTCTCTGTATTTCCTGAATTTGAATGTTAGCCTGCTTTGCTAGGTTGGGGAAGTTCTCCTGGATAATATCCTGCAGAGTGTTTTCCAACTTGGTTCCATTCTCCCCATCACTTTCAGGTACACAAATCAGACGTAGATTTAGTCTTTTCACATAGTCCCATATTTCTTGGGGCTTTGTTCATTTCTTTTTACTCTTTTTTCCCTAAACTTCTCTTCTCGCCTCTTTTCATTCATTTGATCTTCAATCACTGATACCCTTTCTTCCACTTGATCAAATCAGCTACTGAAGTTTGTGCATTCGTCACGTAGTTCTTGTGCCATGGTTCTCAGCTCCATCAGGTCATTTAAGGTCTTCTCTACACTGTTTATTCTAGTTAGCCATTCGTCTAATCTTTTTTTCAAGGTTTTTAGCTTATTTGCAATGGGTTTCAACATCCTCCTTTAGCTCGGAGAAGTTTGTTATTACCGATCTTCTGAAGCCTACTTCTGTCAACTTGTCAACGTCATTCTCCATCCAGCTTTGTTCTGTTGCTGGCGAGGAACTGCGTTCCTTTGGAGGAGAAGAGGTGCTCTGGTTTTTAGAATTTTCAGCTTTTCTGCTCTGGTTTCTCCCCGTCTTTGTGGTTTTATCTACCTTTGGTCTTTGATGATGGTGACCTACTGATGGGGTTTTGGTGTGGATATCCTTTTTGTTGATGTTGATGCTATTCTTTCTGTTTGTTAGTTTTCCTTCTAACAGTCAGGACCCTCAGCTGCAGGTCTGTTGGAGTTTGCTGGAGGTCCACTGTAGACCCTGTTTGCCTGGGTGTCACCAGCGGAGGCTGCAGAACAGCAAATGTTGCTACCTGATCCTTCCCCTGGAAGCCCGGGCACCCGGCTGTATGAGATGTCAGTCACCCCCTACTGGGAGGTGTCTCCCAATTAGGCTACTCGGGGGTCAGGGACCCACTTGCGGAGGCAGTCTGTCCGTTCTCAGACCTCAAACTCCATGCTGGGAGAACCACTACTCTCTTCAAAGTTGTCAGACAGGGACGTTTAAGTCTGCAGAAGTTTCTGCTGCCATTTGTTCAGCTATACCCTGCCCCCAGAGGTGGAGTTTACAGAGGCAGGCAGGCCTTGTTGAACTGTGGTGGGCTCCACCCAGTTCGAGCTTCCTGGCTGCTTTGTTTACTTACTCAAGCCTCAGCAGTGGCAGACACCCCTCACCCAGCCTTGCTGCTGCCTTGCAGTTCGATCTTGGACTGCTGTGCTAGCAGTGAGCAAGGCTCCGTGGGCATGGGACCTGCTGAGCCATGTGCAGGATATAATCTCCTGGTGTGCCGTTTGCTAAGACCGTTGGAAAAGTGCAGTATTAGGGTGGGAGTGTCTCGATTTTCCAGGTACTGTCTGTCACGGCTTCCCTTGGCTAGGAAAGGGAATTCCCCGACCCCTTGCGCTTCCTGGGTAAGGCGATGCCCTGTCCTGCTTCAGCTCACACTCTGTGGGCTGCACCCACTGTCCAACAAGTCCCAGTGAGATGAACCTTGTACCTCAGTTGGAAATGCAGAAATCACCTGTCTTCTGTGTCTCTCACGCTGGGAACTGTAGACTGGAGCTGTTCCTATTTGGCCATCTTGGAGGGAGCTATGAAACAAATGTCTTTAAGAGTGCTAACACTTCAGCCTAAGACTGCAGGTGGGAATTCATGAAAATTAATTGCTAAAATCCTGATGGAATGGAATAGCAGAATGAGATAGCTGTGTTTTCTTTATACAGTATTTAAGCCATATTTCTGCATAGCTAGGGACTGTGCAAGTGTTTTTCTTTGCTTCTGATACCACAGTTACAAAGGATTCCACTGGTGCCACTCAGGAAACAGTGAAGTATTTCTGTGTCCTGTGTTTCAATTCCTGACATCTTAAAGATGGCGGCTGCCATCGTTTTCTACAGTATCTCAAGCTCATTCTCCACCAGATGGCAGCACTGAAGTTCAGAGGCCTTCAGCACAGAGCCTCCTTGCCTGGTGAATACAAATGCAAAGCTTTAAGCTCCTTCACACAAGTTAGACTCTCATTCTCTCTCCTACCTCCCCTCCCCCACTGAAGGCAACCCCTTCCAATAATCAGCCTTCTAGACTAAAATAGAAGCTTTTAACATTTTAATGTCTTGTCACATTACTCACCAGTCTCATCTAGGTCCAGGAAACCATTTCCTGGAGGCCTCTTTTTTATTTGTGTTCATTAGCTGCGCTAATACATTCTCTTGGAAACCACAGTTTAATAAATTTCATAGCGCATAACCAGTGGACTTAATGAATATTAGTCACTCGGAGCAATTTTTGTTTATTCAGCTTCTCTTTCCTCTCCTCCCTTCCCCTACCCCAGACCTCATTCTGTGGAATGATAATAATACACAGAGAGCTGGCTGGTTACAGAAGACTCTAAAAACAAGAAGAAAAAGGATCTTTCTGAGCTCACACCTGTTTTAAGGTTTGTTATCCTTAAAACGAAAAGCTGTAGGGATTCACTCAGCTCTTTCCTTGTAGCTCCCAGTGGACTTTGCTGTTAAACCACAGGGAGGAGCCCAGCCTTCAGAGCACTTAAAAGTACTTATGTCAAATCCATCCCATTCTTCCGGCCTCCGTTTCTCAATCCAGCCACCATTCCCAGGGGCTGGAGCACATTACAAGGCATTCACTTCATATGAATGGGCACACACAGACTTTTTCACCATTTCGATATGTCTAACATTTGCAGGCACATCCTGTAGGCTGCCTGAAACAGCCTTAATTTCAATTTACTGTCTCCCCAAGGATCTTGCCATTCTGCGGAAAGTAGAAAACTCAATGGTCGTTTCTCCTCTCCGACCTCTCACCCCAGGCTCTCTCTGCCCTCCTCCTCTTTCAAGGAAAAGCTGTATTGGGAGGAACATTTTGCTCCAGATGAATAGAATGAAGTTTTGATGCTTCTAACAGCACGTATGATCTTTTATTTTTAAAAAATAATGAGCAAGTTACATCAGATTACCACATTTGGAAACTGTTCAAAGTCGGCATACAAAGCCCAGTAAATGCTGTCTTGGGTCCTCCTGGAATATGATTACACAAGACAGCATGAAATCATAGTCTTGAAGTTTTACGTTGTCGTTTGTAACCCGCTAGGTCTAACTCTATATAACTTTTTAGTATGGAAATTTCCAAATATGTATACAACTTGAGAAAATACTGTAATGAACCTCAAGGTACCTGTCCTTTAACTTTCACATTAATCAACATTTGGCCAATCTTATTTTATCAAATCCTCTTCTCACACATGCCTGTCTTTTTTGCTTGGAGATTTAAAAACAAATGACAGATGTGTCTTTTTCTCTGTAAACAGTTTGGCATGCTTTGCTAGCTGATAAGAGCTTTCTATTTTTAGCATAATCACCATGCCAATATCACACTTAACATAATTAATGGTAATTCCTTAGTCATCTAATACCTAGTCCATTTTAATTTTTTTCCTGATTACCTCAATATTTTTTTTACTAGTTCAGAATCCAAACAAGACCCACTCATTGCATTAGTTGTTTTTTCCTTAAGTCTCTTTTGTTTTGCAACAGGTCCTCCTCCTTCTTCTCCTCTTCCTCCTCCTCCTCCTCTTCCTTCTCCTTCTCTAGTTTTATGCCATAGATCTGTTGGTTATACCAAGATTTTTGTCTATAGAAATATTTCATACTGTACATTTGACTGATTGTTTCCTTGTGGTGTCATTGAATTTGTTCTTGTACTGTTAGGGATATTTCTGGCAGAGAAAAAGTTAGCTGAGTTTTTCACTCTTATACTGAATAAAAACCAGTAGAATACAGAGGGAAATCCTCATTTTGCTTTGGCATCTGGAGCTACACTTACTGTTAATTCATTCAGCAAATATTAATTAGCTCTTGTAATGTACCAGGCACTGTACTGGGCTTTGGGAATGCAGAGTGACTAAGGGGGTTGGGAATATGGGATAACTGAGAAAATCATGGACCTTATCCTTGTGAAACTTAGGAGTCGTGGGTTTCAAAGCACCACTTAAAAAAACACCTGTGTTGGGTTCTCCTAACACTCTTGTAACGTCCATCAAGTTGTAAAGCCCTCTTAAATTTACTGAAGAATACCGAGGATGAAGTGATAGGTGCTGTAGACAGGAACTATACAAGAAATCACTAATGGAGAAGTCAGACACCATTCCCCTTGGACTTTTGGATTTCGCTCTTTTGATAAATTAATTTTAGATCCTAAACTCTGTCACAGGTGGATCAGTACTGCTAAAAAGATTTAGGCAACCCCTGAACAAAATTAATATCAGGGTATCAATTTATATTGGCCTAGGTTACAAAAGAAGTTAGTTCCTTACGAGTTCCTTAATTCTGACACCCATCTCCAAGAAATCCATCAATGCATAAAAATAAGAAACACATTGGAACATAGTGCACAGAGACTAAACACAACTGAAATAAAAGTTACCCAAAATGAAACTTCTCTTACTTACCAGTGTGTGATAAACTCTGATATCTCCAAATCTATTTTGTTTTATTTTTATTTCATTTTGTTTTAAAAAAATGCTTATTGCAAACCAATAAATGAATTTTGTGATCCACCAATGAGTCATGATCTGCTGATTTTGGAAAAGGCTTGACATTTGGATAAGATGGGGTCATGGACCATCTGCTTGAACTACGTCGTTGAGGCTTACTTTTGTAAAAGCCCAGATTTTGTGCCTTTGAAATAATATCGGAGGAAGGGATTGAGGTAGGGGGTTTTCAGAAGTTGTAAACATCATCAAGGCCTTCCTCTTATTTATTTATTTTTTTCTGGATAGAAGCAGTGTAAGCGGACGGAGGGAGACACTGGGGGCAAAGTAAGATCCTTGAGAATTTCAAGTGTCTTATTTTTAAGGAAGGAGACTAAATTTTTTTTTTAAAGTAGCACCTATTGGCTGTATGTTTTCTCATCTTATCTTATGTAATCCTCATAACAATGTAACTGTGTAGCCTTTATATATGTTACATAGGAGAAAACTTGGACTCCCCGAGATTGAGTAGGTAGAGGAACTGACTATTAACCAACTCACAGAGACCATGTCTCCCGGCAATTGGGGACTAACAGAGACTGGAGTCAGGCAATCTTTACTCTGAATCCTTGCTGTGGTACTTAGTGATAGTTATTAGTAAGTGAGGAATAAATAAGATTAAATGTGCAAACACTCAGCATCTAGTAGTCACTGATTATTTGTATGAATATAAGATACATGTATAAGCTATATATTAAAATATGCATACATGATATATATACATATATAAGATATACATTAAAATTTTTGTTTTTAAAATTATCCCTTGGAACAAGATGATATGTCAAAAATACTGGCATTGTGTACATTTCTAATCTTGCAGTCTGTTGGCATCCCTCACTGCCCTGTCTCCTCCCAGTAACGCTGAATATAGTTAGAATCCTGCATGTACTGGGCACCATAGCAAAACTTGAAAAGCAAACCAACACACATACAAACTCAACAACAGGTGTCAGCCTCCAGCAGAGAAATTTGATGGAAGAAACCATAATTTTGAGTAATAACCTGCATTTCATCAGGACTAGGTTCCTTTCCAACACTCAGAGATTTTGTTGTTACTATTGTAACAACATTCAATGAGAATATTGCCATTCTCACACATACCACATTGAGAGGCAATGGTATATGGTGTATAAGAGCTCCATCCCTCAGCGCAAGACGACCTATGCTTAAATTCTGGTTCTGCCACTTCCCTGCTGTATTAGCCCATTCTTGTATTGCTATAAAGAAATACCTGAGACTGGGTAATTTATAAGAAAAGAAGTTTAATTGGCTCACGGTTCTTCAGGCTATACAGGAAACAGTGCTGGCATCAGCTTCTAGGGAGGCCTCAGGAAGCTTTTACTCATGGTGGAAGGCAAAGTGGGAGCAGGCACTGCACATGGCGAAAGCAGGAGCAAGAGAGGGTTGAGGGTGGGGAGGAGTTTCCATGCTTTACAACAACCAGATCTTACAAAAACTCAGTACCGTAAGGACAGCACCAAGCCACGAGGGATCCACCCTCATGACCCAAACACCTCCCACCAGGCCCCATTTCCAACACTGGAGATTACATTTCAACATGACATTTGGGCGGGGAAAATATTCAAACTATATCACCTGCTATGTGGTCTCGAACAAATCACTTAAACCATTTTTCCTCCATCATCATTAGTAAAACAAGGTTTATGATGTTAATCACAATGAGGATGATAAAAATGCCCACCACGTAGGTTGTTGTAAGAATTCAATGCATTAGCATATATAAAACACTTAAAACAGTATCCAGAATATAAGAAGTGTTGGCAAGTCTTATGATGTTATGAGTTAGAGATACTCCCTCTGCTCCTGAAGGGCCAACATTTCCAGTTTCAGTTGCATTTGGCAGCTTTCTGGAGTGGAGCAAATCATAGTTAGGTCTCCACTCATTCAGTAGGACTTTGTGAGTCATCGACAGTGGTTAAGATGCAGTGCTAGCTACAGAATAGTTTTTTAAAAAATGGAACATCTGTTCTTTCCTCAATAATTTACAATCTAATTGAGAAAAAAAACAATGTTCTCTGCCACCAGCTAGCTGTGAGATTTTACTCAGGATACTGTCCCACTCCAAAAATAAGGGGCTCCTCTACTCTGTACTAATGATGAATAAATTGGGATTCACCAGGTTTAGCACCTCAATTCACAAAGACAAGAATCTCTATTCAAGAATTATAAAGAAAATTATGAATTCATAAAAATATTTTAAATAAGCTAGAATCTGAAAAATAAAGAATGTTGTCTTATTTAGTGATGACCCCATAAAGGGCTCCACCACTCTGCAAGTGATGATGAATAAACTGGGAATCACCAGGTTTAGCACCTAAATTCACAAAGGCAAGAATCTCTATCCAAGAACTATAAAGAAAATCATGAATGCATAAAAATATTTTAAATAAGCAGGAGTCTGAAAAATAACGTTATCTTATTTAGTGATGACCCCCAGATAAAAACTTGAAGAAGTTTATGGTTAAACATTTTTACTTAGGATCCATTTTTCTTTTTTTTCTCCTCTTTCTCTTCTTATTTCTTCTCCTACTTTTTCTCCTTTTTTTTCTCCTTATATGCCTGCTTAGACATTTATGAAGACTTGCCAAAGAAACAATGGGACAACCAGGTTGAGAAAGACAAGTTAAATCTCTCGTTTTGTTAATTCTGATTGGAGAAGCTTTACTCACATCCTCTGTTTCTCTCCTATGAGGCAAGTAACTTCCAAGTATCTGGACAGCCTTCTCCCTTGATGTCGAGGAGGACCTTTGACAGAGAGTGTAATATTCAGAGTGATCAATTCTGATTCCATTATTTTACATCTGATGAAGACAAATCTATCTTAAAATTCTTGCTGATTGAAAATTAAAAGCCACATTTATTTGTGAAATTAAAAAGCTCTCAGAGGGCAACCAAATGCTCAGATGTCTTTATCCTTTTTTTTAAAAAAAAAATGACTATCTTCCTCTGAAGATGCATATTTTCTAAAAGCAAATAGAATCATTCATCTTAAAACTGGTTACCCTACATTCAGCCATATAACAAGTCACTGACTTAAGTGAAATGTTGAGAATCTCACAGTCCATCATATGTCTTATTAACAATGTAAAACTCTATTCCTGGGCAGAAATATTAACTGCTGCCCAAATAAACAACCATCTATCATACATGAATGCACTGCGGTAGGCAGCTACCTCATATCTTATTATTAAAGATTTCCCTCAGTATGAACGCAACAGACCTGTGAATTTATTTCTCTGTGTGGGTCCCCAACATGAGTTGGATGCAGGAAGCCTTAGAAATGGGTTATAGTTAAAAGTTTATTTTTATAATCCTGTTGTTTGCAACTGAAAATGCATCTTCCAATAATGACAGTGTTACAAGTCAAGGTTAGATCCCTGAGGTCACCTGTGAATGTTTACTGAAAGCAAAGCTGAAATGATCTAATTTATAGCCACTGGCCTTCCTAAGCAACCCTCTGCCCTAGTGCTGAGTCCCTAAGGCCCCCAAGGTGCAAGTTACTACTGAGATTGTGAAGAAGAAGTGGGGATGGGTGTAGAATTACACAGCATTGGAGGCAAAGGAGGAGAAATTAAAAGGGGAGCTCCATGTCTCCTCTTACATTCACTGGGATTACTGGTGAATCAGAGATGATCTGCCCACCTTGTACTTCTCATTATACGGCTCTACATCCAAGCTGCCTTCGTGAAAGTCTTATGTGTTTGTAATTGAAAAACTTTATCCTTCTTTAAAAAAATGAGAATTTGTGGCCACCTCTAGAGCTTCCAGTCAGATAGGTATTTTGGTCTATTTAGTGGGGAAAATGCACAACACAAGTCACTTGACATCATATGCAGATTAGCTTTTAAAGGTTGTTGCCTTGGTATTGTATTTGGTGAGCAGTTGGACTGTGTAGCTTGTTGGCATTTGTTTTAGTGTACCCAAATCCTAGGTCTCCATGACAGTTCTAGAGAATTTGGAATTATGGCTTTTTAAAGCTGAATCATGAATGCAGTCCTGGAACAGAACACCCTCATCCTGTGTTGACACAGGCGGAGAACAGTCTCAACGTGATGGAGATAAGGGTGGGCATGATCTGCACATGAACTTCCTGACATACGCTCACAGGGGCATCCTCTCCCAGTAGGCCTATAACAGTGTTTTTCTGAAGCAAGTACCACTAACAAGAGGTGTTCTTGGAGCAGATTAAGCGTTAATCAAGTGAGTAAAAACTGACCCTGGATGTATGTCCAAACCTCTTCAATTCAACACTGCCCTAGAACTGACTGTTATATATTCTCTATTATTTTTTCTTTTTTTCCTCTGTGGCCCAGGCTAGAGTGCAGTGGCGTGATGTTGGCTCACTGCAAGCTCTGCCTCCCGGGTTCACGCCATTCTCATGCCTTAGTTTCCCAAGTAGCTGGGACTACAGGTGCCCGCCACCATGCCCAGCTTATTTTTTTGTATTTTTTTTTTAGTGGAGATGGGGTTTCACCATATTAGCTAGGATGGTCTCGATCTCCTGACCTCGTGATCTGCCACCTCGGCCTCCCAAAGTGCTGGGATTACAGGCATGAGCCACCGCACCTGGCCATATTCTCTATTATTCTTCATGATATTTAATGAAAAAGAAATATGTAGTATTTTGTATGTAGGAAGGCACTGTCTCTTAAAAATAAAATTTCTGCTCTTGAGGGATTTATAGTCCAGCTCTGCAGACAGACACATGGACCAATAATTACCACGTAATGGGATGCATGCTATCGTGGAAATGCATCTACAGGGGAAGAAGATATTAATTAACCTTGAAGAAGGTTGGAAAGGCATCATAGAGGATGTGCTATCTGAGTTTTACCTTGAGAAGGATGTGGGATTGCTGTACTTGGTAAAGGTCATATTGGCTAGAAGGAACCATATGAGCAAAGATCCGGAGGTGAGAAAGTATTTAGCGTGTTTGAGGAAGAACAGGGATCCATGGAGTGGCTTAAATGTAATAATGGACATTGGAGCTAGAGAGGAAAATACACAACAAAGTATAAAATTCCTTTCCTATATCAGACTAGGAAATTTAGATTTTAACTTACATACAATAGAAAGTGGGATGCTGGTTAAAGTTTCTGCTAGAAAATTTGATGGTAGAATATAATATTAAGGAAAGTATGAAAGACCATAGAACTGAAAATTTCTGGACTTGGGGACCCTTGGGATAATTGCTGTGTCTCCTCTTTAGGTCTTTCTAGGAAGCAATGAAGCCTGCGGCTTAGAGCAGAACTCAGGTGTCATCAATAGCTATTAATGGAACGAAGACTCATCTCCCTCAGACTCACACGGGATATGCAGCTGTTCACTATAAAATGGTCCAGGTTTTCTGCATCTGCTTCTTAGTAAACTTGTGTGACTGCCCAATAAATTTCCACACGCCCAATATTCTCCCCTTCTCCCTTTCTCTCCTTTCCCCTCCCTTCCCCTTCCTTTCTTTCTCTTTCAGACCTGGCACCGCTGATGAATTAGAGGGACACACAGGCTTTCTAGAAGCTCACTGAGTAGCTTTTCATACGATAGACATTTGTTGAATGTCCTCTATATGCCAAGCCCTGGGGATGGCCCTCTATATGGTGCTAAACAGGTGATTGGCTGGTGAGGTTTGGGGAAGCACATTTTATTCATGGCTCCCTTATTTTGTTGTATTATTTCTCCTGCATAACATGTGCCTCAATCAAAGCCATTTATGATGTGAATGTATGAAAACTATAATTTTGAGCATCCCCCAGTGTGTTCCCTGCCCTCCAATCAAGCCTCCTACCAGCTCTCCTCCCACCCCAGCCTTGTGGCACTACCCTGTGCTCTCTCCCTGGCTGAAAGCCCCTTCTCTTTGCTGATTCAAATCCCATCCAACATTCAAAACCACCACCTCCATAATGTCTTTCTGATGGCTCACATCCTCATTGATTTCTTGGAGATATAATTCAGGGTAACAGTTAAAAAACTGGGCTCTAAATTAAGGAGAGGGGTTAACTCTAAGGAAAGGAGAACGAGATGTGTTCAGGGCCTTCATCTATTGCTAACATTTTATCTTAAGCTGGGTGATGGATATACAGGTATTTTTTTTAAACATAGTTAATTATATAATTTTGTATGGTTGAATTATTTTATAAAAGAAAAAGGTCACGTATTAAGTGTGCTACCTTGTGCAAGTTCCCTAACTTCTTTATGCCCCAGTTACCTCATTTGTAGGAAATGATAATAGTGCCCTCTTTATAGAATGTTGTGAGGGTTAATAATATCAGATAATGCCTGTCAGGAATTTACAAAGTGCTTGACATATAGTAAGAACTCAATAAATGTTTTCCTCTTTTCCCCTTGAACTCCCCAGAGTGCTTTTGCTCAGAATTATATAATTTAATATTTAATTGAACCTTGTTTGGTTCTGTGATTTTTGCTCATTTTTTTTACTGTGCTCCTCTTTTTTCTTGAGGGCAGGCACAGTGTGCTATCCTTCTTCCTAAGCTCCACAGCACCCTCGCATGGTGCCCAGGGTATCTGAATATGTTCATAAATTCTTAAGGTTGATTGATTGGAATGGTCTTTTCAAGGATTAACTGTATATGAGTCCCATGGTTTTTCGCTCATCTGTGTCTGAGTATCTGAAGAAGAAACCTGTGCGTGTCTGTTACTTTCCTCCTGTGATATGACCTATGAGCAGCTACCTTAGGGCTCAGAGTTGAAATATATGAACTAGCCAAGAACACACTCATTCACAGGCTTTCCAAAGTCCACCTACCACTTCCTATTTCCATTCAGTGCTAGAACACCTCCCAATAATTCAATAAGTATGCACCCCTTCCTTCTTAAAACAGTATTTGTGTAGGTTATAATCTTCTGTTTCACACTTTAAGGGAAATCTGAGCTAACCAGCTGCTCCACAGCCAAGTCCTAATGGTGACAATCATCTTGCTCTTGGCAGGACTATTTCCGGGTCTGCTTAAAGCCGGAGTGTGTGCTCCAGAGTCTAGAGGGGAGCTAAAATCTCATCAGGAGTTGGCTGCAGAGCATCCATTTACCCAGCTATAAACCATCCCCTGAGCTCCTGCCTGCCTCTACAGTGGAGTGACAAGCCAACCCAAATACAGGGGCCCAGCAGATTGTCCTGAACCCTTAATGTGTGCTTGCTGACTACTGATGCAATATCTCCATTCATCACTGGGGCTCTGAAGGTTCCAGAAGGCCATGTATTTCTGCAGAGCTTGGAGCCTCCTAGTCTTGGCTCAGTTCATCTGATCTTGAGGAAATCTGTTTAGTTGAACTGCCTTTACTGGGGTTTATGATAGGGCGGCAGAGGGGAGAGCAGTACAAGGGAAAGGCAAAGAGGTCAGAATAATGATGATATTTAATTCCATGAGGACGCTCCACTCAGTGTGATAATCAAGGCCCTGAATCATGTCTCCAAGTGGATTATAAATTCTGCTGAAGGATAAGGAGACACATATCAGCCGTCATATCCAATATTTTTTCTACTGCATCTATTGCCTTTAAGTAGATTCACTTAAGTAAATATAAGAAGCATTTAAGATAGAAACAGAAGGTGTAAGTAAAACTCATGTGCAATGTAAATCATAAAGCTTCAAATACTCCAACTTCCGCCATTTCTATCTCAGTCCCCATTTTCTAAATTGCATCCTAATATTGAAAACACACACACACACACACACACACACACACACACACACAGACACACAGCCCTCCCCACCAACAACTACCACAAAGATGTTCCTGGCCTGGAAATGTCTTTGCAGTCAAGGCCTGACTTCTGTCAGTTACCCCAGATGCTAAACTAATTGGCTTGATGCTCAGATGAAAGAATCTAAATCTAGAAAGGCAGGAAAAGCCCCCTCCTGTGACCAAAGCCATTAAACCTCAATTAGGAGATAGACAGGGAAGGTGTAGATGAGTCTGGGGTAATTACAGGGCTTTGTCTGACAGCTCAGTTCCTGAAGCCGGGGCCAGAGCAGGTGATTTGGAAATCTGATCCCTAGACAGCTGCAGATGGTGCAGGCTGATTGCACCCCGCCAGACGGACCTCCTCCCACTGGCAGCCTTCTGCAGCGTGTGGCCCCTCACAACTTAGCACTGCCTAGCGAGCTGGCCCCATCTGTTCCGTAATGGCCAGGCACACAGAGAGCCACCCAGGGGCAAACACCTATAGACTCTAGCCAGAGACGTTGTTGGGATAGAGGTGGGGTGGTGGTGGTCTGTCCTTGTTTTGCTTTAGAACTATCTCCAGAATATTCATCATATATCCATGCTTCAGGAGAGTTAGAAACTGACTAAAGCTTCCACTGTCTTCATCCTAGGCACTTGGGGAAACTTGATAAGAGCTGACCAGGGCTGTTTTCTGAAGGTTTCGGGAAGTTGGAGTAATTCCTGCCTCCCATGCATTTAGGACAGGGAGGGATCATTCATGGTGTTATCAGCTGAATGTTGTCCCTGCAAATTCATATGTAGATGTCTCCACCCCCAGGACTACAGAGTATAACTATATTTGGAGACAAGGTCTTTAAAGAGGTGATTAACTGAAAATGAGGCTGTTATGGTGGGCCCTTTATCCAATATACTGGTATCCTTATAGGAAGAAGAGATAGGACACAGGCTGAGAGACACTAGGTGCATATGAGTGTCAATGGACAACCACGTGAAGAGGCAGCACGCGTGTAGCCATCTGCAGCCAGCATCTTGATCTCAAACTTCCAGCCTCTAGAACTGTGAGAAATACATTTCTGCTTAGGCCACCAATTTCTGTGGTATTTTGTTCTGGCAGCCCTAACAAACTAATACAACAGGTTTATTAATTCACCCAATAAGTATTTGTTGAGTATTTGCTATGTGCCAGAAATTGTTTACATCCTGGGAATATAGAGCTGAAAAAGACAGACCACTCTTCCTGCTGTGAGTTTGCATCTTCATGGGGAAGAAGAGGAAAGTCACTAACAAGGTAAATGCATGTACAAGTTAATTATAGAGGATGGTAAGTATTATGAAGGAGACAGAACAGGATGATATAGGGCTGCTTTGGATAAAGTGTTGAGGAGAAGGCCTTTTGGAGGGATAATATTCGAGCTAGACCTGATAACAAGAAGGCATTAGCCATACAAAGATCTAGGGAGAAGAAAATGCAAAAGTCTTGGTGAGGCAGGAGAATAGGGTCTGGAGGCAGGGAACCTAAGGCTGTTTCACGCCTACTTCCTAGAACTAAATTGAAAGGAAAACCCTAACTTTCCAAGCCTAAGTAACAAAAGCACCAGAAGCTACTCCCTTTGGCCTTTTCTATGTGCAGATAGAAAATTGGAAAATTGGAAAATTGCAGGTTGAGTCTTCGTTTGCAACTTTGTAAATTTACTTCAGCCTCTGGTTGGCTGCTTTCTGCAACCACTCAGACTGATTGCAGGCTACTACTTCTGTTACATGAGTTGAGCATGAACGGGAAACTTCTAGAGGGTATTTGAACCCAAGAAGAGTCTGTATCTGGGCCCTTGAGCCACTGCTTGGTCCTCTCCCACACTGTGGAGTGTACTTTCATTTTCAATAAATCCCTGCTTTTGTTCTTTTGTTGCTTCATTCTTCCTTTGCTTTGCTGGATGTTTTATCCAACTCTTTGTTCAAAACACCAAAAACCTGGACCACTTGCAGTCATGACCCTCTACACTGGGGCAAGGACAAATTGATGACTCCAAGGAACAAAAAGGCCAGTGTGAGTTAAAAAAAAAAAAAAAAAAAAAAGTGGTGTGAGGTGGATTTATGTCAACCTGAAGGGAGGAATGGAGTGGCTGGAGGCAGACCTCTGTATACAGCCCTGCCCTTTTCAAAGTTGGCGAGGGAGGATGAAGGTTATGATTGAAGGAGGCCACCTGTGGAGGTGAAAGACACAGACTAGAGTCCCAAGGATGGAATCTAAGCTCCAGGTACACAGTTGGCCTAGATCAGTGGTTATCAACCCAACCGGAGTCAATGATGCTTTTTAAAGCAAATATTTTATTAGATCCCTTCATTATCCTGAAATGATCATTATTCTGAATGATCTACCAAATCACATAATAAAAAAGAATAATGTCCTAACTATAATAAAAGGGAAACATTTATAAATAATTATGATAAATTAATTGCAATACATAAATATTCAGGCACAAGTTACATTAGAAGAGAAAATGAAGTAGTTAGCTGACAGCAGGTAGAATCATTCTGAGTGTGAGTCCCATGATTGTAGGCTGATACCTAGTTTGGTTGGTCAAAAGTTAATTTTAATCATTAGTAGTTTAGAAACTTTTCTTTCAGCTTGACAACTTGTTATGGTAATGTCATGTAAATTTGGGGATTATTGTCAAATTAGGGGAAACTTCTATCAAGCTTCTTTCATTTATGAGCTTTAAGATTTCCTGGTATTTTAGATTTTCTTGTGCAATGACTAATTTTCAATGTTCTGAATTGTCAACACTTATTAACCACTACCCACATCCTTGTGGTTCTGGGCACTGTAGGATACGTAAATCCCACAGGAGGACTCTGGGCCTTAAATCTACATCACAGTGTCAGGTGACAAGGAGCAGCAGGAGTTTTCTGAAAGCTAATCTTAGGCTAGAATTAACTCTATAACAGCAACTTAACTATAAGTGGAAGTGTCTGTAAATCACATAGACATATTCTACCACACCCAACCTTTAACTCAACTTCCCTTTCATTGGATCACAAAAATGTCTGTGACTTGATATGAGAGGAGGTATGGCAGACATGAAGTTAGCATGGAAACAGAGGGTGGCCTTAGCTAATTAAATACAGTATCTTAAACAAAACTTAAGAAACCATATAATCATGTGACCCCTCTGTTGGGACTTCTCAGGCATCCGTGGTAGAGGAGGTCCTGGAGCTTAAACTTTATTAGCTTCACTATTCATGCGTCTCTACTTGTACTCAACTTCCATGTACTTTGGATCCAATAGCCAGCAAAATCCCAACTCTAAATTCACACTTCTGTATTTTCCATGGATGACCTGCTGAACACTGCTGGAGAAAATTTGTACTACCATGCATGATATTTCTCCTACAAATCTGGCATCTTGAACCTCAGTTAACTCTGAATGATGTCCAGTAGTTCTGTGAGTCTTGAATTAGTTTTCTCTCCACTTTCTTAACTGTTTTGAACATTCCCCATTATTTTTAAGCACTTACCCTAGGCTAGGCTTCTTTGTTACTCATTTTAGTGTCCCTTACACACTACACTACACACACACACAATTATTAGACCTGTCTTTACTTTGTATTAATGGAGGGATGTCACTTTTCTTGTTTATCCTCTTTATCCTGTTCTCTGAATTTTACTACACTTACTGTACTGGGGACATGGAAGCTTCATCAGGATCCTTCAATTATCTTTCTTTTCCCGTAATCTTTAAGTACTCCGAGGCAATTGGTTATTGCCCCAGCCTATAAATGAGCTCAAGTCTCTCTAAACATTAAACAAAATCCTTTCTTTATCCTGCATCTACCTCCAGCCACTTCCCTATTTTGTTTACCCTTTATAGTTAAAACTCTTAAAATAATGATCAATATTCACTGTCTCCATTTCTTGACCAACAGTTGCATCTCCACATAATCAGATATCCATCCCTGTCACTGCAATGAAACTCGTTCACCAAGGTTACCAGTTGCCAGAGAATCTTCTAGTTGGCAAATTCAAGAGGCACTTTACTCTTGACCTTGCTTGACCTTCCTGTGCATTTGACACTATTGACCAGTCCCTTATTTTTAAGGGATATTTATTGGTTTATTTATGTATTCCCTTTATTGTTCCAGAAATGATTTTCAAAGTGTCCAGTCAAAATACAAATAATTTGGAAAGATAAAATAAAATTTTAAAAGTCTTAGTTGTTCTCTTGGCTTTTAACAAACCTTAAAGATAATCAATACTGTTAAGTCTCTTCAGATAACACAGGAATCTTAGAATACTTTAACTTCAGTCTCTTCCAGTTTATAATTTATATACAAACTTTTTAATCAATTTGATCATTTTAAAAACCTATAAATAGATATCAGTGTTATGTTCAGAGAATCAGTGATTTATGTTCACCCATATAATTATAAATTTCCTTGAACACTGTTTCTTTTCTGTATCTCACGTTTTCTATCTGGAATCACCTTTATGAAGTACATACTTTAGAAGTTTCTTAAATAGAAACTTGTTGATGGCAAACTCTTGTTTGTGTGTAAATTTTGTATTTTGTCCTTATTCTTGGAAATAAGTTTTCTGAGTAAAAGACTCTAGATCCATTGCTCTGTTTTCTCAGCATATTGAATATATTTTTGTCCTGTCCATTTTTGTTGAGAAATCAAATGTTGGTCTTGCTGTTTCTTTGTGGGTGTACTTTTCTCATCTGTCTACTTTAGGATGTTCTTTTTGTCTTTTGTGCATTGAATATCACTACTTTGTCTTGGATCACATCCTGCTTGGAATTTGTTAGGTTGCCTGAAGTAATGAATTGCTTTCTTTCATTAATTCTGTAAAAATTTGCCATAATATCTTGAAATACTGCCTTTCCTTCAGTCTCTTACTTGTCTTCTTCTATAACTTTGATTAGTAATATTTTGGACTGTTTACTTTCAATGCCCACTTTTATTTCTTTCACATAGGAAGCATAGTTATTTTTGTCCTTTGCTTGATAATCCTGCAATCTGTAGTCTTTGTTGGTGTGACTCAGATCTCTGCTGCTTCTGTTGATTATTGTTTCAGTGCCAAACTTACTTTTTGTTTTAGTATTTTGTGTTTTTCCATTTGTTCTTTACTATGATTTCATATTCAAACCATCTAGGTCCAGTTTATGGTTCCAAATTCTTGGGGAGACTTAAGGCAGATTTTATTTCTCTTGTCAAAGAGGGAAAGGTGAAAATAGACAAGATTTTTGGTTTCTCTCTTTTGCCAGGGTGGCTTATTTATTTTTCATTCTTACACTAGGTTCCTCGCATTTCCTTCTGTTTTTTTTTTTTTCTTTTTTTGAGATGGCGTCTTACTCTGTCACCCAGTCTGGAGTGCAGTGGCATGATCTTGGCTAACTGTAACCTCCGCCTCCCGGGTTCAAGCAATTCTCCTGTCTCAGCCTCCTAAGTAGCTAGGATTACAGGTGCGCACCAACACGCCTGGCTAATTTTTGTATTTTTAATTTTTAGCAGAGATGGGCTTTCGCCACGTTGGCCAGGCTGGTCTCAAAGTCCTGACCCCAGATGATCCACCTGCCTTGGCCTCCTGAAGTGCTGGGATTACACACACGCATGAGCGACTGCACCCGGCCGGTTCCTCGAATTTCTAAAGGGTCTCTTATTAGACTTTCTCACTTGTTTGTCTCTTACTTTGTAGACACTGCATAGCTATTGAAATGAAAGCTCAAAGCCAGGCTCACGCCTGTAATCCCAGTACTTTGGGAGGCAAAGACAGGAGGATCACTTGAGACCAGGAGTTCGAAACCAGCCTGGTCAACGCAGCAAGTCCCCACCTCTACAAAACTGAAAAAGAAAAAATTAGGTGGGTGTGGTGGCGCACATATGTGGTCCCAGTTACTCAGGAAGCTGAGGTGGGAGGATTGCTTGAGCCCAGGAGGTCAAGGCTGCGATGAGCCGTGACTGCCATTGCACTCCAGCCTGGGCGACAGAGTGAGACCCTGTCTCAAAAACACAAGCAAACAAAAAAGAAATGAAACCTCAAGGTCTCTGGGGTTCAATGTTTCTCTGAGAAAGTGGGCCTCAGGGGGAGCTTGCCTTTGGGTCCACACTGTCATTATAATTTTTGCTTCTAAAGGTTCCTTATAGCATTTTATTTGAAAATATGTTTTTAAATTTTATTATTTATTTATTTATTTTTCAACTTTTATTTTAGATTCAGGGGATACATGTAAAGGTTTGTTACCTGAGTGTATTGTGTGATGCTGAGGCTTGGGTTATGAATGATCCCATCACCCAGGTACTAAGCATAGTACCAAATAAATTGTTTTTCAATCCTTTCCTCCTTCCCTTCCTTCTCTAGTAGTCTCCAGTGTCTATTGTTGCCAACTTTATGTCCATGAGTACCCAGTGTTTAGCTCCCACCTATAAGTGGGAACACACAGTATTTGATTTCCTCTTCCTGCGTTCATTCGCTTAGGATAATGGCCTCCAGCTGTATCCATATTCCTGCAAAGGAAATGAAATTTTTTTTTATGGCTAGATAGTATTCCATGGGGTGTATGTAACACATTTTCTTTATCAAGTCCATCACTGATGGGCATCTAGGTTGATTCCACGTCTTTGCTATTGGGAATAGTGCTGCAATGAACATACAAATGCGTGTGTCTTTCTGGTAGAAAAGATTGTTTTCCTTTGGATATATACCCAGTAATGGGATGGCTATGTTGAATGGTGGTTCCATTTTAAATTCTTTAAGAAATCTCCAAACTGCTTTCCACAGTGGCTGAACTAATTTACTTTCCCACCAACAGTGTATAAGCTTTCCCTTTTGGGTAGCTTTGCCAACATTTTTTTGTTTTCTGACTTTTTAATAGTAGTCATTTTGATTGGTATAAGATGGCATCTCATTGTAGTTTTGATTTGCATTTCTGTAATGATTAGTGATGTGCAGCATTTTTTCATATGTTTGTTGGCCACTTATATGTCTTCTTTTGAGAAGTGTCTGTTCTTGTCTTTTGACCATTTTTAATGGGATTATTTGTTTTTTGCTTGTTGTTATGTTATTTATAAATTATGGATATTAAACCTTTGTTGGATGCGTAGTTTGCAAATATTTTCTCTCATTCTGTATGTTGTCTGTTTACTCTGTTGACAGTTTCTTTTGCTGTACAGAAGGCCCTTAGTTTAATTAGGTCTTCTTTGTCAATTTTGGGTTTTGTTGCAATTGCTTTTGAAAACTTAGTCATAAATTCTTTCGTAAGTCCCATGTCCAGAATGGTGTTTTTTAAGTTTTCGTCTAGAATTCTTATAGTTTGAGGTCTTACATTAAAATCTTTAATTCATCTTGAGTTAATTTTTGTACATGGCGAAAGTTAGGCATCCAGTTTCATTCTTCTGCATGTGGCTCACTAGCTATATCAGCACCATTTATTGAATAGGGAGTCTTTTCCCCATTGCTTATTTTTCTCTACTTCGTTGAAGATCACATGGTTGTAGGTGTGTGGCTTTATTTCTGGGTTCTCTATTCTGTTCCATTGGTCTATGTGTCTCTTTTTGTACCAATACCATACTATTTTGGTTACTGTAGCCTTGTAGTATAGTTTGAAGACTGGTAATGTGATGGGTTTGCTTTTTTTTGTTGTTGTTGTTGTTTTTTTGCTTAGGTTTGCTTTGGCTATTCGGGCTCCTTTTTGGTTCCATATAAATTTTAGCGTATTTTTTTTAATTCTGTGAAAAATGACATTGGTATTATAGTTTGATAGGAATCAGGTTGAATCTGAAAATTGCTTTGGGCAATATGACCTTCTTAATGAAATTGAGTCTTCTAATCCATGAGTATAGAATGTTTCTTCATCTGTTATCTGTGATTTCTTTTAGCAGTGTTTTGTAGTTCTCCTTGTAGAGATCTTTCGCCTGACTGGTTAGATGTATTCCTAGGTATTTAATTTTTTGTGGCTAGTATAAATGGGATTATGTTCTTGATTTGGCTCTCAGCTTGAAAATAATTGGCGTATAGAAACATCATTTGTTTTTAGAAGGATTATTTAGGATGTCTGCTCTATCAAATTTCTGCAAACACAAGATTCTCCTGATGTCCTGAAATTTTCTTTCTTGGCTTGAGATCTCTCTAATACTCCCTCTGACCATCTTTTCTAGTTTCTTCATTGGATCCTTCTTGTCTGCTCATTACCCAGAGGGCAATGTCCAATAGTGTTCTATCCTTTACCCTCTCCCAATCTGCTTAAAAACACATCCTGCCCATTGCCTTCAGCTAACTGTATGCCAATTCCTCAAAACTATGCACTGTCTACCCAGAGCAATCTTTGGAGCTCTGCATTTTTGTATCTACAGGTCTTTTTAATTTAGCATCTCAAGCTCAACATGTCCAAAATTGACTCCCTCCTCCCACTCTCTTCTTTTATTTTTTTGTTTGGGAAAATGATACCAACATTCATCTTGTTAATCAACATAGAAACATGGAGAGCATTATAGATTCCTTCCTCTCCCACATCCTCCACAGTCAATTGAATACTGCATCTATGATTTCTATCATCATAAAACCTCTCATCACAACTCAACTACCTAATTAATTTAAAGCATCATAATTTCTCTCCTGGATTGATGTGATAACATCCTAAATGTCTGCAATAAATCCACAGTTCTCACTGGAATCAAAGTAATATTTCTAAAACACATATGTGATCATCTCATAACCTCCCCCCTTCCCCTACCTAGAATTCATCAATGACTTTCTGCAGTGCTCAAGATAAATTCACATTCCAAGTTCATCTTGTTCTATTCCACGTTTACCCAGACTAAAGCCAAATTGAAATATTTGCAATTCCTCCAGCACATCATGTGTTCTCACAGCTTTGACTTTACACAGTTTCCTTTGCTTAAAATTTCCTTCCCCTTCCTCCTTGCCTGGCTTATACATTTTTATTTAATAGACATAATGTACATATTACCCTCCCATAAATCTTCCAAGTCTTTTACCTGCCTCACTCTGTTGAATGTCTTTGATTCATTCATTTAAGAAACATATATTGAGTCTGCATTATCTATCTATCTATCTAATCTTCTACATACTATGGTAATATGCTTGACATTAGGAAAATAATAAAGAATAAGAAACAATCCTTTTACATTACAGTGCAATAAATGCAAAGATAGCAGAGAGCACAGTGAAGGGGAACCTGAACCAGCCTTGAATGAACAGACAGGGCTTGTGAGGATGTTGTAAATAAGTAAATGTAATTGCTTCCTCTCTTAATTCTCTCCCTCTTATTTTCCCTACTGCTACCAGCCAAACATTTGTGTATAAAAGAAATTAGCATGTTTAGTTATGAAGTTTTTTATTTTCATAAATTTCTGTAGTTTAAATCAGCCTGGCCTCTGCCTGTTATTGACATACTAGAGAATCATAAAACTCTGAGTAATTGTGTTCATGTGTTCCAATAGGGCTTATCCAACCCTGGGAAAATAATGGCATCTGACCCAATAAGACTAGCAAAGAGCAAACCCAAGAAAAGAGATAAACATGTATTAAATGGTAGTTTTAAATTTTTTAAAGTACATTCATTTTTGTTTTATTCCACAAAGGCACCGTGGAAGCTTTTAAAAATACACACTGTTCACTGGGATAAAATATATTATCAAGGCCATGATAATAAAGGGGAAATAGAAAAGGAATATCATAAATCTGTAATAACATTAGTACATGGAAGCAGCAGAAAAAGGCTACAAATTTGATTCTAAGCTCCTTAACAGCCCAAAGAAAGAAAGATCATGATTAGTCACAGTTCTGCATAAGAAAAATAACACAAATGACTTGTTCAGTAAGGAGCATAGTTTTTGTGAAAACTGATTCCCAAGGAATTTCTCCCATGAACGCTGAAACTGCTGTGTGATGTGGTAGACAATGTTCTTAACATGATCCCTTCAATAGCTACAATCACAGACATAATGAGTCTGTCTCATAAATATCCTTTGTTGTGGGTAGTTGGCAAAATGCCAAGGAATAAGTCAGTGAAAGCTGTTCTACAAGGAGTAGATTTCAGTAAAGCACACTGAAAATTCTAAGACTTTAGAATCAAACAGCTAAAGACTGAATCCTGGTTCAATTAAACACAAGATGTGTCAACTTGGTCCAGTTACTTCCTCTTCCTTAATTTGATTATCTGTAAAAACTAGGATAATAATACTCATCATTTGGATCGAAAGTTCAGTTAAAATACAGAATATCTAGAACCATAAAAATCAACATCCATCAAACTCATATACCATCCCAGGCACTATGCTAAGTACTTTACATGGATTATCTGATTTAATCCTCACAAAAATTCCTTTACATGAGTACTATAATTATTCCCATTTACCAACTAGGAAACTGAGATTAGAGAGGTTAAATCGTTTGCCCAAAACCACAGAGCTAGGATGAGGGGAGCTGAGCTCATCAGCCCCGGCATACTGATTTTAGAGTTCACGTTCTTAAAGCATTCTGTTCTATAAAATGCAACTGCGTCTGGAATTGGTGGGTTCTTGGTCTCACTGACTTCAAGAATGAAGCCACGGACCCTCGCGGTGAGTGTTACAGTTCTTAAAGGCAGCGTGTCCAGAATTTGTTCCTTCTGATGTTCAGATGTGTTCACAGTTTCTTCCTTCTGATGGGTTCGTGGTCTCGCTGGCTCAGGAGTGAAGCTGCAGACCTTCGCCATGAGTGTTACAGCTCTTAAGGCGGCGCGTCTGGAGTTGTTTGGGCTTCCCGGTGGGCTCGTGGGTGTCGCTGGCTTCAGGAGTGAAGCTGCAGACCTTCGCGGTGAGTGTTACAGCTCATAAAGGCAGTGTGGACTCAAAGAGTGAACAGTGGAAAGATTTATTGCAAACATCGAAAGAACAAAGCTTCCACAATGTGGAAGGGGGACCCCAGCGGGTTGCCACTGCTGGCTCGGGCAGCCTGCTTTTATTATTATCTGGCCCACCCACGTCCTGCTGATTGGTAGAGCCCAGTGGTCTGTTTTGACAGGGCGCTGATTGGTGCGTTTACAATCTCTGAGCTAGACACAAAGGTTCTCCACTTCCCCACCAGATTAGCTAGATACAGAGGGTCCACACAAAGGTTCTCCAAGGCCCCACCAGAGTAGCTAGATACAGTGTCGATTGGTGCATTCACAAACCCTGAGCTAGACACGGGGTGCTGACTGGTGTGTTTACAAACCTTGAGCTAGATACAGAGTGCTGATTGGTGTATTTACAATCCCTGAGCTAGACATAAAGGTTCTCCTCATCCCCACCAGACTCAGGAGTCCAGCTGGCTTCACCCAGTGGATCCCGCACCAGGACTGCAGTTGGAGCTGCCTGCCAGTCACGCGCTGTGCACCCGCACTCCTCAGCCCTTGGGTGGTCGATGGGACTAGGCGCTGTGGAGCAGGGGGCGGCGCTCATCGGGGAGGCTCGGGCCGCACAGGAGCCCACGGAGAGGGTGGGAGGCTCAGGCATGGCGGGCTGCAGGTCCCGAGCCCTGCCCTGCGGGAAGGCAGCTAAGGCCCGGCGAGAAATGGAGCGCAGCGCCGGTGGGCTGGCACTGCTGGGGGACCCAGTACACCCTCCGCAGCCACTGGCCCCGGTGCTAAGCCCCTCATTGCCCCGGGCCGGCAGGGCCGGCCGGCTGCTCCGAGTGCGGGGCCCGCCAAGCCCACGCCCACCCGGAACTCCAGCTGGCCCGCAAGCGCGGCGCGCAGCCCCGGGGCTGGCCCCTCTCCCTCCACACCTCCCTGCAAGCTGAGGGAGCAGGCTCCGGCCTTGGCCAGCCCAGAAAGGGCCTCCCACAGTGCAGCGGTGGGCTGAAGGGCTCCTCAAGTGCCGCCAAAGTGGGAGCCCAGGCAGAGGAGGCGCCGAGAGCGAGCAAGGGCTATGAGGACTGCCAGCACGCTGTCACCTCTCACAACTTTGAGGCAACTCTTGATAAAAAATCATTTCCCACAACCAGGTTTTTTGATACCAGGTTTGATACTAGGTATCTTATGATGACCTATAAAACAGATACCTACCTGCCCCGTACCCCCAACCCTGCCATGGACAGTTAAGGTGAGATCCCTTTGTTTTGCCAGAGGTAGCTTGGTCAAGCTCCTGTAATAAAAAGCAAGGATTCTTACTATACAGATAGAATAAATGGCAGGTTACTCTACAGAGCTTTAAGGGCAGGAAAGTTAATCCTGTGTTCTGCTTACTGTCTGTGGCAAAAACAGCCCCTTGTTGTCCACTCCCATCTTTGATTCAGTTGACAGACAGCTGCAGCTTAATTGGCCTGCTACACGGTATGTTTGGCTGGATTTTGTGGCAAGCAGAGTCTGGTGGGGGGCCTTAAACAAAGCTCACCCAGCATGTCTTCTGCCTTGCCAAACTCTAAAAATAGAAAGCTCAACTTCTGCAGAGCTAAGGAGCTGAACTAGTCAATGGTTAGAAGATAGGTTTGTCATCTCAAGGGTGGTTTGTGTTTCCTATTAACTGGGGTTGGAATGACAAGGGGCAATCTTTTGAGCACTAAAGTCTGGACAGAATGGCATATGACCGCTATGCAAAGGACTGAATCCTGGTTATAAATCATAGCAACAACAGCCTGAAACTGAGCTATCACAGACTCTTAAATCTCCAAAGTGTGGCCTGGGTAAGCCATTATGAGAACTCTGCCTTCTCAGATAAAAAAAATTCCATGCCTCAGAGCTTAAAGCATACCTCCCTATAATCCATTTCTTTGTTCCAGCCAGACTTTCTTTCTGGAATTTTCCTCCATGCTCCGTGACCTGATCAAGGGTTAAAGAGGATTCCATATCCCACACTACATTAGAGAAGAGTGACAGCATATCAGAGAGAGGCATTGTGGACCTGTGTTTAAGTCAGCCTGTCTGAATCCACATCCTGGCTCCATCCTTCTTTACTAGGTATGTAACCTTGGACAAGGCCTTTAATCTCCATGGGTTTCATTAGACTAGGTTTTGTTATCTATAAAACATGCTTAATAAAAGTTTCAACTTCATAGAGTGGTTTTGAGAATAAAATAAAATAATTCAAGTAAAGTACATATTTTAGAGAAAATGCATCTTCATAATGATTATTAATATCATGTATCATCTGGGAAAGTCTTAGTATGCCTACTGGAGGGACTCAGGAAAGAAATGAAGATGAAGCTTGAGATAATTTTAGAAATACAAAAGGATTCAGAGAATGGCAAAGGAAACTCAATTCTATTTAGAAATAAAATATTCTAAAAAACTATACTCCCAAAGAAAAGGTTTTCTCATTTTGGTAATTGGGGCCTGCCTATTAGCATACCCACGAAGTCTTCTTTCCCTTCAGCATGTTGTTGAAACATACTTCTAGGACTACAGAGAAAATTACTATCATTATTAATCACTGTAGTCATAAATCTAAATGAACAGTGAAAACTTATTTGAGAATAATCTACTGCGTATAAGAAAGAGTGAAAAAACATTATTGAAACTGGAAGAAACAGAAATTGTGCATGCAAAAGAGGAAACTGGATAAAAATTCTACCAAGTAACATTGGAAAATTTAGAACTCTGTTTTAGCCAAATAAGAACAGGCTGCAATGATAAAGAACCAGTCAAAGAATAAGAATTAAATTTAGGAAATTCAAATATTAATCGTTTGGTCACCAGTGCCCAAAAATTAAAGAAAAGAAGCCAAGTAACAGAATGAGCATAGATGAAATACATATTAGTTATATACAGTCAGTAGAAGAAGATTTTTCAGAATATAAGACAAAATTGTTGGCCAGTAAGTTGAAAAAATATAATGCAAAATAAAATTAATAACAATATGGTAACCTGGGAAAAACAATTTAGATTATTTCAACACAACTTTAGGCAGAGGAGCAGTAGTGGAAGTATGCCTGTAATCTTGTATTTTTTCAGGAGAGATCGGTTGTAGATGGTGAACTATTACCTAATTTGTTTGAAAATATGTTGAAATATAATTAATCAAAATTTACATATTATCATTAGAGATATAAAAATAGGAGATTTAACATTTAAGTCATTTGAGAGAGAGAGAGAGAGACAGAGAGGGAGAGAAACAGATATAGAGAGAAAGAGAGAGAGAGAGAAAAACTCAGAAATGAGAATCAGTGTAATCTATAAATTATAAAACCATGGCCTTTAGAGTAAATATCTAATATCTGAGTCCTGGTTTGCCAATTTAACACTTATGAAATGTTGGACAAGTTAATGAATCTTACTAAGCCTCAGTTTCTTCACTTGCAACATGAATCATGAATCAAAAGGTTATTTTGAACATTAAATTAGATAAAAACCAAAAAGTTATTGGAATTTGGCTTGCTGCATTGTAAAATATTTGTACATGTCAGCTCATAATTAAGACTACAAATGACAGGAAAAATAGTAATAGGCAACTTGAAACGACAGCAATACATCCAAGTATATCACTAGTCACAATAAATGTAACTGCATTAAATTTCCACATTAAAACACAGAATTCTAAAGTGAGTAAATGTGCAAAAATCGGACATATGCTGCTTACTAAAGATCTACCTATAATAAAATGTTACTAAAAATTTAAACTGGATAAAAAGGATACACTAGGTAAATGTTAAAACTAATAATAGTAGACAAAGAAAACGCAAATAAAAACAAGTTAAACAGAAATTTTATAAGAGAAAATGTACATTCATTCACTCATTTATTAATATCGACATTTATTTTCTGAACATTTACAATGAGCCAGGCATTGTAAAAGTGCTGGAACTATAATACTTATCTAGGCAAACACATTCCCTGCCTTCGAGGAGCTTAATTCCAATGAGAGTAGATAATAAATTTATGGATTTATAAATATAATTGGCAGTGATGAGAGCTATGAATAATAAGCAGATGAAGGAGAGTGAGAATGATGGGTTTCTCTCTTAGTAGGGTAGTAAGAAATGCCTTTCTGAGATGGTCACCTGAATTGAGTGAGCAAGTCATATGACTGTACGGGGCAGGATGGGCAGGAAGATGTTCTAGGCAAAGTAAACAGCATGATTTATTTTCTTTATGCAATGTGTACACCATGCAAAGACCCTGCGTCAAGAGCAATCCACAAAAAATGGCATCCAGAGAGATAAAAAAAAGCTCTTAGTAATACAAGGAGACATCCAGAAATGCTATGATAATGAGTTGCTTTAATACTGTCCTTCAGAAATTGATAAACAGTAATAGCAAAGGACATCATTTAAAAACTGAATTAATAATGTTGGTTGAATATATATGTACATACATTGTTAACCAACAAGAAAAACACATTTTTTTCAAATATACAAAGAATAGTTAAGAATTAGCCCTACGTTAGCCATGAAGAAAACTAATACATTCTATAAATTCAAATCAATAGGTGGGTATTTTCTGATTATAATGCAATAAAAGTAGATATTAGAAAAACATATAGCCAAATATTGTATCCATTTGGAAACTTATACTGTTCTAACTAAAACTAAGGTTAAGGAAGAAATCATATTAGAATTACAAAGTATTTAGAGATAAATGCAAATGAAATTACCATTTACAAAATACATGAAAGTACTTAAATGTAAGCCAGTATTCCAATGGCTATGTATTATTTAAGCACTGTGTTTTAGAAAACAAGAAAAAATGAAAACAAATTGGGTTCCATTGAAAATAAAAAAACAAACATATAGAGTTAAAAAATATAAAAACAGAAAATAATGAAATATAAAACTACAAAATGAATAAAAAACATAATCTTTAATTAAATAAAAAGCTATTTTATTAAAGAAAATCAATAAAATTGATAAATATTTAGCTATTTAAAGCTAACCACCCCCAACTAAGCATATTATAAATGAGCAAAGAAAAAATAACCACAGCTACAAAAGGATTTTAAAATTCAAGAATATGCTTATTGCTTTTATATTACTGAATCTGGAAATAGATGAAGTTGATGACTTTCTAAAAATATATAAAGAATGAAAACTGACTCCAGATGTGTATAACCTGAAAAATACAATAGTCATAGAAGAAGTTGAAATGATTGTAGAAGACATGACTAACTATATAGAAAAGTTCTAGAGAAATTCTGTCAAATTTCAAGAAACATGCAATTTCTCTGTTATTTAAACTTTTTCAGAGAACAGAAAAATATAAAACATTTTCAACTCATTTTTCAAGACTACCATAATCTTGACACTAAAGTTGAACAGAGTATCAAAAGCTGTAGATCAATCTCATTTATGACAGTAGACATAAAAATCCTTAATAAATATATGCAAGTAAAATCCAGTGGCATACAAAAAATAATACATCATACAGGAATGTCTCCATAGAGGTAATCTATTAATGCAATGTTTTGCATTTTTAGATTTAAAGAGAAACAACTGCATGACAATTTTGATAGAGACCCCAAAGCCCGCTTCATAGATATTCATAAAAAATTAGGAAAAGATCATCTTTAGTTTGATGAAAGATATCTACCAGGGAACTACTGCAAACATCAAATGAAACAGTGAACTTTTAGTTTCACTATTTACGGAACATTTTAGTTTTCCATTGACAGTAAAAATGGGACAATGCATGAGAGGTCACCAAAATGACGTCTATAGAAAGACAACTTGTTGACTGAAGAAAGAGAAAATCATTGAGTAATTCCACAAAGCTTGCTTATTTCAAGCATAACTTTCAAATGAGACTTGTGCGTACTTTTTAGCCCAAGTAATTACCTGTTTTTTTCATGCTTATTTCAAGCATAACTTTCAAATGAGACTTGTGGATACTTTTTAACCAAAGTAATTACCTGTTTTTGTGACATGTTAAAAGTACCCTTTTCTAAGGAAGAAAAACTACTCCTAGGCAATGCACAATTTTCTTTTGCATAATTGCGATTTGATAGACACATTCTTACGCAGCATAGCTCATACAGCAGGAGTGTTATTGAATAAATAAATTAATAGTTAGTTTTAAGTGCATGTTTTATTGCAGCCAAACAGTTCAAATGAATCATCAGATGTTTCTGTGGGCTTTTATGCTCCCTAGAAGGCACACAAATTGACACTGACTATAGGGCTTAGAGCCTAAAAGAATCATCCTGAAAGTCAGCATTCGTTTTGAAAATTGAAAACAACTCAAGTTCTCTAGGGAGACGTTTTGGGAACCAGCACAAGATTTTTAAAAATCTAAGAAGTTTTTTGATATATAATTTAAAGCGTGTTAAATTACTTCTATTTAACTGATTCATGGGATTGTCTGACACACTAGTTTATCTGTAAAACATACCTTGTGAAGCTCCAGACATGATGGCCTCCCATGTAGGAGGTCACACTGCAGAAAGCCCTCTCACTGCTGCTGTCACCAAATGAATTCAATGCTTCCTAAGAGGTGTTTGTGTTTATTCGCAAACATGTTTGTGTCTGTTGTAATTGTTATTTAAATTAGGTAATTTAATAATATGTAAAGCAATGACAGACAATAATGTAAAACAGAATTACTGTTCCCATAAAGTTGAAAGTTTGGAAAATTTAATCAAAACTTAATCAAGTGGCTACCTTTTACCTTATACCTTCTCAATATTCATATCTTGTCAGTAGTGGGCCTTACAAATAACTTCTCCCAATCTGCTATGATGTCTGATTACTTTATCCATGTTATTCTTTAAAGGTAGAAATCAATTTTTGCCTTATAATTTGGGCTTTTAAAAAAAAGTCCATCACCATCCCTATGTAGAAAGATATATTTCTACATAGGACTGGCTACATAAATTGCCAACCCAGTGCAAAATGAAAGTGTGGGGCCCTTTGTTTAAAAAAGTATTAAGAATTTCAAGATGACAACAACAAGTAGGGCATTCAACCACACACTGACCCTTTCTAAGCATTGGCCTCTGTGGTGTCCCACACCCATGAAGACGGTTCTGTTTCTATATCATCTCCTATGAGTATAATTGTTTTACTTTTTACATTTAAGTTTTGAATCTTTCTGGAGTCTACATTTGTATAAAATGTTTTGTAGAGGTTAAGTATTTTTTTCCCCTCACACAGCGAGTGAGTTTTCCTGAAATCATTTACTAAGGAGCCTATTCATTCCTTACTGTTTCATGGTGCCATTCTAATCATGTATTAGGTTTTATATAGATCTCTCCCTGAGCTCTCCATTCAATTCCAGTGATCTGTGTGTGTGTGCATGGGGGTGTGTGTGTGTGTATGTGTGTTACAAGGGCTAGAAAGAAATTTTTAGGCAGATAGCGAGGATAAAGGAGTCCTTGGCAAGGCTTCCATTTTAATAAAAAGCAGTCCCCAAATCATGTTTTTTCAAACGAAGAGTGGCCTGAAAAATTGAGCTGCAGACATAGATAAGCACCTGGAAGTTTGCACAGGTGAATGCTGGCAGCCGTGCCAATAAAAAAGGGCTACCTGAGGGCCAGGCATGTTCAACTTGGAGGCTTCATCTTCCCTTTTCTTTGTCACCACGCGTACAGTAAAAAAAGCAGGCAACATGGCATCGGCCAGGTAAAGAACCTATCTGCATAATAAAAGATTAGGATGGGGCAGCCAGTTTCTTCACACGCTATGCAAATGACAAACCTAGTCTTAACCAGTTCTTCACACGCTATGCAAATGACACACCTGGTCCCACCAATCTTTCATGCCCTGTGAAAATCAGACACCGCCTCCTCAAGCTCATCTAGAAAGCCTCCTGTGTTTCAACACAGAAGCAGCAATCCGTTTTCTCCAGGACCCCTCTCTGTGCAGAGAGCTCTTCTTTTCCCCTGTTAAACTTCCGCTCTTAACCTCACTCTGGTGTGTCTGGGTCCTAGTTTTCTGTGGCTGTGAGACAACGAATATTGGGTATTTACCCCAGACAAACGATGCTACTTCATATGTAGGTGCAAGCACCTGTGTGTTTTATACTTTGGCTATTTCTCCCCTTTTTCTCTTCTAAGTTGCCTTTGCTAATCACATAAAATTTTAGAATAAATGTATTAAGGACCTTTAGAAAACTTCAGCAGAGATTGTGATGAGAATTGTGTTAAATTAGTAGATTAATTAGGGGAAGAATTGGTACCTTTGTAATATCTGTCTGTTCACCCAAGAACTTGGACCATCTATTTAAAGAGATTTTTTTAAAGCCTTTATTAGAGTATTCAAATTTTCTCTAGAGGCTTTGTGCACTTTTGGTTAAGTTATATCTTGAATTTCATTAGTTTTTGTAGAGGCTTTGTACACTTTTGGTTAAGTTATATCTTGAATTTTATTAGTTTTTGTAGATTCTTGTATTTTCTAAGATATATTTTTAATTGATTATAATTTGGAAACATATCTATTTTAAAAGACAGATTTTCTATCCCAAATTATTTGATTACTTCTAAGAATTTGGCTATTAATTTTGTATTTTTCTCCTGTGGAGATGGTTATATCATCTACAAGTAAGACCAGCTATATAACTTGCAGGGCTAGGGTAAAATGCAAATTCAGGGATCCTTGTTCAGAAAGCAGGAAATAGATAAGAGCTGTTAAAGGTACTAAAATAAAAAGTTCAATAGGCTCTCTCTTAATGTGTCATGATATTTCATATTTGCTATTAAATGTTCTTCTAAGAAAGTAAAATTAAAATGTTAATTTATTTGTATAAATTTTACTATTTATCTTTAGTACTGCGCAATGCCAGTTTTAAATGCAAATAAAAGAGTATTTAACTTGAATTCAGAGTTATACAATTCAGGGTAATAATGCCTGTATTTACCAGAACAGTGGAAATGGTCCACAAGAAAACATCCACTGTTTGTGTTTCTCTTTTTGATTTGTGCTGAGCATCCTACCAATACTCTACCTTCTGTTTACTGATGAGTAAGGAAAGACTGAAAGGAAAGGAATTTTGGGTTATCCTATCTTTCCCTTTTCTTCTATATCATAATAATCAGCATAAGTGGTTGGCTAATACAGAGAAGAAACATGAGTGAGAAAGAATATGGTAGGTCTTCTTGGTCATTCATTTTTCTTAGAATGTCACTGCCGTCTTTCTGCATTAGAAGAAAGTTCTGGTTTGAACCAAAATAGCATGTTCTTTCCAGGCTGTCAGGACCCTACTTAGTCATAGACATAATACGCTTACCTTTACACTTGCTTTGAGTATTGCTCAACTTAGTTGCATCATGGGCCTACCACATACTGCACTCATGAGGCATTGTGACCTCTATATGTAAATGGCAAGGCAAGGAATAGCAGACAACTTATTGCATGTTTCTCTTCTACTCATGATGCACATGCTCAATTATCCCATCAGACTTCATTTGCAAAACAAAAATTAGAAAATAAAATTATGAAGAAATCCAGAATGGCTACAACAGAGCATCAAACCAAGCATGAAGCCCTTCTGAGCTCAGGGCCCTGTGTCACTGCAAAGGTGGCCCAGCCATGAAGTTAACCCTTCTGCAAATAATGACTGCAACTTATGACTGTTCCATCTCTTCCCTTCCAATCTCAATACTTTTTATTTCTTTTTTATTTTATTACAGAATTTTCCAGTGGTAACATTAGATATTTAGCTAATAACAAATGTCTGATAATAGTAGCAATATTTGTCATTCTATTCTTGTCCCTGATCAAATGTGTCTAAAGTTTCTATATAAAATAACATTTTTACTAAATTTCTATTATATAACTTTTACAAATATAAGAAATTTTATTTCTGTTCCTAACTTGTCAATTTTTTAATCATAAATTTGCATTAAAGTTTGTTTAATACTTTTTCTGAACCAATTGACCTGACCATATGAATTTTCTTCCTAATCTCTTAATATGGTAAATTGTGTTGATTGACTTTTTGTCACTGACCTATCCTTGCCTGCATGAGATAAATTCTACTTAATACTAAAGTAATTTAAAAATATATACACGAAGGGGCCAGGCACAGTGACTCACACCTGCAATCCCAGCACTTTGGGATGCTGAGGCAGGCGGATCACTTGAGGTCAGGTATTTGAGACCAGCCTGGCCAACATGGTTAAACCCCGACTCTACTAAAAATATAAGAAAATTAGCTCAGTGTGGTGGCACGTGCCTGTAATCCCAGCTACTCGGGAGGCTGAGGCAGGAGAATCACTTGCACCTGGGAGGCAGAAGTTGCAGTGAGCCAAGATTGTGCCACTGTTCAGCCTGGGTGACAGCCAGACTCTGACAAAAAAATAAAATAAAATATGTGTGTGTGGATATATATATATACACACACACACACACAAACACACAGAAAGAAATGATAAATGTTTGAGGTGAGGGATAATCTCATTATGCTGGTGTGATCATTACACATTATATACTTGTATCAAAATATCACATGTACACCATAAATATGTACAATTATTATGCATACATAAAATTAAAAAAAATAAAAAATAAAAACCAAAAATACCACTGGGTTTGGTTATTTAATACTTTAAGATTTTTATATCTGTGTTCAGAGTGAAATTGGCTTATGGTATTCTTTCTGATTTCCTTCATTCAGTGTTGAAACAAGGACTTTCTTCATAAAACAAGCTGTACAGCTTTTGCCATATTATAGTGTCCTCAATGTTGATTAGTTCTAAGTGTTACAAATTCTAAGTGTACATTTCTGTTCTAAGCATAATTTCTATAATGTGGTAATTATTACTGCTTTTCATCAAATATATCTGGCTGTCTCCTTTCTGAGTTCATGGTAGAATTGCATTTCTTCACATCTTTTGAAGTTAGATATAGACATGTGATTTCTTTTGGCTGTGTGAAGTATGAGAGGAATTGACATCAGTTCTGGACAGAAATATTAATGGTGAGTTTAAGTCACCATGATCTTTGTACCCTGCCATAGCAATTGAGGAATTCGGAAGATGAAACCTCCCTCAACCTGGCTCCCTAGGTGAAGATGACTTAGAGAGGAGACCCTTGTCAGCCCATGATGGCTATGTTATAACATGAATAAAAATCAAAAGTTTGTTCTTTCAAGCAACTGAGATTTGGCAGGTACTTTTTATCTCAACACAGCCTAGTTTATTCTGACTGAAACAGCTTGTGATTTTCTTCCTATCTCAAGAATTATTTAGTAATATGTTATATGCTTGCCATGCATATGGGCTGTTTTTAAAGTTATTGTTTATTTTATTGTATTATGGTCTTAAAATATAGTCTGTATGATTCTTGTTCTTTGGGATAAAATTGAATATTCATTTGTTTTAGTACATGATATATTTTTGTAAATATCCCATGTGTGCTATAAAAATATATGATTCCTGTTTATTGGGAGTTGAGTTTTATGTATACAGATAGTATGTATATATATAGTGATTTGAATATATATGTGTGTGTGTGTGTGTGTGTGTGTGTGTAGATATGAGTTCAAGGTGGTTTCTTGTAGGTGTCCCACGTGTCTGCTCATTTTTTGTCTTCTGGAGCCGTCAATTTCTGGGAGACGTGTTAAAATCTCCAGTTACAATTCAGATAGTTGTTAATGCTCGCATGTTGGCACTATGTCTTAGGTCTACACATGTTAATATTAATTGTGTCATCTTTTTCTACTGTTTTGTTACTGAGTATAACATTCTTCTTTGTTCTTTATGATATCTTGCCCTACATTTTCTTTTAAAGTTTATAAAGTTTGTTACTTTTATTTTTGTCTTATTTGTGGCTAGTACATCTTTTTCCATTCTTTTATTTCTACCATTTTTATATTCTTTTGTTTGAACCATGTCTTTTGTAGCCATAAATTGTTAGATTTGCTTAATTTTAGCCAGTATGAGGATCTCTTTTTTTACTTAGTTATTGATATCATTGGGACTATTTCTGCCATCAAATTTCATATTTTCCATTTATTGCACTTTAATTTTTTAAAAGAATTACATTCCTGCTTTCAATTCAATCTACTAAATTTTATTCTTCTTGTTTAAAAGTTATATACTGTGTTCTTTTCTTTTTTTAAAAATGAGTATTCTTAACTCAAGATCCATTCCCATGTTTATTTTCTCTATAGATTTCTTAAGTTCATCTATATCTATATCTATACCTAACAATGTAAATATCTTGGCATGTCTTACCAACCATGCAAAAACTCTTCCCCAATGCTCACCTCATGATAGTAATTTGTTTAAAATGTTAGTTTTAACTGTTATGAATTTTCTTCCTCTCTCTGGCTCTCAATTTTGTAGTTTAGATAAGCCATTTAGTGACCTTTAATTCTCATATCTCTTACAGCATCCTCCTGATTTATCTTTTTATTTTTATTTGCATATTTTCTTTAGTAATTTCTTTGAAAGTGAGAATTTATATAAAAACTTTTCTAAAGCCCATATGCCTGAGAATATTTTTAATTACATCCTCATTTTTAAATGACAATATTGCTGAATGTAAAATTTAAGATTCTAGGTTTTTTCCTTAAAAAAGTTATCTATTTCTTGCATCCATGTTGGTGCCAAGTAATATGAATTACATTCTTTTTCCTGTGTAAATTATTTTCTCTTAATCTTTGAAACATTTTGAATAGTCTATCTTTTATATTCTTATATTTCATTATAATGAAATATAAGAATTTCTCCCCTCTTTATTTTTTATATTTTGGCACTCTCATTATCTGTACCCTGATACTTCTGCTTATATCCTCCACATCTTTTAGCCTTTCTTCTATTCTTCTATTTTCTTTTCTTTTCTTTTCTTTCTTTCTTTCTTTTTTTTTTTTTTTTTTTGAGACAGAGTCTCACTCTGTCGCCCAGGCTGGAGCGCAGTGGCGCGATCTCGGCTCACTGCAAGCTCTGCCTCCCGGGTTCACGCCATTCTCCTGCCTCAGTCTCCTGAGTTGAGTAGCTGGGACTACAGGCACCTGCCACCACACCCAGCTAATTTTTGTATTTTTAGTAGAGACGGGGTTTCACCACGTTAGCCAGGATGGTCTCGATCTCCTGACCTCGTGATCCGTCCACCTCGGCCTCTCAAAGTACTGGGATTACAGGCGTGAGCCACCGCACCCGGCCTAGCCTTTCTTTTATGTTTTTCATTCCATTCTTATTACCTTCTGAAATAGCTTTTCAATCTGATCACCTGAATATCTATTAATCCCAAAGCTTTACCCATTCTGTTGTTTATTCCTTCTATTGGATTCCTTATTTCACTGATTACATTTTTTTAAACTTTATCATTTCCACCTGGTTTTTGTTATGACCTTTTGTCCCTTATTTATATTATTAAGATCTTACTTTATCTCTTGAATTATTTTATTGCATTCATATTTACATTATTGCTGTGTCAATCCTTATTCTGTTTCACGAGTTATCTGTTCTTTGGTTGGTTGTTTTTATTTCCTAGTGAGTGCATTCCTTAGGTAAATAAATATATCGGTCCAAAAGCCTGTTCCCCAGAGTGTGTTGCCTGCTCAATCAAGTAGGATGCTTCAGAGAAGGACTGAGGGTTAATTCTTGGTATGTTTCTTTCTCCCTGTAAATTAAAAGAGAGGGAAGGTGATGAGATCCAGTTTGGAGAGCTCTTGGCACTGTGAACCCATTACCAACCACCTCCATTTGTTTCCTCTTAGTCCGCCAAACTAATCCTCTGTTCCTTGTTTTATTTTTAGTCATTCATACAGTGACTTGATACTTTACCAAGGCTAGCGATTCAGATGAGAAAGAGGTATAGGGGTGAATGCTCAAGGGTAGAGAGTAAGGCATCATCTGTTTTCATCAGCTCATCACCTAGCAAAGCTTTTATACTACCCTGATAGTACCTTGACAAGTGGTCAGGTCTGTCATTGCTGATTTTGAAGCTACAAGGCATCCAATGAGTCTCCTAGGCAAAAGGAGGACTTGAAAACCCTTTTGAAAATAACCCTCACAGCTACTATATGCAACTCTCCATTCAAGGCTGTAGCCACCTACTCCTGTGTACCACACACACCAATTGATAGGCTTTGTTACTCCCCATAGTTTTCTTTAGAGCTTCCTATTTTGTGTGTTTGTTTAAGTTTCCTGAGAGCCATGCTCCCATTTTACTTCCGTGGTTTTCACCCTGTTGATTTGGAGAGGGACAGGCAGGAATCCATGCTAGTTTGCCATTTTTTCAGAAATGAAGAAACATCCTTTTTTTATTTACTAATTTCTGCACCCTGAGTTGATTCCCCTGTGTCTTTTCTCTTTTCTATTTAATTTTTTATTTTTGTAAAAGACACATACCGTAATTTATCATTGTAAGTCTATAGTTCTGTGGCACATTTACATTGTTATGAAATCTTTCTATGACTTTATGCCATATCTAAACTTCAAAATTTCTTAATTTATAGTAACCACATGTTTAAATTCTAGGATATATTTTAAATCATTTTAATCTTGTTTAATGGATGCACTACCATCTCAGAACTCTCTGAATAACCAATTAGAGATGATTTCTTTTATTTAATTGAGATAATCTTTTAAATATTTATAGGGTACATGTCATAGTTTGTTACATGCATAGTATGCATAATGATCAAGTCAGGGTATTTGGGGTAGCCATTACTTTGAGTATTTCTCATTTCTATGTACTGGGAACAGTTCAAGTCCTCTCATCCAGCTACTCTGAAATATGCAATACATTGTCGATACCTATAGTCCCTCTACACTGCTGTTGAACAATACAACTTATACTTTTTATCTAACTGTATGTTTGTACCTGTTAACCCACCTCTCTTCATTCCCCCTGCCCACATACCTACCCACCCTTCCCAGGCTCTGCTACCTACCATTCTACTCTATACCTTTATGAGACCAACTTTTTATCTCCCGCATGTAAGGGAGAACATGCAGTATTCATCTTTCTGTGCTAGGCTTATTTCGCTTCACCTAATGACCTCCAGTTCCATCCATGTTGCTGCAAATGACTTCATTTCATTTTACTTTATTACTGAATAGTACTCCACTGTGTAACCACATTTTCTTTATTTGTTCACCTGTTGATGGACCCTTAAGTTGATTCTAATATCTTTGCTATTGTGAATAGTGCTTCAATAAACATGTAAGTGCAGGTATATTTTTGATACAATGATTTGTTTTCCTTTGCATAAATACCTTAGTAGGATTGCTAGATTATATGTAGTTTTATTTTCATTTTTTGAGAAATCTTCATAATGTTTTCCATAGTTGCTATGCTAATTTACATTCTCACCAATAGTGTATAAGGGTTCCGTTTTCTCCACATCCTCACCATCATCTGTTATTCTTTTTCTTTTTAATGATAGCCATTATAATCGGGGTAAGATGATATTTCATCGTGGTTTTGATTTGCATTTCCCTGATGACTAGTGTTGTTGAGCCTTTTTTCATACACTCGTTGGCCATTTTTATGTCTTCTTTTGGGAAATGTCTGTTCCTGTCCTTTGCCTACTTTTTAATGGGATTTTTTTTAGTGTTGAATTGCTTGACTTCTTTATATAATCTGCATATACGTTTTTGTCAGATAAATAGTTTGCAAACATTTTCTTCCTTTCAACAGATGGTCTCTTCATTTTGTTGATTATTTTCTTTGTGGAGCAAAAGATTTTTAGTATAATACGTCCCATTTGTCTGTTTTTGTATTTGTTGCCTGTCCTTTTGAGATCTTAGCCACAAATTCTTTGTGGCTTTTTGTTTTCTTTTTTTCTTTTTTTTCTGGAATCTCGCTTTGTTGCCAGGCTGGAGTGCAGTGGCGTGAACTCAATTCACTGCAACCTCTCCTTCCCAGGTTCAAGCAATTCCCCTGCCTCAGCCTCCTGAGTAGCTGGGACTACAGGCATGTGCCACCACACCCAGCTAATTTTTGTATTTTTAGTAGAGAAGGGGTTTCACCATGTTGACCAGGATGGTCTCGATCTCTTGACCTCATGATCCACCCGCCTCAGCCTCCCAAAGTGCTGGGATTACAGGCATAAACCACTGCACCCGACCGAAAAGTCTGCAACTTTCACGCAAAAGTCAGTACAAGTAAACATTTGCACCTAAATACTTCAATATACAAATAAAGGACTAGGGATGAGGGTTGGTTAGAACCAATAAAAACTTTATTTACCTAAGATTGGTAGAGGGGGCAAAAAATGATCAATTTCTTTTCTGTGAATTTAATTCTTTTTGGCCAGCAATGGTATTTACTGAATTAGGTAATGTCATTGTCATTTTGCCCACAGAAAAAAGTCTATGCTATAGAGGTTCCAAATATTTCTTACCTAAAGTCTAAATTCTTAGTGTTTGAATTTCAGTCTTTCTATTTTCTGCCCTTATATTTAAAATGTATAGTTTGTAAACAAAACATAGCCCTTTTTTTCTCATCTAGTCTAAAAGTTTAGGCTTTCATTTGGAGTATTTATCCCATTTACATTTAATATAATTACTCATTTATTTGGGTTTATACATAGCATTATATTTTGTATTTGAACTTGAATTGTCTTCTTTGCACTCCCTTTTCCCTCTTTCTTGTATTGTTTAAATGAATTGGATTTTAAAAAAATTATTTCAGATAATGAACAGACACAAATCACAAAACAGTAAAGAAAACAACCATCATGAAAGACACCAAGAAAAACAAATAGAACAGGAGAAAGTGAGAGAGTTCTGAGAAGAGAAAAAATATATATTAAGAAATAATCTCCAGCATCACACTACCTGTCGTAAAATTATGCTATAAGGCTATTATAGTCAAAAAAGCATGGTATTTCTATAAAAACAAACAGATCAATGGAATGGAATAGAATAGAGAACCCAGAAATAAATTCAGGTATCTACAACCAACTGATTTTCAAAGATGTCAAGAACATACAACAAGGTAAGAAAACTGGTGCTGGGAATATTGGATATCCACATGCAGAAAAATGAAACTATAACCTTACCTCTCACCCTATACAAAAATTAGCTCAAGATGGATTAAAGACTTAAATATAAGACCCAAAACTATAAAACTACTAAAAGAAAACAGAAAAAAACACTTCAGGAACATTCAGTATGTTCCGTTGGATACCTCTTTCTAGTTGATAAAGTGCTTTATATAAACATTATCTCCTTTATTACAGGAGTGATACTTTGCAGTGAGCAAGGCTGGTAGGATTTCTATTTTACAGATGAGTACATCAAGGCACAGTGGCTTCCTCTTACCACATTGTGGGCAGACTCGGTGCTTGTATATGGTCCTTCTGCTGCTCCACAGATATTCACACACTCTCTCTTTGTGAGAAAATGTGATCTCCCTTATCAGTAAGCAAATAAACACAAAACTGGTTCAGTCTTGCTGGCTCATTTTGGCACATTATTTAGAATGATGGACAACAGACAGAAATGAGTGCCCATAGTGTAGAATCACCCTATAAAAAATACCTGCTTGAATTAGGGTCAGCTGAGAATTTAGCCTTAGGCCTACAGAAGGGTGTGGGGGAACACAATGGAAGGTGAAGGAAGAGAGAGTGCAACAGGGAAAGAGTGATCTCAGCAAGAACTATTTCAGGAGCCTCCTTTCCTGTGAGTTTTATTCTACAAGATTATAAAAGCCAACCCCAGGCTGCAGATTTTCAAACAGAAACACAGTCCCTTGGTTTGCTTTCTGACCTAGTCCTCTTCCATATAACTCAATGTGTCCAACACACAGAGTACAAAAGTTACATTTCTTGGAACAAAATCACACACAAAAAAAATTTCTGGTCTTTCCCATGCAGTTTGTTTACTGGTCTATGACTGGCTTAATCTTATCAATTCTGCTGAGCAAGAGGCTCTGAACAATCTTCCTGAAGCTTGTCTCTCAGCAGGCAATTCTCCATTCCTTGCTACCTCATTAATGTCAGAAATCCTGAGGTGAGCTGTTTGCCAAATTGTGGCTCTAAGAATAAAAGTCGGGGAGGGGAGAGAGGACACACAGAGAGAATGTGCTCCTAATTTCCTGTATATATGCAAATATAGTACCTTTTTTCTCTTATCCCTGCAATCCCTTCAATAAAAGGAGGATAGTGCCCCTCAAAGAGAATGCAGCCTAAAGCATGAATTATAATCTTGCAGAGAACAAAAGAAACACAGAGAAAGAAAGGAACAAACAAATCCTTGGATGTTACGGCCAAAAGTACTCCAAAGACAGGTCTTTGGACCCAGGATTGACTCCATTCCTCTAAATCCACCTGGGATTGATAGTTGTCTCAGGGTGAGTGGGGTGGGGTGGGGGGAAGGCGAGGCATGTGTGGGGGTGGGGGCATGGACGTAAAGGGCAGGATGGGGAGAGGGAAGCAAGAAAGAACTGACTGTCTTGGGTGATATTTGCAATGATGAAGCCCCTAAGCACTGAGAGGATGACAGAGTCATTGTGAAGCAAGGGGAGTCCAGGTAAACATGCCCCTTGAGTACCACCATTCCAGTATCCACAGCTGCTCCCGGTGTGGAGGCTGGGCAATGGCTAGTACTCTTAACTGCAATACCAGTGTGAGTGCATTGCTAGGGTGAATCCAGGATAAATTAGAAAAAAATTGAGTAAGATTGCCTCACTATAATAGCAACAATCAATAATTGTGTAGCTCTTATGATGTATCATAATGTGACATGATGTCATAATGTGACACATCATATGATGTCTTTTCTGAAGGTTCTAAGCACCTGTAAAGGTGAATTAGCTCATTAAAAATAATTTTAAGGGAACTCTCTTTTTGTGGGTGATAAAACTGAGGTGCAGAGAGGTTAAGTAATTTGCCCAAAGGCACACAGCTAGTGGTAGAGCTGGGATTCAAACTCAGGCAGTCTGATGCCAGAGCATGTGTTCTTAACACCACATTTTACTATCTCTCAAGGCTAAACAAGGTTGTTCATGCCTGTGACATTTAAAATAGTAAAATATTAATAATAAACTTCAGAAAAAGGGAGAAATATTTGAATAAGTTAAAACCACAGTTTTAAAGGCATGAAAATCTATATTTTAAAATGATATTCAATAGCATAGGAAAGTCTTCACGACATAGTATCAAGAGAAAAGGCACAATGTAAAATGACACAGAGTGTTACCCCTGCTTTGCTTAACAACACAGGGTTTTGTACTTATCTCCATATCATCTATCTCTGAATGGGTAAGTATAGAAAAACAATACTAGAAAGAAATACACCAAAATATTTACTATGGTTAATCCCAGATAGTAGAATTAGTGGTTTTATTTTCTTCTTTATACTTTTACATATTTGCCATTTTTTAAAAAACAATCTACATATATTTATAATAGAGAAAAGATGTGTATAGGGAAATAATGTGGTTGAGTCTGATTTCTTCTTTCCCATTAAGTGCATTCCATCCTGAGACATGCTATTCTCAATGCTGGCAGCTCTTCACCATGTTGGGGATGGTGGGGAGGTGGTTCTGCTTGCACCCCCACCCCTGCTCCCCAGTCTTCTGCATTCCCTCCTCCTTCCAGCTCAGTGCTCTATAAACATTTACCTCAGTCCATGGAAGGGAACCCTGTGGTGAACTCTGGGATGGTGCAAATTTCTTTCCAGTGATTTTAATCATCCCGTAAATTATGATGTGTTAAAGTTTTGGTTCTGTGTATCAGATTCCTGTTCACAAAGCAGAGGTGTTACCTAGGGGCTGAGCTAAGATATGCATGAAGATAATTGAAAGATTTGACACAAGTAGTATCAGGTAGCCAATATATTTATATTTAAGCTGGGAAAAAAATGATATGAAGCCTTTTAATAATAAAAATGCCTATACATAGTTGTTCATTTATAAATGGAAGAATGGGTTATCAGTGAAAATACATCATCTGGTCTTTTGCACCCTGGTTTTCATAAAACCATAAATATGGGACAATCTTGCCTTGAATTCTCTGATAAGAGAATATCCATCCTATGTTCTCACTGTCTGTTGAATGTCTCTTTCTTAAGGAATGAAAAAAGATTATTTAACTGTCTTTGCTATTTGTGGAATTTTCTTTTTGGTTTCATATAATCTAAATTCTTCCTTCTGTGACTCAAACATGTTTTTCTCTTTTTGTGTATTCAGCAAAAGTATCCCCCAAAGGCAGCTGGCCTTTGGCTCTCTGAGGTGCACTAAGACATTAATTAATGGATCTGCTCCATGATTCTTTTAATGAGAAATTCAAATACATAAACCTTTAGGATCAAATATGACCCAGAGAGATTCCAGAATTCCCAAGCCACCCACAGGGTAGTCTGATGTTTGTTAATGTGACTGTCACCATTCTCCAAATGTCAAAATGGAGGTCCAGGTGAGAAAGAGGAAGATGAGAGGAGCTTGCTAGGGACAGATCCTTGGCATGACAGCAAGTTCCCAGCAAACTGGCATCAGTCCTGTTCTTGCCAGGGCTCAATCTATTTACCTGGGTCCTGTACCAGATCGGTTGACGTCTGAGTATTAAAGAAAAAAAAGAAAAGATTAGGTCCTGGAAGGATTGACTGTGGGTCTGCAGAATTGTTTTCCGTTTACTGGTGTGGCCTAAAGGGTCCCACACCACCCTGGGGTGACCCAGGTCAGCCTTGACCAGATGTGGGGCCAGCACACCCTGCCTCCAGGCAGCCTATGAACCAAAGTTCTCAGTGCCTTTTGGGACCAAAGGCATAAATCATTGATTTTCTATGAATTAGGGATTAGTGCTAAATTGTGTGCTTTCTATTAATAGATCTTCATAAATGCTGCAGGTGTGGCCCGAGCACCTCTTTGAAGTACTGCTTAATCGTCCCCCTTCCAAATCCTCATAATCCAACCCTCATGAAAAACCCTGGGGATTATTGATTGAGGGGGCCTTGGGGATCCCTAAAGGCACTGCAGCTCAGACACCAGCCTGTCCTGGAGGTGCGGCTGCAGGCTGCACCCGGAATGCATGCCAGGTGTGGCTGGGCTTGCTGCACCAACCTGGAGGGCCAGGCCAGCTCCTCCCAGGCAGGGACAGGGTGGAGCCCAGGGAGAAGGCACCAAGGTGAGCCATGCCCACTTTAAAGGTAGGGATTTCTATGCATGTAACAAAATATCACATGTACCCTGTAAATACGTACACGTATTTTTTATCAGTAAAAAAAGAGTGGAGGATTTTCCTCTTAATAACTGTCTTGCTTAAAACAACATTCTTTGGAGCTTATAGTTTGAGATAGGACCTCTTATTTAAATAATTAATTAATCAATTGTAATTAATTTAAATGAAAATAATTCAAACAGTTTATTTTCGGTAATTTAAGTACTTTAATTAAATTTAATTCATTTAATTGATTTCATTTACTGTCATAATCTGTGCCTCCTCTTTAAGCCCAGATCCTTTAGCTGCCCTGTGCTACTTTTCAGTCAGGCCGTGCAGCGCCTTATTTAACAAGATTTTGATATATCCATACAGTCCCCACCTGGAATGTCTTTCCTTCTCCTCTCTACTTTATGAAATCCTTCTAATTGGTCAAGGTCTGGCTCAAATGTCACCTTTCTTATGAAGCCTTCCCAAGTTCCTGGGATGACTTAGTCACTTCCCCCTTTCTGTTGCCATTATACTTTGTTCATGCCACTATTTTAGCACTGTTAATGCTTGTATCTGTTACATTAGTATAGTTGTTTATTTGTTCAACTCATCCCTTATCTCCTGGGTTCCAGGCACTGGGCTGGGTGCTGCAGATACAAAGTTGAACAAGATACAGTGCTTGATTTTGAGGAAATCACAGAGATGTGAGGATCCCAAGGTCATGGGGAAAAGATGAAAATTACCAGGTGAGAGGAATATACTAGTTGTTATACTAAAACGTTCTCTGAGGTCTTAGGTAGAGAGCCACTGGGTTGTAAAAACTTGAGAGCTGTCTTACTGGGGACACCCAGTAGGGTGCTCGCACTCCCCAGTGCTCACTAAATCTCAATGGAATAATTGGTGCAGTTGAAAGATGCCTGATTAGACTTGAATTTCCAGGTTGGAGTTCCAAGTTGTGCCTCTTAGAAGATGCGTAATGTAATCAGATCATGCAAACACTCTGTCTTCCTTTCTCATAAATGAAATGGATATAGTAAGAATAATCTTCTTCTAGCACTGTTAGGAGAAGCAAATGAAGAAATGTAAGTAAAGGCAATTTGAACCCTCTGGAGGTAAATAAAGGTAATGCCCCCTTGTAAATACTGTTACCTTCGTGACTTAGAGCAATTCTTTCTACTGACAAGGACTCTATACATGAAACCCTATGGGATTAACTATATGATCTGGAAAGCTAAAACTATGGCTGGAGCTAGGAGAGTCAACAAGGGACAGGAAGGTCCTGTTTGTTTTCACTCCTCCTGGGCATTGGTCCATATGTTTGCTTGGAGACCATAGGGTTTAGAGATTTGAGATAACTACAAAATCTCTTTAAAGTGCAATTGTTCAGTTCTATTTTATGTATAACAGAATCAGTGCACAAAAATATCCACATGTCCTAAGAAGGACTATCCAAATAGCTTTTTTATGGTCTGATGGAAATAACTCCTGTCAGACTCAGAAACAGGCAGATGTCTGTAGCTGTTATAGGTGGGCCTTGAAACTTGCTGTCATGTTCAGATTTCTTCTCATTGTCTTTATAACTGTGGTCAGGAATGAACAATAGCCTGTTAGCATGAGTCTGAGGGTAGATAAATCCATCATTGGTTTAGGCAGCTTTGCATTGCACCATAGTGCTAAAAAACACTAAATTAATCAGCTGGTAGAAAGACACCCTTGGAGGTGAATGGATGGAAGAAGATGTGAATAGAAAGGAACGCATTTGGACAGGGATCTATTTATCACTTCACCTTAAGTGCTTTGTGGGCCTATAAAAATATGGAAATGTGTGACAGAGTAGAATAAGCAAGGAAGGGTGGCAAAAGCTTCCAAGGGAAGGAATGATGCTTTTCTTCTCACAGTAAAGTCCAGTTACATGAAAATGGTTTTGGAAAAATTTTTGACTATCCTTGCCACATGAAATGGCATTTGTTGGATGAGATCATATGCAATGAGAAATAAAACCCCATTTAGCTTGCAAAAATTAAAACAAAGGCTTTTCAATGAGTTCAGGTGATCCTTGATGTACAATTCTGTCAGAAGCTGAGTTTAGCCTGCATAGTTCACTAGCCCCTAAACATCCTTGCCACATGGAGGTGAAGCCAAGAGTCCAGGCAGCCACAGTGAGCTAGCTATGAGGTGCACTGTGGAGTGGAGCAGCACCACTCAGCACATATCTGGGAAACCACTCCTGTTCCCTACCCATCACTCTGCCTAGCAGGCTGGTACACTTCTCTCTATGACAATATGTCTTCTGGCTTTTGTTAAGCTGCTCCTTTACCATAAAACAAGAAAGAAGATAAAATACACAAATTCCCTTTGGTTCTGAATCTGAAGAGTGAACTGCCCCATCCTCATGGCTAAATGTGTGGAAGTAACTGCCCTCTACCTTTTAACTCCTTACTCCTCAAACTGGTATTTTAGGGGTGGCCATGTTGTACCCACTTCCTCAATGTTGCTTACATTGTTGTGGCTTTTTTTGCTTCAGTAGTTTCACAAGCAGGAGGCCATGGCGCCAAGCAGCTTTTTTGCTTCTGTAGTTGGGCCAGCGGGAGGGGGTGTTATGGCTTGTTATAGGCTCTTTTGTTCCCACTGCCTGGCAGCCTGGTGAGCCAGCCAGGAGTATCACAGCTCTTTCATTCCCACAGTTCAACAAGTGGGAGGGCCGGCACCCAATGGCTTCTTCTCTCCCATCATTTGGCAAGCAAGAGGGAGAGTTACAGCTCTTTTACTCCCACTGCCTGTGGCTCAGCGAGTTCCGGGTTCTTGTCCTGTGACCAAGAGGAATAAGGTATGCAGATACTGGGAGTGAGTAAGGCAGAGGAGGATTTTATTGAGTGAGAGAAGGAAAGTTCTCAGCAGCAAGAGGGGATCCAAAAGTGGGTTGGCGTCTGTGAGACTGAGTCCAGGGTTTTTATGGGCTTAGAATGGAGGAATGCATGCTGATTGGTCCATGGGTGGTCTTGCAAAAAGCACCATTTGATTGGTTAAAAGGCATCATTCAGAATAAATCAATCACGAGAGAGTGAGTAAGATGGGGATGGAAGTTCTCACTTTCGACATGGACTCCATCCAGAACTGGCAGCTCGGATTTCAGGCTTTAAACTGTCCATGGCTTGAAGGTCGGTTTTTGCTGGCTAGGAATTTGTCTGTCTCCTGTGGCTATCAATATTTTCTTCAAATTAATTTGCTGGCCACAAAATTGACTATGTCCCTGAAATAGGCATTTTCATTCTAAAGTTTGTAATATACTTTGACTTTTTATAATTTGTAAGTATATTACATTGCTCAAGAGAAGTTAAAGCTTAAAAAAATAGGACC